>NC_000001.11:145059587-145684587 GCF_000001405.40 Homo sapiens
TCCAACCTACAAAAAAGGAAAGAGTCTGACATTCAGAATTAACCTTGCAAAGAAATTCTGTTTGCCAGCCCACAGGCATTTTGTTTGTTTGATTGGTTTTTCTGCTGTTGCCACTGCTGTCACCTTCCTGACCAAGAGGCCCACAGACTAGCACTTTTTTAGATTCATTTCTGGCAGTGAGTGGGTTTGTAAAGATTGCATTTGTAGTATCTGCTGGGTCCCAAAAGTGTGGAAGGACAAAAGACCATAGCCTTCTCTTAAATTCAGCTCAGAACCAACCTCGCACCTCAGCTAGAAAAATCACTTCCATCAACACTGCTCCCAAATGGAGCCCTTCCACCCTCTGCCCAGCTTCCAAGCCCAGGCCCTGAGACCCACACTGCTGTTTGTTTCGGCACCTGCAAGCAGCTTGTTCACAAGCATCCAGACTACAGAGCAAGAGGAGTTTCAGAAGGGCCCTCCAACAAGTGAGTGGCCTGGGAAGAAAAGTGACAGGCAGGGTCTAATGTCCCACAGTAGCTTGTTTTCACTGCCACTTTGGCATTACCTACCATGGCCAGCAGCTATTCAAACACTCTGCCCAATGCCCAGCCACAGGATCCTATTAATTCTCTTCAATTAAGAGAGGACCTACCCTGGTTCCCAGAAAGCCAAAAGTAAGTGTCAGTTTCTCCCTCTAGGCAGTCTCTAGATTTAAGGGTTCCTTTCACCTCGCCTAGAAGGGCCCTCAACCTTGAAAATAAGAAGCAGCACTATGAAAACAAACTACCCATTTCTCAACTGTTCAAAGATTAGACCTTGTACCACCTCCTTGCTGGCTCCCAAAGAGACCTCATCTATAAATGGAAATAATAACACAACATGCCTTGTTGTGTCTTCTTTCAGGGCTGTAGATATGAACTAAGATAACATACACACTTAGCATACTGCCTGGCACACAGTAAGCAGTTGATAAATATTACTTAGTACTGATATGATTTTTATTATTCTAAGAATGAGTTGTAGTTATTATTAAGAGAGTAATCTTTCTAAAATACATATTGTTCCAACCCAAGCCTAAAAGCTCCACAGTCAATTTTCAGTTTTTCATGCAAACACAAGGAACCAGTATGGCAAAAATCCTAAAAAATAGATACTCTATAGGTTCTCATTTGGATTTTGAGTACATTATGTGCAGTAATACATACATATATCCATCTATTCAATAAAGAGCTGTTTGGCACCAACAAATATATAGCACTGAACTAAGACATATATATGTCTAGTTAGTACTTCTGAGCACCTACTATAGGCCAGACACTATATCAGGAGACACTGGAGATACACACATAAGTAAGAAAAGGGCCCTGCCATCCAAAAGCTTATAGTTTAATAGAGGAATTATGATAACAGGTGCTAAGATAAAAGTCCCATAGCAATCAGTAGAGGCAAAAAGGAGAGAAACATACGGGTGATACTTTCTTAACTGACTTGCCAGCTTATGTGACATACCAACTTCTCTTCAAAATAAACTGGCTGAGTTGCATAGCACACTGGAGGCTGGTTGTGTATTACTCACATCTACTCCCACCAGCCAGGTTGGCTGCTTCAGGGTCAGTAGTTAGTTCACGCTAGGTATACTTGTTATTTTAATTACATATTAAATTATTATATAATACAAACAAGTGAAATATGAGTATAAAAAAGATATTTCTATGAAAAAGAGGTTGAATGCTTGGAAGAAATTTGAAGGCAAGTTGCTAAAAAAAATTGCTGCTGAATTAGATATGGGCAAGACAACAGTAAAAGGTTGTAGTGGTGGAGCTTAAAAATCTGGAAGAATTCTGCCCTTCATTTCTCAAATGTATTTAAGAACTTGGTTCACTTAAACTGGAAATCACAGATCAAATGTTAAGTGTATAATTTATGAAAGAAAGTCAACTGAACTCTACTTGAAAGATCCACACTTTAAGAAAAAGCCCTGGCCCACATAAAAAGATTTGTGAATATGTGTACATTCACTTTTTTTTCCCCCCTCTGAGACAGGGTCTCACTCTGTCGCCCAGACTGGAGTGTAGTGGTGTGATCTCGGCTCACTGCAACCTTCGCCTCCCGGGTTCAAGAGATTCTCGTGCCTCAGCCTCCCGAGTAGCTGGGATTACGGGCACCTGCCACCCACCTAGCTAATTTTTGTATTTTTTTTTTTTTAGTAGAGACGGGGTTTCACCATGTTGGCCAGGCTGGCATTTACATATTTTTAAGTTAAAATAAAATGCTAGCTAGATGATGACATGTGCCTGTAATCCCAGCTACTCAGGAGGCTGAGACTGTAGGATGGCTTGAGCCCAGGAGTTAGAGACCAGCTGGGGCAATAATAGAGAGACCCTGTCTCAAAAAAAAATTAAAATAAATAAAATGCTTGAGAACAGTTTTGTCTTCGTTTTTAAAGACTCTCTGTTTTAACTGACTTTTGGAATTAACTGACCAATTACTAGTCCAATTGCCCCAGATAAGAAGGTGTTTCCAGTATACCTGCCTATTTCTCAGGCTGATAGCAAAATGAGTTTATATTCATGCAGCCCAATCCAAGCAGGTAGCAGAAAAGGCTGCCTTGGGATTTTATAAAATAGACCTGTTAAATACTTCTCAAGTAGATCAAGTGCAGGTGGAATACTAAATTTTAGCCATATTTCAAAAGACTGAGATGCTAATGCCTGTGAACATGTGCTATACACTAACTACTCATGGCCTGAAGCACAGACCAAAAGGTGAATGATATCCCAAATGCCACCTCAGTTTTGGTCACAGGTCTGGATACAACTCATTGGTTGATCCAAGCATCTGATGTTCCACCTTGACATGTGATGCTATCTCTGGAAAAAGAAAATGTCGCAGGTGTTGAGAAAAGGTACAAGTACCAACTATCAAAGAGGAGTAAGATCCCTTCCCAAGACCCCTTTATAGTCAGTCTAATACCTTTCGGTTTATTCGCCTAGAATGCTGGACTTCTATACCACATAACAAGATTCCACACACTGAAACGGAACCAACATCATTAGCTTCTTACCAGTGTTCTGCCATCGAGATGCAGTCTGTCAAGAGAAGCAGCACAGAGTCTCATGTCAAGAGAAGTCTGCAGCGGCAGAAAGACAACTAAAAAGAGAGACTTCAGTGGAATTTGAGTCACCTGACATTAGTCTTAAAAAAGATATTTAAAATACAGAGAATCCCACTGATGGAGGAGAGAAAAATAACCCTCTTTTTTTCTTTAAAGACAGGCATTGATATGAGCGAAAGGAAAAGAACTGGGGAAGTCTTTGTATATTGAGAGCTCAGTTTATTTTTACTCTCTGCCAATAGAGGCAAGGTAATTCTATAAGCACCATTTAACTTTCTCACTACAAACAAAATAGAGTAAGTCGTATTAACGACTTACTTGCGTTCTAAACTTCCAGCTCCAGAACACTTTTTTCCCCCTGAAAATTAAATTGATTCTTACAGAATGGTACCCAAATGTGTGATTTCAAAGGCAGATCCCAAAACTGATGGGATCCTCAATGAGAGGATGAGGAGGCATTTTCAGTTTCAACTTCAACTTATTTTCTTCATTAGGGGTAGGCCTAGACGACTTCTAATTAAAATCCCTCTCTTTCCCAAACTCTATGATTTCAAAGAAACAAAAGGAAATGAGTTTCAACTATAGCTGTCAAATTTTAAGTCAGGTATCAGCAAGAAATTCCTAATTGGAAAGCTGTCAATCAATGAAACAGGTTTCAAAATAGGTTGTGGAATCTTCTTCCCCAGAGACAGTTAAAAATAGGCTAGGCAGCCATCTGTCTTGGTGGGATACAGCCCTTCCAGGAGGCCGGCATCAGAACAAAACCCTTCTTCCCTCCCTCCCAGGGAGTCCACTAATGAGAAGTGATTAAGGGCTATGAAGAATAAAGGAAGGAGACAGCAGCCCAACCAGGCCCATGGGCTAGGCGGCTGAGATTTCCTGTAGAAAGGGAAGATACAAGCTGCAAAGAGGAATATACAAGGGGAAAAACACAGGAAATAACCACAGGGCTGTGAGCATTTTGGGGAGGGCTGCACCAATCTGCTTCCCAGCTGCAACAGCTCAATTTGGTCCTGGGGACTGGGAGCTCAGCCACAGCTCTTTGGGGAGGGTATTATTCCCCTTCCTAGCTCCCAAACCCATGTATACATGAAGCCTAAGTGGAAAATGGGAACTGTCAAATAAATCCAAGATTTCCCCAGGTGACCAGCAGCATCCATGAAATAGCTCCAAAAAGTTTTCCTTTAAAATACATTGTCTTTTTTTGTTCCTTGCCACTTTCCTTGGCCATCTATAATCTTACCCATTTCCTGCAGTTCTTAACATTTCTTTCATTACTATGGAAAGCTCTCTTGGGGCACGAAAACGAATAAAACCTTCATGGACCTTTGGAAACCTAACCCCAATGAGAAATGGAAGAGACAGCATTGCTGTGGACTGTCACCTCTGCAAGAGTGGGACTGTCCCTCTTTGCAGACATGAGCAGCTCTCTGCCCCCATCTTTGTACAAACACTTCAGATATACACACTTGGGGCTTTCAACTAAGTCTCTGTTCCTGCTACTGTGTCTCCTGAAGAATACTGGAGTCAGCCATGCAGCACTGTCACATGGGGATTCAGGTACCCAGCTTTGCTGGTAGACAAAACACAGGAAGCCCACTGTTTACTAAGCTCCCCATAGTTCAAGAGGCCCCTGCAGGGGAAAGAAGATGGCAGTAAGGTCAAGGAATCAACATCAAGGACTCATCAAGCTGAGGTATGCAGCAAAGTAAAGATGGAGGCCAGGGATGGCCACCAGCTGTTAAGAGTTAGACACTGGGGAGTACAGGGCAAAACCAGTGCCTGAGGCTCAGTGCTCTCAAAAAGAATTTTTTTCTGGTTGAGGCTGCCAGCTAAGGAGAAACCTGAAGCTCAAGCATGCAGTCTGGTGATTTTTTCCCCCTTCAGCAAAGCCAGAAAAATTTGTAGAGATAACTAGAAGAAAATCAATACCATAGGGCCCAAGATTTAACAGGAGCCTTTGCAGAGAAGAAATCTGAGTCTGTCCTGTCCTTGCAGCTGTCTTAGATCAGAGGAGATAGAGCTTTTACTCTAACAGAAGATATCAGACTTATTGAGAACAGGAGATAACGGATAGGAAAGGGCCCTAAAAACTCAAATAGCCCAAAATGAATGAAAGAGATAATCATAATACACAGGGCTACTCCCAAACTGGGTGGCTAAATAGGAGCAAATAGAAAAGTAGAGACCACCATTCTGGATCATATCCTGTGGCCACCTGAGGGGCTTAGTGAAGGCACCTATCTTCCATCTTGCTGGTATGGAGGCAAAGCTGGCTATGAAAAGGAGCAGGCTCCCAACCTGCCTTTGCTGGATGCCACACAGCAACGCCGGGGAGCAACTCTGGTCCAGCACCTGGGTAAACAATGTGACTCTCCGGAATGTCCCGAACACTACAGTCAAAATCTAGGATTTAGGAACAGTATAATGGGGGATATCTCCCCTCAAAACCTAACTCAGTTACAGAGGGAGGGATCTGTCTAGGACCCGATCTGCTATGAAAGTTTCAATTATAAAACTTGGGGTTTGCTCATTTTTCAGAACTGGGATCTTCAACACCTTTGGGATTCATTCATCAGATATGGAATTCAGACTGCTTAAAGCCTTGGAGAACTGCAACTAGGCAGCAGAGAGCTAGCTGGTTTCTAAGGAGATCGAGACTGAGCAGACGATACAGAAGTAGAGCATCCTCTAGAGGTCGCCTAGTCCACCACCCCACCACCTCCTGCTCACTCCCACCCCTCCCCAGCAGCAGGCTACCAGGAAGCAAGAGCAGACAGGTGAGCTGGTGTCCTGTTTTTCAAGCTCTCCTGGGAAGGAGAACCCACATAATTTTTCTATAGCCTGGAGCTGGTAAAAGAAGGGAAGGAAGGAACTAACAATGGAGTAAGCAACCCACTAACTTCCCATTCACTCTCATAACTCAACATGATGAGGCAGGCTGGCTGCCAGCCAGGACTCTCTCCAGAAGGATATGGCTGAAGGGCTGTCAAGTCCGAGTGTGGGACAGTGAAAAGAGCATTGCATTAGACATCAAAAGACAGGGGGAATTGGGGAAGGAAAGAGGAAGATTAAAGCCAAGGACCGTGAAGGGACTTTTTGGGGTGATAGAAATGTTCAACCTATTGATTATAATTGTGGCTACACAAGTATATACCATTTGTCAAAACTCATTGAACTATAGGTTTCAAATAGTGAATTTTATTGCACATAAATTATACCTGAATAAAGTTGTTTTTAAAAGAAAAAACATGCATTCTAAATTCTGATCCTGCCCTATTAACTGTGTGACTTTGGCCATGTCACTTAGCCTACCTAATGCTTCAGTTTTCTCATATTTTAAATGGGATTACTAATTTCTGACCTGCTGGCCAGGTGAGATGGCTTATGCCTGTAATCCCAGCACTTTGGGAGGCCGAGGCTGGTGGATTACCTGAGATCAGTTCGAGACCAGCCTGGCTAACATGGCAAAACCCCATCTCTAGTAAAAATACAAACATTAGCCGGGCATGGTGGCACACACCTGTAATCCCAGCTACTTGGGAGGCTGAGGAAGGAGAATCACTTGAACCCAGGAGGTGGAGGCTGCAGTAAGCCAAGATCATGCCACTGTACTCCAGCCTGGGCAACAGAGTGAGACTCTGTCTCAAAAAATAATAATAATGATAATTTCTGACCTGCTTAGCTCACAGGATATTTAAGATCAGATGAGATATGAAATAAGACCCATTTTTAAAAGCACAAAATGCTAAGCAAATAGGAGGTAACTATAATTAGCTTGGTTCCACAATACTTGGGATCTCCCTGGCTATGTATTTTCTGGTGATCTTGAGAAGATTCTGTTTTATTTAATTGACGATGGTTCAAAATCTTTCCTCTGGAAAACCTTGACTGGAGTGTTCTTTCTACTTGCTTCAGACTATCTGCTTGCTCACCTCTCCACTATGTAAACGTAACTTACTGTGAGCGCCCAGGCCGTCTGGCTACTACAGATAAGCACCCCAGCCCGGGAGCACAGACGCTGAACGCAGCCGCCTGACCAGAATGCAGACACCAGGGCAGATACCATTCTGAAGCTGTGGACTCTTCCCTTTCTGGGGAAATCAGTGAGTTGATATTTTCTATGTTGCCACAGGGAGCTCTTTCTGGCAAAGGAAACGGAAAGAAAACGCAGGATCTCCTCACCAAAGCACAGAATGGGGAAAAACACCAAAGCCTGGGCAGTTGGGCAGTTAGGTACAAATCTACCAAGTGAGCAGACTTAACTAAAAGGGATTGTGATGATCTACTCCAACAATTTCATTTTTAAAATTAGGAAACGAGGCCGGGCATGATGACTTACATCTGTACTCCCGACACTTTGGGAGGCAGAGGCAGGTGGATTGCTCGAGGCCGGGAGTTCAAGACCAGCCTGCCCAACATGGCGAACCTCTGTCTCTACTAAAAATACAAAAATTACAAGAGCATGGTGACACACGCTTGTAATCCCAGCTACCGGGGTGGCTGAGGCACAAAAATCATTTGAACCTGGGAGGCAGAGGTTGCAGTGAGCTGAGATCACGCCATTGCACTCCAGCCTGGACAACAGAACAAGACTCTGTCTAAAAAAAAAAAAAAAAAAATTAGAAAACTAATTATCAGAGAAGCCAAGAGTTCAAGGCTAAGCAAAATTGTTAAGTAGGTCAAACTGGAGGTGCTTCAACCTTTTGATTTTAGCCCCATATACCTGCTTACTTCCCCCAGAGTGCCCTCCCTCACTAAACTGGCATCTAGTAGTCTTAGACCCTTATCAAAACCTTGTAAAGAAACAAATGGAATCTCATACTAAAGTATAAATAAACAGCTAGTCTTTTGAGTGAGATACAATAAAAGAATGTTTTAAAGAGATAAAGCTACCAGTAGAAGAGATGTCTTCAGTCTATCCACCTTCAGGGACCTTGACAATAGCCCTAAAATCATACCCAATAGGTGGTTTTGTACCCAGCTGTTGGCAAATAGGGTACCAAAGCTTGAAACTCTTCCAGATTAGTTCAAGTGGGCTTACAAAGAAGTTCAAGTGGACCTGCAGAGTAGTGGGTCTTATCTCCAAGCCCGAGCTGTAAGTAGCAACACTATTCTTTAGAAAGGCATTACATATCTTGCATAAATGAGAATCAGAGCTCCCCATACAATACTGCCACTGCCACTCTTCCTTGCAAATGCTCCTTTTAAGTCCATACGTTAAGAATACCATTCTGGGCTGGGTATGGTGGCTCACGCCTGTAATCCCAGCACTCTGAGAGGCCGAGGCAAGCGGATCACGAGGTCAAGTGTTTGAGACCAGCCTGGCCAATATGGTGAAACCCCATCTCTACTAAAAAATACAAAAATTAGCCGAGCGTGGTGGCGGGCGCCTGTAGTCCCAGCTACTTGGGAGGCTGAGGCAGGAGAATTGCTTGAACCCGGGAGGTGGAGGTTGCAGTGAGCCGAGATCGCACCACTGCACTCCAGCCTGGGCGACAGAGCGAGACTCCGTCTCAAAAAAAAAAAAAAAAAAAAAAAAACAAATACAGCTCCATGAAAGCAGGGACTTCCTCAGTCTTGTTAATAACTCTATCTCTAGCACCAGACCAGAGCCTGGTACATAGTAGGCATACATAATCATGTGTTGAGTACATGAATGAATTAGTGATTGAATGAATGAATTTTTTAAAATGCACTGAACTGAATGTCTCTGAAGACAGTGTAGGGCCCTCTGGTACCACAGAGGCTGTGTCATGGGTCATGCCAGTACTCACAAGAAATGTCAACGCTGGCATACACTTCACCAACAGGCAGATATATCTGTAAGATGCAGGGGTAAGTTCAAGTGCTTCCATGAGGCATTTCCGTAATTAATTATTAGCATTCATAGGCTAGATACCTATAATACCAACTTCAGCATCGATCTAAAGGAAACCTATTCATTTAAACTGACAAAAACATGCTGTCATTTTCATTTCCATTACAAAGCATGCCAATGCAGTAGAAACATTTTGATTGATTGAATGGCTTTCTCTCAATCTGCACGGCAACTGATCAGTTTACCAAGGGACAAATAGTTCAACAATTCAAGTCAAAAGCAGAGAAACCTTTTTTCTTTACTTATGAGGCATAAATCAGCTATTTAAAATATATAGAAATTACAAATAGTTAAAATTATCTTCTGGGAGATCCTAAATAAGGTAAAATGTGTGTGTGTGTGTGTGTGTGTGTGTGTGTGTGTGTGTGTGTGTGTGTGTGTGTATGTGTATATATATATCTCTCTCTCAACATGTAACCAGAAGAACTGCTGCAACTGCCTGTTGTAGACTGCCTCCACAGCCCAGTAAGTGATGTACCACTTCATCTCCATCAAGACCTTAATTCCTGCCCCTAGAGAATAAATGAGGTAACAAAACTGGAAGCACTTTGAGTCTCTAAAAGAAGCTATAGAAATCCTGAAAGAAGAAAAGACCAAGTACAAATAGAGTCTCTGAGAGGACAAAAAAAAAGTGTTGCATAAAAAGAGAGTCAAGGTGTTAATTGCTGAAGAGTCTTTCAGGTTGAAGAGAAGGATCCTTCACTATCCTGTATCCTGCAGCCCCTTCCTTCTTTTCAAGGAACTGCAGAGATTATGTCCGCCATTCCTATCAATTTGTTTATTCAGTGACCTTTTGACAGCCAAACTGCTAGGAGCTGCTCAGTTGCGGCACAGCCAAGCAGGCCTGCACAAGTTTCCACCACACCCAGGCTTCAGCTTGGTAGAAAATGAAAATGGTCAAGAGTTTTAATGAGTTGTTAATGATTTAAGTACTCACAGTGATATGCTTGCAAGATAAGACAAAAGGAACTTAGGAGCAGTGAAACCAAATCAAACCAATAATACATTCAACAGTGATGAATACAATTACACAACCTCTGCATACATTTAGGGAGCTTCCGAAACAGAATTTGGACTGGAACATCCCAAGGTCTAGCCTGCTTCCTCCACTCAGAAGCCCACCCATACCCTTGCTAAGAAAGTATTCTACTGTTTTCTTTAAACTCTCCTGGAATTCTATAGGCTTCCTTCATAATTTTACCTTATTGCTCCACAAAAACTTGGCTTCTAACGTCAACCCTACCTCTCATCTGCTTACTGAGGACAGGACGAAACTTGAGTTGTTCCCTGCAGACAAAAGTACAACGGTTGACACTAAAGATCGCCTATTTGAAGTAAAACTGGTTTTAAGCAGGTTAATGAACCCCAGGCTTACAGGTTCTTGCACTTGGTATATTTCTCTAACACACCCCAACAAGATAAGAGATTGGAAAATGGCTCCTTTGGCTGGTTGAGAAGGAATGTCATCTTTTTTTTTTTTTTTTTAAAGCGCTGATGGAATTACCCTGCTAGGGAACCAGCATGCATATGTCATTCCTTTGTACAGTATTTTTACAAGTATTTGATTTTGTTTACCCTAATTTATCCAACTCGGGAATAAAAAGGAATCTCAGATCTATGAGAAGGACCTCCAATTTCTCATTCTCAGCTTCAAAACAAATTAGTCAGTTTAACATTAGTCAAGACACAGGTTGCTGTGAAATAAGAATGATTCTAGGTCATGATTAAGATGGTTCTCCAAACTATCAACAAGACTGTCTAATCACCTGTTATGAACCCAACACTGTTAAACAGCAATGGCATGTACAAAAGAAGTAGGAAATAAAGTTCCTGTCGTCCACACCTAACAATCTAGAGGCAGCCTTCAATTAATTTGCTGATAGGGTGTATTGCATAATAAGTTTTATATATTTGTTGTTTGAAGTTCAAACACATTTCGCCATAAAAGGCATGCTATCGTGTTTCAGTTCTCATGCTGGTAGAAAACTGTCTTAGCCTCTAATGTAATTGAGATATCAAGTACCGTATGTGAAATGAAACATGATATTAAAAACTGGTGTAACATTAGAAATATCTGACATGTATCTGGTGCTTTGTGAGCTTGAAAGAGTTCTTCATCTACATAAACTTCACATCATAGTGTATTATGTGATGATACACGGTCATATTGTCAACGGTTGAAGAAATTGAGGCACAGAAAGCCTAGAAGCTTATACAGAGTCACACAGCTACTAAGTGGCAGCAGGACGCTCACGTTGGCCTTCCAACTCTAAATCCCGTTCTCTTTCCACTAGTGTAAAACTGAATAAGAAGCAGGTGTGAAGTGTTTTGTTTTGCTTTGTTTTTTAAGACTCATGGCTGAGAAAGAGGAAATTTTATCTGAGAAAGACAGGGAGGTAAGTGAAAACTTTTAGTGATTCAAAAGGAGGCTTAGGGGCACTTTTAGAAGCTTTCAAGGTTGACGAAGCTGGTGTTTATGGCTTTCATTTCACTTGGAGCCTCGTGGCCAGGCTTTTCCTCCTTTCAGATTTCTCACTGACTCTTTTCAAGTTCGACTGCCCTGATTAGAGTATGTTTTGTTTGGGATTTAACTCATGAATAGGAATACACCAACAGCAAAGAAGGGTTGGAACAGATTTCCTTGAGGTTACTGGACAAGCACTGGAAAAGAGAAGAGGAATGAGGAAGAGAAAAGTACAGATAAGATAAATTGCCTGAGGCAGAGTTAACTACACAGCAACCCTTGAAAGGAAGATACAGGGAAAAGGGGCTGAGGGAGGGTATTATTCTATGAAAGAGACATGGGACAGATATTGAGACAGCCCTCACCACTGTGCCATCAGGCCAGGGCAGCAGCAGCTGCAACTCAACTATGCGTAAATAGGTCTTTCCCTTATATGAAGGTCTACAGTTGAGAAGACATCTGTGAAATTAGCAGATGACAGCACAAATAATCCCACATATATGCCTTTCAAAAAATCTCTCTAACCGAGTAAAAATGCAAAGAATTTCATTCGTTCATTCATTCATCCAATACACATTTATTATATGCTAAGCACTCTGCTAGATGCTAGAAAACAACGATAAACAGAAACAGTCCCTGCTCTCAAAGAGCTCATAGCTTAGCAGACAAGAGATGTGTAAACAAATACGTGCAAAATAGTGTGATTGGTATGACCTCATTTTGTTAAATAGCGAGTACAGTATTGGCACAGTCATACTTCAAGCATGAACAGAGCCCAAGAGGTTCCCCAATGTGCTCAACTTGGCAGACTTGCTATTTATCATTTACCCATCCGTATTCAGAGGCTCGCACTCATGCTTAGGCCAAATCTCCATTATTAATCACATATTTACCAGCTAAGTCACTTTCCTAATGTCTACCCTACCCAAGTCACTGTTTTGTTTCTAAGAAGGAGGAAGGTGCGTGTTCATCTATCTCGCCCAAATTGTGTAAGGGCAACCTGAACTTGGGGCGGTGCAAAAGGGGTTCACTGTAACACGGCACGTCATTTCAAGTATGGCCCAGAAAGCAACAGGTGATTCACTTTAACAAACATACTTGAGCCTGTGTTATATAGGTCAAGTCTCATCAAAACAAACACCAAGAGATGGTCCACTTTCTTCTGTTGCAGCAAATAAAATCTTAATATATATTTGTTTGGGGTATGTAATTTGCAAAGCTGATACACAAGCATTACTTCATTTAGTCAACACAGCAACTCCTAGATGTAGGAATTATATGTTCATCCTATATCTGAAGAGGCTTGAGGCCAGGAGAGGTTAGAGACTTACCCAGGGCCACATAGTTGATGGCAAGGGTCAGAGCTACCACTGGTACCCAAGCCTCTGACCTCCAGCTGAGTGGTCTTTTTTCTACCAAACTGTGGCGTAAAACTCTCAAGCCAACTGTGGGTAATCTCTGTTACACAGAAAGAATTTATAAAGGAGGAGAGTAATAACTCCTATAGTCTCCTTGGATTGAACACATTGGATGAGAAGTACTCATAGGCCACTCTCCTCAAAATAGAAATAACACTAAAAATTCAAAGCCTTTGGAAGTGAGAATAGAATACATTAAGTTCAACTGCCAATATCTGAAATATAATTTCCTATAAATGGCTTTAGCCTGATCCCCTCTTTCAACATATCCTACAATCAAAATCTCCAATCAAATCCTCTATCAAAGCACCATCTCCCCATTCCAAAGTTATTCAAATTAAGGAGATCAACCACTTCTGCCTCCACACCCCGAAACAGCACCAGCACCACCTAGTCATGTTTTGCTGAACTCAGCCTCTCCCACACTCCCCAGGCTGCCTTTAAAAGAACTTGTTCATTAGCTGGCTCTTCAGTCACCCATGGGAGGTCAGGTGGTGGAGGGTGCTGGCAGGGCTTGACTTGACTTTTCTTTCATTCCCAGCTGACCCTCATAAGGGGCCTCCAACCAAACTCGGAGCAAGGCAGCTCAGAACTCCAGTTTTCTCTCTCCTTGTTTAGCTGTGCTCTTTCCCTACAGGGCACAGGGATAGAAAATGCTATTAATTCCTGCACACAAACACGAAGCCCCTTCAAGGGAGAATATTTCTGAAAGTGAAAGGTAAGAAGCTGCAAAAGGAGGTCAGGTATTTGGCACGTAAGAGGGGTGTCATCTATTTCACAGTTTCTCTGCAACATTCCCAATTTAGAAGAAAAGAAAATGACAGATTTAATGAAAGGCGGATGGGGGTGGCATTGTCACTTGCCTAATGAAATTCCTGCTTGAATGGAACTGTCATCTCAAACTCAGGGTATCTAAAATAATGCTCATTCTCTCACCAACTGCTGCACCTCTTCCTGGCTTCCATATGTCTATTTCTGCCATTGCCACCATCGTTCTCCCTGTCTCCCAAACTAAAAACCTCAGGCATTCCTGACTCTTACTTCACCCCTAGGCCCCACACCCATCTCGGCAGCTCATCTTCCCATCTTAGTGGTATCTCCTGATTACAGTGTGGTCAAACATAAGATCCAAGATAAAAGAACCAGCAGGCTTTAGAGTTGGACAGACCTGAGCTGCAGTCCCCATTCCATCATGGGTCACCATCACCTCGGATCATCTGCCTGACTCAAATTTCTTGTTCAGTAAATGGGGACTCGCAATTCCCTCACAGGTGACTCCAGTAATTGATCACATTTAACAGCATGTTTGCAGCACCCACCACAAGGCCTGGTATGCTGTGTGGGCAGGAACAAGCCTCTTGCCCCCAGCCAGGCAACTCAGAGCAACCAGGGAGTCCCTCTGAAATGACTTCATCACACTTCATCACTCTTCAACTCAGAGTGCCCCCACTGTTCTTTGTTGCCCCAGTATGAAGCCAGACTCTGGCTGATCTTCAAGGTCATCAAAAACTATCCAGTTCGATCTTACTCCTCTGTCTATAACTCCTCTGCTCCAGCCCAAGAGTCTACTCCCTCACTCAGCACACATTTATTGGGTGCCTACCACATGCAAACATGGTGCAGGAGGCTGGGAATGTTGAAATGACAGGCTGCCCACTGCCCACCCTCAAAGAACTCACAAGCTTTCTGGTAGTGAGTGTAGTCTGGGGGAAGGAGCGTGGGGGTGGGGGTGAGGGTGGATAAAACCATCATTGTATTAGGGTGTAGGAAGTGATGCAGGAGCGGTAAGCACGGTGGGGGCTGTGGGAACTCCACTGAGGGAAGACACACTGCCTCTGTTCTTTCCTCCTACTATCGACTTAGCCAAATCCTAGTCCATAAATCAAGGTCTTATTCATTCTGGCCCACACCTCTCCCATCTCAAAATTCCTCAAGTTCTTATCAACACCACTCATTTTCAGTCATCTGCTGGCTGATGTCATTTCTTGTATTGCTGTGGGTTATTTTTTTTTTTAACTACTTTCGTATAGGTAGGCTTTTTTTCTCCATGGTTTCTATGATCACAGACAATAAGGACTAGGCTCTAGACAGTTCTAAGTCTCTCACGGAAACTACATACTCATTATTTTGTGGAATAGTTGATATATTTGGAACTACTGACAACTGCAAAATAACACATTCCTTTCCCTTTGAAAAACAGGCACTTCCCTCGCTGCTAGGTTCTGAGTTCTGTGTTGTCTTACACTTTTCATCCAACCCAAGATGAGAGACGAAACCCTTGCTATCTCAAAAAACGATCCAAAATGTAATTTGTTTAAAAATGGTAGTTTTTAACTTTTAAAATTGTTCCATCTAAAAAGTTATTCAAATAAAATCTTAGCGGGACACCCAATATCGTGAACATAAAAGCAGAGCTATTCTGGTTGGAGCTGTGGGGACAGCCTAGTGCTGCTACCTCAAAGGGGAAAATATTTGACTCCCTCATCAGCAACCCCTGATGCACATCCAGCGGCAGCACCGCTACAGCATGATGGAGAACTCATCTTGCCCACAAATATGTATAATAAACTTAATGTATGTACAAATGAGACATTACAAATCAATGGGGAAAAAGATGAACCCTTTAATAAATATAGCCACATGGAATATAAAATAAAGTTAGATCCCTACCTCACGCTGTTCACGAAAATTTACTCCTTGTTTATTCAAGACGTTATGTGAAAGGCAAAATGTGTAGGTGAAAATATAGAAGAATATCCTTATGATTGTGTGTGTTTGTCTTTTAAATAAATCAAAACAGTAAAGAAAATTAATTTCTTTAACAAAAAGTAAATTTGACTATATTAAATTTGGAATTTCTTTCTTTTTTTTTTTTTTTTTGAGACAGGGTCTCCTTCTGTCACCCAGACTAGGGTGCAGAGGCATGATCACGGCTCACTGCAGCCTTGGCCTCTAGAGCTCAAGTGATCCTCCCACCTCAGCCTCCTGAGTAGCTGGGATTATAGGAGTGCATCACCATGCCCAGCTAACTTATTTGTATTTTTGGTAGAGACAGAGTCTTAATATGTTGCTTCAGCTGGTCTCAAACTCCTGGACTCAAGTGATCCTCCCACCATGGCCTCCCAAAGTGCTGGGATTGCAGGTGTTAGCCACCATGCTTGGACTTGGAATTTCTTATATATCAAATAATTCAATTAAAAGTAAGATGATAAACTAAATCTGGGAGCAGGTATTGCAACCTATAATCGTCAACAATGAGTAAACAGAATATAAAAGGAACATCTACACATCAATTATTAGAAAAAGCAAGATGGCCTAAAAGAGTTGTCTCTAGATTGCAATTTAAGAACTACTCTGAGGCCGGGCACGGTGGCTCACACCTGTAATCCCAGCACTTTGGGAGGCCAAGGTGGGAAGATCACTTGAGGTCAGGAGTTCAAGACCAGCCTGGCCAACACAGTGAAACCCCGTCTCTACTGAAAATACAAAAATTGGCCCAGCGTGGTGGCACGCACCTATAATCCCAGTTACTTGGGAGGAGGCCATATATTATCTCAGTTTATCTATACAACCACCCTGGGATGTAGGCAGAACATATATTATGCCAGTTTCTTGATAAGGAAATTGAAACAACTTAAATGATCAGTCCAAAGGGAGAGAAATATACATGTATCTTCCCTAGTAAGATGCAAAACCTACTTTTCTATCTTCTAATGTACAATCTTGCCATTACAAAAAACTACCTCCATCTTTTTTTTTTTGTAGACAGGATCTCCAAAATGTTGCCCAGGCTCATCTTGAACCCCTGGGCTCAAGAGATTCTCCTGCCTCAGCCTCCAGAGTAGCTGGGACTATAGGTACACATCACCATGCCTGGCTTATCTCTATTTTCTAAAAAATACCTGTATACACAAAAATCTATAATGAATGTTCAGAGCAGCTTCATTCATAACAGCCTAAAATAGGAAACAACCCATATGTCCGAACCATCATACATTCATACCATAGAATACTGCTCAGCAATAAAAAGGGATACACTATTGATATGCACAACAACCTGAATGAGTCTTCAGACACTTGTGCTGAGTGAAAAAAAAAGGCCAATCCTAAAAAGCTACATGCTAATGGTTCCGTTTTTATAATATTCTTGAAATGACAATATTATAAACATGGACAAGAGATTAGTGGTTGCCAGCAGTTAAGGACTAAGGACTAAAGTGGGGTGAGATGAAAGAGTGAACTGGGAGGGGCAGGACTAGAAAAGGACAACATGAGTGATCCTTGCAGTGATGGAACTGTTTAGAATTTTGACTGTATCAATGTCAAGGTCCTGATTATGATACTGTGTTATAGTTTTGCAAGATGTTAACCATCAGAGGAATCTAAGTAACAGGTATGTGCAATCTCTCTGCATTATTTCTTACAACTGCATGTGAATGCATAATTATCTCAAAATAAAATATTAAAAAAAAGAAAAAAAAAAAGGCCGGATATCATCCTGCCCTGTGTTGTACAATTCTGAGGTTAAATGAGATAAAGTATGGCAAGGCACTTTGACTGCCTTGTGCCCTGTAAATACTAGGTAACATCATCATCTTCCTCTATCAACCAGTCTCATCAGCATTACTCACTGTTAGACTATTCCTTATCCACAGAGCCTTCGATATCTCTCTACTATGACCCTATCACTGTACTTGTGTAATCCGATCACCCCTCTTGCTATTGTTTGAATGTCCCCTCCAAAACTCATGTTGAAACTTAATCCCCATGGTGGGGCCTTCAAGAGGTGACTGGATCATGAAGGCATGTCATCATGAATGGATTAATAGATTAATGGGTTATCTTGGCAGTGAAACTAGTGGCTTTTTAAGAAGAGGAAGAGGGACCCGAGCTGGCAAGTTTACACACTCAGCTCCCTCTCTATGTGATATCCTACGCCACCTTGGGACTCTGTGGAGAGTTCCCATCAGCAAGAAGGCCCTCACCAGATTCAGCCCTCAATCTTGGACTTCCCAGCCTCCAGAACCGGAAAAAAAAAATTGTTTCTTTGCAAATTACCCAGTTTCAGGCATTGTGTTATAATCAACAGAAAACGGACTAAGACATTTCTAATAGACTGCAGCTCCTTGAAGGCAGAAACTTTTTTCTGTATCTCTCTATGCCCACAGCTTAGCATAGTATAAAACATATAGGCCAGGTACGGTGGCTCTCGCCTATAATCCCAGCACTTTGGGAGGCTGAGGCAGGCGGATCATGAGGTCAGGAGTTCGAGACCAGCCTGAACAACATGGTGAAACCCTGTCTCTACTAAAAATTTAAAAATTAGCCAGGCGTGGTGGCACGTGCCTGTAATCCCAGCTACTCAGGAGGCTGAGGCAGGAGAATCACTTGAATCCGGGAGTCGGAGGTTGCAGTGAGCCAAGATAACATCACTGCACTCCAGCCTGAGTGACAGAGCAAGACTCTGCCTCAAAAAAAAAAAAAAGACAACATACAGTAGGTGCTAAATAAATGGCTGCCAGGTTGAAATTAGCTCATGATCTTCTTGTTCAATACAAAGTGTCCCAACACTGGAGGAAGTGAGGAGGGGAGGGGACAGGAAAGAAGAACACTCCAGTAGCTATAAGCCAACGCCTTGAAAGTTTCATCAATAGCCTCCTCCTTCCCAAGTTGCTGAGAACCCAAATGAAGCAAATGTCTGTATAGAGGGTGTGGCCACAGCAGCAAAAACATGAGTTCAATTCATCAAGTCTCTTCTTTAAACTATTTCAAGTTCTGCAAATGAAGGAACTGACCATTTATAGATTGGGTCACTGGAACAAGATGGAAAGGTGGGCTGTGGTATACTATTCTGGAAAGGATTTTAAAGGTTAGCTGACAGCCCTTTTCCTGAAATGATTAACACTGAAGAATTGTCCGAGGGCAGAATGTATTTAAATACTCTGTCAAGATCTCTCAGAGATCTGACACTCTCGGCCCAGGCAAACATATTTGGCTAGTGAGGTGGGGAGGGGGTTCCCATGCCCTGAAAACAATGCTAGCTCCTCACTCCTACTCCAAATAGTTTCAAGCATAAAAAAGTACAAGCAGTTGCTTTGCTGCTCCTAACGTTATCGGATAATTTTTCAAATTCTTACTCAATTACATATCACGCTCTTATCTTCAATCTCCACAGGCCAAATAGCCTTGCTTTCACATCGTGCCCACTAAGCCTGCAGAACACAAGTATCCCTCCCAAGTAATTCCAGCTCTCATAAACATGAGATCATTTTACATTAAGTTTTGTTAGAGTATTTGTGTGTATGGTGTTTGTGTGCGTGCGTGCACACGCGCATGCATAAGTGTGCATATGCCTTTTCTTCTAATAAGAGTAAGGAGATTTAACGCAAGAGAAGGTTAGAAACTTGGGAGGTTTCTGTCTCTGCTTAATGATTAACTCTTTTGCTACTGAATCCAGAAGAGCTGGCCTTTCTGGACTGGCAGTCCCACTCCCTGGCCAAAACAGCAAAAGAAAGCTCATACGCACACATTCACTCTTAGAAAGAAGTAACCAGCACAAATCGGTTTCAGCTTTGGCAGTGAGAACACTATTGCAGTTTTAAGGAGAATTAGGTGTTTCCATATTGTGTTGTTACTGGCCTTAAAATATCCAGATCAAGAACCTCATTAATCAAAGTAACACGTCATCTACCCAAAATGCTTCAATGTTTGATTTAAAATTGCTGACAGCAAAGAACTGAGATAACTTACATAACCACAAATCACTGAAAAAGAGAGATCAGGAGATACAGCACAACGGACTCTAAAAATGGCTAAAAACACAAAGCCTAATTAATGTCATTTAAAGATGAAACCTTTAAGAAGAAAACAAAGAAAAAAAAAAAAAGATGAAACCTTAAACCAGAAGTAGAAGAGGGGAGTAGGAAGAACCTGTGCTATCTATTCTCTGGTTTCTATCCTTCCCCCAGGACAATAATCAACATCTAGACTCTATGTGACAACTCACTTAACAATAGCCATTTTTTGTTCATATGTCCTAAAAATCATGAAGCTAGGAACTAGTAATCCATCTTTCCACTTTCCAGCTGAGAAGCTGAGAATCCCAAAGGTGGAATGACATCTTCAACATTACATAGCTGGTCCTCCATTACCCTACATTTCTTCCTCCCTATGAATGATATTTTTTAAATGCTGTAATGATAAAAATATGAGCTGTCATTATTATTAATAGTACTCATTTAAAACAACAGACTATTACTAGCCTATTCATTAGGCGAAAGGAAAACAAACATAAACATGAAAACATTTCAATTCCACATTACAGCATGCTTCATCACAATCCTCAAAGAAATCCTTAGTTGACAAAAGGCCTAATACATAAAGAGCAATGTAAGAGGCAAGAGGCCACTCCACATCCTAAAAGAGCCTGAAGTCACTTCCCGAACAACCCAGATGTCTAGATCAACCCTATACCAGTTCCATAACCACACTGCCTCCCCCAGGTTTGTCCCAGACCAGATGTCAGAGATTACGAGCCTCCCACTTCCTTATTTCTTTAATTTTCATTAAGGACAATCAATCAACTTCCTTTTTCTTTTAAATTTAAGTACTGCACACAACAACATAAATATCTGTAATACTAAGAGTTACACAAATTCCATTTCTGACCTACCAACATGGATGGGGAAAACCATACAAACCAGTTACAGCAGGGAATCTTCTAACTCTAGAAGTCTCTGAGCTTACTGGAAGTCCAAAGTTTAATAGTTATCCTGATTAAAACATCCTGATTAAAGTGATCCAGTCACAAGTTCACCTGTAGGCCCATCAAGTAACTCTCTCTCCCCTCGATTTTTCTCCAGCTGTGAGGCACATCTTCCTACTAGATCGTGATACTTCAACAAGTATCACTTCAACTGCTCTCCAGGCCAGCTGCCACTCTGGTACTACCTACCACCTGGGGCCTACCCTCCATAAGTGTGCAGCAGCCATGCAGGCATGGCAAGTTCTGGGGGTGGAAAGAATGTCATTCAGAGAATATAATGGTTTTTGTACTTCAAAGTGTGTCTACTTAAAAGGGACAAATCATCATCTTCAACATCTTTTTTGTTGTTTGTTTTTGAGACGGAGTCTTGCTCTGTCACCTAGGCTGGAGTGCAATGGTGCGATCTGGGCTCACTGCAACCTCCGCATCCCAGGTTCAAGCAATTCTCCTGCCTCAGGCTCCCAAGTAGCTAAGATAAATTACAGGCGCCCGCCACCATGCCCAGCTAACTTTTGTATTTTTAATAGAGACAGGGTTTCACCATGTTGGCCAGGCTGGTCTTGAACTCCTGACCTTAGGTGATCCGCCTGCCTCGGCCTCCCAAAGTGCTGGGATTACAGGCTTGAGGCACCCAGCCAGGCCGATCTTCAACGTATTAATAAGCAAAAATAATGAACCCTGAAAGCTGGAAGGACCTTAGAAAGTTTCTAATGTTTAACCCCTAGTATTTTAGATGAGAATACCAAGGCATAGGGAGGTACAGTAGGTATGTAACAGAAAGACATTTAAAACACTGCATTAATTCTTTATTGTACCAAGTTACTAGGAAATGAGGACAATCAACTGAGTGTGTACAGCATCTCATAGTTTCAACTGAATTCTTTCATTTCAGCTTCACACCAGTGTTAAGTCAGCTTAGGTTCATAATCTGTCCTCATCACTTACTAGCCATGTGCTTCAGAGCAAGTTATTTAACCTCACTGTGCGTCATCTGTAAAATGGGGATAATAATAGCAGCTACCTCACAGGACTGTTGAGAAATTCATGAGTTCATATATGTAAAGCACCTAAAACAGAGCTGAGACATAAGAAGCACTTGATAAACGCTAACCATCATCACCATCATTATTATAAGGGCCAAGAATTGTTGTTCCCATCTTACAGGGATTTTATAGGGAAACTAGGGATTTTGAGACCTTAGGTGAGTTATCTCCAAAATCATGGCAGCCAATGACAAAGCTAAACTAGAACCCAAGCTTTCTGCCTCCCAATCCAGCACTTTCCCTTAGGATCATTCTGCCTGTGTAGAATCCTGTAGCTCAACGCGTAACAAAGTACTGTATTGGCCCAAAAGAAATGTTGCTCCAGAATAGGTACCTCAGTCAAGATGTCTTCCCAAAGAGCAGCTTACTCATCTGACAAGCTCTGGTGCAGTATCTCCACCGCCTACCAAAATAATAAACACACACACACACAAAATCTAATGGGGAAAGGAAGCAGATTTCTAAGGGATTTCAATGTTTGGAGAAGAGTTGGCAACAGCCAACTCTTCAGAAACAAGACATATTTCTTAAAGCTTATGGCATGGCTTGTCATGGCCAGCTCATGCTCTTAAGTCCCTTTGTTTTCTGTGCTTTGTCCTCCTGTGGAGCCCTGGCCACCCAGCCACCCATGGCTGCCAGGGTCATCTTCTCCAGGGAGAGTATTCAGATCCTGCCCACCATGCCATGATTCTAAATGCAAGATCTGGGCTCAAACAGCAAAGATAAGGTCCCAACTTTCACAGTGATTTCTGGGTCACCTCTCCACTGATTAATGCATTTAGAAGATATGGTTAAGAAAAACAAACAAACAAACAAACAAACAAACAAAAAAAACAAAGAGAATATGCCTTCTTCCTAAAGGATGATATCCTAAAATATACACCAAAATGGAGGAACATGCCCCAACTGTTTTTCCTTCCTCACGAATACATATTTCAAGTTCAGAACCATTCATTCACAACGTATAAATAAGGTCAAGGGTATTTCATACCAAATGACTTGAAAAACCATAAGGGACCATTTTCCTGCTTGTTCCTTAGGACCTCTCCTTCCCCATTTACCAAAGATCTCACAGCTGCTTCTAACCAGGCAATAGCTCTCTCCACACCGTGCTTTGAAAAAGGAACAAAACAGTTCCTTTTTCAGGTCAACCCAGTTTTAACTCCAGGTCAAGACAGACAAACTTTCTCAAACTTAGACTTTTAGTGCCTGATTAAAATGGTGAATAAATCCTAGACAAATGTACAATGTGTTTTTGCTTCAATTACAGAAAGCCTTATGTTTGTTTTAAACTCTCGGGAATTTCAGTGTTAACATTTTTCTTGGTTTCCAAGGTGAGAGATGTGACTGAAGAAATTTGGTCAAAGCAAGTATAGCTCTAGGGCAGTGACTCTAAAGAGGGCAGTGATTCTAAAGAGGGCTGTGCCAGCAATAAATTTAAGGAGAAACACACCCCCGTGGGGGAGGATCCATAAGGCTATGTAGTTTGTACTTGTCCTTGTATAATGCAAATATATTCACAAAGTTTAATCTATATCAAATTTCAAATAATATTAACATAGGGCATGGGTTTCTTACTGGAGTCGGGGAGAAATGCAGAAGCGTGCCATCATGGCACTATCACATCCAAACTCAACTCAGAAGACAGTTCAATTCAACTTATAAACATTGTAGTGCTTACTATGTGTCAGGAGCTGGACATGCAGAAATGAATAAAAGACCATTCTTTCCTGAAGGTGCTCAGTGAGTTGTAAACAAAGAGATGTAAATGAAGAGATCGCAATGTAATATGATGAGTGCAATAATACAAGAGTGTACAAAGACACTGCAGAGGAGATGCTGAGAGCGTACTGATGAACTCTGTACAGAAGGCAAGGGGAGATGCTGAGGAATCCTGCTTGGGATCCCGCACAGGGGAGCAGGGAAGGCTTCCTGGAGGGGTGGCATCTGAGCTGCTTTAAAGGTTGAATAAGTTTTACAGGTTCAAGGAAGAGGACCCATTCCAAAGAGAGGGCACAGCATGGATACAGCACAAACCATGACACAACATGATAAAGAAAGGAAACTAGAGGCAGTTCAGCTGTAAGGCAGTATAAAATGTAAGCAGGGTAAGTGGGAAGTGATTAATATTAACAGTCTTTTATGCTACGATGTTAGCAAAAAAAAAATGAGTTTTTAAAAATCACTCTGGTGACATTGTGCAAGATACAGTGTCAAGATACAATTAAACTATTTCTAAAAGATTATTTGTAGTAGTTAGGTCATCCATTCATTCAGTACTACAGACAGTAAGTGTTTACTGAGAGCCACCATTTGAGCTACAATAGTCTTCCAGACACGTTTCCTATCTGAAGGGACCTTATAATAAGCTATTTATTTAGCATTTAATATTTGCCATACACTGAGCCAGTACTCTTAACACAACTGCAATTAATAGCAAGGCAGGTCTCATTATCTCCACATCACAGAAAAGGAGGCTTGGAAGAGAAGTTGAGTGACTTCAGCAAGGTCACACAGCAAGGAGGTGATGCTGACAAGACTCCAACTGAGGGCTGGTTCCAGAGCCTGTATTCTTTGCATTGCACTACACAACTTCAAAACATTCCTACATTCAGAAGTCTGGTAGAAGAAAAAAGAATGAAATACAAATATTCCAAACATAAGGCAGTATGAGATCAATGCCATATGAGATCTATTAAGAGAAGCACTATGTGGGTGAAATAGAGAGAAGGGTTATTTCTGGTCAGAGCAATTAAGGAAGGAATCCCAGAAACGTTGGGCTTTACCAGAAAGGTGAGATTTCTTTCTTTCTTTTCTTTTTTTTTTTTTTTTTTTGAGATGGAGTTTCACTCTTGTTGCCCAGGCTGGAGTGCAAGGGCACGATCTCGGCTCACAGCAACCTCCAACTCCTGGGTTCCAGCCATTCTCCTGCCTCAGCCTCCCAAGTAGCTGGGATTACGGGCAAGTGCCACCACCCTCAGCTAATTCTACATTGTAAGTAGAGACAGCGTTTCACCATGTTGGTCAGGCTGGTCTCGAACTCCCGACCTCAGGTGATCCACTGCCCCCAGCAGAAGGATGAGATTTCAATAGGTGAAGATACGGGACTGCGCAGCGAAAAAGGGGCATTTCATGAGCAACACGTAGAACTTAGACTCTGGCGACAACCAAGGTTCCTATTCCATTATTCACCAGCTGCAGACCCTGGAGAAATAACTGAATGTCCTACACCTCACTTTTTTCATCAGTAAAATGGGATACTAGTAACATCTTTTTCCTAAAGTTGGAGTAAGGATTATGGAATAATCTATATAAAGTATTTAGCATAATGCTTAGTAAGTGGTAAACATCCAACAGACAGCAAATGTTAGCTAGTAGTCTGTTTAAAGAATGGTAAGCAGTCAAGTTAGGCTTCCAGTCCTCTTAAAGCAAAATAAGAAATGTGGTCGAAACAATAGGTTGCAGTCAGATTGAGAATGAAGTTCATGTCTACCTTAGAAAGTTGGTCTGTATTTAGCAGGCAATAGGGAGTCAATCATTAGAAGAAAGAAGCCATATTAAGAACATTCTGAGTAGATCTCCAGTGGGAGCCCCTAGCCCCTCTCCTTGACATCTGGCTTATTTGTGACCCCTTCTAAAAAGGCATGAGGCCCTAGGACTAGTTCAGGCCAGATCTATTTTTTCATTTGCTTGTTTTTTGTTTTTGAGATGGAGGCTTGCTCTGTCACCCAGGCTAGAGTGCAGTGGCATGATCTCGGCTCACTGCAACCTCTGCCTCTTGGATTCAAGCGATTCTCCTCCCTCAGCCTCCTGAGTAGCTGGGATTACAGGCACCCACCACCACGCCCAGCTAATTTTTGTATTTTTGTAGAGATGAGGTTTTGCCATGTTGGCCAGGCTGGTCTCGAACTCCTGACCTCAGGTGATCCATCTGCCTCGGCCTCTCAAAGTGCTGGGATTACAGATGTAAGCCACCACACCCAGCCAAGCCAACTCTATATGGAAACAGACACTGTCATTTGTCCACTCCTAACATGGCCATGATTTTTTTTCTTTTCTTTCTCACTCCATCCTGTACCTTCCCTCCTAAAAGCAGAGTAATGGCTGAGACACAATTATTAGCCTGACTTCCCTTGGAGATTGTCTTGGTTAAACAAATTTTCCAGAAACTAATCTGGGTAGCTTAGATCATTATTTATTTGTTACTTTTTAAAATTTGTTAATACCAGGCTTTCACTTAGTTATCTTGAAGTTAATGCCTCTTCTATAACATAATTATTAGCTCTATCACCTAGGCTAGACTGCAATGGTGCAATCAATCATGGCTCCCTGCAATCTCGAACTCCTGGGCTCAAGCAATTCTCCTGCTTCATCATCCTAAGAGAGCCTAGGACTACAGGTATGTGCCATCACACCCAGATAATTTTTTTTTGAAATGGAGTCTCGCTCTTGTTGCCCAGGCTGCAGTGCAATGGCGAGATCTCAGCTCATTGCAACCTCTGCCTCCCAGGTTCAAGTGATTCTTGTGCCTCAGCCTCCCGTATAGCTGGGATTACAGGTGCCTGCCACCACACCCGGCTAATTTTTTTATTTTTAGTAGAGACAGAGTTTCACCATATTGGCCAGGCTGGTCTTAAACTCCTGACCTCAGGTGATCTGCCCACCTCCCAAAATCCTGGGATTACAGGCGTAAGCCACCGTGCCCAGCCAGGTTTTTGTTTTTTGTTTTTTTTTCTTGCAAAGATGGGGTCCCACTATGTTTCCCAGTTTGGTCTTGAACTCCTGGGCTCAAGCAATCCTCCCACCTTGGCCTCCCAAAGTGCTGGAATTACAGATATGAGCCACTGTGCCTGGCCAATAGTACTGGTTTATTAATACATTATAATGAAGAAACTTTGGGGGTAATGATTACATTCACTATCTTGATTGTGCTGGTTTCATGGGTATTATATATGTCAAAGCCTATCAAATTGTATACCTTAAATATGTGCAATTTATTAAATGTCAATTAAATCTCAATAAAGCTATTAAAAATATGGTAAAAGTTTAGTAATTCATGTAATTATTAAAAGGTGTACAACTTTATAATTAATAATATACTAATATACAAGCTAATGCACATATTAAAACCTTAAATTTAAAAAATTTATCAGGACAAGTGATTATATAGAAATGTATATACAGGCTTGTAAAACTTTGGTATAGTGTACCTTTTAAAAAAAAAATAACCAGCCTGGGCAATGTAGGGAGACTTCATCTCTACAAAAAATTTTAAAACTAGCTGGGTGTGGTGGCATGTGCCTATAGCCCCAGCTACTTCGGAGGCTGAGGTGGGAGGATCACTTGAGCCCAGGAGGTCAAGGCTGCAGTGAGCCGTGATCAAGCCACTGCAATCCAGCCTGGGTGACAGAGTGAGACCCCATCTGAAAAAAAAAAAAAAAAAAAGAAAAAAGAACACCCCTATGTTACACCTATGTTCACAGCAGCATTATTCAAAATAGGCAAAAGGTGGAAACAACCCAAGTGTTCATCAATGAACGAATGGGTAAACAAAATGGGGTATATACATACAATTAAATATTATTCAACCTTAAAAAAGAAAGAAATTTGGACATATGCTACAACATGGATGAACTTTGAGGACATTATAGGAAGTGAAATAAGCCAGTAACAAAAAATATATACAATATGATTCCACTTACCTGCAGTATCTGGAGTTATCAAATAGAGACAAAGTACAATGGTGCTTGCCAGAGACAGGGGCAGGAGGGAATAGGGAGCTGTTGTTTAATGGGTATAAAGTTTCAGTTTTGCAAGATGAAAAGAGTCATTTAGATGGATGGTAGTGATGGCTGCACAACAATGTGAATGTACTTAATGCTACTGAACTGTACTCTAGAATGGTTAAGATGGTCAACCTCCTGTGTATTCTACCACAATTACAGAGAGTAAGGGAGATATGAGAGTTCCTACACATTATTGTAAAATCAGTAAGGGTGTTAATTTTGTAATTTTTTAAAATGATTTTAAGTGCTGTTATTACTTATGTTTAAACCTAACAACTTCCAAGGCAACTTTCCCAGATTCCCCAAAAAGTCAATTCTGGAGCTGACACCAGGTTAAAACTGCTAATTTTATTACTACCAGAAATCTACATATCAACTGCTTTTTCCCTGCAATATGACATATTTTCCTAATGTAGCTGTCAGAGGTCAAGGGTATAAGGTAAGCACAATTCCCATGAAGCATTCTCACTTCTGGAAGGACAACTCTACAGGTGCCACTGGGTAGCCCAGTTTATCTGGAGTGAATAATGGGAGTCAGGGTCTGGGTACCTGCTGATTTTAATAGTGAGGGCGCCTACATACTGCAGCCAGGTCCATCTCTGGACACCTCATAGCAGAGAAATCATCAGAGCCTGTCTAAGTTTTCAACCTGCATGATACATAACGGATGTGGCCACAATTACCAGATAGGCTTCTTCAAAGGAAATTTCTGTTCTCATTCCCCAAGAACACCTGAAATTGAAAAAGCTAAGGACCCCTCATGAACACTGTTTCCAACTACTGCTTCTTTGCACAGTACACTGCATCCCCTGGCTCCTTGCCTACCACCTTCCTCTAGGGTCTTTCAATTGCAAGATGCAGAGTATGGTACTTGAAAGTTTCCAAGAGTTTCATTTTCTTCCAGGAGTTCACCTTACTGCTGCAGAGTAGCTTTTTTTGTTGCTGTTTTTTCCCCTGAGCAAGGGACAGGAGCCCTCAATCATCTTGCAGGAAAATGATAGCATCTGCTTGAGGATTCCAACTAAATGTTTTACTGCAGCTTTTCAAACTGACTATATTTAACTGATTATATTTAAAACTGATTAACTGATTATATTTAAAGCTCCCTTGGGGAATGGGAGCTGTGAGGAAAGAAGCTTTGGAGAAGACCTTTGTTGGCATGAATGAAAAATTGCTCAGACCTCCCAAGGGAAAGAGCTTGTTTATATACCAGCCATCAACATTCCCAAGTATATATACATACACAATACGACTCCAGTTTTAAATTTCATCTCCTGCTCTTGAAGGGTCCTGAAAGGGTTAAACTGTTCCAAGCAAAGGCCTGCACTTTTTCTATCAAAATGCTCCAGATGGAAATTACAAAATTTCGCTTCCAGCTCTGTGGTGCACACACACTGTTCTCCTAAGACATTAAAAAAAAAAAAAAGACAAGACCCCTAATGTTCTCGAGAAAGAAAATGTGACTGCTCAGCATACAGTGCCACCCTGTTTCAGACTATTTCTTCTGGAATATTTGCATGAACTGTCAATCTCAAGCTTTCTGGGAGACTGTAAAAACTCAAGGTATAGAGAGGGTAAAGGAAAGGGGCCTTAAATAAGGAAAGAACAATAGCTGGGACTGTATACAGTCATGTGTATTCACCCAAATACCACCCAGATTCACAACCCTGGTAACCATGCCCTGCACCTTACCACCTTCGCTGCTCCAATCCCAGCAACAAGCTAACAGGCTAGAGGCCAAAGGCTTCAGTTTATGACCATGAATCTGACCAGGGTTGTAAAGAATTTCCAGAGATTAATGTACATCAGCCCTCCCCATACCTGCAGGTTCCATATCTGCAGATTCAACCAAATGGGAATGGAAAATATTCAAGAAAAAAAAAAAAACAATAAAAATACCAATACAACAATTTAAAATAATACAAATTTTAAAAGCAGTATAACAACTATTTACATAGCATTTACACTGTATTAGGTATTATAAGTAATCTAGAGATGATTTAAAGTATACAGAAGGATGTGTGTACATAGGTTATACGTAAATACCACACCATTATTTATCAGGGACTTGAGCATCTGCAGATTTTGGTATCCTGAGGGAAGTGGGGGTAGTCCTTGAACCAATCCCCTGAGGATACTGACGGACAACTACATATAAAAGCATAATGTAAATTGGAAAGAGCTATGTAAAAAGACTAAGAATATTATTGCTTTCAAGTCAGACATTGAGAGGCATGAACTTTCCAAGGAATGTGGGCACCCACAAACCTGAAACAATGATGGTTTTTAAGAAGACACTACAAGGCAGGCTGACTAAGGAGGCACACCCCTCATAAAACCACTCTGGGGTAGGGTTGGGGCTGAAGCCTCAGGAGTTCCTCAGGGCACATGCAAGCAGGTGGTTTATAGGGAGGCAAAAATCAAGGGATAGGTAGGGTCCCAGAAAGTCCCATGAGATGAGGGTCCCATTTAGAGTCCATTTGACTCAAACAATTCTGATTGAAAAAACAGGACCTGGGACTCTGGTCAAAGACAGGCCGAACCACAGTGGCCAATAATTAGTTTACTTGTTCACTGACAGAAAAAGAAACTGATGTCCAGAGGGTTTAAGTGACTGACCCAAGATGTTTTGTTACGACTAAATGATCTTAAGCTAGAACTTAAGTTTCATTCCTTACTTATTTCCTATCATTTAATAGCTGGCACTTTGGGAGTGAATATGCAATGCAGCCTCAATAGTCAGCCCAATTCAGCAAAAGAAAGGCTCACAGAGAAGTAGACCGTACCATTATTGAGCACTTACAAGTGCAAGATACTGTTCTAAATAATTTATATATCTCATCAACAACTCACTACTATCTTAGGAAATGTATTTTATTTTACCCATTTTCCAAATAAGGAAACTGAGGCTCAGACAAGTCATGTAACTTGCCTGAAGTGAAAGGCTATCTACTGGCAGAACCAAGATTTAAACCTGAATCACTTTGACTCTAAAAATTGCACTTAACAACCAAACCAAACTGCATAGCTGTTACAGCAATTTTCTTTTTATCTTGGCATCTGTAAGAGAAGTCTGGCAGCACCATGAGTCCCATATAACACACAAAAAGCTGACACTCATAATAATTCTGACCCAGGGCTTCTAGCTAGTGGGGGGCAGAGCCAAACCAGATCGCAGGCCCTTTGTCTCCAAATTCTGTGCTGTTCCATAGAGAGCCCAGCTTCCAGAATATAAGCTCCACGAGGGTAGAGACTTTTTCTTCTTCACAGCTGTATGGCCAATCGCCAGAACACACAGCAAGCACTCAATAAATAGTTAATGAATAAAGGAATGAAGTCAAGCTGCCATGGTTTGGCTGTGTGACCTTGGAAGGGCTTCTCATCCTCTCTAAGCCTCAGTTTCCTTATATGGTGAATGGAAGGTGACAATAATACCCATTCCCTGGGTTGAGGTAAGGATTAAACCAGACCATTCATTTAAAGCACTTGGGATGGACTGGAACATAATGAGCAACCAAAATGTAATCTATTATCATTATCATTATTACTATCATTATTCATTGACAGATTTGGGCTCCTTAAGAATTTTTTATTTTTTTCCACCCTGGTCAGATGATGTTTCATAGTAAAGATACAGAATAGAGAATTGAGAGTTGGTAAATCTGCTTCTAGTTTCAGATCTGCCACCATCTAGCCGTGTGACCTTGGACAAGCCTCTTCAGTTCTCTGTATTCTCCTCAGCTGTAAAATGAAGGACTAAACTATTCAAATCAGTTCCATAAGCATTCATCAGGCACCTTCTCGGAGTAAGACATCATGCTCAGCCACCTATAAAATTCTATGATCCTGAATAGTATCAATGGGAAAATATCAGAGCAAAGCAAAATAGTCTGTTTGTGGCAAGGTTGAAGAGAGAACCCAAATAGCCGACTGCATTACCTCATCTCAATGAGCAATGTTTGTAAATATCCAAAGTGTTTAATTTTGAGACACTCTTGAGAAATCCTTTGCCAATAAGAAATTGGCAGATATGGTTCTATTAACACCTATCAGCCTTGAACCTTCCAAAAATTAAACATTTAAAGTCACTTTGCACCTTAGTCAAATGGCGTGCTTCTGGAGAGAAATCTGGGAAGATCAAAGTTATTAACACTCCCGATGGCAACAGTTTAAGAATAGGATGTGTTAAAAAAAAAAAAAAAAAAAAAAGACATATCTGGTTAAAACTGCAGGGGGGATTCCAAGAGCAAATGCAATGCATCTGGACAGGACATGGAGGCCAGTGGCCTATTGTTTACAAAAACAGGCCTGGATTATGAACAGTGACAAGAGGCCAAGACCTCAATAATAACTCACAACCACACCTCTCTCAATCCCAGTTCAACTGAAGCTATCAATCAGTCAACTCCCCCATCTCTGTAATAAACCTACCAATATTTGCAGCCAAGTGGATAGAAGGCCCCTTAGGGCACCTCCAGCACTGACCAAACTAATGACATAAAAAAGATCCTGTAGGTACAATGAGGACTTCAGACTACCTTCCAACCTTCCAAGAGATAAGGGAGCTGCCCATTTCAAACTCTACGCCTACCCCCACCCCCCAGCAATCATTAGAGGGGAGCCATGGCCCTTCCCAAGTCCTCTCTGATAGGAAAAGGTCTCCTTGCACTGGTGCAGGGAAAGGAGGGGCCCCTCCCTCTGTACTCTGAAACAAAGGAAAACCCAGAGCTCCAACCATGTGGTGTAACATTCAAGGCCACCCACCTCTTCCACTCCCCAGCTAAGGTCTCAATGGGCTGGAGCCACATGGCTCTTTCCAGTGACTGACCAGGAAAGGACAGTGCCTTGCACAAACACATGCTGCAGCTCTTTAACAGGCAGGAACCCTTCCTATGGGAATTGCTGGTTTAAAAAACGCTATCTGAGTAAGGGCTCTTATTCATGAGTCAAGTCAGTCGACTAGATGAGAAGACAGGTCACTTGGTTTCTCCTAGTCCACACTTTGCTTTACCCTTCACATTTTTCAGGAGAGGGAAATGGGGCTTTAAAAGCATGTCTTCCGGAGCAGAGGGCCACAGCACAGAAGGGTTAAACAATTATGTCTTCCCATTTTCCAGAATCAGCACCAACCGGCTACCCTAACATCCTCCCAACTCTATTCAGATTTAGGTGAGGGCGGAGACCGGGCGTGGGTGGCCTTATTCTCTGATCTCTGATTGTATGCAGGCCGACCAGAGACCAGGCAGGTACAAGGTACACCCAAGGTGGCAATGGACTTTTGGTGCCAATGCCATTGCAAATCTCATGTTTTAATATAGTGCATCCAAAAAACCCCGCCTCTCCCAAGGCTCTCCAAATGGTACACCTTCCCAAGGTTGCCTTTCTGTCTGGACTCCTCTTCAATCTCTGAAACAAATGTCCAAACACCTGTCAGATTTCAGTTGTCTTTCAAGGAAACCTGACCCAGAGAACCGGAGGCAAACTGCCTTTCTCTAAGAGCCTCCTGCCCCTCCCCCCACCCTGCCCGGCTTGGGGGGAAAGGGCTGCCAAAATCATGGTCAGCCCCACAAAGATACTCCTACAGCCCACTGCAAAAATTCCTTTCCAGTGTCAATGGCCCCCTGGCATTGCCCATCCTTTGGAGGTTCAGACCCATCTATGAAACCACCTCTGGGGTCAGCCTGCCCCCATCTGCTCCACCCAAAGAAATGAACAACCTGCAAATCACGGTGGAAATACACGCCTCACCAGTCCACAGAGCATTTGCAGTGTGCTATTTTTCAAAACCCTTACCTTTGACCTGAGTATCGTACTCTGCTATGATCTCCTTATCCTTTTTGAATTTGGCTGGAGACGTCATGTTTTCCTTCTTTCTTCCAAATTCGAATTGTGAATTGATAGATCCACGGAAAAAATCCAACCACCTAAATCAATACCTCCAAGACCGCTTCTCTCGAGGGCAGAAGGGGCCCCCCACGGTGGTCTCCAGCGCTCCGTGGAGCGCGGGCTGCGGGCTGGGCAGACGGCTACGGCGGGCACATGCAGACGGTGGGCGCTGAGGCCGGGTGCGGCGGCGGCTGGTGCCTGTGCTAGAGCCGGAGCCGCAGCCTCAGCATTAGCCGGGAGAACTGCAGCGCCCGGAGGCTGGCCTGGGGTCTGACATCAACGACACAGGCGGGGAGTGGAAGTCCTTCCGCACAACATGGTGTGGGGCTGCGGGGGTGTGGACGCGCCCAGCTGTGTCCCCGGGAGGGAGTGGGTGCTTTTCGGGGTGCCGGGGGAGGGCTGGGCGTGCTTCGCGGTTTTTTGTCGTAGAGGCTCAAAGATGCTGCAAATCAAATCCCAAACGGGAGCCGCAACAGCGCAGACTGGATCGGAAGTCGTTTGCTCCGGTTCACTTGCCTGTAAATGCAGGAAAAGGGGGAGGGGGCGATCAGCCAGAGCGCAGATCCTAATCGCGGCGGGGGTGGGGTAGGGGACGTCGTTCCGAGCCCGCCCTGGGCCCATTCCTGTCCGCTTAACGTCTCCCCGCCCGCAGAGCCTGGCGCTACGAGGTGGGGAGGAAGGAAGCTCCCTCCGGATTTTAAGGCTGAAAGAAAACACTTTGGAGCAGCCGCCTGCGCGGGCTCCGGGCGGGAACTGCAGGAACGCGGGGCACCGGGCGGGGAATGCGGCACCTCGGCGGCCTGCTGAGCCCCGCCAGCGCTGGGCAGCGGCCAGCCCGAGGGAGCCCTCCCGACCTAGCCCCCGACGTGGCCCCAGACCCCCGGCCGGGGCACCTCCCTGTACATCAAAGGGGATCAAAGCCGGGGAGGGACAAGCCACCAGGGCACAACTTTTCTTCCTCTCCCGCCCCTCCTCCCAGTTGTTTTGTTTTTGGTTACTAGCTTCTCTTGGCAGCAAAATGTTGATGGGGGGGCGGGGCAAATCTGCAGGAAAAAGCCTGCTCGGCACGGGACACATCCAGGAAAACAATGTGGTCAGCTGAAGCAGGAAACGGGTTAGAGGATAGGGTCGGAGCCGGGAAAACCGGGGGGCGGCGAGCGGAAGGCAGCCGTCGCCTCCCTCAAGCTAGGGACGATAGTGACTATAAATGCCACCCCCAATATTTTTTTGACACCCAAGCTCAGAGATCCCAGATATCCCACCCAATCCCAGGCTGGGGATGGGAGGAGGTCGGTGAGGTCGCAGTCCTGACTCCTCGCACCAGGCGGTGCCCGAGAAGATCCGGCCCCGGACGAGGCCCAGGGGGCTGGAGGGACGCAAGCGGGAGCGCGGAGCCCGGCGACTAGCTCCCTCGCGTGCCGCAGCGGCGACCCTTTCTACTTGGTCTTTCCTTTTCCTCCGAGCGCCGGGAGGAGGAAGCTCCCGCTAGCGTCTCCCACTTCCCGCGGCTGGAGGAAGGGGCCACGCTGAGGGAACAAGACAGGGAGCAGAGGCGGCGGGGTTCAGGCGAGCGGGAAGCGGGAAGCGAGAGGCGGGTGTGAGATGGGGTCCTGAGGCTGGAAGGGAGCCCGGGGACAACTGGAGTTGCACACGCTCGGAAGGCGGGAGGCGGCAAGGAGAAGGCTGCCTTAGAGGTGAGGGGAATTGGGGCATGATCATGGGCCGCGATGTTGCGTGAAGCGCAAGGATGTCAGGAACTGTGGGGGCCGAGATGTGGTCTAGGGATGGGAGTGGGCGAAGAGAAGTCCATCGGGGCGGGCCGGGGGGTGGGACTCGGGGAGAGCCCCGGAAGCTGCGCGGAACACCCATCCTCCTGGGTCCTAGGCTGGGACCCGGGCTGTCCGCCAGGGCTGGGAGACACTGGAGGAGGCCGGCCGATGATTACGCGCGATGCCAACGACGACTGCCCTACGGTGGACCGCGGCTGCCCGTGTGCGGAGGAAAGGGAGAGGCGGCTGGGTGCCGGCTGCGCTGCGGTCCGTGAGCCAGGACAGAGTCCCAGGCTGTACAGTGATGGGCGGAGAGACTCGCAGTCCTGAGAAGTATTATGGGCTGTACTGGGAGATTTGGAGAGGGTGGAGGAGGGGCGGTCTGAGGGATTCCGGGCGGCACCGCTAAGGCGATGCCGCGAGCAGCATCCGCGCCCTCTCCTTCCCGCCCCAGCCCGGGTTTGTTCAGTCAGGGCTCCAGCCCGGCGGCCGGGAGGAAGAAAAGGAAGAGGGAAGGAGCCTTTACCTGGCTCTGACGCGACGGGTCCCAGGCCCCCGGCTCCGCTTCCCACTCAGAGCTCTCCTCCCCTCTCTTCCCCGCCACCCGTTTCTACGCAGATCTGTGCCCCAGTCCCTGGAGGAGCCTCCGCCAACTCCGCAGGACCCCGCCGGGAAGTAGAGCCCACCCCTTTACCAATCACCGCCCGTTTTCTATCGACCGATGGGGCCCATAGCCAATAGGAAGAGCTGATCCCGAGAGGCCCGGAATGAGGGGGAGGAGCTGGCAAAACTTGGAGGTGTGACTAGCACTGCCGAGGCGTGGTCACAGATTAAGCTCCACCCCGGGTTGTTGAACCCCTAAGTAGAACTGATGGGCGGGATTAAGGTGGAACCGACGACCAAACACAAACTCTTGAGCTGAGGCACGGCCAATTGGGCCGGGGTAGAGAGGAGGGGTGTTGCGGGGAATTTTAACCAATAAAGAGTAGAGACCGGTGGAGACTGTAGACCCTCTTCCAATAAGAAGCGGGAAGGGCGTGCCTTGCCACTTTCACTAGGGCTAAAGCAGGGTTTGCCGAAACCTCCCGAAGCCGGCCAATGAGATCGGAGGCGGAGCCAAGCTCAGCCGACCAGAAAGCCGAATTGATCTCAGCACCGTTACTGGGGCGGTGCCTACGGTCTTCAAGCCACTAAGCTCTCGTGAGGGGAGGCCCCGGAGCCTTCCAATGAGGGACTGGGGCTAACTCTAGTTCTTCCAATCGGTGCGCGGCGCTGGCAATTCAAACTGATACCGGGTTGGAGAGGCAGGAAAAGCGGAAGAGGGAGCGAAAACCAACGTGTTCGGTGACAGACCCCAGCGCCGACTGAGCCTCTAAAGCGACTTCAGCTCTGCCCCACCAACACCACCGCGCGCCCGGGAACAGCCGCTCCGGGAAGAAACCTGAGGGGACTGCGGGGGGCACGAGGGACAGCTGAGGGAAGGGAGGACGCGAGAGAAACAGCGCGAGCACGCTGAGGGCCGGGGGTTGCCAGGAGAGGGGCCCGCGGACCCGCAGAGCGGAGGAAGGTCCGGGAGAAAAGGGGCGGGACGGAGGAGAATCCGGGATCGCCTGGCAGAAAAAGAGAAGGGAGTTTCTGAATCCTGGGAAGAGGAGGCGTGGGTAGGGACGCTTAGCCCGAGATCCGACAGCAGGGAACCGGAGCGCTCCGGGGGAGGGGCTTAATGCTGGGGAAGGGATGTCTTAAAAGAGGAGAAGCTTTAAATTAGACGATCGGAGAAGGCTGAGGGAATTGCTATGAAGGGGCGGGAGCTGAAGTGTAGAGGACTCCTTTAGACAGCAGAAAGGGAAAGCCGTTGAGAAGTTCCCTTCAAACTCCACCTGCCTCCTCTCCAATTCAAACTCCACTCCCTTCTCCAAAAGTTAAAAGGAAAGCCAAGTTTACCACGCTCCCCTGTTCCTACTCAATAAATACTTCTTCTACTCCGCCACCGGGAAAACAGAAAAAAAAACTAATTTCCTTCCCAATATTAGGACTTAGAAAAGCTCTAGGTCCCGCAATTTGAATTTTAGCCTAGGGGAATCAAAATAGTAGGAGCATTACTCTTGTTTCCTTTTTCAAAATCCCACACCTCATCCTTCCTGCGACGCCATGTCCACCAACATTTGTAGTTTCAAGGACAGGTGCGTGTCCATCCTGTGTTGCAAATTCTGTAAACAAGTGCTCAGCTCTAGGGGAATGAAGGCTGTTTTGCTGGCTGATACTGAAATAGACCTTTTCTCTACAGACATCCCTCCTACCAAGTAAGTCATGCTAGTGGCGGGCAACGGTAGCTTTTAACTAAATGGGAACACTTATGGCTTGGATCTGTGGGAGTCAACAAGGAGGTTATCATTTCGGTGTTTCAGCCACTCCCACCAGTTTGATGATCCCCTTGTAATATATCTAAGTGGGCAGACTGTCTGGACAAAGTCTATGGTTTAGCCAAGGTGGTCAGTCCTGATGTAATGCTTCTAGTTCAATTGCAGTCATGCGACCACACATCTCTTAAGTTTGATCCCTGGTTCAGTGCCCTGCCCAACCATCCTATTTCACTGAATCAAGTCCGTGGCGTAGACTTTAGGTAAATTCAGGCAAAATTTTCTGTACTGTTGGAGAGGAGAGGTCATTTAAGTTTTTCATTTTTATCCATGAAATTTTGCACCAAAAAAAAAAAATCCGTTTTCTATCATTATTTGCAATTGGCATCCTAAATCAGATCCGTTGTTCATCAAATTCAGTTTTCTTTCCTCAAAACTCTCTCTCTCTGAAAGAGATGTAAATAGATTTTTATGGGATGAAAAATAGAGACTTAGCCTTAATCCTTATCTCCAATAAAGACTATTTTGGACATTACACATTTGTTCCCATAATTGAACCCTTTTAAAATCTGTTTGTTTTCAGCCACTAACTGCTTTTGGGTGTAGAGTCCTTAAGAATTTGCTTCCTATTTGGTAAAATAGCCATTTTATTTGACTCAAATAAACCTCTTTCTAGCTCTAAATGGTACTTTCCCTTTCCATAATCAACATATATATGCCCTACATGAATCTTCAAAATTTAGTTATTTATTGAAATTTTATTATTAAAAGGAAAGTAATTATCCAAAATATGAGTGGACAGTTATTCTCTAAGTCTTTGGATATAGAGCCAGAGGAAGCAGGTTAATAACCACAATTCATTTTAAATGAATTTCATGATAATGATAGAAACTTTACAAGTTTTTTGATTTACCCAGGTAAAGCTGTGTACTCTTCCTTTCTTGAAATCTTTTCTGAATTGGTCTAAGTGTAATCACGTCTAACAGCAAAGCCAAAGGCTCTCATTTATTGCAGAGATAAATGTGTTATTTTAAAATCTTTTTAATTTTTTTAAATTCTAAGTTAATATTTTACATTTGTGTGTGTGTACATCGTATATGTATTTCAAAAAAGGGAAAACACTAGAAAATAAATCATAGAACCTACTGCTACAAAGTTCTGTGATTCATTGTCCACTGCTTTTTCTTTTTAGTAGCTCATACACAAATTTAAAATATTAACCCATTCATCTTTGCAATAGCTATGGTAAGTAATAGGGCAGTCATAAGGAAGGCTAGGTGAATTGTTACAGGTTAGACCCAAGTCTAGAATAGAATCATGTTTTTCCTATTTTCTACCCTTCTTTGTAGGGGTTAAAATAATAATGAATTAGCGTGCTAAGATGTATGTGAATCAATGAACACATAAAAATTTTTTTAATGGAAAATTTGTCAGATGTTTATGTTGAGCTCACAAATATGAACTGACTCTTTAAAAATATACTATACTTCTATGTTAGCTTTCAGCTCTTTGGATTGACAAAATTTGTGCTAAATCAAGCGTAGAATTACTATCTGATCCAGCAGTTCTGGGTACATATCCAAAAGAATTCAAAACTGGATCTTGGAAGAGATATTTGCACACCCATGTTCATTAACAGCATTATTCACAATAGCCAAGAGGTGGAAGCAATCCAAATGTCCATTGATTCTACAGATGAACAGATAAACAAAATGTGGTATAGGGCGCCTATAGTTCCACCTACTCAGGAAACTCTGGTAGGAGGGTCACTTGAACCCAGGAGATTCATTACACAGCAATGTGATTATATTTAACACATCTGCTCTGCACACATAAAACTTGTTAAGTTGGTAAATTTTGTTAATTTTTTGCCACAATTAAATTTTTTGTAAAGTACATCTGACTGTCTTTTTATACCTTTCTCTCTCCAGCGCAGTGGACTTCACTGGAAGATGCTATTTCACCAAAATCTGCAAATGTAAACTGAAGGACATCGCATGTTTAAAATGGTAATTTGTGGCACTATTCTGGATAGCTCTGGGTTTGGAAGATGGATATTGACACCAAAGCATAGAGAAAGGTTCAGTGGGCTGCAACAAGGACTGGTATAAAGCATGCAATGAGCCATTGAAAAATTACTTATTACTTAGAGCTATTTTTTAAAAGGGTTTTCTGATGCTTCACATTAGTATATAATTTTACAGTTTTCAAAGTGTATTCACAGTATCCGCTTCAATTTTCAGAACAAGGCAATGTAGGTTAGGGGGGAGAAACACCTGGATTTACAATAATAAAAATCATGTTTGAGGTCTGACCCTACCCTTACTCTCTATGTGACCTTGAGTGAACTCCTTTAGCCTCTAAACTGCTGAACCTCTGTTTTCTTATTTAATTTCTAGGTTATTACTCCTTCTTTCTTTGTTTTTAGAGGGGTCTCATACTGTTGCTCAGGCTGGAGTGCAGTGGCATGATCATAGCTCACTGTAGCCTTGAACTCCTGGGCTCAAGTGATTCTCCTACCTCAGCCTCCTGAGTAGCTGGGACTACAGGCAGGCACCACCAGGCCTGGCTAAGTTTTTTATTTTTGTAGCAATAGGGTCTTGCTATGTTGCCCAGGCTGATCTCAAACTCCTGGCCTCAAGTGATCCTCTCTCCTCAGCTTCCCAAAAGGCTGGGATTACAGGTATGAGCCACTGCATCCTACCTTAATTTCTTTCTTTCTTTCTTTTTTTGAGAAGGAGTTTTTGCTCTTGTTGCCAAGGCTGGAGTGCAATGGCGCGATCTAAGCTCACCACAACCTCCACCTCCCAGGTTCAAGTGATTCTCCTGCCTCAGCCTCCTGAGTAGCTGGGATTACATGCACGCACCACCATGCCCAGCTAATTTTTTTTTTTTTTTTTTTAGTAGAGACAGGATTTCTCCATGTTGGTCAGGCTGCTCTTGAACTCCCAACCTCAGGTGATCCGCCTGCCTCAGCCTGCCAAAGTGCTGGGATTACAGGCATGAGCCACCCCACCCAGCCATTCTGTCTTATTAAGATAGAAATTTAATAATCTTCTGTGTTTACCTTATCAAGTTATTATAAAGAGCAAATATGAATGTTAAAGTGCTCAATAAACTATAAATTACAACAGCTGAGAGCTATTACTATAATCTTTTGAGAAGTAGACGTGTTATTATTTTCATTTTAGGAGGATAAAAGTTGAAATTTTCTCATTTAGATGGGGTTTGTATTTAGAAGGGGTTTGTATTATAAATGACAATCCTAATAATTTAAATTGGCAAGCTCTTCTTATGTGCTATTTGATTTCATTCCTTTATTTAAGCTATACTTGTATTGAGGAACTAGTATGTGGTAGTCATTGTTACAAGGGCTGGAAATACAACAAAAACTAGATGAAGTCACTGGCCTTTGGACATTATTTTCTTCTTTCTTTTTTTTTTTTTTTTTTTAAGACGGAGTTTTGCTCTGTCGCCCAGGCTAGAGTGCAGTGGCACGATCTCAGCTTACTGCAACCTCCGCCTCCCAGGTTCAAGCGAATCTCCTGCCTCAGCCTCCTGAGTAGCTGAGACTACAGGCACGCACCACCATGCCCAGCTAATTTTTCATATTTTAGTAGAGACAGGGTTTCACCGTGTTGCCCAGGCTGCTCTCAAACTCCTGAGCTCAGGCAGTCCGCCTGCCTTGGCCTCCCTAAGTGCTAGGATTACAGGCGTGAGCCACCGCACCCAGCCCACCCGGCTAATTTTTGTATTTTTAGTAGAGACAGGATTTCGCCATGTTAGCCAGGCTGGTCTCAAACTCCTGACCTCAAGTGATCCACCTGCCTCGGCCTCCCAAAGTGTGAGATTACAGGTGTGAGCCACCGCACCTGGGCAACGACATTTTTTTTGTTTTGTTTTGAGACGGAGTCTTGCTCTGTTGCCCAGGCTGGAGTGCAATGGCATCATCTTGGCTCACTGAAACCTCCGTCTTCTGGGTTCAAGTGATTCTCTCACCTCTGCCTCCCGAGTAGCTGGGACTACAGGCACATGCCACCATGCCCAGTTAATTTTCGTATTTTTAGTAGAGGTGGGGTTTCGCCATGTTGGCCAGGCTGGTCTCGAACTCCTGACCTCAAGTGATCCACCCGCCTCAGCCTCCCAAAGTGCTGGGATTACAGGCATGAGCCACCGCACCCGAAGAACAACATTTTCAAAAGAAAACCAAAACAGGAAAGTTAATTTTAATCATATATTTTGTCTAACCCAATGTATCCAAAATATTATTTCAACATGTAACCAACATAAACTACTAATGTAATATTTTATATTCCATTTTTTGGTCTTACTCTTTGAAATCTGGTGTACATTTTACACTTAACAGCACATCTCAATTCAGGCCAGCCCCACTGCAAGTGTACAACAGCCACATGTGGCTAGTGGCTATTATTCTTGACAGCATAGATCTGGACCTTGGTATGGAAAGGTTTTTATTTTCATTTTTGGCTATTGAAGAGGTTTTAACCAGGGAGCAGAATGATCTGATGTAGCCTCGCTAGACTGTTAGCTCCGTGACAACAAGGGCTTTGTTTTGTTTACCAGTGTATTCCTAGCACCTAGAGCAGTGCCTGAAAGACAGCAGATACTCAATAAATGTTAGTTTAAGTGATGAATCAATGGATGAATGAATGAATATAGGCGGTAATTAAAGTCATGGAATTTACTTTTGCAATATAGTCTTACAAATAACTGGCACTCCTAGTCCAAACACAACTTTTGTTTTCATTTGTTTGCCTTTCAAGCAAGTTATAATTAGAAGACATATTTTAGGTGGAATGGTACCTTTTATAGTAATCTTTATTGGGTCTCATAAAAATGACTGACTCACAAATCTCACAGAGTAAGACTAAGCTTGAATAAGAATTTTTACAACTCAAGGTATAAACAGTTCATGTTGCTATTTTTTTTAAAGTACTAGCTAAAACATTCCCTGTAGGTTCACTCTATTTAATATGTGACTAGCTAGTTAAAAAAAAAAAATGTGAAAGACTGAGGTACTTATAATCAGCTGGATAATTCTGAAAACTGTAAAAACTTTTGCAACTTTCTCTGGAGGCTGTAGATTGCTTTATTTCTGAGTTCCTTCAAAAACACTGAGACTAAAATTAGAGCAGCCAGATTGTATTTGGTTTACAGGGACTCATGCTGTCTTCCTACCTCTCCATCTGTTGAAACAGTTTTTAGGTGCTGGCATGAAACTAGAACATGTAAGAACCCAACTTGCCACAGTCCTGGGATAGCAAAAACCTTTACCCACAGAACTGAGTTAATTTAATTTATTTTGTCTGTACAGCACATCAATTTGGGTGGTTTATAAAACAAATCACAACATTATGGCATCTAGAAGCTAACTTCTGAAGGGAGAATGCATAAAATAATACTAGCAGGACAAGCATGGTGGCTCATGCCTGTAATCCCAGCACTTTGGGAGGCCAAGGCAGGTGGATCACCTGAGGTCAGGAGTTCGAGACCAGCCTGGCCAACATGGTAAAACCCCATCTCTACTAATAACACAAAAGTTAGCTGGGCATGGTGGCACACGCCTGTAATCCCAGCTATTCTGGAGGCTGAGGCAGGAGAATCACTTGAACCTGGGAGGCGGAGGTTGCAGGCACTCCAGCCTGGGTGACAAGAGCAAAACTCGGTCTCAATAATAATAATAATAATAATAATAATAATAATAATAATAATAGCAAAGAAATGTGAGAATATTTTACTATTATTCACTTAAAGACTGCTTTCCCACTTGATGGTAGAACTGCACCCCCATCCCATCCCAAAGATCTCAGCAATGAAAGTTGTTAGGAAATGAGATCTAAATTATATGGTCTATTTATATAAGCAATATGAAAAGACTTATCTGGCTAGTTATTACATGGTATCTAGTAACATTTACTTTCTTTTCTAGTGGGAACATTGTAGGTTATCATGTGATTGTTCCATGTAGTTCCTGTCTTCTTTCCTGCAACAACAGACACTTCTGGATGTTTCACAGCCAGGCAGTTTATGATATTAACAGACTAGACTCCACAGGTAAGAAACAATTGACTTGGACATTCCTGTAACATTTCTCTATCAATACCTGAGTAAAATTCCCAATAGATCATTTCAGGATTCCTTTTAGATCTTCTTAGCTGGATTAGCTAGAGTGAAACTTCAATTCTTTTTTCCCAGACATTCACTTATGAAAACTATTAGGCAAAATTCATTGTCATTTCTATGTTCATCCTTGTACTTAAGGCCTCAAACTTGGCTGAATTTCTTGGTCTTTTAAAATGAATATTATAATTGCTCTTAACTGCTGCCTTGATACATATTCTGACTCCAGAGAATTTTTGAAGATTTTAGATTTGATAGTCTAATGCATGTGTGTGTCTGTGTGTGTGTGTAAGAAAGGGAGAGGCCAGGCCTAGGGCAATGGGAGTTGAGAGGAGGAGGACTAAGTAACCTCTGTATTTGGTGATGCTTCAGAATAAAAACAGACATTTCGACATCTATGTTAATACGTTATGACAGAATTTTAGTCAAGGGAAATATTTGACACCAAAGTATAAAGTATGTTGTACAGGCACAAGTGGAGATATTGTAGGTTCAATTCCAGACCACCATAATAAAGCAAGCAAATATCACAATTAAAGCAAGTCACACAATTTTTTGGTTTCCCAGTGTGTATAAAAGTTATGTTTACAATATATTGTAGTCTATTAAGTGTGCAATAGCAGGACATTTAAAAAACAACGTGCATACCTTAATCAAAAAATACTTATTCGGCCGAGAGCAGTGGCTCATGCCTGTAATCCCAGCACTTTGGTAGTCCAAGGCGGGAGGATCACTTGAGCCCAGGAGTTTGAGACCAGCCTGGGCAGCATGCTGAGACCTCATCTCTACAAAAAAAATACAAAAATTATCCAGGCATCGTGGGGCATACTATCGTCCCAGCTACCCAGGAGGCTGAGGTGGGAGGATCACTTGAATTTGGGAGGTAGAGGCTGCAGTGAGCTGTGATCATGCCAGTGCATTTCAGCCTGGGCAACAATATGAGACCCTGTCTCAAAAAAGAAAAAAAAAATGCTTTATTGCTAAAAACTGCTAATGATCATCTGAACCTTCAGCAAGTCATAATCTTTTTGCTGGTGGAGGGTCTTGCCTTGATGTTGATGACTGCAAACTGATCAGGGTGGTGGTTGCTGGAGGTTAGGATGGCTGTGGCAGTTTCTTAAAATAAGACAACAATGAGGTTTGCCGCATGGATTGACTCTTCCTTTCACAAAAGATTTCTCTGTAGCATGTGATGTCATTTGATAGAATTTTACACATAGTAGAACCTCTTTCAAAATTGGAGTCAATCCTCTCAAATTCTGCTACTACTTTACCAACTATGTTTATGTAATATTCTAAATCCTTTGTTTTCATTTCAACAATATTTACAGCATCTTCATCAAGAGTAGATTTCACCTCAAGAAACCATTTTCTTTGCTCATCCATAAAAAGCAACTCTTCATCCATTAAAGTTTCATCATGAGATTGCAGCAATGCAGTCACGTCTTCAGGCTCCATTTCTAAGTGTAGTTTTCTTGCTATTTCTACCACATCTGCAGTTACTTCCTCCACTGAAGTCTAAAACCTCTCAAAGTTACCCATGAGGGTTGGAATCAACTTCTTTCAAACTCCTGTTAAGACTGATATTTTGACCTCCTCCCATGAATCAGGAATGTGCTTTTCCAGGTTTTCAATGTACTTTGCCCAGATCCATCAGAAGAATTACTATCTATGGCAGCTATAGCCTTATGAAATCTATCTCTTAAATAATAAGACTTGAAAGATTAAATTACTTCTTGATCCATGGGCTGCCAAATAGATGTTATGTTAAGGCATTAAAGCAATATTTATCTCCTTGTACAATGCCATCAGAGCTCTTGAGTGACTAGGTGCATTGTCAATGAACAGTAATATTTTCAAAGGGATTTTTCTGAGCAGTAGGTCTTAACAATGGGCTTAAAATAGTTAGTAAAACATGCTGTAAACAGATTTGCTGTCGTCCAGGCTTTGTTGTTTCATTGACAGCGCACAGGCAAAGTATATTTGGCATAATTCCTAAGAACCCTAGAAATTTCGGAACAGTAAATGAGCATTGGATTCAACTTAAAGTCACCAGCTGCATTATCCTCTAACAAGAGATTCAGCCTGTCCTTTGAAGCTTTGAAGCCAAGTATTACTTCTCCTCTCTAGCTATGAAAGTCCTAGATGGCATCTCCTTCCAATAGAAGGCTGTTTTGTGTATATTAAAAATCTCTGCCGGATGCAGTGGTTCACGCCTATAATCCCAGGACTTTGGGAGGCCGAGGTGGATGGATCACCTGAGGTCAGGAGTTTAAGACCAGCCTGACCAATATAGTAGAACTCTGCCTCTACTAAAAATAAAAAATTAGCTGGGCGTGGTGGTACATGCCCAGCTACTTGGGGGACTGAGGCAGAAGAATCACTTGAACCCAGGAGGTGGAGTTTGAAGTGAGCCGAGATCGCACCATTGCACCAAGAGTGGAACTCCATCTGAAAAAAAAAAGGAATAAGAGGCCGGGCGCGGTGGCTCACGCCTGTAATCCCAGCAGTTTGGGAGGCCAAGGCGGGCAGATCACCTGAGGTTGGGAGTTCGAGACCAGCCTGACCAACATGGAGAAACCCCGTCTCTACTAAAAATACAAAATTAGCTGGGCATGGTGGCGCATGCCTATAATCCCAGCTACTTGGGAGGCTAAGGCAGGAGAATGGCTTGAACCCGGGAGGCGGAGGTTGCGGTGAGCCAAGATCACGCCATTGCACTCCAGCCTGGGCAACAAAAGTGAAACTCCATCTCAAAAAAAAAAAAAAGAAAAGAAAAGAAAAATCTGTTGTTTAGTGTAGCCACCTTCATCCATAATCTTAGCTAGATCTTCTGGATAACTTGCTGCAGCTTCTACATCTGCACTTTTTGCTTCACCTGAACTTGTATGTTATAGAAATGGCTTCTTTCCTTAAACTTTATAAACCAACCTCTGCTAGCTTCAAACTTTCTTCTACAGTTTCCTCAACTTTCTTGCCCTTCATAGAATTGCAGAGAGTTAAGACCTAGCTCTGGATTAGGTTTTCGCTTAAGAGAATATCATGGCTGGTTTAATCCTCTATCTAGGTCACTAAAACTTTCTCCATATCAGCAATAAGGCTATTTCACTTTTTTATTCTTGTTTTCACTGGAGTAGCACTTCTTATGTCCTTTAAGAACTTTTCTTTGCAGTCACAAGTTGGCTAACAATTGGGCATAAAAGGCCCAACTTTCAGCCTGTCTCAGCTTTCAATATGTCTTCCTCACTATGCTTAATCATTTCTAGCTTTTGATTTACAGTGAGAGACATGCCACTCTCTTTCACTTGAACACTTAGAGGTCATTGTAGGGATATTAACTGGCCCAATTTCAATATTGTTGTATCTTAGGAAATAGGGAGGCCCCAGGAAAGAGAGCGAGAACAGCTGGTCAGTGGAGCAGTCAGAACACACAAAATATTTATCGATTAAGTTTGCAGTCTTAAGTGGGTGTGGTCTTAAGTGGGTGTGGTTCATAGCACCCTGAAACAATTATAACAGTAACATCAAAGATCACAGATCACCATAATATATATAATAATAATGAAAAAGGTTGAAATATTGAGAGAATTATCAAAATGTAACAGACACAAGGTAAGCATATGCTGTTAGACTTACTCAATGCAGGATTGCCAAAACCTTCCATTTATATAAAGCCCAGTGTCTATGGTGTACAATAAACTAAAGCACAATTGAGGTATGCTTATACTAATTATTTTAGCAAGGCCAGGCATGGTGGCTCACACCTGTAATCCCACACTTTGGGAGGCCAAGACAGATGATCACTTGAGGTCAGGGGTTCGAGACCAGCCTGGCCAATATGATGAAACCCCCCTTGAACCTAGGAGGTGGAGGTTGCAGTAAGCCGAGGTGGCACCGCTGCACTCCAGCCTGGGCAACAGAGTGAGACCCTGTCTCAAAAAAAAAAAAAAAAAAAATTATTTTAGTAAGAAAGTACACTACCAATTCTTTTAAAAAAAAAAATTTCTTTTTCCTTGTGTTAAGGTGCTGAGGCACTGAAATACTAATTCTTTTTTTTTTTTTTTTGAGACAGAGTTTCACTCTTGTTTCCCAGGCTGATGTGCAATGGTGTCATCTTGGCTCATGGCAGCCTCTGCCTCCCGGGTTCAAGCGATTCTCGTGCCTCAGCCTCCCGAGTAGCGAGATTACAGGCATACGCCCAGCTAATTTTTTTGTATTTTTAGTAGAGACAGGGTTTCACCATGTTGGTCAGGCTGGTCTTGAACACCTGACCTCAGGGGATCCGCCTGCCTCAGCCTCCCAAAGTGCTGGGATTACATGGGATTACAGACGTGAGTCACCATGCCTGGCCTGAAGTACCTTTTTTTTTTTTTTTTTTTTGAGATGGAGTCATTCTGTCACCCAGGCTGGAGAGCAGTGGCGTGATCTCGGCTCACCGCAACCTCCACCTCCCGGGTTCAAGTGATTCTCCTGCCTCAGCCTTCTGAGTGGCTGGGATTATAGGTGCGCACCACTACACCTGGCTAATTTTTGTATTTTTAGTAGGGACGGGGTTTTGCCATGTTGCCCAGGCTGGTCTCGACCTCCTGACCTCAGGTGATCCGCCCACCTCAGCCTCCCAAAGTGCTGGGATTACAGGTGTGAGCCACTGCACCGGCCAAAGTACCAATTTTTAAAGGGGATTTATATAATACTTTTTATATTGCCTGGAGCCATTGAGTTTTGTTATAAGACACATGTTCTCCATGTCTAACATCTATTTACACAACAGACCAAGTTGATTTTAAGGAACTTTTTTTTTTTTTTTGGAGACAGGGTCTTGCTCTGTCACCCAGGCTGGAGTGTAGTGGCACAATCTTGGCTCACTGCAGCCTCGACCTCCCAGGCTCAAGCCATTCTTCCACCTCAGCCTTCTCAATAGGTGGGACCACAGGTGTGTGCCACCATCCCTGTCTAATTTTTTGTATTTTTCATAGAGACCAGTTTTTGCCATTTTGCCCAGGCTGGTCTCGAACTCCTGTCCTCAAGTGATCTGCCCACCTTGGCCTCCAAAGGGCTGGGATTACAGGCCTGAGACACCTCGCCAGCCGACTTTAAGTAACTTGACAATCTAAGTTGACACTAGCATTCTTAGGTTCCTAAATGCATGTTTTAGTCTCCTTTAGAACTTAAATGTATTTTTTAAATATATGATTTGCCTTCACAGACCAAAAGATCACGAATTGCAAGCTAGGTTGTCAAGGGTCTTTAAATCCTCCAATTATGCTTAGATTTTTGTAGATTTGATTTTTTTATCTGGGACTCAACTGTGGCTCTCAATCTATCATTTATGGGGTCTTAATTTAAAACTTTGGTATGTTAAGAAGGCCATTTTCATGTAAGGACTTATCTGAACTCCCCTAAGTGGGATACAGTCTCCTAATTTAAGCCTCCAGTTTTATATTTGTGTTGCCCATGGGACACATTAAAGGAAGTTTCTGCTTTGATAGTATTTTTCCTGCTTTACAGAATTCAAAACACAGGGTGGAGATTTTTCAAGTTTGATTTACTTTTTAATATTGGTCAATTTTTCAAAGATAAAAGCCCCGCATTCTTCCATTTGCACTGAATCTAATCCATAAGAAACAGATGTATCACAGGATTTCCTTCCTCCCTTCTTAACAGAGAAAGGAAGGTGCTGCTTCTGTCAGATCCAATCTCTTAGTTTATTTTTCCTCCTTTGAACCAATTGTGCTGAGCTGCTTCATGTCTCTGAGTACTGACTCCAAGAATATCAAGCTTCTGCTTTGTAACCCTAATATTGTGATTTCAAGCAAGATTTTCTAGATGCTTGGTATCAAAGCAAGTTTCTAATGGCGCCACAACTGTCCTTGAATCACCTGAACCAGCAGTGTCAAAGGAATGCATAGACAAGCTTTATAAATTCTATAATGTTTAAACTGAAAAGGACTCCTGGAGGTCTGTTTTCTAGGCTAGTCTTCATTTAGAGACCTGATTTCCCAGAACTTTCTGGAGGAGCCTTGGGAAACCTCAGCTCAAATTTCCTGAAATTGGCAAATGCCCTCAGAGTCAAAATGGCTTCAGCCCTCCATTTACATTTATGGGTTCTAATTTTCACTTTGATTTTTGCCTCGCAATTCCTTACAGCTCTTCCTGTCAGCTCTTCCATGACATTTACCTGGAGCAGAACACCATTCATTCTTAGGGTGGGGGTGGGGATGGGGTAGCGTTTTCTATTATAAACAATTCAAACACGAAAAGATTATAGAAAATAATAAGATACACATCTGTATCCCTACCAGCATCAGATACATGCTAAATTCTTGCCAGATTAGATTCCAGTATCTCCCTCAGTCAAGGTAAACAGTTAATTATTTCTACTGTTTCAACAATGTCACACTACACATCCCTGTGCATGTCGCCTTGAACCACCTATGCAAGATGGGCAGCTGAGGAAGGGATGAGCAATGGGCTGTATTTGCAACATTTTTAAAAATTCACAAAATGGAATACTCTCCAGAAGTAAAAATAAATGAGCGAAATCTACACAAGTTAACATGGATTAACCTCAAAAACATGACGAGTGAAAAAGCAAATTAGAAAACAATATGTAGTGTAATAACATTCTATACAAAATTTAAATCCACTAAACAGTAATATATATTGTCTATGTTGCATGCATTTGTAGTAAAACCATGCATGGTGTACTAGCAGTGGTGAACACTGGATTCAAACCAAATCTCCAAATCCTGGCTCATTCCATTCCGCCATGTGGCTGCTATCTCAGTGTATATGGGGTGGGTATCCTGAATTGCTGGATCCTCTTTGTGTCCACACTGATAACTGGACAGCTTAAGATTTGTTTTTCTGGCCAAGTGTGGTGGCTCACATCTGTAATCCCAGCACTTTGGGAGGCCGAGGCGAGGGGGATCACCTGAGGTCAGGAGTTCAAGACCACCCTGACCAACGTGGTGAAACCCCATCTCTACTAAAAATACAAAAATTACCCAGGCATGGTGGCATTCGCCTGTAGTCCCAGCTACTCGGGAGGCTGAGGCACGAGAATCACTTGAACCTGGGAGGCAGAGGTTGCAGTGAGCCAAGATTACACCACTCGACTCCAGCCTGGGCAATAGAGCGAGACTCTGACTCAAAAAGAAAAAAAAAAAGATTTGCTTTTCTTGTGAAGTTAATTGGCTATCCTAGAGGTCAGTTATTTTCCATTTAGTGCTTTTAACTAATAATGTAATATATGCCCAGAGTAATAAACTTGTCATTATCCTCTACTGTATGTTTAGTCATTTACTGTATACCTGTGCTTCATTCTTCAATATGAAATCTGACTATTCTTTCTCAGTGAAGTTTTTGATTATTCTTTTGTTTATTATAGTGACTGCTGCAACCTGGCCCTAAAGTTCAGTTTAAAGCTCTGCCTGTGGACTGAAACCCACTGGTACCAAGGATTGCAGTTCATATTATAACTGGCTCCGAACCCTTGCTTTTTTTCTGAATCAGAAAAATGGCACCAGCTACTTCTCTGCTTATTGAAGGGATGAGGAGACTTATTCAGGACTTCTCCCTGAACCCTCCAAAGAGGCATTTAATCTAAAAGGATCTTGTGAGATCTCCATTCTTAAACATCATTAAAATAGATCAGAAAATTATCAGTGTATAGTGATTATGTTATAATGCAGCTGGAGGCAGAGTTTGAGTAAATGGACTCCTGAGAGCCTTTTGAGCTGTAAAATTCTAGAATTCAAGCCCTTGCTTAAAAGGATTTAAAGAATGTTTATGTCCTAGCCCTTTAAAAAAAAGTGTTTGCCAGGCATGGTGGCTCATGCCTGTAATCCCAACAGTTTGGGAGGTCAAGGAGAGAGGATTGCTTGAGCCCAGGAGTTTGAGACTAGCCTGGGCAACATAGTGGGAACCTGTATCTACAAAATAAAATTAGCCATGTGTGGTAGTACACGCCTGTAGTCCAAGTGACTTGGGAGGCTGAGGTAGGAGGATCACTTGAGCCCTGGAGGTTCAGGCTGCAGTGATCTGTGATTGTGAACCGTGATCCTGCCAGGCACTCCAGCCTGGGCAACACAGAGAGAATTTCTCTCAAAATAAATAAATAAAGTTTATGTCCTAGATGGATAATATTAGGTAATTTTATTTGCAGTACATTCTTCAATAGCTACTCTTTTTACTGCTAACACTATGGTTTACATAAGAATATTAACATATAAAGTTTCGTAATTTGTGTTCTGAGTTATAACAGTAGTAAGCATTAAAGAATTTTATGACTTTTTATTTTCAGGTGTAAACGTCCTACTTCGGGGCAACTTGCCAGAGATAGAAGAGAGTACAGATGAAGATGTGTTAAATATCTCAGCAGAGGAGTGTATTAGATAAATGGAATTATGATATATATGATATACAAACTTTTTTCTATTTAAAAATATATTAATGGATCAACTTTAAAATTGTTAGTTGCCAGTGATCTTTTTTGGAAAACAAAAATGGGGCATTTGTTGATTTATTTATTTTCTGTCTCTAATTAGTTACCTCAGTTTGATTGAAGCCAGTGGAGTTGTGCTTTTCCTCTACTTCTACTTCCTCTCCCCCACCTTTTTCTGCCCAGTGTAGGTGTATTCTTAAATTCAGACGGGAAGATTCTTTCACATATCACTCAGTTACCTCCCAATCTGGGGGAGTTTTTCTTACAACTTGATACCAGATACCATTAATTTTACATTCCTGAATAAAGGCCTAGTACCCACGCATATTTCAACCATGCATATATCAAGTTCAACCGAGTTTTAATAGGGGATTAAAAAAACAAGCTGTTAGGTTTCCATGGGCACTGGTTCTCATAGGTTCTATTGGTGATAACTGCTTTAACATGGAGCAAGAGTTTGTGAATCAGGAAATAGAATAAATTAAAATTTAAAATATATAGAGGAATCCTCTTGATTGCTCAGCATGATGTTAGATAAATGAGTTTGTCAGAAAATATCAGTATACGCTGTTTACCAATGTTATTTATTTACATTCTTCTAAAGCCATTATGGATATTGTATTATGAGAGCTAAACCTAAATAAGTTATCCTGTTCCCTAGGACCTTCTCTGTAAATAGTGAATTTTAGACGAGTGGTCTGTCCTAAATCTTAAATAGAAAAAAAAACTAAAGCGATTTGCTTAAGCCATTGTACATTATAAAGAGCTGTTTTGTTTTGCTTTGCTTTGCTTTGTTTTGTTTTTTTAAAGCTGCATTCAGAGCTACAAAGGAATAGGAAAGTAGGGTAGTGTTGGATTCTGGTTTTATGTAACTCTAAAATAAATGTATCTCTTTAATATCTCAGTTGTAGGGATTTTGTCAATACCAAAGCAGACTGAGTTGTGGTTTTGTAAATAAAGTTTTTTCTAAAAATGACCATTCTTCCTTTAATTTTTTGTTATGCCCACATATTGTATGTAAAAATATAAATAAATAGTACTTAAAGTATAGAATATAAGGCTAATGTTTATTGAATACTTACCATATGCCAGACACTGTTCTAAGTGCTTTAGACGTTTAACTCCTCACAACAAACCTATGAGGTAGGTACCATTATTATTCCTTTTTTTTTAAACTGGTAAATCAGGTGAGACAGAGAGAAGTTAAGTAATTTGTTTAAGGTAGCATAACCGGTTAGAGGTGCTCAGACAGAAGACTGACTCCAAAAGCTCCTGCTCATATGATTTATTTATGGTCTTACTTAGCCGGGATACCTGCTGGGTAACTAACTACATTGTTATGTGCCCTAGATGAGGGCAGAAGTGACTGATTTGAAGGTTGAATAAACTCATGCAGGGTCTTAGGGTATAAGTGACCTGAGGGCATTGAAAGAATCATTTGCCACAAACCAAGATAAAAGGTGCTTCAGGAAATGCTATTACTCCCTCCTGGAAAACGTTTCCAAAAATCTTTCACACCAACCATTAACACTGACAGAAGGCCATCAAAAGAACCAATGGAATGAGTATGGAATAATTTGTTTTGCGATTTGGTTTTTTGGGTGTGTGTGTGTGTGTGTGTGTGTGTGTTGTAACCTCAAGTTCTTAGGTGAGCATAATCTATAAGAGAAAAAATATATATATACTTCTTTGGTTAACTTGCTCAACTAGAGAAGAAAAGTTTAATACTAGACTAGGAAATGTGGCAAATTTAAAATTCAATAGAGTTCATCTGGTTTCCGTTCAGCTCATGCCTTCAAAGGCTATGATTGACCTAGGGTCTCTCTGAAAAGCAAAAGCAAGACAGAGGTGCACTGATTGAAGCAAGCCCCAAATGTGATTCTACTCCAGCTGGGGAATATTTCAAATTACTCAACTACCTTTGGTTAACTGGATTATGGGAAAGCCAATTCTAAACAGAAAGCTGATTAATAAAGTTTTATCTAAAGAAATATATTCATGACACTAGTGTGGTTTGAGGGTTTTTTGTTGTTGTTGTTGTTTTCTTTAGAGACAGGGTCTCGCTTTGTTGCCCAGGCTGGAGTGCAGTGGTGTGATCATAGCTCACTACAGCCTTGAAGTCCTGGACTCAAGCAATCCTCCTGCCTCAGCCTCCCCTGTAGCTAGGACCACAGGCATGCACCACACCTGGCTAAATGACACTGGTTTGTGGGGCTTTTTTTGTTTGTTTGTTTGTTTTTGAGAGAGGGTCTCGCTCTGTTACCCAGGCTGGAGTGCAGTGACATGATCTCAGCTCACTGCAACTTCCACCTCCAGGGTTCAAGCGATTCTCATGCCTCAGCACCCCCGAGTAGCTGGGACTACAGGCATGCACCACCATGCCTGGCTAATTTTTGTAGTTTTAGTAGAAGGAGTTTTGCCATGTTGGCCAGCCTGGTCTTGAACTCTTGGCCTCAAGTGATCCACCAGCCTCGGCCTCCCAAAGTATTGGGATTACACGCATGAGTGTGAATCCAACACTGTTTTTGGGATTTTTTTTTTTTAGATGCAGTTTCACTCTTGTTGCCCAGGCTGGACTGCAATGGTGTGATCTTGGCTCACCACAACCTCCGCCTCCCAGGTTCAAGCAATTCTCCAGCCTCAGCCTCCCAAGTAGCTGGGATTACAGGCACGTACCACCACACCCAGCTCATTTTGTATTTTTAGTAGAGATGGAGTTTCTCCATGTTGGTTAGGCTGGTCTCGAACTCCTAACCTCAGGTGGTCTCCCGCGTTGGCCTCCCAAAGTGCTGGGATTACAGGCATGAGCCACTGTGCATGGCCTGTCAACACTGTTTTTAAATAAAAGCAAATTACATTCACTCTGGTAAGACCAAAGCAGAATCACATACATGGATTTAGGATACACCTTCTACTCCTAGTATAATTCCTAGGCCTAGAAGATCCATCTATTCTTTGGTCCTCTTTTAATATTTCATTCAATTCAACACACCTGTATTATTCTCCAATAGTGTGGCAAGAATTGTACAATGACATGCTCACACTTGCCTTCAGGGAGTACACAGTAAGTTGAGGAAAGGATAGAACTCTGTGAGTCCATTTATTTCATTGGGTTAAGTGATTTAACAAAGGCATGCTTAAAGTGCTATGACTCCAGAGATGAAAGAGCAATCATTCTGAGTAGCAGGAGAGAGTGGGAGTTGAGCAAGAGAGCATAGGAATTGAGAAAGCTACTGAGAAGAAATGATACTTGAGGCAGGCTTTGAAGCAGTTAGGAGTTGCCAGCTGGGATGAGAGTTTTAAGCAGAGGGAATAGTGTAAACAAATTGATGGGAATTTAAAAGTATCTTGCTTATTTGGGAAGTTCTAAGTTGTCCCCCATACCTTCCAAGACATGTAATAAAAATTAATTCGGCCAGGCATGGTGACCCACACCTATAATACCAGCACTTTGGGAGGCTGAGGAGGAAGGATTGCTTGAGGCCAGGAGTTTGAGACCAGCCTGGGCAAGATAGTGGGAACCCATCTCTACCAAAAAATACAAAAATAAGCCCAGGGTGATGGCACAGGCTTGTAGTCCCAGGTACTTGGGAGGCTGGGGCGGGAGGATCACTTGAGCCTAGGAGGCTGAGGCTGCAGTGAGCCATGATTGGACCACTCCGCTCCAGCCTGCGTGACAGAGTGAGACCCTGTCTCAAAAGTTAAAAAATAAATAAATTTTTTTTAAAAAAAGAATTAATTACAAGGTGAAGTTAACAAGGAAGGTTATATGTTATGAAGAATATTCTACTATACGATTGTAAGTTTAGACTTGGTCCAGTAGCAATGTGGAGTTATTGAAGTTTTTAAGCAGGAGAATAAAATGATCAGATTGAGGATGATGGCTCTGATGGTAAAGTATAATCAAGTTTAGCTTTCCTAATGTCCTTTCTTTGATGCACTTAACAATTTGACCATGGAAATTAAACTTACTGCCTTTACCCTAAGAACCCATGTAGTTCTTCAAGTTCTCGGAATTTCTTGGGTTTCATGGAGCCTCTAGTCTGCAGTAGGGCATTGCCTTTTTTTTTCCCCTTTTCCATTTTGTCATTCTTGCAGTTCAAGGAAGGGGCAGTGAGTCATCAGCTCACCCGCCATGACATTTCTGCTACTTTATCTTTCTCCTTAAGCTAGTTTCTCAACCTCAAACTTAGCCTCTGAGGAGGCATCTTGGGTGGAGCCTAATCTTAAAGACATACATTTTAAATAATCAATGGTTCTGAAAACCAGGTCCTTAAGTATTAGCAATTGAGAGAGATTACCCAAAAAGAACACTCTTTTGACCTCTGAGTCACATGTGGCTGGTTAAGAATAATCTATATTGTTTAACTTTAGTGAGGAAGTGACCATGATATATAAACCATGATCTAGAAGACAACTAACCACAACACAAATACGGAGTGAGGGGAGGTAGGTGAGAATATGGATCAAATAGTTTTGATTCAGTAGTGAATTGCTCGATGAAAGCTTTCCCTATTTTAACATTCCTGCTTATAAAAGGAAATAGTTTCCTTTTCTGCCTTTTTTTTTTTTAACTTTAAAAGCAGCCTAAACCATAGTTTCTTTCTTGCCTGGTATTGAGCGTATGCCAAATCTACCCTAAACTGCACAGATGGAAAAAATTAGTCTATGTCTGTGGTACCTCTGGGGTTGAATATTTTTAGTACCGAAATCTTTAGCTAAAGATTCCTTTTTCCAACACTCTCAAAGAATCCCTTTATTGTCATCCAATGGAAAAACTTACTGAGATAGAAATTAACTATATCATGCTTTTGTATATTCCTTTACAGTTTATTAAGAGCTTTCACATGCAGTGTCATTTACTCCTCAGAATAACCTTGGGAGCTATCATTCCCATTTTACAAATTAAGAAAGAGTCCAGGCATGGTGGCTCACGTCCGTAATCCCAACCCTTTGAGAGGCTGAGGCCAGAGGATCACCCGAGGCCAGGAGTTTGAGACCAGCCTGGGCAACAAAGTGAGGCCTAGTGTCTACAAAAATTTTAAAAATTAGCCAGGTGTGGTGGCGCGTGCCTGTAGTCCAGCTACTCAGGAGGCGGAGGTGGAAGGATCACTTGAGCTGGGACATCAAGGATGCAGTGAGCTGTGATTGTGCCACTACATTCCAGCCTGGGTAACAAAATGAGACCCTGTCTCAAAAAATAATAATAATAAGTAAATAAATAAATGAGCAAATTAAGAAATAAAATCCTGATTGCAATACCCAGAGAGTTGGAAGAATCTGAACTTCAATCAGGCTTCTCATCTTAGTTTAGGGTTTTCTTCTACCTCCCTGACTCTAAACTGCTGTCCATTTTTCCCTCACTAGCTATAAAACTTAGGAGAAATTTCCTTTGACTTTCAACCTCAAAGCCCAGTTATTTTTCATTAATCAGTTAGTTCAACGAATATTTATTCAGTGCCTACTATGGGCAAAATAGATGCTGAGGCTGCAGAACTAAGCAAGACAGAATTGCTGCTGTCATGTGGAGCTGACTTTCTAGTTGAGGGTAAAGAAGAAAATGAGTTACCATTGATAGAGGGCTTACTGTGTGCCAGGCATTGTTCCAAGTGCTTCACATGTAACCCCTAACTGATGGATCCTATCCTCCCCATAGAGATCAGGAAACTGAGGCACAGAGAGGTTAAAGAACTTGTTCGTGGTCACCCAGCTAGCAAATGACACCACTCTAAGATTTGGAAAGCCCAGAATTAAGTAGCTTAATAACTGTGCTTTCTTTTTCTTTTTTTCCTTTTCTTTTTTTTTTTTTTTTTTTTTTTGAGATGGAGTCTTCCTCTGTTGCTCAGGCTGGAGTGCAGTGGCGTGATCTCAGCTCACTGCAACCTCCACCTCCTGAGTTCAAGCAATTCTCCTGCCTCAGCCTCCTGAGTAGCTGGGATTACAGGCACATGCCACAATGCCCGGCTAATTTTTTTGTATTTTTACTAGAGACGGTGTTTCACCATGTTGGCCCAGCTGGTCTTGAACTCCTGACCTCAAGTGATCCACCCACCTCGGCCTCCCAAAGTGCTGGGATTACAGGCATGAGCCACCGTACCCGGTTCTTTTTATTTTTCAATGCAGTTGTCTTCCATTCAAATAAATAAAACAAATAAAAATTTAAAAATTAAATACAAATAAAATGTAAAAATAAAAGTTTTCCATTAGCAATCTTCCTGTACACATCTTTTCCTATTAGAGCTTAGTTGATTTTTGTTTTAAATTGAGATGGGGACAACAACATCTCCCTTTTCAGTAAGGGAGATTTGGTTTATCTGTAAACAATAAAAATGCTAGTCTTATACACTATAGAGAAAGAAAAAAATTATGCAAAACTCTTACTTTGCAACTTTGCTGTTCTATCTAGAAACAAAGTCTTTTTTACAAGTCCAGATTTTTATCTTACAAGCAACAAAAGTTTACAGCAGAGTAAATAAGCTCTTTAAGCTATTTGTATGTCTCAAATATTTCGTAATAAAAAGTGAATTAAATGACTGCCTTTTGCAAATTGCTCTAATCTCAGCCTTCTTTATAAGCTTGTATTTAAAAATCTATTCATATGGAATTTCAGAAGCAGCCTTGCCTTAAAAGAGCACTACTGAATCTTCATAACAAGATTATGTATTTGTTATGTGGAAAGCAAAAATAGGTATCAAATTCATATTCGAATTTTGCATTTTGAGACTTACAGAGGAATGGGTTGACAAATAGCTGACGATTAATTGGATCTGCTAAATATGGGCACCAATGAAGTGTGCCCACCAGAATGCATCTCTACACCTCCGTTCACACAAATCACTTCCTCTGGAAAGGCGCCCGTGGTAAAAGTAGGCATATGGGAATGATTCACTTGGGGAAAGTTGTACCCAGAATATCAAAACAGTTTGCTTTCTGTCGCTATATTCTTGCCATAATTTTTCTACCCAAAGGAACCACCTGCTATTATGGCTGTGACACCTGAAAAGCTTTCTGTATATTGCAGGAGATTGCTCATGTGTGGGTGGGTTTTCAGGCTGTTCAGTGGTATTTTAAAAAATAGTTCTTTGGGGAAAATATTCTCAGAGACTGGAACATTGCCTTGTCTTATCAAAATTGCTCTGTAGTCATGTTCACAAATACCTTCAAACATTGAGCTACAGATGGAATTCAGTAGAAGACATACTGAGCTAATTTCCTTTGTGTGACATTACCCAGAGAAATCAAGCTGTCAGTATCCTGAAGAACAAGCCCTCAAAGTGAGATGGTGGCCAAAGCCATAGGAAGCAGAAATGACTGAAGGGCTTGCCCTTCAAAACCTTCTTCCCATTCTCCCAAATTCATCTTTTCCAATTAAAATTTATTACAAAAAAAAACCAAATAGACTCAGCTTGTCTGACTTGGGATGGTTGTACACTTATAGTAAAGATGGTAAATATTGGGCTGAAAAAAATCCTGAATCCTAGATCTTTCTTGATATTCCAGAATATATTCATAAAAGAGAATTACTGAAAGAGAGTTTTAGGCATACAGAATTTCATACTTTGGGCGAACTAGAGACAGTCATTTCTAAGTTATGCCTTTGCTTTATCAAACTTTAGTTCAATCATTTAACAAATATTTAATGAGCATCTCTTTTGTGTGAACACTATTGTGAGCGTTACGCAGTGAACAAAGCATTTTTAAAAAAATTCTTTCTTCTATGCCTACCCACAGTGCCTAGGCCAAAAAGCTAAAAGTGGGCTGGGTGCGGTAGCTCATGCCTGTTAATCCCACACTTTGGGAGTCCAAGACAGGAGGATTGCTTGAGCCCAGGAGTTCGAGACCATTCAGGGCAACAAAGTGAGACCCCAGTCTCTAGAAAAAATCAAGAAATTAGCGGGGCATGGTGACATGCACATGTGGTCCCAACTACATGGGAGGCTGAGGTGGGAGGAAGGTCTGAGCCCAGAAGCTCAAGGCTGCAGTGAGCCATGTTTGCACCAATGCATTCCAGCCTAGGCAACAGAGCAAGACCCTGCCACAAAAAATAAACATAAAAAATAAAAAAGCTAAAAAGATTCTCTTGCAGCTAGGGGTTTATATAATTTACTTTTTGCTAGTTATATGCATTTGCATAAGTCTTGATTTCAGAACAAACTTCAGTGGGGAAAAGGTGGTCACAGCACTTTATCCATTTTGCTATCTAAAATTGATCTGTGGTATGATTCTGAAGCCAACAGACTTGTGGAGACTTCCTGATGTCCAGAGCATGACTAAGATAGTGTGTTTCTGAAGCTAGAAAGTGGTTGATGGCTTCTTGATCCTTAGCTTTCAGACTATGGTAGGAGCGGCGATTCTTCTAACAGGGCAGTTCTGTGGTGTTATTCTGTGAGTCATTCCTGGAGGCCACATTTACAGCCTGCCCCACCAACCCTCCAATGGTTTTGCAATCCCTAAATTTAGTGACATTTCAGTTATCTCTTGCTGTGTAATAAGCACCCCAAAAACTTAGTTTGGCTGGGCAATTCTGCTGATCCTGCCTGGCTCCACAGGCAGGTGGGTGTATTCAGCTGTCAGTGGCCCTACTTTGTCTCACTCGTATGTCTAGGATTTTGGCAGGGATGCCTTGAAAGGCTGAGACCTCTCTCTCCTATGGTCTCTCATCATTCAGTAATCTAGCCTGAGCTTCCTTACAGGACGGCTGCTTTCTTCTAAGAGGGTGAGAGTGGGAGCCGCAAAGCCTCTTAAGGCTAGGTCTGGAAGTGACACAGCATCAGTTCTGCCTCTTTCCATTGGTCAGAATTAAACCGAGGGCTAGCCCAGATTTACAAGGAGAGAAAAATAGACTTCATCTCTTTATGGGAGTTGTGGCAATTGCAAAAAGGTGGGTGAAACAGGAAGGATTTTTGTAACATCAATCTACCACAACTGTTTTGAATCCCTTTCTGCTTCAAATAGCTAGAATGGCTTCTGTTATCTGCAAATGAACTCTGGCTGATACAGAAAACATGCAGTGGGACCAGATAAGAGGCTGCTATCAGAAGTGTGTACATTAGCTGATAAATGAGACTTACCAGCCCGTTTCTGGATTATTGTCAGTTTCTTTACTGACGATACCCTATTCCATCCCGACGTGTCCTTGTTTGAATTGATTGAAATCTTTCATTTATTTCCACTAATGCCAAATGTGTAGCTGTGAGTATACAATATATCAAGTCTATAATATAATATATATTATATAATCAAAACATCATATTTTGATAGCAGCCTCCTATCTGGTCTTTGAGATAGAGGAAGATTTGGGGCATATTTTGAAAGTAGAGCTGACAGTACTCTGATGGATTGGAAATGAATATGAGAGAAAGTGAGGAAGATGCCAAGGATGCAGTCAACAGTGACTTCAAGGTTTTATGGTAATCATGGTGCTATTTATGGAGATGAAGAAGGACAAGTTTGGAGAGAAAATTCAAGAGTTTGTTTTTGAATATGCCTATTAAATGTCAATCAGGCAGTAGGGTATAGGATTCTGGAGTTTTAGGGAAGAGGTGTGGGCTGTGGATATAAATTTGAGAGCCATCTGCATACAAAAAGACATTTAAATATGAGAGACTTGATTTGATTAACAAGGGAGAGGTGTAGGGAGGGAGATACTGAGCACAGCACTGTTTAGACTATGGAAGATAGATGAGTAGGCTCCATTTCAGTGTATACAGGAATCCCTGGAGACACTTGCTAACAATGTAGATTCCAGGGTCCTAGTCCCATAAATTCTGATTCAGGTCTAATATTGAGGCCTGGCAATCTGCATTGTCAACAATGCAGCTTATCCTGAAGTGGGTAATCTGGGAATATCCTTTGAAAAACACTGAAATAGACTACCAACATCTATGAAAACATTTACGGGTGCTTAAATTTCAGGATGTTTCTTTTCTTTCTCCCCATTTCCTCTCATCCATTATGCATGAAAGACTTCTGCAAGATGCCAAGAGGGGAACTTGGGCTTTTTCTTTTTTCTAATTGCCTTTTACAGAGTGATGGAAAGTTAACTACGAACTCCTGCGGGGAAAAGAAGAGACGATCTAGGCCTAAAAATCGTGTCTACTCTCCAAGAGAGGTATATTCTCCTTTAAACACCCAATTTGATGCCCAGTGGTAACACTTTATGAAGCAAGACCAAGAGCAAAGTCAACATTTCTTTGTTCCTTAATTATAAGCAGCATGTGCACCTTGCATATCTCAGCAAGTGATAAACAGTCATACTCCCCCAAATATTGAATGGAGGGTTGAGAAGATTAGATGAAAAACAAATGCTTAACAGCCTGTGGTAGATTTTGCTTTCCTATCTCTCAAAATTAATGCTGATTAAGCCTCTGTAAAGGGAAAATGCCCCTCCCTGTTTATACCATCATTTATACAAGACTGAATTCTTATTGACAGTGAACCTGTATTTCTAAAATATATAAATATGAAAATATGTTCACTCCTATCTAGTCTGAGATTGTGAATCAAATGTTGTGTTGGTGGTAAAATTCTACAGACATAGTCTCCTCTTTTGCAGTTCAGTGGTTGCAAGAGGGCCTGAAGCTGCAGTAGCCATGTGCTGTAATAATGATTGCATTGATTAAGTGCCAATTACTTCTGGAGACTTTTCAAAGGCCTCTGCTGCAGAGTTGAAACTAGGCTTTCTGTCTGATATTAGATACATCTCTAATGCTAGGTGATGGCTGGTTTGGGATCTCTGGCAATTACTTCTGTCATGTACTTTAATCAACAGCGTGCCTACTATTATAACAAGTCCCCACACCCACTGTGAAGCATTACTCAGACTCTCTTTCCCTTAACCCCCACCCTGCTCACATGAACCTGAGCTTCTGATCCGTAGATGATTAAGTTGCTCTGGTGAATCACCCTCAGTGGGATGGGACAGCCTTCCAACCAGAGCCAGATCTTTACCACAACCAAGTGCTTGTCTGGAGGGATGATGAATCCTACGGGCCCAGCCAGAGGTCAAATTACCTGTCTAGCTATTCTGCTGGGTATCAGTCTTCTGGTAGGCATCCTATTTAGCACATGCTTCCATTAGCAAATATTTAGGAAGGACCTATGCTTGCATATAGTTCCCCGAAAAATTATTTGCAACTAAGTTTTGGATCTAATCACCATCATTGGCTGATTTTGCCACCATCTTTGAAATAGTTGGCAGACTGTGATAGAACGTTGATGGACTGAAAGTTGAGCTAAAAGAGTGACTAAGTCACCAACTTGCTGTGTGACCTTGGGCATTTATTTCAAAACAAGGGGATTGTGCAATACATTTTCTGAGATCCCGTCCAACTCTAGCACTCGGTGGATTAATTTCATTTTTGCAGTGAGCTTCTTATTCATTTGCCAGAGGCAATTGAACTAATTCACTAGGGCTGCCATTCAAAGTTCTTCAAACTGGGTGACTTAAGCAACAGAAATTTATCTTCTCACAGTTCTGGAGGCTGGGAACCCAATATCGAGGTATTAGCAGAGTTGGTTGTTTCTGAGGGAAGTGAGGAAGGAATCCATTCCAGGCTCCTCTCCTTGGCCTGTAGAGGGCCATCTTCATCTTCATATGGTGTTCTTCCTTTGTGTGCATCTGTCTCCAAATTTCCCCTCTTTATAAGGATAGCAGGCATATTGGAGTAGAGATGCCCTAATGACCTCATTTTAACTTGATTACCTCTATAAAGACCCTATCTCCAAATAAGGTCACATTCTGAGGGACTGAGGGTTAGCACTTCAACATATGAATACTTGGGGGACACAATTCAACCCATAACAAAAAGTAAGTATTAAATATAGGTAAGGAATAAAGAATAATGCCTTGGTAGCCTTTAAGGCTGGTAACTGACAGGGACATGGTCAGCCAGCAAGTAAGCATAGATTGTCAAATTTATGTTGTAACTCTAATGGCTTAAACCTACATTAACACTAATTTTATCTCCACATATGGATATTGTGTAAGAGTCAGCTCTGAATTCTCTTCTACCTGAAATTTTTCAGCGTCGCCCTGCTTTCCAGTGTTATTTCATCTGTTTTTATAATTGGATGTGAAACTTCTTGAGAAAGGGTCCTATGACTCTTTAACCAATTATTGTTCAAAGGAGTCCCCAAAGTGTTAAGCAGGTAGGTCATTGTTTAATTAAATGACTCTGTTGAGGTTTGAGTGTGTTTGGCCCTCAGAGGATATAATTATAAGTAGAATATGCTTTCTTGTGCTGATATGGGTCTCCTGATTATATAATGTTATTTATATATTAAGAAGAGAGAAAAGGAATGCATTAGATTTTGATGACTTACAGCTACACATCTGGCATTAATGGAAATAAATGAAAGATTTCAATCAATTCAAACAAGGACACTTTGGGATGGAATCGGGTATCGTCAGTAAAGAAACAGACGATAATCCAGAAACTGACGATAATCCAGAAACTGACTGGTAAGTCTCATTTATCAGCAAATGTACACCCTTCTGATCACTGATCTCTTTTCCAGAGTCTCTCTAGCCTGGAAATCCACTAGGTGGAGCAAAGGATCAAGAATTACCTGCCCAAGAGCTCTCACAAGCAAATATCAACCAGTACTGCAACTATACCTTTTCCTCTATAAAACCTAGACAAAGGCTGGGGGAAAATTGAGTTTCTGAAGCTGCTTGAGATCAAATGTTCCCTGTTCATTAAAATGGACAGTGGCTCAAGGAATAAAGAAACTCAGATTTGCTGAGCTGGACATGATTACTAAATACACAGGAGGCACACCCATCTTGGACTATTTCCCCATGGCTTGGCTCTCATTACGTATTTCCTTTCTGCTTTCATTGGTGGCAGATGGAATTTGGGATAGACTTCTTATCCAAGCTCCTGTATTCGAAATATCCTGTGCTTAGATCATACATCTTTTTCCCGCCTACTCTAGGCATCCCAAAGTTCTAGTATCAACCTGGTTTCTATTTAAATATATTCTCTTTGATTCCTGGCCCTTGGATTCTAACATTTCCTTCCTTGGATTCCAATCTTGTCTTTTTTTCTGCACTTATGTGTCGGTTAGCTGAGCAGAAGCCAGGTTCTTATTTGAGGATTTTTAAGGTGTAAAAGGAGACTGTCCTTGTTTCCCTATCAGTTCTTTGTCCCTTGTGCAAAGTGTACTCTGTCTGCCTTTGCATTCAAACTGCAGTTGTTAACTGTCCTATATCTCAGTCAAAATCTGCTACCAATAGAAGGCATGGTTCATTACAATCATCATTCCATAACATGCAAGTCCAAACACTTGCAGAGGGAAACTTGAGGTAGGAGGTAAATTCCAAATCCAAAGTTATTGTTTTTCATGGCTATGACTCTGTGGCAGGATAATCTATTGAAATATTAATTTCTTTGTCTACTTTCTGTACTTTCTCTACCCCTTTGATCTAAGTGAGTTAGGTAGGCCCTTAGTAATTTCTTACCTTAGAGATATTTTGCAGAATGATCTAGCTGTCTGTAGATAAAACCTGAACTCAATGAAGATAGTATTATCAATGTCTTTGAAGGCAGCAGGAAAAGGAAAGGAGAAAATTTCCCAAGAATATAAGGAAGTTTTCAGTCTATGGGTGAGGGTGAGTAGGACTACACATGGCCGCAGGAGAGTACTGGACTGCAATGGACATGTCAGTGGTAACCAGTATGTATTGACAACTGGCAGGATCTCTGCCAAGCTTTGGTGCCATGTAAGATTCCAGGACCTTGAAAAACCCTTGCAGTGGAGAGTCCAAATAATGACTGAGATTACAATTTCTGCCAATCAAGCTGGATGGGGACTCAGAGTCAGAGTTAAGTAGGTGAAAAGCAAATGAAGAAGTGAGATATTTCTTGTACATCTGAGTTTATCTGAGTTTCCTATTGACTGCACTCAATTAAGAGTTCATCATGGAGGTCTGTGACCTCAGAGCAGTATAGAATGGTGGGTAAAGTATGGTCTCTGGAAACAGGCTGCCTGGGTTCAAATCTGAGCTCTGCTACTGATTAGGTATGAATCCTTGTACAAGTTATTCAGCCTCTCTCTACCACAGGTTTCCCCCTGTGAAGTGGGGATGATAATAGCACGTATCTTACAAGGTTGTGGTTGAAAAATCAGTACCTGACATATAGCAAAATTGAATGTAAACTGTTATTTCTATAGGGTTTTTTGCATCACTATAACGGTTGTTGAAATTTAAATTAATTTTTAAAATACACAATACACACAAATGGTACAAAAGGTTTTGAAAGAGATACAATGAAAGATAAAGGTGTACAACAAAAAATTGTTCCCTAATTTTCCTCCCCAGATGCAACCTGTGTCACTAATTGTATATTAAACAAATGAAACTCCTTACATATGTTTCTGTACCTTCCCCCTCTTAAAAATACATTGTGAAAATTGTTCTTTGATAGTATTCCATTATATCGATATATTCTAGATTATTAACTTATTGAACTAGTCTTCCTCATGGACTGGTTTTTTACTCTTACAAATAATACTGCAATAAAATCTTTGTACCTACATCTTTGAGCATGTCTGGAATATCTGTGGGATAAGTTCCTAAAAGTAGAATTACTGAATTCAAGGCTCTGTACATTATAAAATCTGATAGATACTGTCAAATTGCCCTCCATACAGCAAATTATACTCCCGAGGCCAAGGCGGGCGGATCATGAGGTCAGGAGTTTAAGACAAGCCTGGCCAACATGGTGAAACCCCATCTCTACTGAAAATACAAAAATTAGTCGGGTGTGGTGGCAGGAGCCTGTAATCCCAGCTACTCGGGAGGCTGAGTCAGAAGAATCGCTTGAAACTGGAAGGTGGAGGTTACAGTGAGCTGAGATCGTACCACTGCACTCTAGCCTGGGCAACAAGAGTGAAACTCCATCTCAAAAAAAAAAAAAAAAGAATGCCAGTGGAGGAGGTTGTTCACTTTTCTGATGTTTGCCAATCTGTTAAGTCCTCTTATAATTTGTATTTGCATTTATCTTAATAATGAGATTGAACATATTTTTCATATTTTAAAATCGCATTTCTATTTCCTTTTTGAGAAACAATCTGCTATAAAAAGCATTGTTCAGAAGTGACAATAACATATCTGATGGTTATATGAAGATCCTTCTAATCTCATCACCAGGAAAATATGTTTCTGCCATCAAAAGCTTCCTGACAGTTCCGTTATGTGATGTACTCTGAATTCTTTGTGGTTATCCCTCAACTCCACTGCACCAGGGAGCTAAGAGAAGATTTTTGTTTTAGTATATCTGGTAGTGAAAGGCACTCAGGGATCAAAGGATGAAAGTGATAAGATGCTTCCTTGGACACAGTCTTAGATGCAGTCACTTCCTCAGAGAATATGGAGAATCCAAAAGCAAAAGAACTTGAATGAATCTTTGCAACCAAGACACCCCAGTAACATCTTTCAGAGGTGAGAGAAGCAGAATCAAATTTTTAAAAATGTCTGAATAATTTAAAAATGATTACCTTGTGCTGTTATACCTACTACAGTTTTTCTGTGAAAGTGAAAAATAAGTGAAATGAGAATGGTTCAATCAAATGTCAGCCATTTATCAAAAGAACCTCAGGGAAACCATAAGCTCCTTTTTCTAGGCTGTTATCTAGAAAGGGAGAGACACCAGGAGAGCTGCACAGTCAGAGCTAACAATAATGCAAGGAAGAAGGAAAAAAATGATCAGAGGGGGCTGTTCTGTCTGACACATAACTATTTCTTTTCCAGGAAGGAAACAGTGCTAACTAGGAAGCCAAATCCAAATTTAGAGATTTAATTAATTTTCCATTTGAAAGTTACAGTTAGGATAATCAGTGTCTACTTGTGGGACACCCTCTCTGCCACCCTAAGCATCAGCACACCTGTGTGTGTAATTGACCTAGAAGGTGGGCTGTTATTCCAACCATAAGATGGATAGAATCTAAAATTTTGGGTATCATCTAGTTCATCATTTTACAGATGCAGGAATCTAAGATGAGAGTCAAGTGGCTTCTCCAAGTCTACGCTGTGGAGAGTGGATACCACTGCTGAAAGGGAAATGTAAGCCCTTCACCTCATCATACTGTAGCATAGGGCTCTTTGCATCAGTAAAACCAGCTATGTGGCTTCTGCAGGGTTCCTATTCAAATATATGTTTACATATAAATCTATATTAGTCTGCCGGGTTGCTGATAGCAAAATACCAACAAACAACACACCAATACCAAAATGTCAACAAATACCAACAACAAACAAAATACCATAGACAAAATGTCTGTTAAACAACACACATTTAGTTCTCACAGTTCTGTAGGTTGGGAAGTCCAAGATAAAGGTGCTGACAGCTTCAGTTCCTGGTAAGGGCTCTCTTCCTGGCTTGCAGTCAGCTGCCTTCTTGCTGTGTCCTCACAGGACATAGAGAGAGCCCTGGTGTATCTCTCTCTCTCTCTTGTTTTTTCTTTCATTTTGAGACAGTCTTGCTCTGTCACCCATGCTGGAGTGCACTGATGAGAACCATAGCTCACTGCAGCCTCAACCTCCCGCCTCAGCCTCCCAAGTAGCTGAGACTATGGGTGTGTGCCACCACACTGGGCTAATTTTTTATTTTTATTTTTATAGAGATGGCGTCTCACCATGTTGCCCAGGCTGGTCTCAAACTCTGGACTCAAGCGATCCTCCTGCTTTGGCCTCCCAAAGTGCTGAGATTACAGGCAAGAGCCACTGCACCTGACTCTTTCTCTTCTTAAAAGGGCACTAATCCCATCACGAGTCTCCCACCTTCATGATCTCTTCTAAATCTAATTATTTCCCAAATGCCCCATCTCCAGATACCATCACGTTGGCAGTTAGGGCTTCAACATATGAATTTGGGAGGGGAGGGAACACAATTCATTCCATTGCTCTTCCTCTGTGTGTATTCGTTGTTGTTGTTGGCCTCCTCCCCCAAGGAAGAAAGCTCCACAGATTTCGTCTGTTTCACTGACTTTAGTATACTCATCAGCCAAAACAGCAGCCACACCTATATTCAATAAACATTTATTGAATGAATGGATTTACTGAGTGCTTGCTCTATGCCATACACTGTCCTAAGCACTTTAGATTAACTTTTAAAATCCTTATAATGGCCTTATAAGCTAGGTACTATTGCTCCCTTCATTTATACATGAGGAAACTCAGACATGGAGGGGTTAAATAGTTGCCCTGGTTTCATAGGAGACAGAGCCAAGGTTGTGAAATAAGGAAGCCTAGCTCCTTAGCTCATTTTCTTTTCTTTTCTTTTTTTTTTTTTTTTGAGGTGGAGTTTTTGCTGTTGTTGCCCAGGCTGGAGTGCAAGGGTGCGATCTCAGCTCATTGCAACCTCCGCCTCTCAGGTTCAAGCAATTCTCCTGCCTCAGCCTCCTAAGTAGCTGGGATTACAGGCATGCACCACCACCCCCAGCTAATTTTGTGTTTTTAGTGGAGGCAGGTTTTCACCATGTTGGTCAGGCTTTGGAGATTACCCAATCATTTTGCAAAAGGCGGATGGTGCTAGCTAGCGTTTAGTGACAGCTTACCCTCTTTTAGAACGAAATCAGGAGCTCAGCCATGTCTCTGTGGCGCAATCGGCTAGCGCGTTTGGCTGTTAACTAAAAGGTTGGCGGTTCGAACCCACCCAGAGGCGTCGCTGATATTTTATAACTCCCACGGTGGTCTGCTCCCTTGAAGACTACATGCCTCACTTCCCCTCCTGTCAACTAGTGGCTGCTTCTCATCCTCCAAGAAGGTCTCTGTTGGAAAGAAATGTAGTTGGAAGGTACAGAAGTTCCTTGGACCAGGGAACAAGATAAATTTTGTGTGATCTGTTCACGGGTTCTGGGTGAAATCTTGCTTCTCTTTGTGCCTTTGGGCTATTGACAAGCTATTTGTACCTCAATATTTTTTCAACTGTAATATGAGGATGGTAATAATACCGCATTTGCAGGATGTGCCTAGATTTAATAATTGCTCGATCAATAATGTTATCAGTAGACTCAAGATTATTATTATCCTCTGCATTATTTTTGATGAAGGCATTTCTTCTTTTGTTTATTCCATCATGTAACCCTTTACATGTTGTTTTTTAAATTAAGTTTGTTCCATGATTTTACGATTACAAATAATGCTGCAGTCATCATTCTTGTACAAATATCTTTTGCTATTTGTACACGGATTTCTATAGGGTAGAGTTCTGGAAGTGCAACTGCTGTATCATAGTGGTTACAGTACACATTTTTTATTTTAATTAATAAGCCCTGTAAATTTGCCTTCCATAGAAGTGGTACCAATTTATATTCCAATTTGTTTTTTCAACTCAGAGAATCCTTTTCTTCATACTCTTGCTAGCACAATAAACTTTCTATACATCTGTCTGATAAATAGAGGGGCTGAGAGCTGTGGCTCACACCTGTAATCCCAGCACTTTGGAAGGCCGAGGTGGGCGGATCACCTGAGGTCAGGAGTTTGAGACCAGCCTGGCCAAAATAGCGAAGCCCCATCTCTACTAAAAACACAAAAATTACCACAGGTGGTGGCCTGTGCCTGTAATCTTAGCTACTCGGGAGGCTGAAGCACAAGAATCACTTGAACCTGGGAAGCAGGGTTGCAGTGAGCCAAGATCACGCCACTGTACTCCAGCCTGGGCCACAGAGCGAGACTCCATCTCACACACACATACATATGAAATAAAATAAAAAATAAAGGGAGTGTTGCCCTCCTGACTTAACTAAGGGGAGGTACAACAGATGACATGGCGCACATGGAGCAGTAGAGTATCTCCTCATCTCTTCAGCTAAACTTCCAAGATATTTTGTACAGCTATAATTTGTTTCTGTGGTGACCAGGTCTGGAGAAGATATTCTGATATTTATTACTCCACTCTTTCCTCTATAAATGGCAAGGGTGAATTAGTATGCTATCTGTATTAGTCAAGGTTCTCCAGAGAAACAGAATCATCCATCTATCATCTATTTTTATTGATTTATTTTAAGGAATTAGCTCACATGATTGTGAAAGTTCAAGGCAGGCAGGCTGGAGACCCAGGGAAGAGTTGTTATTTGAGTCCTAAAATATTCTGTTGGTAGAATTTCCTCTTCTTCCAGGAAGGTCAATCTCATTCCATTCAGGCCTTCAACTGATTGGATGAGGTCCACCCACATGACATGGGGCAACCTGCTCTACTCAAAGTCTACTAATGCAAATGTTACTCTCATCCAAAATACCCTTTCTCAGAAACCTCCAGAATTATATTTGACCACATACCTGGGCACTGTGGTCTAGCCAAGTTAACACATAAAATTAACCATCACACTGTCTCTATATTATTCCTTGACAGTTTTTCTTTTTTCTTGCTATGTCCACAAAGATTTGCCCACCTGAGACATATAATCTTAGCTAATAGAATCCTGCACCTTATGGGCATCCCATGCGGACCTGTAATCTCAGAGCTATTGGCATATGTTCCCTCAGTTCATCTGTTGAATCTCATGAGCAGAAATTGAGCTATTTGGCTTTTAGACACTAAATGTAATTCTTAGACAAGTATTTTTTCTCTCTCTCATTTGTACATTGTCAACCATTTTTTTCCATGATCCACATGGAATTCTGTTTTTGATTTTATGAAATGAACATCTGGGGATAGTGGTTAACAGGGATACATTATCTGTTAGGTGGTAGATGACAGCTTATCTAGTCTGTGAGTCTTTTTGGACTGGCTATTTGTTTGTCCTGAGGTTCTTAGTATTTCCTAGTATTTGAGTCTGCAGTGTTGAGAAGTGGTTCACATCTTATCTATCTAATACTAGATAAAATCTTACGGGTCCAACAAATGTCAATATCTGCAAAAGTGGAATATCTTTTGATCTACTATTGATTCACATTTGATCCACAAGGATGATCTCCATGCACAATGATTTTCCCTTAGGAACTCTGACTTCAATATGTCGTTCTAGCTAAAGGGATCTTGGAACAGAAAGAAAACTGAATTTCTGGCATCCAATATTCTACTTTCTTAGACTAAAGTTCCTAAACGCTATACCCATTAATTTCCCATTCTTCCCTCCCTAGCCCCTGGCACAACCACCATTATTTCCTGTCTCTATGAATTTGACTACTCTAGGTACTTCATATAAGCAGAATTCTATAGTATTTTTTCCTTTTGTGACTGGTTTATTTCATTTTGCATAATATCCTCATGTTCATCTATGTTGTAGCATGTGTCAGAATTTCTTTTCTTTTTTAAGGCTGAATAATATTCCATTGCATGTATTTGCCACATTTTGTTTATTCATTTACCTGTTGTTGGACACTTGGGTTCTTTCCCTTCTTTAGCTATTGTAATACTGCTATTGATGTAGGTGCACAAATATCTCTTTGAATCCTTGCTTTCAGTTCTTTTGAGTATATAGCCAGAAGTAAATTTGTTGGATCATGTGATAATTATTTTTAATATTTTGAGGAACCACCATATGGGTTTCCACAGTGGCTGTACCATTTTATTAGGTTGGTGCAAAAGTAATTGCGATTTTTGCCATTAAAAGTAATGACAAAAACTGCAGTTACTTTTGCACCAACCTAATACATTCCAAACAACAGTGCACAGGGGTTTCAATTTTTCCACATCATCACCAACACTGATAATTTTCTTTCCTTCTTTTTAAAATAATAGCCATCTTGTAGGCCTTACTTTTAATTTCCATTTTGTCCTCGAAATCTTGGAGATTGAGCAAGAAGGAGGGAATGCGCATCTTAGTGAGATCTTCTTAGTTACCACCAAGCCTAATGGCTCAGAGCAAGGGTCTGGATGAGTCCTGGCTCTCACTCTCATAGAGATGATGGGACCTTGGAAAGGTAAGCTCAGCCTTTCAGTGCAATGTTCTCATCTGCAACAAGGGGTTGTAATAATCAACACTATCGGCTGCGCGGGGTGGCTCAGCCTGGAATTCCAGCACTTTGGGAGGCCAAGGTAGGTGGATCACCTGAGATCGGGAGTTTGAGACCAGCCTGACTGACATGGTGAAACCACCCTGCCTCTACTAAAAATGCAATAATTAGCTGGGCATGGTTGTGGGGCCTGTGATCCAGCTGTTCAGGAGGCTGAGGCAGGAGAATCGCTTGAACCCGGGAGGCAGAGGTTGCAGTGAGCTGAGATCACACCACTGCACTCCAGCCTGGATGACAGAGAGAGACTCCATCTCAAACAACAACAACAACAACAACAACAACAACAACAACAACCACCACCAAACAAAAAAATCAACACTATCTTGTAGGGTCGTTATGTGGACTAAATAGGTTACTACACAGTAAAGCACTTAGAAACAATGCCAGTCACATAATAATGCTCTTGAAACAGTTATTATTATTATTACTATTATTATTATGTCTTTGTTTTCATTTCTAACTGTACCAGTGAGAAATTTTAACATTCCCTAAAATAAATTAGAAATATTCAATGGTTTTTTTGACCTCTTCTCCCCATATTAGTGGCCAGGTGTCTGAAAAACTGGTTACTTGAAGTGTCTACTCAAAGTACAGACGTAGAATCCTACAGCAGGATTCTATCCTCCAACAGGATCTCTGTTAGTGCACCAGAGGACTGGATCCAACCTGATCAAATTCTTGGACCTTGGACAGGCCTGATTGTTTAGGTCATGGTAGACAATCTTTGGCACATGATTCTAGCAAGAGCCTTTAATACCCATTCAGACTTACGCAAGTATTACAAGAAAAATGCAAGTATATACCTACCAATGGCCTCTTCTCTTTTTTTTTTGTTTTCTTCAGAAATCAAGGTAGGAAAATTTGATTTACCTGGAATTTGTAGAAGATTTCCTCTTTCAGTTACGATGGAGTTTTGTGGCAAACCAGCACTCCCTTCGAAAAGAAGTAGATAAAATCTGGTTTAAAGGAATTCTGTTTGAAGTCTTTGAAAAGCTAGGACCCACAGGGCCAGCTACAGAAAGCGGGTGGAGAGAGAGAGAGAGAAAGAAGATCATTGGAATGAAACAATTTTTCCCCCTCAGGGTATTTGCTAGTTCTTGGCAAGGGACAAGAGGCTGAGAAGCTGGGGAGAGGGCAGTGGTTAAAAACCAGAGAAAACAGCAGCACTTTAAGTAACCTCATGGGGGTGGGGAGTGGGTAGACATGTGGAGCTGTCCAGGTATTTTGACTTGAAAAGCCAAGATTCTAGAATGAATTGAGATGTGAACTGAACACTTGGTAAAGGTTTTCCCCTCAAGGCATTTGTGAATTCAGCTCTGTGCTGGTGAGAGGCTAGCAGAGAGTGGCTGAAAGCAGTTTTCATTGGGAAGGATGCAAAGGAGACAGAAATCAAAATTCACTACCCTCCAAAAAAATGGCGCCTCTCAAATTGGGAGTCCTAGAGGTCTATAGCCTAGGAATGTGGGCAAACCAGATATAGACTGAGCCTTCCCATGAGTGCAAGCAAAGGTGGGTGGAATGGGAGTTTGGAAGGTTAAAATCGACCTCATATTAAATGAAACCCCTACACGTTGCTACTGCAAGGGAAAGGAAGCAAGTATCGCATTGGGATATATTATTTATTATGTATTAAAAGGTAATACAACATGAGGCTAAATTTATTAGTCAGACTTAAATGATTATTCTCCAGTTTTAGTCACTATACTCTTGAAAGAATGTAGGAAGTGAAAACCTGGAGAGTTCCTAAAAACGAAGAGTAAGAATCACTAGAAGTTAAAAAAAAATTCATTTAGGAAAAGCCACAAGAATTGTTTTTACTGAAATTGTCTTCAAGAAAATAAAAGCTGCTGAGAAAATATTTTGATGTTTTCAAGGAGAGGTATACTTAGGTTATTTTGCTGTGGTTAGAAATTGGTTGACAACATAAGCAAAAGGGTAAAAAAGCTGGCTATTGAGGGGGTGGCCTCCCCTGTTATAGAGACCTCCAGGGTGAAATACGCAGCCTTGCATTGAGTGTGGCTATCAGAAGGCAGGGCTTCCTTGGGTTCTGTAGCTACTTCCACATTCTAATTCTGTGATTGTGACTCAAGAGCTGGCACCCTGAGTCTTCCCCATAGCACTATTGTTGATGTCCCAGTGACATGGGATTTGAGCTCTGGCATCTGAAAATGTGTTCCTGCCTTCATGACTCTCAAAACTTGTGGAAGCAAAATGCTTCCTGACCTCTGAAGGGACATTCCCTGGGAACTTCATAAGAACCTTATCTCAGCTATAAGAAACAAAAATACTCATCCCTTAGCTTAGTTTAAACCCCATTTGTTTTCATTCATTTATTGCCTGTTTTTTCTTCTAAACACCTGTGGGACCTCCCCTTCCTTCTCATAACAGCACCCACCCCGACCCCACCCCAGCACTTGCTGCATCTTTCTTTTACCCAGTGGATTGTTGGGTCCTCATGGCTGAGGAAGTTGTAGGCTTCACTCTACTTCCTGGTAGGCTCTGCTCTTGAGATTCTATCGTCCTACAGGATCTCCACTAATAATCTAACCTCTGTAAGCCATAATTTTGTTTCAATTGCTTTAGGTAGTTTTGGAGAAAAGCCTGGCCATTGTGAAGACATAGACATCTTTCTTCTCTGTCCTTCCTTTCAAAGACGGCTGTAAGAGAGCTCTTCATGAGAAAATGTCCCAGCAGAAGGCTGGGATGCATCAGCCCTCAGAGAAGAAGGGACCTGCTGAGAAGGGAGTGAATGAGCAGAAGCCTCGGGTTGAGGAAGAATTCTCTGTATCCTGCAGTGGGCAAGAGACTTCCCACTATCAGCATTAAGTCATTGCTCGTCAGAGTAGCTTTCAGGGCCTGCAGCCAGCCTCCATACCTTAATTGTAGGGCTTTCTCTTAACACCTTCTTGGAAATTTCTTCAGAGAAAAATCTATAAAAGTTTTATTAGTAATGACTTTATATTATTCAGAGAAATTTGGTTTTATTCTAACTAACATTGCATGTATTCACCAAATATATGGCCTTTGTGGTTACCTGAGCTGGAAATCTTCCAGTCATGTGAGTGGTCTCTCTTCTGGATCCCCAGGAGCATGTAGGAATCTCCTGTTTCTTCATATGTTACTCTGGTGAATGCTGAACTGTCCCAGTTCCCGAGGAGGTAGATTTATACAGAGGCCCCTCCATTCTACTCCATCCTCTATGGAAACTCAGGTCCCTGGCTTCTGGAATGGCAGTTTTGATAAGCTGAATTTTAAAAATAAGCTTGCAGAATTGTCAAATAGTGGCCTGTTGGCTAAATTTGTCAGTTTGTTTTTAATGGCCATTTTCCTATAGCTTTTTGGAAACATTTAAATAATATGGGGTTAATCCATTACGCATTTGCCTGTGAGCGCCAGTTACTGAAATACTAAGTTACTGAAATCACTAATTTGCCTAAGTGGTTGGTGCACAGCTTTGGAAGTGATTCAAATCCTGCTTCATGCTCCATTAGGTCACTGCCCAATATATTCCACTTAAATTTCACTGACCCAGAGAATAATGTTAGTTAGGGCTAAAATAACGCTAGGCCAGGCGCAGTGGCTCACGCCTGTAATCTCAGCACTTTGGGAGGCTGAGGTGGGCAGATCACTTGAGGTCAGGAATTGGAGACAGCCTGGCCAACATGGTGAAACCCCGTCTCTACTAAAAATACAAAAATTAGCTGGGCATGGTGGTGGGCACCTGTAATCCCAGCTACTTGGGAGGCTGAGGCAGGAGAATTGCTTGAACCCGGGAGGTGGAGATTGCAGTGAGCCAAGATAGCACCACTGCACTTCAGCCTGGATGACAGAGCAAGATTCCATCTCAGACAAAACAAAACAAAACAAAACAAAACACCCAAAAAACTCTAGAGTCAGTTAGTCTCATTACCTCATTTCAGAACTGAGAACACTTAGGCCCTAAGAGATAGTCATTTGATCAAAGTTGCATAATAGCCTCTGGCAGAGATAACATTAGAATCCTGTGCTCTCGATTCACAAAGGCTACACTACACCCACTTCATCAAATATATTTTTAAAAATTATACTTCTGTGATCATTCTTTTTTTTAATGGACTTTTTAAGAGCAGCTTTAAGTTCACAGCAAAATTGAGTGGAAAGTAACAGAGAGTTCCCATATGCCCCCTACCCCTGCACGGACACAGCCTCCCTCACTATCAACATCTTGCCCCCGAGTGATAACATTTGGTACAACTGATGAACCTACATTGACTCATCATCACCCAAAGTCCACAGTTTACAGTGGGGTTCATTCTTGGTGGTGTATATTCTATAGGTTTTGACACAAGTATAAATGTATAATGGCATGTATCCACCATTGTAATAAAGAATGACTATTCCCTGCCCTAAAAATTCTCTGTGCTCTGCCTATTCATTCTCCTTTCCCTCCTAACACCTGGCAACCACTGATCTTTTTACTGTCTCCACTGTTTTACCTATTCCATAGTGTCATATAGTCAGAGTCATACAGTATGTAGCTTTTTTAGGTTGGCTTCTTTCACTTACACACTTAAGGTTCTTTCATGTCTTTTCATGGCTTCATAACTCATTTCTTTTTAGTACCAAATAATATTCCATTGACTGCATGTACCAAAATTTATCCATTCACCTACTGAAGGACATCTTGGTTGCTTCCAAGTTTTTGCAGTTATGAATAGAGCTGCTATAAACATCATGTGCAGGTTTTTGTGTGAACTTAAGTTTTCAGCTCGCTTGGGAAAATACTGAGGAGCAGATGGTTAGGTCATTTGGTAAGAGTATGTTTAGTTTCGCAAGAAAATGCCAAACTGTCTTCCAAAGTGGCTGTACTATTTTGCATTCCCACCGGCAAGGAATGAGAATATCTGTTGTTCCACATCCTTACCAGCATTTGGTGTTATCAGTGTTCTGGATTTTGCCATTCTAATAGGTGTAGAGTGGTATCTTGTTGTTTTAATTTGCAATTCCCTAATGACATATGATGTTGAGCATCTTTTCATATTCTTATTTGCCATCATCTTTGGTGAGGTGTCTGTTCAGGGTTTTTTGCCCATTTTTTATTGTGTGGTTCATTTTCTTATTGTTGAGTTTAAGAGTTCTTTGTGTATTTGGCTTAATAGTCCTTTACCAGATATGTCTTTTGCAAATATTTTCTCCCAGTGTGTTGTCTTCTCATTCTCTTGATGTGCCTTTTGCAGAGCAGAAGTTTTTAATTTTAATGAAGTCCAGATTATCAATTATTTCTTTTGTGGATCATGCCTTTTGTGTTATATCTGAAAAGTAATCATATAGCTGGGCTTGGTGGCTCACACCTGTAATCCCAGCACTTTGGAAGGCTGAGGCAAGAGGATCACTTGAGCCCAAGAGTTTGGCTGCAGTGAGCCATAATCACACCATGATCACGCCCAAGGAATGCTTCAGTGAGCCATGATCATGCCCTCCAACAAATAAATAAAATAATTAATTTATTTAGAGACTCTGTCTCTAAATTAAAATTGGTATTGCATTGAATCTTTAGATCAATAAATAAAATAAATAAAAAGTCATCACCAAACCCAAGGTCATCTAGATTTTCAGCTGTTGTTATCTTTTAGGGTTTTTTTTTTTATCATTTTATGTTTTACATTTAGGCCTATGATCCATTTTGAGTAAGTTTTCATGAAGAATGTGAAGTCTGTGTCTAGATTCACTTTTTTTGCATGTGGATGTCCCGCTGTTCCAGCACCATTTTTTGAAAATACTATCTTTTCTCCATTGTATTGCCCTTGTCCCCTTGTCAAAGATCAATCTGCTATATTTTGGAGTCTTCTGGAATCTCTATTCTGTTCCGCTGACTTATTTGTCTATTCTTTCACAAATCTTATACTTTCCTGATTACTGTAGCTTTACAGTAAGTCTTGAAGTCAGGTCATATCAGCCCTCTGTTCCTTTTCAATATTGTGTTGGCCATTCTGGGTCTTTTGCCTCTCTATGTACACCTTAGCATCTGTTAGTTGATATTCACAAAATTTATTTGCTGAGATTTTGATTGGTATTGCATTGAATCTTTAGATCAAGTTGGGAAGAACTGACATCTTGACAATATTTAGTCTTCCTGTCCATGAACACAGAATATCTCTCTGTGTATTTAGTGCTTCTTTGATCTCTCTCAACAGAGTTTTGCAGTTTTCCTCATACAGATCTTGTACATGTTTTGTTAGATTTTACCTTGACATAATCACTTACTAGTTCCAGGAGATTTTTGTTGTCAATTCTTTCAGATTTTCTTTTCTTTTCTTTTTGTTTTTGAGATGGAGTCTCACTGTGTCGCCCAGGTTGGAGTGTAGTGGCTCAATCTCGGCTCACTGCAAGCTCCGCCTCCTGGGTTCAAGCCATTCTCCTGCCTCAGCCTCCTGAGTAGCCTGGCTACTATTTTGTTTTTTTAGTAGAGACGGGGTTTCGCTGTGTTAGCCAGGATGGTCTCGATCTCCTGACCTCATGATCCGCCCACCTCGACCTCCCTAAGTGCTGGAGTTACGGGCATGAGCCACCGCGCCCGGCCTTTTTTTTTTTTTTTTTTTTTTTTTTCGAGTCAGTGTCTCACTTTGTCACTCAGGGTGGAGTGCAGAGTGGCACGATGTCATCTCACTGCAACCTTTGCTTCCTGGATTCAAGCAATTCTCCTTCCTCAGCCTCCCAAGTAGCTGGATTACAAGCGCATGCCACCACGCCCGGCTAATTTTTGTATTTTTTGTAAAGACAGGGTTTCACCATGTTGGAGATTTTCTATAATACAATAACTGCATCATGTGTGAACAAAGACAGTTTTAGTTCATCTTCTCTAATCTGTATACCGTTTATTTCCTTTGCTTATCTTACTGCATTAGCTAGGATTTCCAGTATGATGGTGAAAAGAAGTGGTAAGCGGGGAAATTCTTGCCTTATTGTTGATGTTAGTGAGAAAGCTTCTAGTTTCTAGTATGACATTAGTGTAGAGTTTTTATAGAAGTTCTTTATCAAGTTGAGGAAGGTCTCCTCTATTCCCACTTTGTTGAGAGTTTTTATGATGAATGAGTGTTGAATTTTGTCAAATGCTTTTTCTTCATCTATTAATATGATCAAGTGATTTTTCTTCTCTAGCAAGTGGCAGGGAAAATGACAATCTTAGAAGGGATCTTTCACATAAAGATTGTTTTCATTTCCTTCATTCCTTTTACCATATTCAGGACACTAAACATATGCTAGAATTCAGTGTGTGGCCTCCTTTGGTGATACTCTCAAGTTCCTTCTCCTAAATTGCTATAACCTATCAGTTATTCCTATCTACCTTTACTTCTTTTTTTCTACTTTAGGAAGTATCATTCCTTGATTCAGGATCAGTCTCAAGAGTTAACCCACCTACGGCAGAAGATGAAGCTTGGGAGAGTGGCCTCTGCTCTTCTCATCCAGCATGTCAAGAACACACTAAAGACCTTTGAGGAGCTACTCCAGAGCAATAACATTGACCACTATATGGAGCAGCACTACTGCGAGCAGCTGGCCAAAGGAAGCCAGCTGGCAGAGAGCCTTGCCAGAAAATTCAGCACAGGTAAGTTGGCCGCAGAGCTTAGGAAGATTTTCAGTCTCTCCCAAGGTCCTAAGTTCACAGGATCCCACCCCCATTCACATGTCACTTTTCAACCTGGTGTCCTGCTTTGTAATCACCACCTTAAGACCATCACAGAGTCAGGACTGGCTGGAGAGGAGCTCCAAGAAGAAGGGTTGAGGATGCCATGATGATCACCAGCACCTCCATCCCTCATGGAATATGACTGTTAGGGCAGGAGGCATCCCCAGGGATGATGGTATTCATCTGAAACTAATTGGCAGAAAGACAGAAGGAACAGGGGCAGCTGGTTTTTGTGAAGGGCCCTGAACTGGGAATCCAAAAACCCTACCTCTAGCTTATATGTGTTCCTTACCAGCTCTGGACAGGTTAATATTTATTTTGATTTCTGTTTCTCTACCTAAAAAATTAAGTCAAATAATTCCAGCCCTTGAATGTTGCATGATTGTTCTAGGGATTAAATAAGTAACATTAATCGGCACACTTCAAAAAAATGATAAAGAATCATGCTGACTTTGGCATGGTTCAGGCACTGTGTGTACTAGTACATGGTGGTGAGATAATTAGCTGTTTCAGGAGCATTTTACATGAAATTCCCCCTTGAGAACCCAAGGGCCCATAGTAGCAGAAGGCTTGAGTTCACTGTGCTGTCTCCTGATGGTAGGTGGGACACGGATGTCTATCATCTCCTTGGAGAAGGGAGGAAGTTCTGCATGAAAGCTATGGTGGAACACACAGCCATGGGTTTGGGTGCTGGCCTTGTGCCAGGACTTGGAGGCTTTGGCTGGAGTGGATATGTGTTCCATGATATGTGGGAATAAAGACATTTTTAGCTTTTTGCTGTGACTCAGGGCAAAGCAAGTGGAGATGATGACCTTCATGGTGGGCTCAGGAAAGCCTGCCAGGCAAGCTCTCTAAAGACTCAACCCAAGATCTGAGAAAATTCAGAGTATCCTGGAATCAAGGCAAGCATCAGGTAGTCAAGTCTCTGCTCCCAGATAGACCTCCATGTTTGTTTGCAGTCTGGGAAATGAGACCTGCTTAAAGCATGACTGGCCTTTTTGAATTTTGTTCTCAGATGACTGTACAAGTAAGAAGAATCAAGTAGGACAGGTGTCTTCGACTCTCAGGTAACTCCAAATTTTCAGGGGCTGTCGAAGATGTAATCTGGTGAAGGATCCAGAAGCAAGAGCCAGAAGCTCAAAGAAACAGGAGCATACATGGCCAGTAAAAAACAAATAGCTTATTTATCCATTAAACCATTATGTATCCTTAGGGATAAGGCAGTCTCATTTTTAAAATTTTTTAAAAAATATATTATTCTTTTATTTTCACCAATTAATTCACCAATTTAGTAACATAGAGCTGCTCTAACCTATCTGGGTCTTAGGAGTCTTCTGAACCTCCAGGGATCACCTCTGGTTTCCCTTATTTAAAGACCAGAGTAAGATTATATCTGATTTCTTCAAGGGTGACCCAAGGAGTGCTGGAAGATGTAAAACAGCTACAAATTTTCCTTGCAAACAAAAGTTTATACTGTGTCTCTATACTTAGGGAAGGAGATCTAGAAACTGCAAGACACCAGTGAGGCTACATTGCCTGGGGAATCTGTTTTAAATGGCCTATAGCAAATACTATTTTAAAAATTATGTTCACAGAATGAGTTGAATTCTTTTTTTTTTAACATTTTTAAAATTTTATTTTTGAGATGAGGTCTTGCTCTGTTGCCCAGGCTGGAATGCAGTGGCACGATCACTGCTCACTGCATCCTTGACCTCCTGGGCTCAAGTGATCCTCCTCAGCCTCCTAAATAGTTGGGACTACAGGTGCACACCACCACACCCAGCTCATTTTTTATTTTTATTTTTTGTAGACAGAGGGTCTCACTATGTTTCTCAGTTTGGTCTTGAATTCCTGGACTCAAGCAATTCTCCTGCCTTGGCCTCCCAAATTGCTGGGATTACAGGCATGTACCGCCATACCCATACCTGGAGTTGAACTCTTATGGGTCTCTGGCTGTTTTGTGAAGGAATCATGAGTGTTATTTAAGGGGCCCATTACGGCTTCGTTTTTCCTCAGGATGTTTGTAGCCAATGCACCAGACAACTGTTGCTCTCTCTGTCCCCGCCTTCCCTCCATACTCTATCCTGAAACAGAAATGATTTGTTTGGCTTCTCCTCTGAAGGAATGATCCTCTTGACCTCCCCTTTACATCTCCTGTGAGCCTCCAGATTAGTACAGCTGTGGCATTAGGTGACCTTTATTTTTTCTTCTTTCTTACCCCACTAGTATCTTGAGGAAGATGCATAATATGAGTAAAGTGACAGAAGTCCTAGAGACCAAGTGGGATGCCCGGTCCCAGACTCAGCCCCAGATCTGGTGCAGCAACCACACCCGGTCTACCCCACATCACTCCCTGAGCAGCACGTCTCCACAGCTTGACAAGGAGGAAGTGCATCCTTCAGTGACTGTAGTCAGTGAGTAGCCACATGGCTCCAGTTTTTGGGGCTCATGCATTGTCTAGGCCAAGAGGTGGCATCTTTGCAGCCGGGCCCTGTAGATCCACCGTGATGTACCTGGTCGGGCACAGCTCCAGGACTCAGTGCTGAGCATAAGCCCCAAGGCTTTCAGGTAGCTTTTCTCCATTCCCAGTCTCACATGTCATCAGTCACTAGATCCCCTCTGGCACATACATGGTGTTGGTCTTGGGGGGCATGGGTTGGGAAGGGGAGAAAGGGGGCAAATAGTTCCTCTTCACTGCACACAGTTATGTCATCTTTCAAACTAGGGACATGAGTGTTGCTAACATTGTGCACCTAATCCTGGAATCCCTGGGGTAAACAGCCACAGTTCCTATTTTTTGTTCATCACTAAATCATCTTTATCATTTATGCATTTACAGATCCCATCCATCATCCTAATAAGTTTGCTGTAACACCCTCTAAACTATCAGTGAATGGGGCCATGCTGTGAGGTTCAAGCTGAGTCCATCACCAACCAGCGTGTCCCTCCTGAGAATTTCCCTGAGAGGGTCCTTGGGATAGCCTTGATAGAGACGGGAAGAGGAGATTAAGTTTGAAACCAGACTTTCATTTTTCTCCTGCTCAGTTTTCTCTTTAATTTTCCTCTTGAGAAAAGTGTTTGAAGTTTTAGGCCAGTATGAATCATATCCTAATGTGGACAATACCAAGAAATTATTTTTAGTCCCTGGCTGTATCTGGTGTTTTTTTCTAAATTGGCAATTTTAAGTAATGAGTGAGCCATAATGGTTTTTAGTTGTTGTTGTTGTTTTTGAGACGGAGTTTTGCTGTTGTCGCCCAGACTAGAGTGCAGTGGCACAATCTCAGCTTACTGCAACCTCTGCCTCCCGGGTTCAAGTGATTCTCCTACCTCAGCCTCCCAAGTAGCTGGGATTACAGGTGCTTGCCACCACGCCAGGCTAATTTTTATATTTTTAGTAGAGATGGGGTTTGACCGTGTTGGCCAGGCTGGTCTCAAACTCCTGACCTCAGGTGATCCAACTGCCTCAGCCTCCCAAAGTGCTGGGCTTACAGGCATGAGCCACCATGCCCGGCCCATAATGGGTTTTGATCTGGTACTATTCCTGTTTCTCATTTCACAATGAGGAGCAAAGCGGCAAAATGTTTCCTCTAAGATTATAGCAGCCAAGGAAAGACAGGAACTTCTCATTGATTGAGCACCTATTATGCTCACAATATTGACCACTATACATATATTTCCTCATTTAATTGACACAGTGATCCCCTCAAATAGGTAGTGGTGTTCTGCTTTTATAGTGGAGGACACTGAGGCTCAGCAAAGTTAAGGAACTTACTGAAGACAAAGCAGCTTGGGGTAACATACACTTTGAGTCTACCTGACTCAAAGCTCAGGTTGTGAGCATTTCACTCTGCAGCCTGAGAAGTCAGGGGCTGCGTACAAAGGGTGCTCACTCCTTCTCAGCACCTCTTTTGCTAGGCTTCTGGAGCCAGGGTTTTTCTCATTCCACTTTTTCTGCTCTGTGCACCCAGCAGAGTTCTGGCCTCTGAAGATGGGACAAGACCTTACACATATTACACTTCTATCTAAGAATTTGTAAATAGATGAGCTGCCCTTGATATGTACATCACCTATTCCAAGGGGCCAATGGGACTTTTATGTGCATCCTTGATTCAGTTGCCCAGAGGCACTTGTTTCAACCTCAGCACTGCCCCAAGAGATGGCAGAAGGGCAAGCCCATGCTTCCCTTACCTGCAATCCCTGCCACTGCCTGCAGTGAGGTGTGGCCTCTGGAATGATGCTTCTGGAGAGCACCAGCTTTACTTTTTGCCACAACTGTCTTTCCTGAGGGAGATCGAAGCCCTTCTCTTTCCCACTTGAAGTCACTGTCCTTTCACAGGGGCAACTGTTTATCACCACTTCCTCTTTGGTTTTTGAACCAAAATTTCTAGAACAGTCAACCTGTAGTGCACTGGCATGACAGCTACATTGTGAGGCCAAATTTCCTTCACAAAAGTCTAGTCTCTGTTGCTTTCCATCTGCAGTGTAGGGCATGTTCCCCGTGTGGTATGGCCAGGGAACGTTAAAACACTGATCACTGTTACTGATAAAACTTAGAGCTTCCTATGGCCATGGTTGAGAGTAAACTGATTTTCTGAGTTAAAGGAGGTTTGAAAGGGGGTGGTAATCACATTTTGATTGAGTTCCTACTTTAAGTCAGGCATTTATTAAAGACTTAACATAGTTGTCATTACTCTTTATCTCACAGTGATTCTAATTAGTATCTGATATTTTATAAATTGGAGAAGGAGAGACCTACTGGATACTGATTTAAATATACAGTTCCTAAAAGAACGTGATGTTGTTGAGGGCAAACAGAAACCTCACTCCCACCTGCTCAGAGGAGAAACTTGTCTATTCTTTAGCCCTTGATAATAATCCTTGAAAGGGAAAGACTCTAAAACTTTTCTCTGAATTATGGCCCTGCCACCCCAGCTTGGTTTTTCTCTCAAAGGGAGACAGTAATGAAGGGCCCAGAGGATCTGGCCATGTTCTCATGGCATCATTGAGCTGTAAGATGCCATGTATTTTGTGATTCTACAATCCTCTATGCAAGAGTACACTAGCTATTCTATGGACAGGAGCCAGACAATGTGAGCTGTACATAAGAATTATTTTTGCAGTGTCAAAAGCCATTCTAGGTGGAATCCAAATCACCACTTGCCTTAGACAGACACCCCCTCAGCTTCACTGCAGGTCCAGAGTCAGCCGAGGCCAGAGAGAGAACCACCAGGAGTGGAAGCAACACTCTCTAGGTTCTCTGCACATTGTCCAGAAGTGGAGGCCATTTTCTCCTCCTCCTCCAACAGCCTCAGTGTAGAACAATCCCAGGAAGGAGTAGCTGGTGTGTTTCTGGCAAGGGCATAGAATGTTGAATAAATAGTCACCTGTTTACAGACCAACAAAATGCTTCACCCCTCACTGTCTGAACTCCTAGGATTGGCTGTGAGTCCTGCTATTAGGAGAAACATTTCTGAAGTACCTCCCCAGGATCATTCCAGCATTGGGAATCATAAAGGGAGCTAGGAGAGGGGCCCCATATTTTTCCTGTATGTGCGCTGTGATGCTCAGATATTACAACTAACACTACTGCTTATGTCATAGGCTGAGAAATGCCAGTTACTTTAGGGTGAAATGGGGAGTCCTTGGGAAATGAGTCTGCTGACATCTGCCTTAGTCTTCATTCCGTGGATTGCTTTATTAGCTTTCGAGGGCTTCCAAAACAAAAAAACACAAACCGGGCGTCTTAAAACAGAAATGTATTCTCTCACAGTTCTGGAGATGAAGACGTCTAAAATCAGGGAGTCAGCAGGGCCATGCTCCCTCTGAAGACTCCAGGGAAGGATCCTTCCTTGCCTCTTCCTAGTTTCTGGTGGTTTCTGGGTTGTAGACACATCACCCCAATCTCTGCCTCTCTTGTTACATGGTCTCCTTCTCTGTGTGTCTCTTTATCTCTGTGTCTCCTCTCCTCTCATAAGGACATCAGTCATGTTGGATTTAAGACATACCCCCAATTCAGTATCATCTCATCTTAACTTATTATATCTACAAAAACCCCATTTACAAATAAGATCACATTCTGAAGTTCCAAGTGAACTGAATGAATTTTTGGAGGACACTATTCAACTCACTATAATTGCCTTTAAAACACTCTTTTATGACTTCCCTGTTGGTTTCTCACTCACATTCCTTTCTGGACAGATGCCAGCCCTGCCATTTCTGCTGATTCAGCTGCTTTGCCCAGCAACCAAGGAACCAGGCCTGCCCAGCCCTTCCATCCTTCGAGCGGCACTGGCCCAGCAGAGCAGGACACTAGAACACGGTAGCAGTGGCCCATGGGAAGAGATGAGGCCTCAAAAAATGAATGCATCTGGAGACCTAGCCTCCTTCTCCTCTTTGTACCAACCCAACTCCGAAACCTCTGGTAAAACACAAAGGAGCACTTAGTGAAATCGAGCCCATTGGTAGGAATGACACATTCCTTTCCTGGCCAGAGGATTTTTTGGTTCCTCTGTTAGAACCTGGTTCATAAAAAATGACAGGACAATATGTAGATCAGCCAGACAGTGAGAACCAGCTCAGTGCTTGTTCTTTGAAAGTGCCTTCTCCTAGCCACCCTACCTAGGAACTCACTCTGGGCAGGAGAGTAGGAGAAGTCAGGGACATTCTGAGGTGCTCTACAAGGAGGATAAGTTACCTCACACTTAAATGTTGCCTTCTCTCTGTGCTACAACCTTCTTAGGCCTAGATTAAGACTGTCCTGGAATGCTAAGCTCAGATTTCCATGGGGAAGGTCTTCCTTAGGTCAGGAGCTACTGTCGGGTGGGAAACTATTTCTACAGAGTCACCCAGCCCTACACACTCTTTCCACTCTTTCACACACATCTTTTTTTTTTTTTTTTTTTATTATACTCTAAGTTTTAGGGTACATGTGCACATTGTGCAGGTTAGTTACATATGTATACATGTGCCATGCTGGTGCGCTGCACCCACTAATGTGTCATCTAGCATTAGGTATATCTCCCAATGCTATCCCTCCCCCCTCCCCCGACCCCACCACAGTCCCCAGAGTGTGATATTCCCCTTCCTGTTTCACACACATCTTTCACACACACTGTGCATACAACCACGTGCCAATCCTGCCCCCATAAACATTGCTTTTGGATTTGGAGCCAAACATCCTGGCACCCGGCAGCTAGGAGTGCAGCTATTTAGAGGAATGGCTTGAAGCAGCTCCATTTCTGTGTCCCAGGTAGTGTAACAATAAGACATTTTAAATTCTCAGAGAAAAGCCTGACCCTACGCAAAATCTCCCAGTGGGTGAAGCCTATTCTCAGCCTCCTCTCTCTGTGCATCTTTTTCCTTCCTTGGAGATTGTTCCCTTCTCTCCTGTTCCCCCACTTCAGATCCTGATACCTTCCCAAGCTCTTCCATGTTCCTCTTTGCCAAAACTGGTTAAAGGAGAACATTCACTATCACTCATTATTCACAGCCTGGTTTAATTTCATATGCACTTACCTTGGTCTTTCTGTCTGTGAGTGAGTGAAATCTCAAAGGCTGTTGAGTCGGGATCATCATCGGGGAGAGGGATGAGGTAGAGAGGGAGATTCTCTGGATTGTTTTCCATACCAAGGAGGTAGACAGCCTTTCCCATTACTAGGCCAGTTCTGCCTAGAGGCCTTTAGCAGTTTCTCACCCTGTGTCCATCTCCCTTAGATGTACTTGGTGGTCTCTGTCTGGGAGGAGGCCTGTGGTGTTTCCTTACAGGGGGCCACCCTGTGATTGAAAGCCCAGGACTTTTAAGTAAAGTTGCCTGGTGCTTCCTGAATGCCCAGGAGAGAGGAAGAAGCTGACAGAAGGATAGAGATAGGTAGGGATCTTGCAGAGAGATGCCACGCAGGCCCCACAGCTGCCCAGGGATGATCAGGCTTCCCTACCTCCTACCTCTCCTATGTCTTGGTGTTTGCAGTAGGGGCCGACCTGCTGGAAAAGAATCTTGCTGAGATACAGAACCTGCGCCAGCGCCTGGAGGAGTCCATCAGTCTCAATGACCGCCTGAGGGAGAGGCTGCAGCATGTGCTTAGCAATGGTGACCAAGGAAAAGGTAGAAAGGCAGAAATTTTATGTTTCTGTCCACGTCTAGGGAGTCTCAAAAGGGCACATAGCTTCTTGGGGCAGAGTTTTACCGGTTTAAAGCACATTGGTGTGCATGATTTCACTTGTTCCTTACAATTAGCCCAGATAGGGAAGCAGAAGGGTACTATTGCTCCCACTGAGTGGTTTGCCCCAAGCAGGGATAGGTCTAATTCTCAGGACTATCTGAAGTGATGTCATTCTTATATGTCCTTATACTGCCTGGTGCTGTTCTTGGGCTTGTGGCCTGACTGGCGAGTGGTAGCACCAAGGTTTCCATGGTGCCCACTTCAGCAGAATGAGAGCAACGTTCCACCTTTATGCCATTACTACATGCCTTTGATATCACCTGGCTCTTCTCTTGTGCTAATGACCCTTATTTCCACACTCTTCACCCTGGATGCTCTCACTTGGAGACCAGTTCTTCCCCATCCCTTCTTCTCTCGTATTAAAGCCAGAAGAATGATGACCTACAACATCATAACTGAAGCCAATTAGTGGGAAAGACCCTGATCCATACCTGAAGCCACTTCACATGAGAGTGTGTGGCCTACTCTGGTGTGCCCAGCAAAACCTGAGCCTGAGCCATATTGCACTGCTATCCCAGTGCAGGAGGACCGCAGGTTTTCAGATTAGCTGAGACTAAAACTTTAATGGGTGCAGGAAAGTACATCTTTGAAAGTATCTGTTACCTAAAGGTATGACTTGTCTGGGTTGTTTTTATTCCCTGTGAAGTATCTACCTCCATCTTCCATGGGTAGGACCTGTAGTCCACACCCTAGTTGTGCAACAGGAAAAGGGCTCAGGGAAGCAAACTGGAGTTTTCAGGCTTCCAGAAGGAAAAAATCAAAGCTGAAGTCACTTCCATATTTCTTCCTTTCTGCAGCAATGCCCAGTTGTAGAAGCAAAGAGAAGTAGGCAGCACAAAAGTTGACCAGATCCACACAGCCTAAAACTATAATAGCTTATTCCCAATCTAGATAAGGCTGCTTCTTAAAAGATCCCACCTACATGTTCGCAGACTCCTGGCTCCAGGAGTAAATATCTCTGGAAAATCTACATGTCATGTTTAAGTTCCTTTCCCAATCTTTGCAGATAATCAGAGAGTCACTAGCTGTCAACTAGAAAGCTTGGTGTCTCTCTTCCTGTCTTTCCCACTTTCACCTGGGTACGGAATAGGAGAGAAGAAATTAAGTTTTTGTTTGGTACAATCAATGAATCTCCTAAATCCCTCCAGACTTCATTGCAGCCCTGTCTCTCCCTCCCTAGGTACTGCACAGTCCACTGTAGCCCCTCATTCATATACTCAGAGTCACTCTTCTGGCTGTGGCGAGGACATCCTGTGACATGATGCCTAGAGAGTCTGGAAGAATGTTCTCCAGAACTTTTCCAGCCCTATCCAACAGAATTCTTGGGTGGGAACTTGGAGGCATTGGATATTATCTTTAAATGAAGAGATCAAATTAATAAATTATTTTTAAAATTAATGTTTATATTTATTTATTGAACACCTATAAAGAGTAAAATTTGTGTAGAAAAGAATAAAACCAGAATGGTCTGAAATGTGTGGAAAAGGTTAAAGGAGAAATGAGTTTTCTTTATTAGCTATCTCTGTTTCAGAAGACTAGAATGGGAATTTCACTGCTGTGGGAAGGTAAGAAATATTAATAGATAGTGAGGATGTAGAATTCCTTGACTTCCATTACATGCTTAGGAAGAACAGAAAAACTGTCACATGTGAAAGGATTGCAGAATAAAATCTGAATGTTTTAAAATGAGGACAACTTACCATACCAGGTGAGCTTCACTCAAGAGAATGACAGAACTCGTGAAGAGCACGCTTGCCTCGAGCCTGGAATATAGCCATTCTGACTACTGTGAGATGATATCTCACTGTAGTTTTAATTTGCATTTCTCTGATGATTAGTGATGTGCATTTTTTCATATGTTTGTTGGCCGCTTGTATGTGTTCTTTTGATAAGTGTCTAGCCATGTCCTTTGCCCATTTTTTAAATAGGGTTATTTGGTTTTGTCTTGTTGATTTAAGTTCCTTATAGAGTCTGGATATTAGTCCTTTGTCAGGTGCATAGTTTTCAAATATTTTCTCCCATTCTGTAGGTTGTCTGTTTACTCTGTTGATTATTTCTTTTGCTGTGCAGAAGCTTTTTAAGTCCCATTTGTCAATTTTCGTTTTTGTTGCATTTGCTTTTGAGGTCTTAGTCATAGGCCAATGTCAAGAAGAGGTTTTCCTAGGTTTTCTTCTAGCATTTTTATGGTTTGACGTCCTATATTTAAGTCTGTAAACCATCTGAATTAATTTTTGTATATGGTGGGAGGTAGGGGTCCAGTTTCATTCTTCTGCATTTGGCTAGCCAGTTTTCCCAGCACCATTTATTAAATAGGGTATCATTTTCCTCATTGTTTATTTTTGTCAACTTTGTTAAAGATCAGTTGGTTGTAGGTGTGTGACTTTATTTCTGGGTTCTCTATTCTTATCCATTGATTCATGTGTCTATTTTTGTGTCGGTACCTTGCTGTTTTTGTTGCTATAGCCTTGTAGTATAGTTTGAAGTTAGGTAATGTGATGCCTCTGGATTTGTTCTTTTTGCTTTGGATTGCTTGACTATTCGGGCCGTTTTTTGGTTCCATGGGGATTTTTTTTTTTTTTTTTTGAGACAGGGTCTCACTCTGTCACCCAGGCTAGAGTGTAGTGGCATGATCTCGGCTCACTTCAACCTCTGCCTCTGGGTTTAAGTGATTCTCCCACCTCAGCCTCTTGAATTAGCTGGGACTATAGGTGTGTGCTACCACGCCTGCTAACTTTTGTGTGTTTTGGTAGAGATGGGGTTTCACCGTATTGGCCAGGCTGCCCTTGAACTCCTGACCTCAAGTGATCCTCCTGCCTCAGCCTCCCAAAGTGCTGGGATTACAGGTGTGAGCCACAATGTCCAGCCCCATAAGAATTTTATAATTTTTTTTTTAAATTCTGTAAAAAATGACATTGGTAACTTGATAGGAATTGCGTTGAATCTTTAGATTGCTTTGGATAGAATGGTCATTTTAACAATATTGATTCTTCCAGTCCACAAGCATGGAATGTTTTCCCATTTGTTTGTGTTGTCTATTATTTCTTTCATCAGTGTTTTGTAGTTCTCCCAGTAGAGATCTTTCACCTCCTTGGTTAAATATATTCCTAGGTGTTTTGTTTATTTGTGTGTGTGTGTGTGTGTGTGTGTGTGTGTGTGTGGCTATTTTAAATGGGATTAAGTTCTTGACTTGGCTGTCAGCTTGAGCATTTTTAGTGTATAGAAATGCTACTGATTTTTGTATGCTCATGTTGTAACCTGAAACTTTACTGAACTTGTTTTTCAAGTCTAGGAGTATTTTGGAGGAATCTTTAGAGGTTTCTAGATGGAGGATCATGTCTTTGGTGAACAGAGATAATTTGACTTCCCTTTTTCCTATTTGGATTGCTTTTATTTCTCCTGACTGATTACTCTGGCCAGGATTTCCAGTACTGTGTTGAATAGGAGTGGTGAGAGTGGACATCCTTGTCTTGTTCCAGTTATTAGGGGGAATGCTTCCAACTTTTGCCTATTCAGTATGATATTGGCTATGGGTTTGTCATAGATGGCTCTTATTATTTTGAGTTATGTTCCTTTGATGCCTGGTTTGTTGAAGGTGTGTATCATGCAACGGATGTAACATTTTATTGAGTGCTTTTTCTGCATCTATTGGGATAATAGTATGGTTTTTGTTTTTAATTCTGTTTATGCAGTGAATAGCATTTTTTCTTTGCGTCTGTTGAACCATCCTTGCATCCTAGGAATAAAGCCCACATGATCATGATGAATTATCTTTTTGATGTGCTGCTGGATTCAGTTTGCTAGTATTTTGTTGAGAATTTTTGCATCTGTGTTCATCAGGGATATTGGCCTGTAGTTTTCTTTTTTTATTGTGTCCCTGCCAGATTTTGGTATCAGGATGATACTGGTTTCATAGAATGAGTTAGGAATCCCTCATCCCCAATTTTTTGGAATAGTTTTAGTAAGATTGGTACCAGCTCTTCTTTGCACGTCTGGTGGAATTCAGCTGTAAAATTCTGTCTGGTCCAGGGCTCTTTCAGATTAGTAGAATTTTTATTACTGATTCAATTACATAACTCATTATTGGTCTGTTCAGGATTTCAATTTCTTCCTGGTTCAATCTTAAGAAGCTGTGTGCTTCCAGGAATTTAACTATTTCTTCTAGGTTTTTCTAGTTTGTGCGTGTAGAGATGCTCATAGTAGTCTCTGAGGATCTTTTGTATTTCTGTGATATGAGTTGTAATGTCACCTTTGTAATTTCTGATTGTGCTTATTTGGATCTTTTTTTCCTGGTTAATCTAGCTAGTGGTCTATCAATCATTCAAATAACCAACTTTTCATTTCATTGATCCTTTGTATTTTTTTTTTTATCTCTGTTTCATTTAGTTCTGCTCTGATCTTAGTTATTTCTTTCCTTCTCCTAGCTTTGGGTTTTGTTTCTTCTTCTTTTCCTAGTTCTTTAGGTGTGGTATTATGTTGTTAATTTGAGATCTTTCTATCTTTTCAAGGTAGGTATAGAGTGCTATAAACTTTCCTCTTAACACTGCTTTTCTATATTCCAGAGTTTTTGGCACATTGTGTCTCTACTTTCATTTGTTTCAATTTTTTTTTATTTCTGCCTTAATTTTATTGTTTACCCAAAAATGATTCTGTTGTTTAGTTTCCATGTATTTGTGTGGTTTTGAGAGTTCCTCTTGGCATTGATTTCTGCTTTTATTCTACTGTTGTCTGAGAAGATACTTGATATAATTTCATTTTTTAAAAAATTTATTGAGACTTGCTTTATGACTGAGTATGTGGTCAATCTTAGAGAATGTTCTGTGCACAGATGAGAACAATGTATATTCTGTGGTTGTTGGATAGAGTATTCTATAGACATCTATTAGGTTCATTTGGTCAAGAGTCCAATTGAAGTCCAAAGTTTCCTTGTTAGGTTTCTGCCTCAGTGATCTGTCTAGTGCTGTCAGTGGGATGTTGAAGTCCTCCACTAGTATAGCATGGCTGTCTATTTCTTTGCTTAGGTGTAGTTGTATTTGTTTTATAAATTTGGGTGCTTCAATGTTAGGTGCATATATATTTAGGATAGTTAAATCTTCTTGTTGAATTGAATGCTTTCTGATTATGTAATGCCCTTCTTTGTCTTTTTTCTTTTTTTAACTCTTGTTGGTTTAGTCTGTTTTACTTGATACAAGAATAGCAACTCCTGACCTTTCTTGTTTTCCATTTGCATAACAGATCTCTATCACTTTACTTTGAGCCCCTGGGGGCTATAAAATGTAAGATAGGTCTCAAAGGCCATGGAAAGTTTGATTTTTTTTTTTTCCCAATTTGCCACCCTATGCCTTTTTTTTTTTTTGATGGAGTCCCAGGCTGAGTTCAGTGGTGCGATCTTGGCTCACTGCAGCCTCTGCTTCCTGGGTTCAAGTGATTCTCCTGCCTCAGCTTCCCGAGTAGCTGGCATTACAGGCGCCCACCACCACGCCCAGCTAATTTTTGTATTTTAGTGGAGATGAAGTTTCACCATGTTGGCCAGGCTGGTTTCGAACTCCTGACCTCAAGTGATCCACCCACCTTGGCCTCCCAAACTGCAGGGATTACAAGTGTGAGCCACCACACCTGGACTACTCTATGCCCGTTAAGTGGAACTTTCAGGCCATTTACATTCAAGGTTAATATTCATGTGTGAGGTGTTATTTCTGTCATAGTGTTAAGCTAGTTGCTTTGTAGACCCAATTATATATTGCTTTATAAGGTGTACGAGCTTTGTAATTACATGTGCTTTTATGGTAGCAAGTACCATCCATATTTAGAACTCCTTTGAACATTTATTATAGAGACTATCTGGTGTTAATGAATTCCCTTAGCATTTCTCTGTCTGGGAAAAACTATTTCTCCTTCATTTATGAAGCTTAAATTGGCAGAGTATGAAACTTTGACAGGCAGTTTTTTTTTTCTTTTAGGTGGCTAAAAATAGGCCCCAGTTTCTTCTGACTTGTAAGATTTCCGTTGAAAAGTTTGCTGTTAGTCTGATGGGATTTCCTTTATAGATAATCTGGCCCTTTTCTTCAGCTGCCTTTAAGATTTTTTCTTTCACATTTATCTTGGGAAGTCTGATGACTGTATGCTTTTCACTGGTTATCTTGTATAGTATCTTGCAGAAGTTGTCCAAATTTCTTGTATCTGAACATCAATCTCTCTTGAAAGGTTAGGAAAATTCTTTCCTGAATTATTCCTTCAAATATGTTTTCCAGGTTGCTTACTTTTCTTCTTCTCTCTCAGGAATGCCAATAAGTCATAGGTTTGATCGCTTTACATAACCCCATAATTCTCAAAAGCTTTGTTCATTTTTAAAAATTCATTTTTCTTTACTTTTGTCTGACTAGGTGAATTTGAAAGACCAACCTTCAAGCTCTGAAATTCATTCTTCTGCTTGTCTAGTCTATTATTAAAGCTTTCAATGTATTTTGAAATTCCTTTAGTGAATTTTTCAATTATAGAAGTTCTATTTGTATTTTTCTTAATATAGTTTTCTTGTCTTTCATATTCTGTATTGTTTTTCTGATTTCTTTGCATTGGACTTCAACTTTTTCTTGGATCTCATTGAGTTCCCTTGCAATCCGTATTTGGAATTCTTATCTGTCATTTCCGACATTTCAGTCTGGCTAGGATCCATTGCTAGAAACTAGTGTGATCCTTTGGAAGTGTGTAAATACTCTGGGTACACTGGAGTTATTGCACTGATTCTTTCTCATCCGAGGAAGCTGTTGCTTCTTAGTTTTGAATTTGGTATTGTTTGGATGAGGATTTTTAATGTTTTTATTCTTTTTTTCCCTTGATGGTATGACTGTGGTGTATGTTGTGTATGATTGTTTGGCTTCATTTCTGGGTGCTTTCAGGGAGCCCTAGCTTTGTATGGGTTTCTTGGTTGTGGATAGCTTCTGAGCAGTAGCTTTCTCAGATGCTGCTTGTTGTGGTGATGTATTGGAAGTAAAAGCTAACACACTAACCCTTGTTGGGGGCTGAGGGTACGGAATTCTCAGGAAACTTATCTCATGGACTAGCACTAAGCCCTTTGGTAGCAGGGTTTTTGAATTCAGTGGTCCAGTTTAGGATGCAGTCCAGTAGATGGTGCTTAAGAGTCAGGGCTGTTACGTAGGCTGGTGTCCAGTGGAAAAACCTGCCCTGACAGGATGGTGGGAAAGAGATCATGTCGGGGTGTGCTGAGGTCTCAGGGGAAGGGGCAGAGGTGCACTAGCTCCTCCTCCTGAGTAGGCAAGAATGTGATCCGCTTCCCTATCATGCCCTGTCACAGAGCTCACAACCTTCATTTTATAAAGACTTTGTCCTTTGGTTCCTGGCTGTGGTGCAGCTGAAGTCTGTGGATATGGCACTCTGACAGCTACCACTAAAATGGGGTTTAGGGCAAAGCCTCTTCCCCGAGTCCAGGGCAGGCAACTCCATGGTCTGTCCTCCATTGTCAGGGCACTGCAGCTCTGTATAGGGAGGGAGAGTTGGGCCCGTCCTTCCTGAAAGCCCAAGCAGCACAGGCTCACTTTCAGCCTGGGTGGTGCCACCATGAATAACGTGCATAATGTTCTCTCCTGGTGCATACTCACTGGGTCCTGGAGAAAAGAACCACTGCTATGTCTGCAGCCATATACGGGGTAGGGGAGAGATGATCCCTGCTTTTCCTGCTTTTCCACTCCTGTTCCTGGGTGTCAATGCTGCCCTCTTCTGCGATTGGTGCCATGCCAGTGTTTTCTTTGTCCCTAGGAGGGCTTTGGGACAGTGAGCAAACAATTGTTCTGATAAACGCAATTTAACCCGCGACCCTTGGCTCGCTCAGGTCGTGGGGTTGGGCCGCCTTTGCGCTTTTCCTTTGGATCTGCCCTTCTTCTGGGTTTGTTCTCTCGAGCTAGGGGAAGGCCTGGGTCCCCTCTCTTTGGCTCCTCTTGCCGTATCAGAAACCTCACACTCCTTCCTTTTCCAGAGAAGCTTCAGAGTGCTTTGTTGGGTTTGCTGGAACTCGGCAGGGCGCAAGTATGTGGGGATGCGCGCTGTGAGTCTCTGTTTCCTCCGCTGTGACGGCTCTTCCCGCTCCTGTAGGAAAAGGCAATGCCCCTTTTGTCTTGTCTATGTGGGACTCCAAAGGGTCCAGACGAGACAGAAAGGGGGCGAATCCTCTCAGAGTGGGCAGGGGAGGAGATACAATGTGGGAATGGGGCGGTAGAGGGGTGGGATTTCATGAAATTTCCTGATTTAAGGCGATCATGAAGTAGGCCTCTTTGGGAGGTTGGCCCTCCAGTCGCTGGTAAGGGTAACAGCCCACCAGTCTCTGGTGAGGTCCAGTCGCGTCCCCCGACTGCATTTAGAGCCAAAAGCAGAACGAGGCCGGCGCTGCGGCCTGGCGTCCAGTGACCCAGCTGTCTGCATATTCCCCAGGGTGCAAGCACTTGGACTTCAGGTGTGAAGGCAATGCGGTCACCACCGCAGTAAGAAAAGCAACTAGGGAAAATGGCACCTTCTTCTCCCAACTTTTTTTTGAGACTCTCGCTCTGTCGTCTAGGCTGGAGTGCAGTGGTGCGATCTTGGATTTGGAAACTATAATAGAAACGGCTGATCTAAGATTTTCATGGTTATGTTTTGCCGCGCAGGTTCCGCGTGTGGTTTCCGTAGTGTAGTGGTTATCATGTTCGCCTCACACGCGAAAGGTCCCCGGTTCGAAACTGGATGGAAACATAGGTTTTTGTTTTTTTGTTTTTTTTGTTAGCCCTTAAATTTAGTGAGTTTACTCGAGGTTGGAAAACAGAAAAATAGTTGAACCTGTGACTACATTTTAGACCTCATCAATCTATACAGATTGTCGACCAGGCTACAATTTCCACTGGTCTGCCAGGAAGAGGACGTCACAGCAGGCCTGCTTAATATTAACTTTGGTTCCAGCAATTCCTTAAGGTTCTCTTCATTCTCTTTATCGCCTGAATTTTCACAGGCAGACACCGAAAGTGGATGACATGTTAGCGCATTTCCTAAGGGTCCAGCTTGGCTTCGCTTTACTCTGATACAGTTGCAGATCTGGCTGATTTGCGAGACAACAAAAACAAAATGTTTTTTAAAAACGTTCCAAATCTGCATCTGGAACTCATGGAGTCAATATTCCGAAATCACACGAATTATGTACATACATTTGCATGCATACCCCTTCCCCAAATAATCCTCAGAAAACCGGTAAGCGTCCAAACTACTCTCCGGAGGCTTAGGTAATCAACAATTTAATAAATACAATTGCTAATGTATGGTGTACAGATCCTGTATTGCCCACCCTTCTCTATTGCTTTGTCCCCGCGCGCCCTCTGTTTTGCCTAAATGGGTTCCAGGCCATAGCCACCGACTCTCGCTTTGCCTTCTGGCCTCTCGGCAGTGCGCTTCAGCACCATTGCGCCAGGTGACGCTGCTGAGAACAGCTGAGTGGCCGGCACTAGTGCAGCTGGAAGCCAAGGCCCAGAATTCTCAGGAATCTGCACTTTACCCAGGCGAAAAGCCCAAGGGCTCTCCCCACAGCTTCCCAACATCCCTCTACAGAGTTTTTAAATATTAGACTTATTAACCTGTAGAGATGGAGAGAATCAAAGAAATCACAAGGTATCTCTGAGGGAAAAAGAAGAGCACCAGCAGTAAATCACTTAAGAGTATTGAACCAGCAAGCCAGGGATAGGAGAATGGAATGGAAACTGACAGGATGACTGCAGAGGATGGTACTGAGGGTGGATGCGAACCACTACTTACTATTAATATATTGAGCCAAGCACACTAATGGGGGCATAACCAAAATACTTAATAGGGCACTCTTTTACCCACCATGTGTTTTACAATATAGTTGCTAAAGGATGTATCACCCTACTGGTTCTAGAAGCTTCTGGAGCCAAGGAGCCAGAGCATGAGAGCATAAAAATCCTGTCAATTGAAGCCTTGGGCTCTACACTGCTAAGCCTGGCCCAGAGGCTGGATTGCAAATGCAGGTGCTAGTGTAATGGAATGGATGTTTGTGTTCCCTTCATATTATATATTGAAGCCTTAACCCCCAATGTGAAGGTATTTTGGAGGTAGGGCCTTTGGGAGGTAATCAGGTTTAGATGAGGTCATGACCATGGGATCTCCATGATGAGATCAGTGTCATTATAAGAAACAGAAGAAAGACGAAAGTGCTCTCTTTCTCTCCACCATGCGAGGACAGAAGGAGAATGTAGCAGTCTGCAAGCCAGGGAGAGAGCCCTCACCAAGGAGGTGAATCCGCTGGCAGTTTGATCTTGGACTTCTCAGCCTCTCAAACTGTGAGAAAGAAATTCCTCGTGTTTAAGCCACCCAGTCTGTGGTATTTTGTTATGGAAGCCTGAGTTAAGACAGCTGGTTCACTGGGGAATCCACTGGTGTGAACCTGTGAAAAGTTTGTGACATGTGAAGTAGTTTGCTGCTCCTGGATTTGAGTATTGGCAAGAGCTGTTAGAATGATGAGCATAGAGTGAAGAAGGGTACAGAGAATATGGTATTAATCATTGTACTGAAGAAATAAAGGGACATTATATGGTTCTAGGCTGAAGTTATGTGCAGATTTAAGCTGTGGAAGGGTCACTCAGCATACAGTGTGGCAAGTGAGTGGTGCATACTACACTGGCTGTAGGGAGTCCAGTTTTTTGTTGTTGTTGTTGTTTTGTTTTTTTTTTTTTTTTGAGGTGGAGTCTTGCTTTTTCACCCAGGCTGGAGTGCAGTTGTGTGGTCTTGGCTCATTGCAACCTCTGCCTCCTGGGTTCAAGCGATTCTCCTGCTTCAGCCTCCCGAGTAGCTGGGACTACAGATGGGTGCCACCACGCCTGGCTAATTTTTTTTTTTGTAGTTTTAGTAGAGATGGGGTTTCACCATGTTAGTCAGGATGGTCTCAATCTTCTGACTTCGTGATCCGCCTGCCTTGGCCTTCCAAAGTGCTGGGGTTACAGGCTTGAGCCACCGCACCTGGCCAGGAGTCCAGTTTTTTGTCTGCTTATGTTAATGGATGCAAGAGCCGATAGATGGAAAAGTGTGGTAATAAAGTGGCAGTAAGCTTGTGGAGTATCCAATAAACTTAAACGCTATTTTTTTTGAATTGAACTGAAATTGTTGTGTTATGAAAATGAGAGAGTTTATCCAAAGAAAGATCTGGCTTGGCAAATAGGATAGATGGTGGTGAGGATAAGTGTGCTAGGCAGGGCTAGAAACAGGTTTTAGTGATCATTGAAACACCCAGGGCAGTGCACTACTCTTTGGGAGATGCTGTGCTTGAGTCTGATCATTGGGTTTTGAGGTAGAGGGTGGTACATATTGCTGACAGGGAACTCACCGGTGTGTTGAGTTTTAGCATCTGTGACTCTGAGATGCATATGAGGCCTTTGTAAATTTAGAAGTTGAGAGTAGAAAGTACAGGTTTGTATTTTAGAAGGAGATTTGGGAATAAATGTAGCTCTGGTTGATATAGATAATATGTTAAGGTTTGTTGGCCAGAGCTGGTGTGTGTCTTGGGTGTTGGGCAAAGAACAGAGAACAGTCAAAGCTCTGTGAGGTCAATGTGAAGGGTGATTTCCTTGTTGGGCTCAAGTTTATGACCCAGCCTGGACCTAGCTTGGCTTCTCAGCTAGAGAAGAAGCATGATTCCATGTCACAACTCCTGTCTTTGAAAAAGTCATAATGACTCACAGACCCAACATGTGGGGCAAACTCTCTGAATTTTTCTCTTCAGTTTAATCTCTCCAGGGAAAATTGAGAAAAGAAATCTCTCTATTTGAACTTCATCAAAAGACTAATATGTTAATATTTTGACCATCAATATTTCCTTAAACTAGTCTACTCCTTACATAGCTAATACATCAAAGCATATTAACTTAGGAAATTGGATTCTCTCTAACAATGAAATATTGACTGCAGGCATTATTAATCTTTTTATATCACATTTCCTTTAAATGCTTTATACATCTTCAAGCAGACAAATAACAGTATTATGGTTACAAGACCGATCATTACTCTTTTGCCAAAAAAACCAGCGACAAAAGACTAACTCAGTGGACCAACCTTTGTTTCTTCATTATCTCTACCTTGATTCTGTCCTTTTATTTCCTCTTTCCTCTAATTCTAATTCTGCTTCTGCTTCTTATTTCCTCCCTGGATTAGAACTTTACTTACCTAAGCTACCAGTTAGGTTACCTTCTCAGAACCACTAAGGCAGCAGTTTGACGTTGACAATTGAAGATTTAGGATTACAAAAAAGAAACATGAATGAATTTGTGACGTTTTATTATAGGGGTATGTAATGCAGGTAGAAAGACCTTTTTCAGAGTTAAGAGTTTGATCCGACAAATGAGCTATTTTGATATTTATAACTTTGTTTAGTAAAAGTTTCCTATAAAAACATTTGGTTTGGATGAATGAGCTATTTTGATATTTATAACTTTGTTTAGCAAAAGTTTCCTATAAAAACATTTGGTTTGGATGTCTTTGTTAGCTTTGAGTCGACACTTGAAAAGGCCGCTTGGAAGTTTCTAAGTCTTTCTGGATACTCTTTCCGGTAATTCTCCAAGGGTTGCTGGGGAGAGGCACTGGTGGTTCAGTGGTAGGGTTCTCGCCTCACACGCGGGAGACCCGGGTTCAATTCCCGGTCAAGGCAAGAGGTTTTTTTGCTCTTCACTATGGCTCTTTACCCTTCTGCCCTGCAGAATTACACTGCATAACCTAATAGTGCATTTAAGGGCTTGGCCACCACAAGGTAAACTGACAACAACGCTGACCAAAGTAGCAGCAAAAGACATTCAGGAGACTAACCCGGGACCCACGCAGTTGTTGGACTCAACAAACCGCTAAGCAAAGTGGCAAGCACGTAGTGTTTCTGGTGAGTCACTGCAGTTTTGATATTGGTACCTGTTACTTTCATCTGTTCTCTGGGCGGATTCCTGCAAACCCAAGAACCATCAGTTTCCTGATTCGTGTGCTGGACCTTGGGCTTACCGCTGAGCCACTACGGAGAGGAACAAGAAATGAAGCTCCCGGAAGGAGAGAAGCTGCGGGCGGGGCAATCACCTCGGAGGTCCAAGAGGCCTCAGCGGCCCAAAGAAAGGGGAGGTGTGTGCGGGAGAATCTCAATGGAGATGAGGAGAGCAGCGGTGACTGGTCCTTGCGCAGAGTGGTCCTTGCACAGAGGTAGCCAATGGACCCTCGAGGCTGTACCCCAGACACCGCGAACCGAATTTGCTAACATCTTCAGCCACCGTGGCCTCCGCGTGTTTTGTGGGCCCATCGGTGTTCAGTGAGGGATTCCGTGTGTCTGGCAATGTGTGTCAACAGGTGTTGGCCTGAAATTTGGCCGGGCACGGTGGCTCACGCCTGTAATCCCAGCACTTTGTGAGGCCGAGGCGGATGGATCGCTTGAGGTCAAGAGTTCAAGACCAGCCTGGCTAACATGGTGAAATCCCGTCTCTACTAAAAATACAAAAATCAGCCGAATGTGGTGGCGTGCACCTGCTATTCCAGCTACTTGAGAGGCTGAGGCAGGAGAATCGCTTGAACCCGGGAGGCGGAGGTTGCAGTGAGCCAAGATCGCGCTACTGCACTCCAGCCTGGGCGACAGAGCAACTCCGTCAAAAAAAAAAAAAAAAAAAAATGGAGCGAAAGAAGGGAGAGGTGTCGATGGGACAACGAGACTTCCCAGGAGGCTTGTTGTAGAGGCAGTGGCCAGGTCCTGAGAGATGAGATGTTTTTTAAATTATGTAGCGGAATGGGGAGAGAGTAACGGAGAAGCGCATGAAAGAGAGAAAAGCACGAAAATCTGCAGACGTTCGAGAATAAAGCAGAGAAAATAGTATGAGTGTTTTTACATAAAAAAATATAAGAAGTACAATGGTTGTCAGCAGGCTTTTTGGTCGTGTAGTGGTCAATACTTGCAGCTGTGGTTGCCGCAACCTGGGTTCTAATCTGAGTCACAGTAGTGTTTTCTCTCCTGCGATTGTAGCTAAAAGACCTGTCGTTTGCTTTGCCTTTAATCCTAGCAGCCTCCAGAGAGCGGAGTAAACCGCTGGCCCGGAAGGGCGCCAGCTTCTGGAGTTTAGCCCACAGTGCGTAAACTAGGGGGCGGCCTGGCCAAAATGAAAACTCGGACATGCTCTTTGTCTCACAATGGAGCAGAAAAAATTCCCATAGGTGAAGATGCCGCCTCTCAAGGGCCCTTTGTCTGTAGCTTCCACCGATGAAATAATACGGTTATAGTCTCATCTGGTAGAGAAAACGGCTGTATCAGTGGGATTTTTTAAAAACACAAAACGAGAACGAGCTTTTAATGAGTTTACAATAAAATCTAAACTAGTTGTCATGGTCTACACCGGCTTGCCTCCATTCCCCATCCCCTAATTTTTATGAGAACAGTAAATTATTACTATTACTATTATTTTTGAGATGTAGTCTTGTTCTGTCACCCAGGCTGGAGTGCCATGGCTCAATCTCGGCTCACTGCAACGTCCCGTTTCCCGGGTTCAAGCAATGAGAACAGTAAATAAACTACAGTTCACATAAAGTGCACAAATCTTTAGTGCAGTTCGTTTATTTTTGATGAATGTAATCACCACCCAGCTCAAGTTATAGAAAATTGCCATCATCTGAGAAAGGCCTGTTAGAGCCCCTTTCCAGGCAATTCCCACCCTGTGTCCTCTTAGTTAATCACTATTCTGATGTCTATTCCCATAGGTTACAATTGCCTGTTCTTAAAGTTCACATGAGTGAATGGACATATCTTTTGTATCTGGCCTTTTTTCTGCAGGTATGTTCATTATACTCATGAGATATATCCACGTAGTTTCATAGATCACTTCTCAATTTTGGTGTTATTGAATTCTTGTGATGAATATTCTTCTACAGGTCTTTTTGTGCACTTGAGATTCATGGAAGTACTTCAATTGCTGGGTCACGACCTGAGTACAAGTTTAACATTAGTATAAATTGCCAGTCTTCTAGAATGTTTTTTCACCAGCAATGACAGTTGAAGTGGCACCAAATTCTTGTCAGCATTTGGTGTACTAACTTTTTAAAATGTAGCTATGCTCTCAGACCAAACTGGCCAACATGGCGAAACCCCGTCTCTACTGAAAATATAAAAATTAGCCAGGCATGGTGGCATGCACCTGTAGTCCCAGCTACTCAGGAGGGGGAGGTTGCAGTGACTCAAGATTGCACCAATCGCACCATTGCACTCCAGCTTGGGTGAGAGAGACCCTGTCTCAGAGAAAAAAAAAAAAGTAGTCACACACTGGTGATTGGTTAGTGGTATCTCAGTGTGGAATTAATTTGTACTTGCCTAATGAGCAATACTATGAAGCATATTTTCTTATGGCTTCCAGCATATAAGAAATTCTCCTTTGCAAAGGCCTATTCGAATATTTTGCCCGATTTTATTTGGCTTAGCTCTATATTACTGATTTATGAAAGTTCTTATATATTCAGGAGTTGAGTCATTTTTCAAATAAATATATTGCAAATGACTTTTCCCAGTCAATGACTTGACTGACAACTGAAAGCTGTCAACTGAAAAATCACACAATTTATAAATTTAGAAAGGAGATTTTATTTTTTTATAAAGGGTTACAGCCTGCAAGTGGCCATTCTGACAGACTGGGAGGCATAGCTTCCTGCTGAAACCCGAAAAGTAGGTTTCCAGGGAGGGGAGGGCGAATAGTGATTTACGTTGATCTGGCTGGCCACATATACATATTCAACAGGGAATAGGGGGAGCTCTGAATATTTGTGAAGGGATCCTGCTGCATGCATGCTGAGTAAACATGCCTGTTACATGCAACCCATGTTCACTTTGGGGTGGAGACAACATTTAAATACATTATAATTAGGCCCTATGCTTCAAAAGGTGAAGCAGGGACACAAAGGCAATCAAGTGCATAGCTTCTGTAAACTGTCCAGAACCCGCCCACGGCCAGTGGTCTCTTATCAAGAGAAAACTACTGAAATCAGTCTCTTGTCCAATCAAAGCAGTAGTTACGGCTTGTGTAGGGAGGGCTCAGTCAGTTTATGGTAATAGGTGAGCTGCAAGTGCTTCAGCATTGCTTATCTCAAGGCCAGTGCTTGTTTAGCTAGAGAAAAAAAGGAAGAAGAAAAAAAAACTGGCAATTAGAACATAGTGCCTACTGCCACACACATACCACCAAATCCTGCACTCCAAGCTTCTCCTTCTGCACCCTGGACTCCCAACCTCCAGTTAGACAATCCACATCTTCCCACACCTGCCTCAGGCTCCATCAGGCCACTGTGCCTCCCATAGCAACCAGGCCAGGGGGGATCTTGATTCCTATTACGTTTCTGAAGAAGGTGGTCAGGGGGTGTGGAGGATGTAGGTGGGAGGGGGTGAGGTTGAGGGCAGAAGTACACTGTGGTCTTCTGTCTTCTACCTCATTGGCCCAGGTGCTGCTCTCCCTCCGGTTGTCTGCTTTCAGCCCTTCGTGGGAAATCAGGTCTGCACCCTGATCTTCCTGACTCTCATTTTGTGAGGAACCTGAACGGATGAGACGTCGCTCTTGTCCCACAGGTTCTGTCCAAAAGGTGCCCTCCTCTCTACTTGCTCGGGGGCCTGCCCACTGAGCTCTGGCACTCAGGCTGGGATGCCGCCCAGTACAGAGGCTCTGCAGCCCTGCAGGGGTCTGACTGTTCCACACCAGCAGGATACAGGCCACAGGGCATGCTGTGGTGGAAAAGCATTCAGAGGTGTGGGCTGAAGGCTTCTCTTTCCACAGTCCCTTTGAAGATCCCATGGAAGTAAGCACCCCTTTGAGGAACAAGGTGGCCCAAGGCCTGGCTTCACATGCAGGCTCTTGTGTCCCAGTGGGTCCTCTCTGTGCCTGGTATAGCCGACTGCTTCACACATCTTACCCGGTTTCCTCTCCTCCACCACCCAAGATCCTCCTCGACCTCCTTGCTCAGCTGTCCTTAGGACAGCAAGATCCCCAGCCCTTGGAAAAGCCCTATCTCCACTGCTTGGGGAGGGAGTTGGGTTCAGGTCTTCTAACCACAGAAGAACAGAGAACCTGAGGCAGGAGGGAATCCCTTCCCTTGCTGGGTCTCTTGGCACAGCCCATCTAGGGGTCTGGGTCAGGGTCCAGGTATCCTCTACCCTCCTTGAGGACCTGAGGTTTCAGGTCCCCGGGGTTTGTCAACGTAGAGTCTTTCCCACTGTTCATCTGGGAACTGTAGGAATATCCCATGGGGCCCTCTCTTACTCATTAGAGACACCCAGAAAGTACTCCTGCAGAAACTGGGTGCAGTGTACCAGACCACAATAATTCTAATTACAGGATGTGGAGGTCAGATACGTTTTGTGACTATTTTCTCTCTGTCTGTGGCTTGCTTGCCTTTTCACTTTCTTAGTGGTATCTTTTGATGAGAAGGTATGGCTAATGTTGATGAAGTCTAATTTATCATGTCTTTTATATATATTTTTTCAGTGTCCTACTTGTTGGTAGGCTAATCTTTACCTACAGAGTATCCTTGAAATGCTTTATATCTTTAACTTTTAAGTTTTGGTGTATAATGCACCTCAAATTACTTTTGTATGTAGTGTGAGGGAGAATAACATTGTTGGTCTCCCCCACCTCCATATGAAAGTCCATTAATTGAAATGATTTATTTTCTTCTATTGAACTGCTTTCATTGAAAGCTCATTTATTGACTGTATGGCTGTGGATCAGTTTCAGGTCTCTTAACTCAGTCTGTTTATCTATTTGTCCCTCCTGATGCCTTGTCTGTAATAGCTTATAGTAAGCCTTGAAGTCAGATAGTACAAGTCCTTGTTCTTTTGCACACATTGCAATAACTGGGTCTGGATTTAGTCCCGTTAGTCTGAGTGGGACTAATGCCACTATAAAAGGGACCCCAGGGAGCTCTCTCTGCCCCCTGAGGATACAATGAGAAGGTGGCAGTCTACAACCAGAAAAAAGTCCCTCATCATAACCCTACCATGTTGGCACCTTGATCTCGGACTTCCAACCTCCAGAACTGTGAGAAATAAATTTCTGTCGTGAATTAGCCACCCAGTTTATGGTATATAGTTATGGAAGCCCGAACTAAGACAGAGATGGAATCCCATGGAGGGTCTCTAATTTGCTGAGCTGGTCATCAGGTGGGATGTTGCAAGTTAGAAACAAGAAGAGCTGACATTTTGTGCATATGAAAGAAGATAGTGGACAGGCCCATTGTCGTCGGCTTTGTCCGCCTTGGCGAACTGGAGACGGAAGCTAGATTCACCTTCGACAGCCACGGGAGGACCGGGAGGACCTCCAGAGGAGGTTAGGTCGACCTCATGGTAACTTTAGATCCTGAAAACTCACAGGATTTTTCTTGTCTTCCCTTTGATCTCTCTTCCGCCTACTCAACAGGACAGGACTCACCGCCTTTCTTTCCCGTCAGAAAGGGATCCCTTCCGGACAGGACAGAAGTGAGCAGATGGTTTCCCCTACGTGTCTTTCCGGGCCTGGGCGTCTCAGGAGCTCAGGCTGACCTGAGACCTAACTCCTGGCAAGTGGGACCAGCAGGAGCCTGGAAGAGCGCGCGCACCGGGGTGGAGGTTGGGCGCCGGGGGTGGAGAACCGCAGTCAAATCCTCTTCTTCCCCGCGCACCGCGCACCTGCCCCCGGGGATGCCGAACGAATTGGCCCATAAAGCTTCTCTGCAACGGAAAGAAGCCTGAAGCTCCAGGAGGTGCGAGAGGAGCCTCGTTGAGCGAGCCCAGCCCTCTGCCCGGCTGGCCCTGGTCAACAGGCTCGGAAGAGGCCGATTTGGAGGACAGAACGGAAGACAAGACCTAAAGGTTTCGAATCTCATGATGTGGAGATGTTAAAGCCTAAATCCTAAGGTCCGACTGTGAGGGGGAGCGAGGGTGTCTCGAGCTGGATCCACCCTTGAGCCTTCACCTGGAGAGTCCTCTGCACAAGTTCAGAGAGAAGGACTACGCGCAGCAATGGTTCTCAACAGGGGGCAACTTCGCCCTCACATGCCTCTCCCAACCCCGCTGGGACACTAGGCCGCGGCTGGGGGAAGCGGGAGGGAGAATGTTATCCCCCTGGCATGTGTCTAGTCAGCGGAGGAGACAGATGCTGCTAAACACCTTGCAATCCACGGCGGGAGGGCCCCTCCCCCACCCCGAAGTAGCCATTCGGCAGAGGTGGAGAAACTCGCGTGTAGATCAATGCCCACGCACTTGGCCGACGGAAATCACGAATTGGTGACCAATTGGATCTTGGATCTGAGGAAAAAGCTCCAGCTTCAGAGGGAACTCTCGAAGTTTTGCCCAGAGCAAACGGAGGGGTTGCGTTGCCATCGCCTAAAATGGGAAAATGGCAGGCGTCACAGGTTGCAGGGGAAGGTTGGAGACCAGTTGAGTGCCCCGGAGCCTTCCTGGAAAGAGTTTCCTATCCAGCCCGCCTCGGTTTCCGCATCCGTCTGATTCCTTATGATGTTGAGGGTGCCGGGGTCTGGGTCCTTTATGATGCAGAGGGTGCCCCCGTCTCACCTCGGGCGCCTCCCCGCTCCCGCCTCCTCCTGGCAACCTGGTGGGCGGCTCCGGACCCGGCGACCCGCGACCATCTTGTCAGTTGCTGCCGCCTGGCAAAGGGCATCTCTAGGCCAGTGGTGAGCTGCGGCCGCGTGGCCGCAACTCGCTCCAGTACTCAGGACTCCCTCGTGGAGCCCTTGGTGTGTCGCCTGCAGGTTCTTTTTTTGAAGAAAGCAGGGAGTGAACGGCCTTGTGAGACGACTCCAGGAGCAAAGGGAGACTCTCACAAGACCCAAGTCCTCCTAGAGCACAGGAAAGTGTCGCTTCAGGTCGAAGAAGGGAGAGAAAGCAGCTTTCCGCATCTGCATGGTTGTCTAGTGGCTAGGATTCGGTGCTGAAAGCGCCACGGCCCGGGTTCGATTCCCGGTCAGGGAATTGTTTTGCACTGGCCGCCCTCCCGCAGAAATCTTCCTTTACCACGCTGTCAGCCGGCCTGCTCCAAGGGCCAGATGTAGAACAGCCTCCGCAGCGAGGGGCAAACCCGGGCAAAGGAGGGCAAGTCGTGGTGGGCCACCTCTCACGTTTATCTCCGTGTCTGTCATCCGCAGAAGCGGCTTTAGAGAGCGACTGAGCGTCTCGCTCAGGTGTACACAGCCGTGCAGAGGCCAGTCCCCGTGGAGCTGCACTTAATAAGCGCACCCTCTTTGCCGTCGCCGCCCCAGAGGTGCCTATCGGGCTGAGCTTGTGAATAACTAAGAGAGAGGCCAAGCCAAGTCATGGCGTTTGTGCGTGCCCTGGACATGGGCACCGGTCAGTCAGCGGAGCCTCCTCACCTCCGTTCGCAGCTAACATGCTCGTTAGGCCTTCGGAAGAGGCGACCGGAGGCGATGCCCGCGAAGTTGGGAGGGGAGTGAGCCGCGGGTGAGGTCCTCAAGGGCGGTCCCTTTTGCTGATTGAGCGGTAGAGGGAGGCGATGTTCGCTGACCCAACAAAGACAGCAGGTGGAGTAGGCACAAACGGAAAACTGTTGCCGGTGCCCTAAGCAGAATGCAGGTGTAAAAATTAGCACTAGGACGTCAAAGCGATGGTACCACAGTCAAATCCCACAATGTCTACACTCTACCAAGCACTTGCGCACGCTCCCCCTTTTCCATTCAGTATTCCCAAGAGGGGTTTGGAAGAACCCCGCGTCCACTGTAAGCTCAGGGGAGAGCGGGAGCCAGGGAGGTGAAGTGCACAGACTGGACAGAGGCGGCGGGCAGAACCGCGGGGGTGAGAGGGCGCGTGGTTGCGGGGCGGGAGCCACTGCTGAAAGGCGGCCTGGGTTGTCGTGTGGGGTGACTGTCGGTGGAATCTTTGGCAGAGAGTGGTTTGGAAGAATGGCGAGGGGGGCAGTGGGTAGGGTGGTGACCCTGAGCGTCCGACCAGGGCGAGGACGCTGTGCTGTCCCTGCAGGGCATGCGCTCATTCCCACTTACCTGGCAGGAAAGAGACCGTGGTCACGAAGGGGGTTCTCCCAGAGTGAAGCTTCTTCATCGCACTCTAGAGTTGCTGATCTCTGTGATTTCTTCAATGTGGGAAACGGTGTTTGTGCTAGAAGAGGGCTGCGCTCTCTACCTAACATAACGGGGTTCAAAACTGACATCGCCTCACGCCTACCCGAAAACGTTTACGTGGCTTCCTTGTCTCTTTGTTTTTTCTGTCCTAAAGTCGCCTTATCCTCACACCCCCTCACGTTTTTCTTCCACACTCGAGAGTGTCTCTCCGTCTCATTAAAAGCCCCACCAAATATTTGAAATATCTCAACCAGAAAGGCTGCAATGAATACAGTATTTCATTTGTGGAAGCTACAGACCAGCTAGGTTGAGAGTTGCTTGATATTTTCTGCTAAACCGTGAGGCATAGAGCACTTGGAAGGTTTCTCTTTGGGCCTTTGTTTGTGTACTATTGGGTTTCCTTCTTTTCCCCAGACCGTATGGCGCTGTGGGGCCAGCGGTAAACCCTGCTTTCTGGCTGCAGATAAAGGCCGCAGCTGGTGCAGGAATTAAAAGCAAACCAAAAGACTCGTGGGTTCGCCCCAGTGGGTCCAAGATAGAGTCTGACTGTACCAGGATTCAGATTAGAACAGAGGTTGCTGCAGGCACAAGGCAGGGTACTAACCACTATAGAATCCCAATGCGCCCCACACCTACTGCCCGTCGTTTTGCTTCCCCACCCCTCTTTTATTTATTTATGCATTTTTTTTTGAGAGACAGAATTTCGCTTTGTCGCCCAGGCTGGAGGACAGTGGCGCGATCTCGGCTCACTGCCACCTCTGCCTCTCAGGTTCAAGCGATTCTCCTGCCTCAGCCTCCTGAGTAGCTGGGACTACAAGCGTCGCCACCACACCCAGCTAATTTTTGTATTTTTAGTAGAGACGGGCTTTCACCATGTTGGCCCGGCTGGTCTCGAACTCCTGACTTCAAGTGAGTGATCCACCCACCTCGGCCTCCCAAAGTGCTGGGATTACAGGCGTGAGCCACTGCGCCCGGTCCCCCGATTTTTTTTTAATGTAAAAACATTTATGCGATTTTTACGTGTTTATTCTTGGGCAGCTACAGGTTCTTGTGATTTTCCCTCACGTCTTCTCCAGTCCATTCTGATACGTGTCCCATCTTCTCTGCATCCAGCCGGTGCCCTCTGCACCGGCATCCTGGGCTGTCCCATTGTCTCGTCCTGGTCTCCCCTGCTTCTTCTCCCTCCTTCTTTTCAGGTTTTCCCTTTTGACTCCCCTGCCTCTTTCCCGCTCCCGCCCCACCAACCCCATCTACTGAAGCCGAGTTGAGTGAGGGGATAGCAAGCGGAGTAGATGATTGCCTGAAGGCGGCGCAAAAAAACAGAAAGAGCTACCTACCATGAGAGCCGTCGGGGCGTTCAGCTTCCCTTGGGCCCTACTAGGCTCAGGCTGGGGTCGCAGATCCAGGCATTTCCAGAGGCACTGGCTTCTGAAGGAGGCGAGGGTTAATGGAGGGTGAAGGCCATTCGGCCGCCCTTCTGGTTTCAGAGTCAGGCAATGCAAGCGTTTCTAACGTGCAACAACACGATTAGTCGACTCAGCCTCTCCGGTTTTCCGAAGCTTTGTAGTCTGCACAGTTGTCCTGCAGAAAGCGAATGGCAACCCCTAGAGTTTAGTGATTGCTTAATCTATGTTGAGATGAAAGCGACCAACTGAGGTTATCTCCGTGGAGCAATTGGTTAGCGCGTTCGGCTGTTAACCGGAAAGTTGGTGGTTCGAGCCTACCCAGGGACGTGCTTTTAAATGTTGGTTAGTTGTGGTCAGGCGCGGTGGCTCACGCCTATTAATCCCAACACTTTGAGAGGCCGACGTAGGGGAAGCCTCGCCTGAGCTCAGTTCAAGACCAGTGAGAATCCCATCTCATTAAAAAAAAAAAAAAAAAAAAAAATTGCAGTTGTTTCTCCTCAGGCCTATCACTGTATTTAAAAAGTGAGAGATTGTTCCCTTGTGTCTTGTGCATCCTATAAGTACACAAAGCAAAAGGTCCCCCTCCAAGCCTCCTATAAAATAAGATCCCTCCAGATCAAACTAGGTTCCAGATAGGCTGGAGTGCAGTGGAACAATCTTGGCTCACTGCAACCTCTGCTTCCCGGGTTCAAGTGATTCTCCTGACTCAGACTCCTGAGTAGCAGAGATTACAGGCGTGGGCCACCACACCGGACTAATTTTTGTATTTTTAGTAGAGAGAGGGGTTCACCATATTGGCCAAGCTGGTCTCAAACACCTGACCTCAAGTGATCTGCCTGCCTCAGCTTCCCAAAGTGCTGGGATTACAGGCGTGAGCCACCACGCCCAGCTAAACAGTCAGATGTTAAAATTATATATTCGTCTATTAGATGTCATGTCTAGTTTTTTTTTTTTTTTTTTTTTTGTACAACCAGATTTTCATCCGATGTCAGTTTCGTTCTGCCTGGAGGACTCCTTCAACTTTTTTTTTTTTTTTGTGGTAATGGCTGGGGGTAGTGAATTTTCAGCTTTTGTAGAATTTCACATTGACTTTTCCCCTCAGTGCGGTTTTTTTTTTTTTTTTTTTTTAGAGGGAGTCTTGCTCTGTCGCCCAGGCTGGGGTGCAGTGGCACCATCTCGGCTCACTGCAAGCTCCGCCTCCCGGGTTCATGCCATTCTCCTGCCTCAGGTTCCCGATTAGCTGGGACTACAGGCGCCCGCCACCATGTCCAGCTAATTTATATATATATATATATTTTTTTTTTTTTTTTTTGTAAAGACGGGGGTCTCACTGTTTTAGCCAGGATGGGCTCTATCTCTGGACATCGTGATCCACCCGCCTCCGCCTCCCAAAGTGCTGGGATTACAGGCCTGAGCCACGGCGCCCGGCGGCTTTGTGTTTCATAATCTTTTTTTCTGCAGTGTCTAATCTGCTGTTAATTGCATCCAGTGAATTTATTATCTCAGATGTTGTAGTTTTTAATCTCCAAAGTTTGATTCTGACCATTTTTATATGTTTGATACCTCTGCTTAATTCTTTGGACCCATAGAATATTGACATAATAACGGTTTTAAAGTCCTCTGTTTTCTTTTCTTTCTTTCTTTTTTTTTTTTTAAGACGTAGTCTCACTCTTGCTGCCTAGGCTGGAGTGCAATGGCACAATCTCAGCTCACTGCAACATCTACCTCTTGGAATTAAGCAATTCTCCTGCCTCAGCCTCCCGAGGAGCTGGGATTACAGGCATGCACCACCACGCCTGGCTAATTTTTGTATTTTTACTGGAGACGGGGTTTCATCATGTTGATGATGAAAGGTCCCAAACCTGAGACCTTTCACATGTGAAGCGAACATGTAATCACTACACTACAGAAACCCCTCACAGTTCCTGGCACAAGACATATTCCTGAAATGTTACCATCTGCTGTTTTTAACTACTAGGGTTTCCAATATAACAAATTCGACTGCTTTTCAAAATTTGAGTGATAAATACGGCAGGAAACACAATCCCTCAGGCAGACAGGCTGAACCCTCATTTACGGTTCCGCGCCTAGCCCCGAAGCCAAGACCCTAGGGACCCCCAATCTGGCTTCGGGATCCCGCATCTCATGCAGGGTTTCCAGGAACTGAGTGCCCGTGTGTGGGATTCTCCCTGCTGACTCTCTGGCTCCCAGAAGCTTCAGGAGCTGGTGGAGCCATGAGTGTCCCGTGCCACACAGGAGTGTGGACGCCGCCCCTGCAGGGCTGCTGACTGCCCCTCGGGGGCCCTTTCCCCGGCGCTGGCCATTAGGGCTCTTGGCTCTTGACAGGCGATCATGCTTCCGGTCCTCCCAGGAACCATAGGACCCTCCCTGCCTGCTCTTCCACCAGGCTGAAGGGCCTGACCCGCACGCTGTTTCCTTGCTAGCCCTTTGGCCTCAGCACCTCGAATCTTCCAGAGGGCATCCTTCACTGCCACTCTCGCTGAGTCTATTCGATTCAATGTAAGCTATATTTATCCACACGTTGAAGTTTTAGCAGGTACTATAGCAAAGGCTGTGTCTCAAGGCATTTCACTCTTTGAAAATATAGAGCATCCAACCCAGGCCAAACTGTGCTTCTTGGCCTGCACTGAATTCGTTTGAAGACCAGGGCATGAAGTTCATAAAACACAAGGGTTTCAGAGCCATCACCACTGAAGGACACAGGAGCAGCCTATTCAGATTTCATGATCACAGGATCTCCACCTCCATCTTGAGATTTTTTTTAAAGGCAGTTTTATTGCATTCTTTCATAATACTTGAAACTTTTTATTTGCATTTTTGATGTTCCTACTCAACAGATCTTGAAGTGAATTATAACAAAGAGGTAAGGGCAGTTTTCAGAGAAAGGCAGTGTCTGTGAACTTTTCAAGTTTGTCTCACAGCAAAAGATCAACAGGCAGAATTTCCTTTTGCTGAAAGATGTTAATGTGGTTTCTAAGGTGTTCCTTAGACATGAGTGTAAAAACAAATTTGGGGAAGAAAGTGCCATTTTCTCCAGCAGTTGCTTTTCTTACTGCAGTGGTTACCATGTTTCCTTCACATCCAAAGTTCAAATGCTCCCACCCTGGGGAAAGTGACAAAATGTTCGTTGGATGCCAGGCTGCAGTGTCCAGCTTTGTTCTGCTTTGGCTCAGACTGGAGACTGGGACTGGACTGGACTATGTCTCCCTCACTAGAGACTGGGAGCCCAGTTCCAGATGAGGCAGGCATCATGGTAACTTTTGATTAGGCAATTTTGTGACATCTTTTTCTGCTTTCTTCCCTCTGAATTCTCTCTCTCTCCCTCCCCACTGACCCAGAGGAGAGGATTCACTGTCTTTCTGACTCAGAACATTCTGGGGTCCTTCCTGGACAGAAAAAAAAAGGCAATTGCCCTTTAACCTACAGGAGCAGAAAGGGCTGCAGGTAACTGGAGACCCACAAACTCACTTCGTGGGCCACTGCACATCTGTGCCTTGTGGGATCCTAGCATACCCAAAACTGTGCGGCTTGAAGCTTCTCTGCCCGCTGAACAGGAAGTATGGGGTTCCTGACTCTTCAAGAAGAGCCACACAGAGAGGTCTTAAGCATGCCTCTGGACCTTGAACACAGGCCAGAAAGAGGCTTGAAGGTGAGGGCAGAGTCAAGAAAGGGTGGAAAGACAGGCCAACCCACTCTCCCAAGGGTACCTTCTTCAGGACAGTGATTTACTCTAATTTAGTGATCAGGAAAGGAGAGGATTGTGTAGAGCAATGTCCGTACTTGAAAACATGAATTCCTACCTAGATGTGGAGTCCGAGTAAAATATCGGCATCAAAAAGAACTCTGGTTGGCTGGGCAAGGTGTCTCATGCCTGTAGTCCCAGCACTTTGGGAAGCCTAGGCAGGCTGATCCCTTGAGCTCAGGAGTTTGAGACCATTCTGGGCAAAATGGCAAAACCCTGCCTCTGTGGTGGCACACCTTTGGTCCCAACTACACCAGAGGCTGACGTGGGAGAATCACTTGAGCCCGGATGTTCGAGGCTGCAGTGAGCCGTGATCATGCTACTGCACTCCAGCCTGAGTGACAGAGCAATACCCTATCTTCAAACAATCAACAACCTGTGATTTTTTTTTCTCTGCGTATTGCAAGGATGAGAACAAAGAGCTCCAACTAAGATGGAAACGGTACAGATGCGAAAGGATTTAGGGGGAAACCTCTGGTGTTCTGTCAGGGACCACTGGCCTTGCTTGAAAGAAATTTCATCCAGGCTGTCTGGTTTCCTGCATGTGTCTCAGGCCTGCTGTTGGTGGTCCCAGGGGCTGAGTGCTTAGCCCCTTCTCAGCTTGGGTGCCTCCCCTTTTGCCTTCTCCCAGCAACCTGGTCCACTGCCATGGTTCCTGTGGCCATCTCTCCAGAGCCATGCTGTCACCTCGAAAAGGGGCATCTCTAGATCAGTTTTTTTTCACTAAATTGGAATATGAATATATGTATTAGCATGCTCACAAAATAAATGACACATTAATTAGCACTCTCCTCATATGATAAAGAATACATATGACCCACACTGTGGCAGGAAACAGGGGTAAGGGCTATCAGAGCTGGGACTAAGTGTCCACTGAAGAAATCTTGATTCACCGGAGAGAAGTTGTTTCCTTGGATTCCATCATCTCTGCTCTAGCTACCAGCCAGGTCTCCACAACCTTCCCAGAATCCTTCATTCCAGCACCAGTTCATGTTCTTTGCCCTGGCCACTCCTGACTCTTTCAAGACCTGAGTCCACTTTCCCATGTCTCACTCACCCACCTCTGAAATCTTGCAGCACATCTCTTTGGTATGCTGCTGCCTGGCCACCATTGGGGGCACAATTGTCAGGTGGAGGAAGAACATACATACCGAAAGCAAAGAGCAGGGATACATTAGTAAATGGCGCTTGGACATAAACTAAACAACCTCACAGAATACATGCTTCCTCCCAAAATGATACATAATCCCCTAGAAGCAAAGGAAACCCTTCGGTCAACATGTATGAATGATTCTGTATGCCAGGCACAGGGGATATATAGTGGGTGGTGTTTACTTCCATTGTGCCCTGCACACAGCAGAAAGTTAGTGACTGGAAGACTGGAAGCTAGAACCAGGTCTGTATCCCCGCTCCCATCAGGTTCTCCTGGCCCTTCCTGCCTTTGATGGTGCCACCACTCTACTTCCTCTGTTCTGAACATTTGTTCATTTTTCAATAGAGAGTTGAAGAGGATGCAGGATGGCAGAGAAAGGGTGGGCATGGAGAAGGGGGAAAACAACCCTGTAAAACAGAACAAAAACTATACAAAACCCCAGAAACCAGATTTAGTACTATAATATTTTATAGCAATAGAAAGTAGCTGAGAATAACCTCAGGGGGAGGAGTCAGCAGAGATTGTGCAGCAGAGGCCACGGGTTTAGACGCCACAGGTTTAGACTAGAAGCCTTTCAACGGACTGCTGAATGGACTGGATCAGCTGTGAGCCTTCTTTGATGGTGACAGAACAGGTGATGACAGGACTGGAGACCCCACAGGCCCGCCCCAGGGCCCGCCTGGAGTGCGCAAACATTCCAGGCAGGCCCAGCACATTCTTCTCTTCACACAGCAGTGGGAGTGCAGAATGCTCTCTTGCAGCGTGGTGTCTGCAGCCACCACAATGAACTCACAGATGCCTCTGCTGAGGGTTTTGATGGCCTCATTGGTTCCTGTCTGAAGCTGCTTGTGGTTCCAGTGGCTCCGCACTTCTCAAGGAGCACAGCGTACTTCAGAATCTCTAGATCAGTTTTGACTTGTGCATCTGGCGGGCTTCGTGAGCATTGCAGACAGGTTCACCTTTTGGAGAAACCTTTGGAAGGCAAGAGGAATGAAAAGTGCTTGCTGTTGTTTCCGTGGTGGTCTAGTGGCTAGGATTCGGCGCTTTCACCGCCTGCAGCTCGAGTTCGATTCCTGGTCAGGGAATACATGCTTTGTAAGGTCTCCAAAAGCGGGCGACCTTAGCCCTTGTTACTGGAACTTGCGATGTGCCCCAAAGCCCACTGCAGGAGAGTTTCTGTAGTCTTGGGTGCCAGAAAACTCTGGTGAAGAAGGGGAGTTAATGGCGACCCTCTCCCTGTTTCTCATGCTCCTGACCGAAAATCTTGTTACCTACTCTTTTCTCCCTTGGGCACCCTAGCACTCCTGTTCTTTTCATATCTCCATTTCTCATACAGCAGTACTGACTTCAGAGGTCGACTAAGCAGCTTGCTCAAGGTTATACAGCCATGCATTGATCCACACCTGGGTGGGGCTCCTGCCCTATTTGCTGGGTTGCCATTACTGACAGAATGAGATCTGCATCTGGTAATGGCTTCTTGCTGCTTTCAGAGTAACTCTCCCACAGATAACGACTATAAACTAGAAAAATTTATTTCATATATATATTATATAATTTGAAGGTGCTGGAAGACTGAACAAAAGCAGGCGGACATATGGAAGAATGGCAGGTAGTGAGTATCCCATTTTGCAAACTTTCAGCAGAGGGCTGTTAACTGAAAAACCATACAATTTGTGAGCTTACAGAGGAGAATTTATTTCTTCTAAAGGGTTACAGCATGTAAGGTGGTCATCCTGACAGGCTGGGAATCGCGGGAAGCCCAGAAGCAGGCACTTTGAGGGAGGGAGGGGCAAGACAGGAATTTAAGTTGAATGGGTGGGCCTAAAATACATATTCAACAAGTTATAGGAGGATTTATGAATATTTGTGAAGGGGTCCTGATGCATGCTTATTGAACAAACATTCACGTAATATACAACCTTGTTCACCTTGTTATGGATACTTAGCATTTAAATGCATTACAATTAGGCCCTATACACAAAGGTCTTTTCAGGACACAAAGGCACTCAAATGCACAGATACTGTAAAACTGACAGAACCAGTCCATGGTCGCTGGTCTTCTCATCAGAAGAAAGTTACTGAAATCAGTCTCTTGTCAGTCAAGGCTGTAGTTATGGCTTGTGGAACAGCGGGGTTCGGTATCTGGTGAGGGGTGAGCAGCAAGTGCTTCAACACTCCCTATTCTCAAGGCCAGTGCTTGTTTAGCTGCTAGAGAAAATCCTTGTGGCAGTTAGAACATAGTTTATTCTTTGCATATATGGGGTGTGTGAGTTAATCCTTGCCCGGAATGGTCCTAAGTCCTATTTATAATTTGGTGTCTTATTGCCATAAAGAGTCTGTTCCGTCAGTCTTATGATCTCTGTGATAACATTAATGTTGGTCAGTTTTGTCTAAATTGCAAAAGGGTGGGAATATAATGAGGCTTGTCTGGCCTCCCGTTCCTTCTTGGCCTGGGACTCAGTTTATAAGGTTTGCCTAGGGTCCCGTTGGCCAACGGGGGGTCCATTTAGTCAGTTGGGGGACTTAGGATTTTATTTTTCGTTTATAGAACAAACTTTGCTCCCCCTTACTTGGATTAGCTAAATTACAATACAAAACCAAACTGTCTTCCTAGATTAAAGGAACAGAGGACAAAGTTTTAGACAACCACAGCAGTTGGAACATCAAGGGGTTAGGTGGAATCTCAGAAAAGAAACAGCACAGTAGGGTGACTACAGCTACCAGCAGTATATTGTACATTTCAAAGGAGCTAAGAAGAGAGAATTTGAAATGTTCCCAACACAAAGAAATGATAAAATGTCTGAGATGATGGATATCCTAAACATCCTGATTTGATCATTACACATCGTAGGCATATATCAAAATATCATATGTACCCCTATAAACATGTATAATTATTCTGTAACAATTTTTGTATTTTTGGTAGAGATGGAGTTTCACTATGTTAGGCAGGCTGGTATCAAACTCCTGACCTCAAGTGATCCACCAGCCTGGGCCTCCCAAACTGCTGGGATTATAGGTGTGAGCCACTGTGCCCAGCTGAATAGTTTTATTGTATGCATTGTGGTGATGATTTTTTTGTTTTTTGAGATGGAGTCTTGCTCTGTTGCCCAAGCTGGAGTGCAGTGGTGCGATCTCCACTCACTGCAAGCTCTGCCTCCCGGGTTCACGCCATTCTCCTGCCTCAGCCTCCCAAGTAGCTGGGACTACAGGCACCCACCACCACGCCTGGCTAATCTTTTTTTTGTATGTTTTTAGTAGAGACAGGGTTTCACCGTGTTAGCCAGGATGGTCTCAATCTCCTGACCTCATGATCCACCCACCTCGGCCTCCAAAAGTGCTGGGATTACAGGCGTGAGCCACCGCACCCGGCCTGTGGTGATGATTTAATGTGTCCATACTTATTTCCAATCTCAGCAAATTGTGTTCATTACATATGTACAGCTTTTAGTATACCAGGCATACATCAATAAATTGTTTTAAGAAAAAAATAAAGAAAATAAGAAAATATAGTTATTATAATTGTTCTGCGGTGAATAGATGCCAAATAGAGACAAATACAAAATCTAAGAAAACACAGAATATTTGTTGATAAATAGATTCGTACAATAATATTCATGCACAGCAGCCTTCTTCATAATAGTCCAAACTAGAAATAACCAAATTGTCCATCAACAGTGGTGTATTCACATATTGGATAACACTCACCAGTTACACCCAAATAAACTAGATACATATAATAATATGGATACATTTCAAAGATGTGAAAAAAACGCTAACACAAAAAGTGAATTTATATGAATTTCAAGAAGAGAGCAACATAATCTATGGTGATAAACATCAGAATAGTGATAAACCAAGGGGAGAAGGGTGGGGATTGCCTGGAAAGGGACTCTTGGACCTTTTTAAATATTTTTTATTTTTTGAATTTGAAAAAAAATTTTTATAGGGATGGGGGTCTTGCCATGTTGCCCAGGCTGGTCTCAAATTGCTGGGCTCAGTCAATCTTTCCGCCTCAGCCTCCCAAGTGCTGGGATTACAAGCATGAGCTACCGTGCCTGGCATCCACAGACATTTTTGGGATGATGGAAATTTTCTATAACTTGATCTGGGTGATGATTTCATTTGTCAATATTTAATAACCTGTCCTAGTTAATATATTTGAATTTTACACTGTGTGAATTACATTTCAATAGTCTGCTCTTTAGCATAAACATGGGGGGTGGGGGATGGAAGATGGAGACAAGCCAGTGTAGACCATGGCAAGGAGTTTGGATTTTATTTTAAACTCAGTAAAAGCTCACTTTCATCCCCCCTCACCCCCCACAAAATCCCTCCTAATATCTCAAACAGAAGAACAGCTATGACTCACAATTTCATTAGTGGAAACTGCAGGCAAGCCTCTTTGAGAAGAGGCATTTCACCTTGTGTGGTGGTTCAATGCATGCCCAGATGTAAGGCACCTCCAAAGTTCCCAATGATCTAGTGCAGGTGTGTTTTTGATGGCCCTGGCTGTATCATGCTGGCAATTCAGTGGTAAGCCTTGTTCTCTAGTCACAAATAAGGGTTGCAGCCATTGTAAGGAACAGTAAAAACCAGTTATGACCACACCACTGCATTAGTGGAAGCTACCAACATGGCGGTTTGAAAGGTGACATTTTACCCTTTGGGATATTTTCTGCTCAATGGTGAGACATAGGGCATGTCCTGGGCCCTAGGTATGTGCAATGTGGGGTCTCCTTTTTGCCTGACTGCACTGCATTGCAGGAGTCAGTGGTAAACCCTGCTAAAGGACTCAGTCAGTGCACGGATTGAAAACAAACCAAAAGACAGCTCAGTTTCTCCCCAAAAAGATGCCACACACTGCCATTTTGGATTGGAATCAAGGTTCTGCATTCACAACACAAAGTGCCAATCACTATACCACCGTGGCACGCCATAAACTTGCTGGCAGATGCTGAGTTTTCTTTAACACTTTCGATGTAAACATATTCACAATATTTTGTTCTTGCATCACTTGCTTTCTGACAGGTTGAGTGGTAAGAAGCACAAATTCCTATATTCTGTTCTTTCCAAAAATGTTTAGTTTGATCAGAATGCAGGATGTTGAACAAGATAACTAGCCTATCCACTTCAAAAACTTAGCAACAAGGACAAAGAAATGGAGGGACAGCTCTAGGTAAGTAAAGTGCAATTGAGGAACTTTACTTGGAACCTAGGGAAGCAACATCAGTACCACAAGTCACTTCTCTCTCTCTCTTAAATAAATATTATATATACACATACATATATATATTACATGTGTATATAATATATAATACACACACACACACACACACACACACACACACAGAGTTTAATTAAGCAAAGAAGAATTCCTGAATCAGAAATTTCCAGAACCAGAATAGGTTCAGAGAGGTTCCAGTGCTACCATGTGGTAGAAGAAGATTTATGGATGGAAAAGGGAAAGTGACTTACAGAAAACAGAAGTGAGGTACAAAAATAATCGGATTGGCTACAGCTCTGAGTTTGTCTTATTTGAATCCAGTTTGAACAGTTGGCCACCTTTGATTGGCTAAAACTCAGTCATTGGCTCAAGAGTAGGTTACAGGTTGTTTACACATCCAGTTAGGTTACAGTTCACTACATATGGAGAAACCTTTAATATATGGATAGAGGCAGCTTCCAGCTAATGATATGTATATATCTTTAAGATATTGATGCATATAAATATTATTAAATTAAAACATTTATGCATATGTAATGTGCATGTGTGTTATATATACACATACATACACACATGCACACACTATGTATGCATAAATATCTATATACATGCACATATATGTGTATAGATGTGACATTTTCTAAACAGAAAATTTTTATCTGGACTATATATTAGATAATGTTATTGAATAAATGTTAATATCCTTAGGTTTGATAATTGAATTGTATTATAATTATATAGGATAATGTCCTTAATCTCATGAAATACATGCTGAACTATTTAGGGATGAAGTGGAGTTTTTTTGGTCTGCATTTACTATGAAATATGAATGTGTGTGTAGGTGTGTGTAGACAGAGAAAAAAGGTAAAGGAATGTTAACTGTTGAACTTGGGTGAATGGTGTAGAGGAGTTCTTTTTTTTTTCAATTTTTCTATAGGTTTGAAGTCTTTCAAAGTAAATGATTGTGGAGGAAAATGTAAAACATGGAAGACTGTGAAGAGCTGGCTGAATTCTAGGCTAAAATTTGGCTCTCTCTGGGTCTTGGCCTTGCAGGAGGGGGGACGGATCTCAGTACCTCTCACTGCTAGAAGAAAGTGTAGGTTACCAGCCTGGTGTACAAACCTATCTAAAGGATCCCCTCCTGTTACCCAGGATATGGGTGAAGTGTCTTCTTAGTCCTTCTTACATGAATCAGCCTTCTAGCCTGGAAGTCTGGTAGGTAAGTTTGAGGCTAATTTGTATGTTTCAAAGCTTCTGAAGAAGATGTCCCACTTTTACATTGGATTGCAAAAGACAAGTCAGTGTGTGTGAAGAATTTATTTTCAGAAAAAGAAATCCAAAGGAGAGTAAGTTAGTTGAAATCTAACAGTCCCATTGGAGTATACTGTTTTTACTTGTTGGTCCTTCAGAAATCTCAAGGGTGGGAATTTGGCCTATACAGGAAGATTTTTCCAGATGATGAGTAAACAGCAAACTTTCAAGATCATTCTTTGGCAGAGATTCTACTGAGGTAGGAAAGTGGCAGGACTTATTTGCGGTTGTGGCCCAGTTGATCAGAGCAGGATCTGGTCCAAACAGGGTGCAGTAAAGAAGCTGACCAAAACCAGCAGATGGAGACAAAAGCTACCTCTAGTTGCTCTCACTGCTCATTAGCATAAAGACACTCCTACCAGTGCCATGACAGTTTATAAATGCCATGTCAACATGCCATGGCAATGGCCAGGAAGTTACCTTATATGCTTCTGGAAACTCCTCATCCCTTTTCCAAAAAGTTCTGAATAACCCACTTCCTAATTAGCATCTAATTAAAAGCATCTAAATAAATACAGCTAGCTAGCAACCCACACACTGCCCATAGGTTAGCCTTCCTCCACGAGAAGCAGTACCAGTTTAACAAAAGTTGCTTTCTTTCACCGCTGGGTTGCCCTTGAATTCTTACCTGGGCAAAGCCCCAATTTTGGGGTTGTCCTTCCTTGCATCATCTGGTGACCACAAAGACAAGACAAGATGGGACAGGACATGATATAACACAGGACAGGACAGGACAGGACAGAGTCAAGAACTGTTTAAGGCAGGACACTTGGTCGTGAAAAGTCCCTTACTGTGCTGACCCTGAGATGCCAAAGTCACATTGTTCAGTGGCCCCTAACTTGGCCTTTGGGGTTCACCATTGCCTCCCCTGCAGTTTCAGCATTCAGTGTGGGGACCATCACTGGCTGATACTTGGGTACTCTGGGTTTTTGGCATTTCGTTGTGGTGAGAGTTCCACTGTCACTGTTGGCCTCTCCCTGGATGCTCTGGGGTTTTCAGCATTGACATTCCCTATAGGATTGTGGATTAGAGCTCCTTCCCTGGAGGAGTGTGGATGTCATCTTCTCCGCCCTTAAATTAAAAGATTACGATTTTCCATAACAGCCAGTTGTGGGCCCCCTCCTACGTGACTTTGCTCAAGCCCATATTGAACTCTTGGTCACAGGGACCAGGGGTTCCTGAATCCCTGGCCCAAGTGACAACTACCCATAGTGGCAGACAAGCAGCAGCCACCCAAACATTTTGCCCAAATATTTTTCCTCAGTCTCTGTGGCTGCTGGGTAGATTTTCTGGCACCTCAGTCTGGACAACGCTGTTCATGCTTTCCCTTCCTCCCTTCCATGATCACCTTGTTTCTTTTAACCCCTCTTTGCCCAAACTAAAATGCTTTCTTCACTCTGTGGAATTCAGACCCATCATTTTACTTCGCATTCATATTTCATAATCTACTTTCATAACACTTTGCTAACTGTACTTACATCTTCTCTGCAGGAGGTGGGAATTTGAAAGGGAAAGTAACTGAGCTTTTGCTAGACTTAGAAAAACTTCTGGGTGTAGTAGAGATCCTTGTTAGACATGGGGACAAAGGCGAGCATCCCAAAGGACTCCCCACTAGGGTGTCTTTAAGGCAATTGGAGCAAATTCAAATGAGATGGCTCAAAGAAAAAGAAACAATTTTCTTGAGAGAACAAGAAATTTGGCCTGAAACTTGTTCTTTACATTATCATACTATTTTACAATTGGACTTGTTCAGTAAAAAGGAAGGAAAATGGGGAGAAGTTCCTTACGTACAGGCTTCTACGGCCCCCTACCAGGATTCTGACTTAAGAGTCAACTGCAGGATGTGTCTGGCTCATGTTACTTCCAGGCACCAAGAAACCGCGTGGGATATCCTCGATGCTCCCTTCCTGGCGGCACCCCCTGGAGGGCCCATGCCCTCTCCAGGGTCTTCTCAGTCCCCCAGTTCTGCGAGGGGTCCTGCCAGTTCTCCAGTGTGGGATTTCACCCCAATGTCATCAGAAAACCCTCCCTTTTATTTAGCTAGCTCCAGCCTGTATCCCCCACTGCCCAAGGAAGTAAGCCCAACCAGAACCACCAGGAGTGGAGCTCTCTATCAGCCCCTGAAATTGAATCTGTGTCCATTGCTGGAGTTAGCTGGCAGAGATAGGGGAACAATCAGAGTATATGTGCCATTTCCTTTGTCCAAATTGGCTTTCTTCAAGGAGAAATATGGCTGGTTTTTGAAGGATCCAGGGAAGTTTATAGAGGAGTTTGTCAGGTTGATGATGTCCTTTGATTTAACTTGGCACAACTTGCAAATATTATTGTCCTCTTCCTGTATTATAGAGGAGAAGAGAGGGATTCTGGGTACTGGCCTGTGAATATGCAGTTAGAGTAGCTGCTCATATCCAAGGCCATACCATTTATGTAGGGGGAGATGCAGTTCCACATAGAGACCCTCAGTGGGATTACCAGAAGGGTTCCCAAGAACTTGAACATAGAAATCACATGCTAACTTGTTTAATAGAAAGTATGAAAAGGTGTGTGATTAAGCCAGTTAATTATGACAAGGATAGAGAAGTAACTCAGTGGAAGGATGAAAATCCCATTCTGTTTTAGGGCTGCTTGGTTGAGGCACTCAGGAAATATACTAATGTAGACCCAGACAACCCGGAAGGGTGGGCTCTTCTAGGCATGCGTTGTATTACTCAATCTATCCTTGACATTAGGAGGAAGTTACAAAAGGCAGGAATGGGACCCCAAACTCCATGAGCCAACTCTTAAACATGGCCTTTGGAGTTTACAACAATAGGGACAAGGCAGAGGAAGAGGATAAAACCAAAAGAAATAGCCAAAAAATGCAATTGTTTGCAGCTGCTTTCAGCCTCCTACTGCTTTTGAGCTGCCCATCCTGAGAAAGTGTTGCAAGAGTGGCTTTGGGATGCCCAGACAAAAGCCAGCTCATCATCCCCTAGGCTGGAATCAGTGTGCCTTCTGTAAGCAAGAGGGCCACTGGAGGAAAGACTGCCTCAGTCTCCAAACGGAGTCTGAGCTTCTCGGACCCCTAATGGCTAAGAGAACAGAGGACTGACAGGGCCCAAGATTCCCTACAGCTTCCACCAGACACCTTGCCTTCTCTACAGAAGAGCCTCAGGTAATTCTTGACATGGCGGGTAAAAATATTGAGTTATTGGATATGCGAGCCGCCTTCTCAGTTCTGATCTAGTCCTTGGTGCCGCTGTCTTCCAACTCCTGTACTGTAATGAGGATTGATGACCAGCTAAAAGCTAGGAGATTCACCCATTCATTTAGTTGCACTGTGGGGAACCATGTTTTTCCACAGATTTTTGCTTAGTCTTGAGTGCCTTATTCCTTTACTGGGAAGAGACTTACTTTCCCAATAACAGGCTGCAGTTCAATTTGGAGCACCTCAAGAGAAGGCCACAGGCTGGGAAGGGACACTTCTCCTAGCTCTAAGTTCATGTCTTAACACAGATAAAGAAAAGTCGTTCCTTCCATCAAATATTACTTCTCAAGTAGACCCGTCTGCTTGTGACATGGTAGTTCCTGGAAGAACTGCAAATGTTCTCCCAGTCCAGGTTATTTTGAAACCCAGTGTTAATTATCTATGGGAAAAAAAATATCCTTTTAAGTGTGGTGGCCCATGCTTTTAATCTCTGCACTTTCGGAGGCCAAGGTGGGCATATCACTGGAAGCTAGGAGTTTGAGACCAGCCTGGCCAACAAGGCAAAACCCCATCTCTACTAAAAACACAAAAATTAGCTAGGTATGGTGGTGTACATCTGTAATCCCAACTACTCAGAAGGCTGTGGCAGGAGAATTGCTTGAACCCGGAAGGCAGAGGTAGCAGTGAGCCTTGCGCCGCCGCACTCCAGCCTGGATAACAGAGCAAGACTCTGACTCAAAAAAAAAAAAAAGAAAAATCCAGTATCCTTTTAGACCTTTGGCTCCAAGGGGCATCCATCCCCTGATAATGAAGTATGGATTATTGCAATCCTATCAGTCCCAACATAACACCCCCATTTTTCCTGTTAATAAGCCAAACGGGGAATATAGATTTGTTCAGGATCTTAGGGCAGTTAATGAGGCATTAGTTCCAGTCACCCAATAGTTCCTAATCTTTATAAAATAATAACTCAAGTCCCTGAAGATGCTTATTGGTTCATAGTATTAAATTTAAAAGATGTTTTCTTTCACACACCTTTACACCTGGACACCCAATACATTTTTGCATTTGAATGGACTAATCCAGACACTCATGCTGCATCTCAGCTTACCTGGACTGTCCTGTCCCCAAGGTTTTCGGACAATCCCCATCTGTTTGGCAATGCATTGGCAAAAGAGGTATGGGAACTACAGTTAATTAATGGATCCCTCTTACCATATGTGTATCACCTATTAATTTCCAGCCCTACTAGGGGAAGACTCTGAGATACATACAACTTCAAGTCCTTAATTTTGAAACAAAACAAGGGTATCAGGTATCCCCCCGAAAGGCCCAAATTTCTGTCCAAAGGGTCACGTATTTGGGACACATTCTCACTCCTGGGACCAGGATCTTGACCCAGGGATGAAAAGAGACCATCCTGGCACTCCAGGTCCCTCAAATTCCTTTTTGAGAATAGCTGGATTCTGCTGCGTTTGGATTCCCAGGTTTGGGCTCGTAGCAAAACCACTCTATGAACCTCCAAAAGTGAGTGGTCATAAGCCTTTGAATTGCAATGGAGACTGTCAAAAGGCATTCTTAGCCTTAAAAGAAAAGCCAGGGACAGCCCCTGCTTCAAGACTCTCGAACTTAGAAAAACCTTTCATCCTCTATGTGGATGAATAACAAGGGACAGCTTTGGATGTTCTAACTCGAAGGGTCAGGAATTGCCTCAGACCAGTGGCTTATTTCTCTAAACAGCTAGACCAGGTGGCAGCTGAGTGACCAGGAAGCTTGAGATCTGTGGCTACCATCACTCTATTGGTAGAAGAAGCCAGTAAGTTTACCTTGGGACAACAAGTAGATGCCATACCACCCCCGCCCCCCACCACCCCATGAAGTACAGTACAGAGGGTCCTAGAGGCAAAAGTATACCAATGGCTAATAGGGGGCCAGTTACTTAAATATCAGGCTCTTCTGCTTGACACCCCAGATGTTACCCTTAAAGTATGCTGATTTTTAAACCCTGCTACTCTGTTGCTGGACCTCACATCCCAAGAAACAGATCCCCAACTCATTGACTCCTGGGTGGAAACCATGGAAGAGATCTACTCTAGAAGGTCCAACCTTGAAGACAAGCCCTTGTCTAACCCCAGTGTTGAGTGGTTTAGAGATGGAAATAGCTTTATTCATGAGGGAGTAAGAAAGGAAGGTTAGCTAACAAGAAGTCATTGAGGCCAAGGGTTTACCTTCTCAGAATTCTGCTCAAAAAGCAGAATTAGCTGCTCTAATCAGGACCTTCCAACTGTGAAAAGACTTAAGCCTGGGTTGGATGGCTCACGCCTGTAATCCCAGCACTTTGGCAGGCCGAGGTGGGTGGATCATCTGATGTTGGGAGTTCGAGACCAGCTTGGCCAACATGGCGAAACCCTGTCTCTACTAAAAATACAAAAATTAGCCAGGTGTGGTGGTGGGCACCTGTAATCCCAGCTATTTGGGAGGCTGAGGCAGCAGAATTGCTTGAACGCAGGAGGCGGTGGTTGCAGTGAGCCGAGATTGCGCCACTGCACTCCAGCCTGGGCAACAGAGCAAGACTCCATCTCAAAAAAAAAAAAAAAAAAAAAAAAGTGAAGTATGTATCTTCTACAGTATACTCTTCCAACTTATCAGATTCTGTCATTGACATACGATGTTGCATCAATACTTGTGTAAGGGGTTTAACACTACTACTATATATAATATATGTAATATATTTTATATATATATGTATATATATATATAACACTAAGGTTTATTAAAACAACTCTCAGTAAACAGATGCCCCTGATGTTCCAACAAAATAACCTACTATTATTAGAAACCAAATAAACTCCTCCTCCTATGAGGAAGAAGGTAAACAACTTCTGGCTTGGCGTGGTGGCTCACGCCTGTAATCCCAGCACTTTGGGAGGCTGAAGCGGGTGCTCATGGTCACCTGAGTTTAGGAGTTCAAGACCAGCCTGGCCAACATGGTGAAACCCCGTCTCTATTAAAAATACAAAAATTACAGCGCGCCTATAATCCCAGCTACTCGGGAGGCTGAGGCAGGAGAATCGCTTGAACCTGGGGGGCAGAGGTTGCAGTGAGCCGAGATCACCCCACTGCACTGCAGCCTGGGCAACAGAGCAAAACTCTGTCTAAAAAAAAAAAGTAAACAATTCTGGAACAGTTTGAAAAAGCAATTTAAGTGAAAATGAAACCAAAAAGGGTAAAAAGAAAAAGGAGGGAATTGTAGGAAATAACCTATATGTGATTATCTATTTTCAATTCTAAGTGGCTTGGTATAGGTTTAGGCAGGCTACCTGGAAAGAAAGAAATAAAGAAGCAGAATGTACTGAGCCACCCCCTCCACCTTCCTTCTTTCCCTTTCACCCAGTGGCCAGGCATCTATCGGTGGGGGCCCCCTCATCTACCCCTTCCCCACTCCACAAAGAAATTTAGTTTAAGCTAGCTTGCAACATAGATAATTGTACCCTCTCTTATCAGCTAAGTGCAGCCACTAGAGCCGTAAGTCAAATGTTTGAAAAATCCTGAGAGTCATAATGCATCGTGTGCTGCAATAAAATGCAGCAGAAAGACCCTAAAGAATGTACTTGAAGAACAATCAATAGGTGATGTCTAGGAAGATTGTGGAAGGCTAGTACTCAGCCTATGAGGAACTGAGGGAGGGGCCTGTGCACTAGGGCGTAAATTGCTTGTTGAAACTGTGCTGGGTGTGCCTGCATGCCAGACACCCGATCTTGCAAGACCGTCATTAAAAGTCTCACTTTTGCTGTTCTCTGGGTCTCTGAGTTCATTGTTTGGGTTTAGACGGGTGAATTTGTTTCTCACAAATTTGATTGGATTGAAGGATGAAAGTATTGATCCTGGGCGTATCTGTGAGGGTATCTCCTTGCCAAAGGAGATTAACATTTGAGTCAATGGGCTGGGGAAAGCAGACCCACCCTAAATCTGGTGGGCACAATATAATCCACTGCCCATGAATATAAAGCAGGCAGAAAAACATGAAAAGGCAAGACTGGCCTATCCTGCCAGCCTACGTCTTTCTCCTGTGCTGGATGCTTCCTGCCCTGGAACATCAGACTCCAAGTTCTTCAGTTTTGAGACTTGAACTGACTTTCCTGCTCCTTAAGCTTGCAGACAGCCTATTGCGGGACATTGTGATTGTGTAAGTTAATACTTAATAAACTCCTGGCTGGGTGTGGTGGTTCACACCTGTAATCCCAGCTCTCAGAGACGCAGAGGCGGGAGGATAGCTTGAGCCCAGGAGTTGGAGACCTGCCTGGGCAATATAGCAAGACCCTGTTTTCCACAAAAAGTAAGAAAAAAAAGACAAAAAAAAAGTAAGTGTAATACTTAATAAACTCCTTTGTATATCTATCCTATTAATTCTGTCTCTCTAGAGAACCCTGACTAATACAGAGTCAATTAAAATATGAGCCTCAGGCCGGGCACAGTGGGTCACGCCTGTAATCCCAGCACTTTGGGAGGCCAAAGTGGGTGGATCCCGATCACCTGAGGTAAGGAGTTCGAGACCAGCCTGACCAACATGGAGAAACCCCGTCTCTACTAAAAATACACAATTAACCAGGTATGGTGGCACATGCCTGTAATCCCAGCTACTCCGAAGGCTGAGGCAGGAGAATCACTTGAACCTGGCAGGCAGAGGTTGCGGTGAGCTGAGATCATGCCATTGCACTCCAGCCTGGGCAACAAAAGCAAAACTCTGTCTCAAAAAAAAAAAAAAGCCTCAAAGAAGGCCGTATGGTTGAAGTTTATATGCAGCACATAAAGGACTAACTAGGCTTGGAGTTCTTAGGGGGTGGTGGCCACAGGTTATGGGAGGTTGAGGGGAGGAAAGACATGGTGAGCAAAGGCTGTGTTGTGATGCAGATGTGATGCAGATGAAGTCTCTCAAGAAGCAGCCCTCCACCAGATGTGGTGGCTCATGCCTGTAATCCCAGCACTTTGGGAGGCTGAGGTGGGCAGATTATTTGAGGTCAGGAGTTCAAGACCAGCCTGGCCAACATGGCAAACCCCATCTCTACTAAAAATACAGGCCGGGCTCGGTGGCTCATGCCTGTAATCCCAGCACTTTGGGAGGCCAAGACAGGTGGATCATGAGGTCAAGAGATCAAGACCATCCTGGCTAACACAGTGAAACCCCGTCTCTACTAAAAATACAAAAAAATTAGCCAGGCGTGGTGGCGGGCACCTGTAGTCCCAGCTACTAGGGAGGCTGAGGTAGGAGAATGGCATGAACCTGGGAGGCAGAGTTTGCAGTGAGCTGAGATGGCACCACTGCACTCCAGCCTGGGCGAAAGAGCAAGACTCTGTCTAAAATAAATAAATAAATAAGTAATAAATTAATTAATTAACCTGGTGTGGTGGTGGGCACCTGTAATCCCAGCTGCTCGGGAGGCTGAGGCATGAGAATGGCTTGAACCTGGGAGGCAGAGGTTGCAGTGAGCCAAGATTGCACCACTGCACACTCCAGCCTGGGTGTCAGAGTAAGACCCCGTTTCAAAAAAAAAAAGTTTCTCTGTCAGACCTTTAAAAGCATGAGATCTTTTGTTTCCTTTTCCTGTGAGTTAATCTTACCTGGATCCAGATAAAGCAGATAAGAAGGTCTCAGAGAAAGCCATTTGCAGTTGATGTTTACTTCCTCTACACATGCTAATCTCCCTGACAAAAGGACAGCTTTTCATAGGTATTTCTGTGACTGTGTTGCCTATTGCACTGCCTACATGACTTACCTGGACCCCTACCCAGATGTTGTTGGCCATTGCAGTGCCTATGTGACATGGCTGAATTCTTACTCACCTTTAACTCTGCTTATTTTTAAGAAACAGGATGTCTGTGGTCAGAAGTTTCTTCTTGGGACTAAACCAGCTGAAGCTGGTGAAATCCTTGATGGCAGCTTACGCAACCTCTGACAAACATCTAGCTTTATTATAATCCAATTTCCATGCTAAATAGCACTCCCATCAGTGCATGACAGTTGACAATCACTGTGACAATGAACGGAAGAGACCAAGAAAGGACAGAAATGAGGTGACTCCTTGATTCTAGGAAAATCTCCATCCCTTCCTAAGAAAAGCATGAATATTCCTCACCTTGCTCATTCCCTTCATTAAAGATCCTCTATATTTGTAACTTCCTGGTTCTCAGTAGCTGAGAAGGTGATTTGCAAGCTATACTACTTCTCCAATTCCATGCTATGCTCCTACTTCTCCAATGCCATTGAATAGAGCCTGCACTGCTTGACGCTCACTCTTGGTTTCATACATTGGCTTTGCAATAATAAACAGGAAAGAGTCCCTTTTTGGGGTGAGACCCCTCAGTAACATCTGCAGCCCCTCTAAATAGCCATCTCAAATTATACCAAAGGAGTGTATTTTGGGGTGGCATATTTTGGGCTTCCCACATGGCTAAGCCAACATATAGCATTCTTGCTGAATGCAGGGTGATCAGACATCACCTAGCAGATGGTGAAGGATGAGGAGCCCTATTAGATATTATGAGTGATCAGCTATTGAAGATGGGGAATTCTGGCTAAATTGACTGAGAAGGATTCTTGCTGAGATTGAACAATGCAGAGAGGAACACAGAAGCTCAATAGTTGAGGCCTAGTGAGAAGAGGACTCAGAAGAGCCTGATTAGTTTGGCCAAGGAGATGTCAACCTGAAATAAATGAAAGGTTCAGAATTCAGTGTTAAAATGTTTATTCATTCTGCTTGTGGGAACTAATGGTAAAAATTAAAAAAGAGTTTATTCAAACAAAAATCTGGGAATAGCCAATCAGGGCACACAGACTCCAGAGAAATGGGGTCAGTGCTGCAAAGTCAAAAGTGAAGTTCTTGCTTACATAGAAAGAAAAAAAATTAATAGGATCACAACATTTTCTATATAAGGCTGCTTTAAGAGTTACAACAAATTAATTAGTTGCAGAATTTTTTGTTTTTTTTTTTGTTATTGTTGTTGTTCTGAGATGGAGTCTCACTCTGTTGCTAAGGCTGGAGTGCAATGGCATGATCTTGGCTCACTGCAACCTCTGCCTCTTGGTTTCAAGTGATTCTCCTGTCTCAGCCTCCTGAATATCTGGGATTACAGGTGCCCACCACCATGCCCAGGTAATTTTTTGTATTTTTACTAGAGATGGGATTTTACCATGTGAACCAGGCTGGTCTCAAACTCCTGACCTCAAGTGATCCACCCACCTCAGCCTCCCAAAGTGCTGGGATTACAGGCATGAGCCCCACTGTGCCCAACCTTTTTCTCTTTCCATACTACTTGTTTTCTTTCTTTATAGCTGGCTCACATTTCCTTTCCAATTTAAAGGAGTGTATTTAACATTGCATCTTAAGACAATGCAATAGCCATGAAGTCTTTATGAGAGCAAGGTAAGAAGGAAGTTAATCTATAATGAAAGTCAGCAGTGCAGAGGGAAGCAATCTTACCTGGCACCCTTCAATAATTTATATAACATGTTAGAAAACAATGCGTGTGGCTGGGTGCAGTGGCTCATGCCTGTAATCCCAGCACTTTGGGAGGCTGAGGCAGGTGGATCATGAGGTCAGGAGATGGAGACCATCCTGGCTAACATGGTGAAACCCCGTCTCTACTAAAATACAAAAAATTACCTGGGCGTGATGGTGTGCGCCTATAGTCCCAGCTACTCGGGAGGCTGAGGCAGGAGAATGGCATGAACCCAGGAGGCCAAGGTTGCAGTGAGCCGAGATCATGCCACTGCACTCCAGCCTGGCCCACAGAGCAAGACTCCATCTCAAAAAAAAAAAACAAACAAACAAAAAAAAAAAAACCAACAATGTATGTAAGGAAGAAGGCCAATCTATAATCAGAGAAACAAAGGTTACAACTGCCTAGTTTACAGGTGCCTCTCATGTGACTTAGGCTCCATACTCACATTTTCTTTTTTCTTTTTTTTTTTTTTTGAGACAGAGTTTTACTCTTGTTGCCCAGGCTGGAGTGCAATGGTGCAATCTCAGCTCACTGCAACCTCTGCCTCCCAGGTTCAAGTGATTCTCCTGCCTCAGCCTCCCGAGTAGCTGGGATTACAGGCATGCACCACCACACCTGGTTAATTTTGTATTTTTAGTAGGGATGGGCTTTCTCCATGTTAGTCAGGCTGGTCTTGAACTCCTGATCTCAGGTGATCTGCCTGCCTTGGGCCTCCCAAAGTACTGGGATTACAGGTGTGAGCCATGGTGCCTGGCCCATACTCACATTTTTTTAAGGCTCACAGTAATTTGGAATTCCAACAACTTACATTTTAAATTACTTATTTTCACAGAAAGAATCTTTGTCAGTTGTAACTCGCTTATTTCTCCAAAGACCATAGTCCTGTCCAGTGATCCTCCCCAAGACAATAGCTCTCTCTAGTAACTATAGTTTTCCTTTCCCATTTCAATTTCCACTCCAATTGACTGAATTGTGAACACCAACTCCCACACTTAAATGTTGAAGCCCTAACCCCCAGTGTGATGGTTTATGCAGCTGGGGCCTTTGAGAGGTAATCAGGTTTAAAAGAGGTTATGAGAGTGGGGTCCTCATGCTGAGATTAATGCCATTATAAGAAGAGACACTAGAAAGCTTGCTCATCAGCCTTCCCTATGGTGCACAAAGAAATGGTCACATGGGCACACAGTGAAACTACAGCCACTTACAGGCCGTAGGAAGAGATCTTAGAAAGAAATCCGCTTTGCTAGCACCTTTATCTTGGACTTCCCAACTTCTAGAAGTGTGAGAAACACATTTCTATAGTTTAAGCCACTTGGTATATGGTATTTTGTTATGGCAACCTGAACAGACTTATACAACAATTAAGTCCTAGAGGCAATACAACTTCTCTGCTGATTCCAGATTCTGAGCGCCTCTCAGTCCTTTGTTGGGTTATTTTGATCCTGTCCATATATTTATAAATATTCTCTTCATAAAACTCTCTGTAGGCTGGGTGCAGTGGCTCGTGCCTGCAATCCCAGCACTTTGGGAGGCCGAGGCGGGCAGATCATGAGGTCAAGAGATCGAGACCATCCTGGCCAACACAGTGAAACCCCGTCTCTACTAAAAATACAAAAAATTAGCCAGGTGTGGTGGCGGGCGCCTGTAGTCCCAGCTACTCCAGAGGCTGAGGCAGGAGAATGGCGTGAACCCAGGAGTCGGAGCTTGCAGTGAGCCGAGATCATGCCACTGCACTCCAGCCTGGGGGACAGAGCGAGACTCCATCTCAAAAAAGAAAAAAAAAACTCTCTTTAAATCACACATTCGAGTGTGCCCTTTGTTTCTCATCAAAGCCAAGACTGATGTGAGATGATTTCTTAAGGTCAGGTTAATGTCTTAATCCAGTTGTGCTGCTATAACAAAATACCACAGAGTGAGTAACTTATAAACAACAAAAATTTATTGCTCACAGTTATGGAGGATGGTCAGTCTAAGATCAAGTTGCCAGCAGGTTCAGTGTCTAGTGAAGGCCCATTCCTCTGTCACCCAGGCTGAAGTGCAGTGTTGCAAGCTTGGGTCACTGCAACCTTCACCTCCCAGGCTCAAGTAATCCTCCCACCTCAGCCTCCTGAGTAGCTGGGCCACAGGTGCTCACTACCATGCCTGGCTAATTTTTGTTTTTGTTTTTTTTTTTTTGGTAGAAATGGGGTTTCACCATGTTTCCCAGGCTGGTCTCAAACTCTTGGACTCAGGCAATCTGTCAGCCTCCTGAAGGAGTGCTGGGATTACAGGCATAAGCCACCGTGCCCACCCCCCAAATTCTACTAATATATATGCATAATTAAATAGTTACCAGCCATCATTTTCTGATACTTTGGCAATTGGTTGAAAGAGTTTATCTAAAGACCTGGAATCCATAGAAGGCAGTCTCTGTGTTAAGGGGTTGTTCTTATTATGCAGATGAAGCCTCCAGGTAGCAGGCTTCAGAGAGAATTGATTGTAAATGTTTCTTATCAGACTTAAAAAGGTGCCTAGATTAGGGAAAAGACCTGGAAAGGGATTCCCTGTAGCATGTAGACTTTCCCCACAAGAGACAACTTTGTAGGGACATTTCAAAATATGATAACAAATATATTTTAGGGTAAAATATTTGTATTTCTTTCAGGGCCTGCTATCTGTCATGTAATGCTACACTAGAGTCAGGCTGGAATTTGGTGTCTTATTGCTACAAAAACTCTTAAGATCTCTGTTGTAATGCCAGTTGTGCCTGGTCGGATGTGCTGGTCAGTTGTGCCTGAATTCCAAAGGAAGGAGGGTATAATGAGGCATATCTGACCCCTACTTCCCATCATGGTCTGAACCAGTTTTTCAGGTTAACTTTGGAATGACCCTGGCTGAGAGGAGGGGTGCATTCAAATAGTTGAGGGGCTTGGAATTTTATTTGTGGTTTACACTATAGAAAGTATTTTTCCAGTATTACCTGGACAATGTGTCTCCCTGTCAGTATCCAGGGGATGGCACCTGGATCAAGCATTTAGTGTTCAGTTGCTACACTCTCACCTAATCCCTCATTTTCAATATTTTGCCATGTTTTCCAGTGACCCAACTGGCCACCATGTCACAGACTTTATGGTCTCCAAGGGAGACCCCTCCATTTCATGTTTTGTGATTTGAGCAACAGACTGGAATCTACTTGAAATTTGCAAATGGTCTTTGACTTGGGCTTTCCAATTTTGCTCTACTTCACAGTGTTTTCTGGGTTATATACAAGGGAGATGATCCAGTCATTTGTTAAGCGCCTCAAATAAGACATGCCCTAGATGTTTTTTTGTTTGTTTGTTTGTTTGTTTTGGGATGGGACATGGAATTTACACCTAAAATAATCAGCGTCTGAAAGGACGTCCCCTCTCTGGATATGGAAAAGGAAGAACTGCAGGAGTTGTATGCAGCTGACTTGCAATCCCATGGGAAACAATGCTAGCTCACAGGAAGGCAAAAGCTGACTGTTGAAAAGAAACCAAGTCCTTGAAGACATTGTTAGGCCCCAAACCAATCAACCCAGAAACCCATTTACCACTGAATCTAGAGTTAAATAAGCAAGAAAATCCCCTTTTATTTAATCCAGTCTGAGTTGGGTATTCTGTCATTAGCAAATGAAGGCATCCTGACATGTGGGAATGTCAAGACACACAAGCTCTTGTGCAGTTTTCCATGCATGGGGACAGTGCCCTGGCATTCCAGAAATCCTGGCTTACTTATCACCACTCTCTAATCAACTGCAAATAACATTTTAAAACTAAGTGCAAAGAGAATGATCAGGAATATCATAAAATCTGCATTTATTTAAAAAAAAAAGGAGCTTACAGTGAAGTAGTCTCAAGCAATTGCTTTCTTTTTTTTTTCTTTTTTTTCTTTTATTATTATACTTTAAGTTTTAGGGTACATGTGCACATTGTGCAGGTTAGTTACATATGTATACATGTGCCATGCTGGTGCGTTGCACCCACTAACTCGTCATCTAGCATTAGGTATATCTCCCAATGCTATCCCTCCCCCCTCCCCCCACCCCACAACAGTCCCCAGAGTGTGATGTTCCCCTTCCTGTGTCCATGTGATCTCATTGTTCAATTCCCACCTATGAGTGAGAATATGTGGTGTTTGGTTTTTTGTTCTTGCGATAGTTTACTGAGAATGATGATTTCCAATTTCATCCACGTCCCTACAAAGGACATGAACTCATCATTTTTTATGGCTGCATAGTATTCCACGGGGTATATGTGCCACATTTTCTTAATCCAGTCTATCATTGTTGGACATTTGGGTTGGTTCCAAGTCTTTGCTATTGTGAATAGTGCCGCAATAAACATACGTGTGCATGTGTCTTTATAGCAGCATGATTTATAGTCCTTTGGGTATATACTTCTCAAAAGAAGACATTTATGCAGCCAAAAAACACATGAAAAAATGCTCATCATCACTGGCCATCAGAGAAATGCAAATCAAAACCACAATGAGATACCATCTCACACCGGTTGGAATGGCAATCATTAAAAAGTCAGGAAACAACAGGTTCTGGAGAGGATGTGGAGAAATAGGAACACTTTTACACTGTTGGTGGGACTGTAAACTAGTTCAACCATTGTGGAAGTCAGTGTGGCGATTCCTCGGGGATCCAGAACTAGAAATACCATTTGAGCCAGCCATCCCATTACTGGGTATATACCCAAAGGACTATAAAGCAACTGCTTTCTAAGTGGGATGGCTGAAGCAAGAGACCTTAAATCACTTGACCGCCTTCACAAAACAGAACTGAAGCAGAACCAGAAGTCCCCTGATAGCCTTTCAGGGACACCACCTACAAATACACCGTAATCCCTCATACTCCACACGCCACTTCAGGGAAAGGGACATGAGGCAGGAATACAAATATATACCATCTGTGACACTTCCTAAGCTCCTGGCTTCAGAGTAGCCATCCTGATAATTATTTTTTAAAGTCCACATTATAAATGTGCAAGTTAAGTGAGTTATGGAAATCATTCCAGATACTGGTTCACCAGTAACATCAGTTTAGCCCTAAATATTGTCATAAGTTCTCTGATAGGCTCATGTGATTTAAGCTGGTGCTCTGTCAAGACTAGACTTAGGCGTTTTATCCTTTTTATGACATTATGTATGTTGAAGAGAATATATGAATGCATTTTATATATATGAATATATATAAAACCTTCATTATCACATTATTCTCAATCCAGCATTTTCTCAGCCCCTGATTTTCATGTTAGTTCAGCATTCTTACATCTTTACAGATTTTCATCTAAGACTACATTTCTATTGTTTTATATAATCAGCCCCCCTAAGATCAACATGTCCACATTTTTTGGCAAAGACAAAGCCTACTGATTTCAGGGTCATTATTTTCCTTTTTCAAAAGCACAAACCCAAACTGAGAAATAAATCAAGAGAAATTCTCCTTTTTTCTATGCTAATTTAGAAGTAGAGTCTTTATTTCTTTTCAAACCCAAAGAGAATCAGACATACAATATGAATTTATCTACTTTCGCTTGCTCAGACTGAGAGGAAAGATTAATATTTTCAGGCTGTTAGTCAAAACTGTTCATTCAAATATTATTTAATAAAATCCAAGAACCAGATAAAAAGTCGCTTAAGCTAAGAAACCTTCACCAGCCTCATGGGAAATTGTGTACAGTTTTCTACTAGAATAGCCTATAAATGCTTACTGAAAATGTCTAAGTTCATATCTTGGTAACTAACATTTTAATTCAATCTGCAGAATAATATATGCTTCTTTAGTGCTAAGATATGAATATTAGAGGCATTCTTTCTTAAAATTTCTATTTAGTTATACTTTCACAAATAACTATATAATATTAAAATTCTGCATGTGGCATAAAACATATTTTAATGGAGAAGGTAATGTGTAGGGAGTTTATTTCTGTTTGCTATTAGAACTTGTGTTTATTCTTGGTTAAAAAAACTGCACTGATTACAACATAGAAAAAAACAAAAGTATGTTGTATATCTCTTACAGTAGAAGATAAAGAGTAGTTCTAAATTTAGAAAGGAAAAATAAATATACACAGTGAAAATATGTGTCAGTGAGATGTTAATCAAAGATCAACTATTGCTGAGACCAGCAATATTAAATCCCTGCACAATTACTCATAGTATAATGAGAATTTTAAAAAGAAAATATGAACACATAACATAATGAAGGCAGAAGTCACTCTCATCCTTCATCTTTGTATTCCCAATTCAGGAAGCTGGTATAGTATCTTCATTATAATTACTATTCAACAAACATTTGTAAAATGAATGAATAAGGAATGAATGATGAGAAAAATGATAAACATCTCCCTCTGTCTCCTGGGAGTTAACTGCACTACTTTCTTTTAAATTTAATTAATCCTCAATGTCCTTGTAAAATAGCCAAAGGGAAAATGTATTTACATTACTCTAAATATTGATGCAATCTACAAAAAGGGTTAAACAACTTCCTCAAAGTAAATAAAACGTTCACAATCCAGCTAGGATAAAAGGATTTAAATCATTTCCTAGGTAGAGGGCTTTCAATTAGAGCCCCTGCTGCATTAACCATGGGAACTCATCTCACTCTCTTCATGATGGAGCCCTGAGTGTTGCTGCTAATCTGTACTCTACCATTCTAATGCTTTTAAGGTTCCTTTTCAGCCCTTCCTCCTCGTAATCCACAAATACTGAGACCAAGGCATTTTTTGGGTCAGTCCTAATTTCAAGCATTCTATCCTGCCCTCCCCAAATGAACTCACACTTATTAGACCATATGTTCCTATATTAGTTCAGGAAGGGGGAAAAAATGTTCATCACACTTGTATATAAGAGATCATAGAAAAACAGTTTACTAACCTGTGAAAATACCATTCATTCTCTGTTTACCTCTGGTCCACAGCTAAGCAATCAGTAGGATATAAATGTACCCTATGTTCACTATTCAGTATTCATAAGTATACTACTTATGAATTGGAAATATGACACAACATTTACATGACCTAATTTTGAAAATTTAAAATAGTGTAAGGCCCCTAGGCTTAATTTTACAGGGGAAAGATTAAAGGGACACAAGCAAACATATATTCTCTCTCTGTGCTGTGGGACACTGGTAATTTTTTGACTTAAAATATTTGATACTTAAGATGCCAAACTTCTACATTTCTGCAGTAACAAGGCAGTTATCATATTGAATACCATTTCTTTCTCTCCAGTAAGTAGAGTTAATATTAGCACATGAACTGAAAATATTAAGTGATTATAAAAAAGTCCAAATAAATTCATTAAAATTTAGCTTGGCAAAATGTTAGTTTCATGTTCTTGGTAGAAGTCCTTTTATATTTATATTCAAATGAAATGAACAATTTACAAGCAAAGGAAATGGCATCAAATATTTGACACCCTGCCTCCCAAGGTGTATTGATTCATGCTTTTTGCTCAGATCTAGGTTTCTCCACTCAGGAAAAGAGGAGAATGTACCCATACTTGGGAAAACAAGTTTCCGATGGCACAGCTTTGATCAAACAGCAAAATTCTATCCATCTATGTATTGCCATCTGACAGTATGACAAATGGTCCCATGTGCGATATTCACACTGCATTGCAGTCAAACCTGTAAGTCAAAGGATATGAAATAATAGTAACTACACATTAAGCACAGAAGAAAATGAAACAAACAAAAAGGTTTTAAACCAACCAAACATATGTCTTATTTTGGATGTTCTATATGTTCTTACATTCTCTCAGGTCTTTTGTGTCATTATGAACACAATTCTAACAAGCTTGATTATTTTATTTCCATTCACATATTACAGGCAACAAGCTGAAAAAGTAGAACGGGGTGTAGAGAGACAGGACAAAGTACAGATAAGGGCTTGAAGTGCCCCTGACCAGTCGACAGCAACCACATGGAATAATGACTCATGTGCATTAATGATCACACTAAATGATATTTGTTTTTTACCTAGTCCTTCAACTGACAGCTTAAAGAACTTCAGGTTGTTCTGATTCTTGAGTCTCCTCTACAGCTTCAGAGAGGACTTTCATTTTATTTTGGATCAAATGCTCCACAACTAGTTGAAACTGGAATTAAATTTTATATGAAGTTCCTAGATGATTTAAAGCTGTAAGAAGAAGAATAATGAATCATAAGAAAACTTGCTGCTACAGATATCAAAAAGGAATGTTACCATCCCTCATGCTAATCCTTTTCATTTTAAATAAACAGGATCTAAAAAAAATAATGCTGGGAAGTCCTAACCACATCAAGAATGCCTCAGATCAGTGACCCAAGGAACCTTCCAGAATGGATGAAATAGACCCAAAGCTGAATTCACCTAATTTTAGGGCCAAAAACCCAAAAAACAAAACAAGACCAAAAAAATCTTCAGATACTGGGAGAACAAATCTCAATTGCTCAATTGTATCTTATGAAAACAATTTTTCAAAATAAAACAAGAGATATTTAAGATTCATTAAGTTCTTGTCATTTCAAATTTTAAGAAAAATATTTTCTAATGGAATTACATATATTTGTATGATTCTTCTAGTTATATCCATGGTAATAAATACTCTTTTCAGTTGGAAATAAAACCCATTTGTGCTATATTATTAGGGAAAATATCTACATAAATTAGTTTTTAATTTAACTAAAGTCTATCTTTTGAATTCATAAGCATAAAATTTTAACCACTTGCAAAATTTATAACACACTTAAGGTAGTCAGATGCCTTGTCAAGTAGTTTAACAAAAGTGATTTTCACCTGTTTGTTTTAATAACAGTGCATCGATTTTATGAAAATCAGGCATGCCCTCGGGTCCTAACAAAGTATACGAAGCTGAATGGATCTATGCCAAATATGCCAGATTTTACTTTCTGAGTCTGATTTTATACTTCTGTCCTCTTTCTTACCACATGGCTTCCAGTATCACTTACAGACTAACCCTTCAAAAGGAGAAGGCTAAGTTACTAACATTTGGAAGGCTTATGAAAATGAAGCATAGTTATGAGCCAGCAATGTTTTTATTTATGGAATGTGTGCAAACCATACACTTAAGCAAGCTCTGGGGAATGAGAGTTGGGGGGAATCAACTCTTTTATTTGCTAATTGGTATTTCCTTTAAAAGATAGAGTTCTTCCAGATTTTAACTGTGTTAATAGTTACTCTAGAAAAATTGGAGATTTGTGTGCATATATTTTATGTTGTAAACAGACACATACCCAGAGACACTGAGAGAGACAGACAGACAGTAAACAGAGGAGCACTAACCACAAACGGTTTACAAATGACCTCTGTGCTCATTCACCTGTCTGTTCCCCACCTTGCCTTTTATAGCAACTATAGCAACAGCCATGAGAGTCATTGTGGAAAGAAATAAAATAAAATTTAAAAATCCTGGAAGCTTGTAAAGAATGTGAGCAAAGGGGAGGAAGTTGTGAAAAAAATGAATAAAGGGCACCGATCCAGAGTATTGAAGAAGGCAGAGTGGAGAGCCTAGTAATGAGTATCTGGTACCCCAGTATCCTCTCCCACAGAATCTGTACAGCTCTCCGTTTATGACAGTTTAAACTTAATTTAAATTATCAAACAGACACTTTCCTCAAACATATAAATGATGAGGCAGTTCATTCAGGCTGTATGTATAAAGTTGTTCCAGCCACCTTTTTCTAACGGCTTCTCTATATCTTTTACATGGAGACAATGAGAGATTTGCTTAGGACAATTTGACTGTAATTTAGAAGTAGGAAATGGGAAGTATTTGTATCTTCTTTGCCTAACTCACATTAGTTACTCAAGTAAGCATTTCTTCCGTTATTGCATTTTCCTGATTACAAGTTTTATGTTTTCTCTAAAACACATATCAAAAGAAATGTCCTAAGCACTATGCAGGGGGAAGCCATGACATTTATCCACCACTGTCAGCAAAAACATGAACTTAGCCCTCAACAGAATATTTCACTTCATTCTAGTGTCACCTCTGCGTCACCTGCACTGGAGTCACCACTTGCCTGTTGGGTAAGACCAGGATGCACCGCTGAAATAAAAAGGGGTCAGACAATACAAGAAAAGCCAGTAGAAATTGCCAAATGTATCAGAATACACACAGGCTTTCTAAGGATATGGCCCAAGAGGAAGGCTCTAGAGCCCACCCTGAAACAGGATTTTTGACTTCACAGAGAAATTATTTAATTTTCAATAACACAATTCAATTAAAGAAAGGGAAATACAAGGCTAAACAAATAAGAAATGAAGACAAAAACCCAACCTTTCAAATCTAAAGAAAATAATCTGTTTTAAAGACACAGATGAAGATCAGGAACCCAAAACAGAAGAAAGGAAAAGCAATTAACGCTGGCATCTGATAACAACGAAAAGTATGGAGTCTGGAGAATCGCTAGACTCTAAAAATTATAAAGGTTTAGACTTGGACTTTCTACACTGAAGAAAAGAAAACTGCATGCATTTATACTGACCAATGTACACTATTGCTGCTTTTTAACTTTTGTGTATATGTAGGGTAGATTTTTTTTAAGTGAAAGCAAGCTTATTAAGAAAGTAAAAGAATAAAAAGGTGGCTTCTCCATAGGCAGAAAACTAGCGTAGTTTTTTTATTAGAAATTGTTATTCAATAATAGTACATGTTACAAATAAATACCATTTTAAACTGAAAAAATTGTAGACTTTCAAATCAGTTAGGGTGGTCACCCTAAAAAAGGGCATTTTTTTCCCCTTAGTCTCCTTGTTCATGTTGCTCACAACAAGAAATGGGCTCATGCTATGAATAATAATAACAAACACTGCCTTCTGTCAGGCCCTGTGCTGAATACCATCTGCATATGTATAGGAAAGGGTTAACTCAGCAGGTCTTGTTTGCCCAGACTCTGTACATTTCCAAGAAAGGTCTGCCTTTAGGACTGGTCCTTGGCCAGCTCCTGGAGAATGAGCTCTCAGCTTTTAGAAAATTCTATCTGCTAAGAATAGTTTTGCATGTCTCAGGTCTTGGGCCACAAAATATCAGTTTAATCAGATGGTTTATGTTAACAAGTATGATTTATGGCAAACATAGATCTCTAATCTCCATTTCTCTCTCATATATCTATATTTATCTATCCATATATATGTACCTATATATATCAAATATGAAGATATGTTTATAGCAATTGCATATACATAGAGAGATAGTATGTAGTATGAAGAGAGACATAGATATTATTCTTCATTTTAGAATGTTATCTTGGTATGTTTAAAAGGAAAAACTTAAGATGTGTTGCAATTGCAGTATGAGTTTCAGGTATGTACATGTTATGTGTGTGTGTGAGAGACACACACAAACACATTTCAAACATGTTTTATGTTTAAGCTCAATATTCAAACACAGAAATATAACATCTATTCTTAGTATGTTTTATGTAAGTACAGCAGCAGCATTATTAAATACTGTATTTCTATGGTGATTGAAAATTAGTAGGCAGAGAATTTTTGTAATGGCTCTTAATAATTTTTGTAATAGTAAATGATTACTTTTTGTTTAGTATAGTTTTATAATCTATACATGAATAAAGTGGATATTTCTATTCATATAGAAATGTGATTTACTCTCATGTACTTATCTACATGCTAAAACCATAAGTTATCAATTTTAGTTCTGTGCCAAGGCACTTTTACTGAATAAAAATAATCAGCTAATTTTATATTTTCCTGATTCAAATTTATATGCCTGTGTAATGTTCCGGGATTTTTTTTTTTAATTTCTGTAAATCAGAATATTCAGATGTTGAAAAAGTCTTTGCCTTCAGATTTAAAAGATACCTTTGAAATGTAGCATATCCCAAAATGCAACCCAGAGGCTGGCAATGTCAACATTTTTCTGTTTTAAAAAACCTCTTATGAAAACTATTGCCATACTAAATTTTTTACTTGCTGATGACTTACAGCTGGAAAGGATTCTGTACATATAAGACATCAAATATTGAGGATACTGGAACTTTTAAATTAATGGAAAAGAAAGTCAACAAAGGAAGTTCATATGAAATCAAACTAGTAATATGATTACAAAAAAAAAAAGTTTAAAATTTTTCTTGGCCCCAGTCTTATCATTTCTGAGCCAAATACAATTCTATCGAAATCACCTGAAACTGAAATCACCATTCTAGGCTGGTTTTCCCATAAAGATGGACTGCTCCAAAAAGAGGAATCAAGAAAGAATTTGGCTAATTATTCACTTTGTCTTAGTTAAGTAAAAATAAAATCTGACTGTTAACTACAGAAATCATTTCAAATTCTGTGGTGATAATAAAGTAATGACCGCTTTTCAGCTGGAGGGACTAACTTTTTTTTTTTTTTGCTGCATATATAGCTGTGGTACATTTTAATGTGAAATGATGACTGCATCAGCTTATATCCATGGAGCAGATTTTAGCATTCAGCTTGGGTCTCCCAGTCAATATCTACGAGTCTCTTCTTAAGGAGATCGATGACACAGATACATACAGACTAACAAATGTGATACCAATAATCAAGAATTCACTCAGTTAAGATTTTGCCCACTGATTTCCACACAAGAAACCTAGAATTTACTAGATTCTTGTGCCTGTGAGGCTCCACTCATTTCCCTGAATCACAAAAGCTACAGAGTATTTAGATAGAAATATACCTACTCTTAACATGAACCATTTTAAATATATGTATTACTGTGTCCACAGGAGTACACTTTAAAGCAGGGACTTCACTCTTCAATCTCTCCAATCACGTGTTACCTAAAGTGGCATGTGGTTCCCTAAAGCTTAATAACTGACATTGCCTTAAAAAAGGGGTTTGCTTCCCGACTAATGTGGAAAAAGTCTGAAAAATGATTTTAAATCTTTCACTAAATTTCTCATTTGGTCACGTGGAGGAAAATGATTTCACCAAATAGATACTCTCATTAATTTTTTAATGTAATTTATCAAAGAAATGAAATATTTAGATAAATTCCAGATTTCCCCCACCATGAGCTTCTCCGAAAGTATACTCCATCACAGACTGCTCACTAAGAAGCTCTACTGCAGTCAAAGTGACCGAATTTAAGGGGACATAATGACTACTTCTGCTACACAGAAACATTATCCATCTCTAACACTTCCCTATGAGACAGAAGACGGACTTCTAATCAGGTACCAGAGAGGGCTCTGCCAACTTCAGGGCTTTGATGAATAAGAATGGTTCAGAGCGCTCATCATAAATGAATTCAGTATAACTGAGTGAGAAAGTGAGAGAACCAGAGAAATAAATCCTCATGTAGAAAATTTAGGGGCATGAAATGCCAAATGCCAGTTAACCAAAGCTTTCTTTGTCATAAAGCAACTTCTATAAAAATTGCTGAAAATAAATTCTTCATGGCTCAATGTGAATCAGTAATTTCCATTTCTATTACACTTTTGTTTACCCAAAAACTATTTTTAATGACTAAGACTCAGAGTTTGCCAGAGTGTTTTCCACAAAACAACTGTTTTGAGATACTCCAGATCTGTAATCAAGTAAGTCTGAAAAACCCCAAATACCTCACTCACCTCTTGGATATGCATAAAGCACACTAATATATAACGTTCTAAAAAGCCAATCATTAAAACTGTTTTATATTGTTTAAGCATTTCCTAGACATATTTGGCTACAAATCTAACATCTAATTAAACAGTTTGGGAAATGCCATCACATAATGTAGGAATATTACTAGTCATTTAAGAAACTAGAAAATATTTACTATATTCTAGGCAGTTGGCTAGCAGTTGGAGTTCTAGTCTCTAAACAAAATACTGACTTATTTCTGTGACTTTTTTCTTTTAAGCAGCTCTGTGCTTCACAATTTGTTTTTCCTGGTTTGTTTTCCACTTTTGTCTGTACTTTATTCCTTCACAGATGTGAAAGGCTAACAAATGTAAACTAGTTATATTAATCAGCCTCTGCCTCAGTTCTACACTTCAAATACAGTATATACTCTATCAACAATTCTTGGATAATAACAACCTGTACTTGTTTTTCAAACAATAAAACAGGCCGGGCACCGTGGCTGGCTCACGCCCATAATCCCAACACTTTGGGAGGCCGACCGAGGCGGGCGGATCACCTGAGGCCAATATGGTGAATTCTCGTCTCGACTAAAAATACAAAATAATTAGCTGGCCGTGGTGGTGTGTGCCTGTAATCCCAGTTACTTGAGAGACTGAGACGAGAGAATCACTTGAACCCGGGGGGCAGAGGTTGCAGTGAGCCAAGATTGCACCACTGCACTCCAGCCTGGGCAAAAAGAGCGAAAACTCCATCTTAAAAATAAAATAAATAATAAAACAATGATGAAAACACAACTAACTACAGCACTTCAGAGTTAGTTGACAAATCCACCTTTTCAATCTACATTTCAAAATGTTCAGAAAGACACCATCCTAGGGGAAGTCAACCAGCAGCAACCTCTCTGCTAATTTTTGTACACAGAAACTTGACCTGACTGCACAAAGATTTCAATAGATGTCTCCCTCTAAAATTAATATTGGATGATTTGTCATCTTCCATTTAATACCAAAAGGGTATCAGCCACAAACTGAAATATCACTCATATGCAAATAAATAACATTCAAGACTTTTATCGTTGTGGTTATTAATCTTGTAATGGATGGACATAAATCTATTTACATTCTCATCCTATCCTCAAATTTCACTATCCTCTCCTCTCATTCTTACTTTGTTCTACTCATTTTCTCACTCTATCCTCCTATGCATAAAATATTATGTATTCTAATGAACAGAGATACCATTCATGGGCAAGGAAAAAACACAATGAACTGCTCTTTATAATAAAAACCATGATCTTGACACAGATATTATCAATCAATAAACTTTACACAGCTTTACACTAAATTAATACAAACTGCTGATGAGTGGGTGGGGGGGGTCACTAAGCAAACAGAAGCATGTAGGTGTTAGGAAGCACGAGAAACATATATCAGTGGGTAGGGAAGGCAGCTCTCAAAGGCCAAGAATATAAGTTTTAGGTCTATATGGAAAAAGCTGTGGTCACATTCGAAGGCTTCTGAACAGAAGAATGATTAATTTCATGCTTAAAGAGTTCAGGTGTAAATAAACTGGATGGATAAGAAACTCAAAATCAAGAATTTTAAGACACTGGGTTAAGGTGATTGAGCTAAGTCAAAGCCAACAGGGCATGGGCTAAATATTGACATGGGATGGGATGAAGAGGCCAACAATGTTTCAAAGTAGAGGTTGCCGGAGCTTCAGGAACCAGAAGAGGAAGACTTGAGGTGAAATCTGAAACTGCAATCCCCATGCCTGGCTCAAAAGATGTGATACTGACTAGGAAAAGGCTGGAGAGAGAAGCTTCTTTTAAAGAGGTAATAAGGGATTGTTTTGATGTGCTGGGTTGAGGTGAAAATGACAAATATTCAGGTGGAAGTGTCCAGCATTCAAGTAGGATAACTTGGAACAGAAAGCCCAAATTATGTCATGGTGAAATGAGGATAATGTCTTATTAATAAAAACACGTCTTACTAGTCTTTCCTGGGGAACATGAAAGATAGAATTTCAGAAATTTAGAGAATGAAAAAGGAAAGATTACAAGGCAATAAGTTGATTAAAATAGACTAAAATAAACTAATCAGTGGCAGCTATCTTAAAGCAAGATATATCTTCTACAGCACGATCTACCCAAATGCAAATCTGGGCAGAGAAATACAAAATATTTTTAGGACTGACAAAATTTCAGCTATCTGTCTTTTTAAAAATGCTGCAGAGAGAAATTTAGATGGATTGGACAAATATTTGCATAAGGATTCCACAGCCAACGTACACAATTTTCCAACTACTATGGTTAGCACTGGGCTCAGGCACTACCTTTGCCAACCAGCAGATTTTCAGTATTGCCCCTGGCAGACATCCCACTAGCAATCTCTCCCCATTCCCAAACATTCCCAACTATTCTAGTCATGCCAATTCAACCAATGTCCCTTAAGCCTTACATAAACATTGACTTACACCGAAATGTATCCTATGGCTCTTACTAACTGTAACTTACTTAAATCACCCAAGCCTCTGTTTTCCCTGCTATAAAATGTAAAATAGCTGACAAAATACCTATTTGTATTTTTTGGAAACACGGGATAAAGCAAGGCAAGCAAAAAGAACAGCAGAGACAATGCTTAATAAATATCCTAGTAGGATCACCTTAATCCATGAAGAAAATGGAGTTTAATTTTTTTAATACAAAAAAACTCAATGAAGTTATACTTACGTTAAATTGGTGGTTATTTTAGGTCAGTGGTTTTAAAACTCAACAATGAAACTGTTTTCAAAAAGAGTTGTTATACAGAACAGAAAAAAGCAGCCACAATTTTAAAAAAGATATGAAGACCCAGATTCTGACTAACTCATTCAGCTCCCTTCATACTCCCTCCCCACAGCCACCCCAGCTCCTGAGGCAGGTTCCCAGGGCTCCAAGGAACATACTTTTAAAAAATCAGTATTTTGAATATATAATAAGTGATGTAACTTAAAAGTATGGTGAGAAAGTCCCATTGCCAAGAGAAACATGTTAATTTTTTATTTAAAAAATCATCACTCTTTTCATTGTGACATCTTGAAGAACGCTGAATGGCTTCAAAATAACTGCATATGCCAAGATTTCTGGAGTGGGCACGTTTGATCTTCTTTCATAATGAAAACTGACAAACCTTTTTAGGGGGATAGTATTGTTTCTTCACTCTCCCCCCTCCTCACCCCTGCACACACATACATTTCTCCTTCCTGGGGAACTCCAAAGAAAACAAAGGCCCTTTAGCAATCAAGTAGATTGTCTCTCTTGATGGCATCCCATGAGTTATGGAATTACATACTGCAGGCCCCGGTGGATTAGGGCCCCTAGAAAGTTTGCTTGATCAACAGAGTGCTGTTGATTTTTTCAACTGAATTAATTACTCTTGGAGTCCAAACTCTCCAGTGTGCCACAGTCCTCATCACTTCCTGTATCTTAAATATTGCATTATCTGTCCCCTAAAAGTATTTGAACATGTGACCCAGAGAAGAGGACTTACAACTTGACTAGGCAACTTCTGTCACACTGGATTCATATGAAATTCCACTGCAAGTGACATCACCAGATCGGGGACCCTGAAGTGTTTGAGTATCTTCTCCACATCTGGTCATTTAGGCTAAGAAATTCCTTCTTGTCTACCAGGTCTTTTAGCATTCATTTTGTAAGTCATTCAACACCTACTTACTGAGAAGGAATACTGGGCTAGACAGTGTGCTAGGGGCTGGGGAAACCGCAATGCATAGGAGAGAATTCCCATCTCCAAGAGGCTCACAGTCAAACAGACATAAATAGGTGATTACAATATACACTAACAACATAGTTTTAGAAACAACTAGCAGAATTATATAGACGAAGATGCCAGGAAAGGCTTCTCAGAGAATCTGGCTTGGCAAATATCTCAACAAAGAGGGCTGAGCAGGGATGAGCTGAAGGAGAGGATGGAAAGTAGGTTGTGGGTGAGTTTTCCAGGCAGCATGTGCAAAGGTCCAGGAGAAAGAGGAAGGAGCCTGTACTTGGAGGAATATTCGATTACTATTATCAGTGTCACACTTGCTATTCATCTAGACAGAAGCTCCTGAAACAAAAAGGATACACTTCAAAAGATGCCAATATATCCATGACCACACAAAAGAGTGTCTAGTCATATAATAAAGGGTGTACATATGCAGGCAACTCACATCCTGCCAAATATTAAATTTCTAATTTTATTATAATTTCTAATAAAACATTAGATTTATTATTATACAGAGTCATACTCCTTGATTGGGAAACTCTCAACACAATAAACATTCTTTAGTCTCATGTCTTTTCTAAAGGAAAGAAATTAATGTTATATTCTTGGGTGAAAAAAAATGTGAGGTCTCAAAAGAGTATAATACAATTTGGGGATGCATATATATTTTACATGTATATAGACACATAAAAATCTAAAAGAATAAATTTTAATATGTTAACAGAAGACAGAAGTCATGTATTTTTTACTTTCTTCTTTTTGGCATATCTCTTTTTCTAACTTTTTTTTTTCTTTTTACAAAAAACAATTGTTATTTGTGTACTTTTAAAACCTCACAGTAATATTTTCACACTACCTTCTTGGCTGAAAGTTCACACTCGGAATTCCAGAGCAGTCCATGGCCAGGCCCACTGGGCTCCCCTTGCTCTCTCCTTGGCTTTGGTAACCACTGGCCCCAGGGACTCAGCCTGCTTTCCTATCCATCCCCTCAGTAGCTGTCACCATGCAGGTTACCCCTTCTGTTTCTTCTACCACTAACTCCATGTCTGACTGCAAGTGAAAGGAACAGAAGCCCAAACCTTTGGGTTTTAAGGAGTTTATTGCTAATCTGTAAAACAGAAAGAGACAGGAGATAAGCATGACAAAATATAGGGAAGAAATGACTTTTGCCTAAACTTCCAAACTGTGTACAATTGAAGCCTCTGCTTTATAGCTCTTAGCACACCTCTCAAATAAGAAGGCAGTACTGGGAAGGCTCTGAACCTGTGGCAGAACCACTGATAGCTGTGGAGCTATTCCAAGGAGTCTGGGAATCAGGGGGATTATCAAGATCATTGTTAGAATAAATTAATCTTACTGTATATATAGCAGAAGTTTTCAAGCATATGTAAATGCTACTAATAACCAAATAATTACACCTTGTTTTTCTTTAAACTGTAACTCTCAAGTATGTCTCTACAAAATTTTTTGATGGTAGTGTCTGCATGCTCAAAAAGCTTGAAAACACTACTGGAGAAGAAGGTCTCGGGAGTGTGATGAAATACGTTTACATGGCAGCTTCATCATTTAATTGGTGAAAGTGACTATGTGTCTTAAACTCTCTGAGCCTCAGTTTGCACATCCAAAAGCAAGGATATAATTCCATGAACCTTTCCACCTCAAGTCCACAAGGCAGAATAGCAAGATGTTAACTGCCACTCTGAGGACCACCAAATAAAAGGACAATTTATTAGGCCACTTGCCAGCATGGACACAATCGACTCTTGGCATTTCTTATTATCCACAGAAAAATTAAAAGTATAAATGTAGAACAAAATTATCGTGTTTTTTTTAATAGTAACATGTAAGATCAATCTTTGTCTTTAAAATACCGTGTATCTCATTCTTGGAAAGCGTCAAAATGAAAATGGTATAGTAAGTTTTATCTACAACTTGAATTAAAATTATTCTTGAAATACGTTCTGAATGGTTAGATGAAATGGTAATTAAATACAAATAGAGATAATCATATACTCTCTCTCCATAAGGCTCCCACCTCCTTCAATGAAGTCTAGTTCACCTAAAATGACACTATTAACATTAATTCAATATTCTAAGTTGATAAGCACATTAAATCAAAACACAGCAAGATTATTTTAAGAGTCTGACTGAAATGTCAGGATGAGAAATAGATTAATAAATATTGGCTTCTAATGTCGGTAATGAAAACAAACACGTTATTTTCAGAAAATAAAAGGTCTTCGCCATTAGGTACAAATCATAAAGGGATTATCTACGGTTACTACACTGTAACAACTTTTTACATATTGTATTATAGAACAAGCTTTTGAGAAGACAAAGCAACACATCAGCAGTTTAACCAATTGTCTTTCTCTTTTAACAGGCTGGTCTACATTAGATTAGATATAAAAGGCCCAGGTATTACTTGTGTTCGATCTTAGCCAAATGGCTGAGAAACATCCAGGTACATTTAAATCAGTGACAAAAGAAAACATTATCCCTTAGTAAAATTACATAAAATAGGAAACATCTCTTACTTTAAGAGCAACCATGGTACTTGTTCCTATGGTGAAAACTGATGTTATCTCGATTAGTTAATTATTCATCCCAACACCTGGTCTTGCTCCCTTTTCCACCTCTAGCTATGTTAACACTAGAGTTCAGTAATTTGCTGATAAAGAATCTTAACTGCAGTATCTAACAGATCTTAGTGATTAAGCATATGACTTACTCTTTGTACAGATAAGTAAACTGAGGCCAAAAGAACTGAGGTATCTTATTAAAAATCAGAGAGCTAGTTAGTTGAAAAGTCCACCTGTCCTTCCTTTCCACATGTCTCACCAGAAAAACAGCAATGGTGAAAAGTCAACTCTGTTTTTAATGGGCCACTTTGTATATTTTAACTGTTAAAATAATCCAAGAAGATAGTAGTCATATACGAAGATCCTTTAGATATAATGTGTAGGACCAGCATTAATTTAATCAACCAAGTCTCCTCTCATTGAATTAATTCATAATTACAAAGATGACATTACAGTAAATTAAGAAATACTGTAATTTCATTCTCTCCAAAAAGTATACATTGAAGTTTGGTGAATACTGTTATATTTTCAACTAGTAAATCAATGTGCCAATTCTGGGTCTTAGGCATATTGTATATACTGGAATGATATTCACTTTAATTAAATTTGTTTTGAGATGTAGAATGTAATACAGATCCTACGTGTTTTTAAAAGTTCACATCAATTTCAAGCTTTTAAAAATGTATGTACACAAGAAAGCTTCTTTTGCAATTTATATGTTTACAAATGTTGCCATTAGCTAAGCTATATTTTGGAATGTGATCAAACAATATTGAATGTCAAGTCTTAACAGCAGGGCTGGTCTAAGGAATTCCCTCTAAGCTAAATCTGATCCTTTCATATGTGGCTACTGCTCTTTTAAACTACTGTATCCCTAAAGGGCTAAAAGGAAGAAAATCCTAACTTAATAAGTGAAGGCAGCAAGGCATAGTATTTGAATGGCTACCTTTCATTTTAACTCTACTTCTTAAATTCACAATTGGATTTGGGTTTGTTTCAAGTTGTTCACAATTTACTAACGAAATGTGCATCTCTCATTCTTCCCCCAAAAGAAAGAAGTCATCCACTCCAGCTACATATAAGTCTCCAATTTCTGTCTTACAACTAAACGTGAAAACCGAAATACCACTCATTGAAAAAAAAAATGTACAGAGAATTGGCAGGCTGCATGTTTATGTGAACCTTCAGAAAACATGGAAACACGCAGCCCCAACTCACCAGGAAAATCAACACTTGTGATCAAACTATTTTGTGACATTTTATGTCTTTTATACATTTCACTTCATATCCAGTATTCCAGTTTTGCACCGGCTTGCCTGTATCAACCCCAAATCGCCTGAGAGCAATCTAGTACTGTAGCAGAACCGTTTCAACATGAAGAGTTCTGCTCATCGCCTGTGGCATGGTCTTCGAAACACCTGAATCAAACATTGATTCCCCTCCCCCTGCTATTTAAAACCGAGGGACGTCAGGCTTGGGTTGTAGGTAAAGAAAAGCCACAGTAATCAAACAAGCAACCAAAATACCCGAACACGGAACACGCTAAGAACAAAGGAAACACAAGAGTGTGAACAGGAAATGAAGCAACTCTACACCCATAAATACCTTCTGGGGCCGCCAACATAGGTAAAAGTAAAGGTGGAGTCTGAGTACCTGAAATCTGAAACAGAAAGTCCTGTCAAAAGCTACCCCTGGAGTGGATTTGTTTTAACCCCGATCAGGACTTGGGCCCTCCATTTGGTGGAGTCAGGGGAGGCCTGGCCGGGCGGGAGGCGAGGGCTAGAGGGCGGCGAGGTCTCTCCGCGCAGCGTCCGAGGGGATGCGGCGCGCCCCCGACTGGGTGCAGCGGCAGGCCGCCCCCGGCAGCAAGTGCCGGGTGCCATGGCAACGGCGGGAATTTCCCGGTCGGGGAGGCCGGAAGCAGCCCCAGCCGGGCTCGCGGCAGCGAAAGCAAAATCCGATCTCTCTCCCGGGGGAGCAAAATGGACGAAAGGCGACCCCCCAGGCAGGGGCGCTGGGTGCCTTGGGAATCCGAGGAATCCCTTCTCTTTGCCAGTCGGAGGGGACTAGATGGAGCCGAAGGGGCCGGAGATGGGCCGAGCGCTGCCCCCCGGGGGTCCTCGGCGCCGGGCGCAGCTTACGAGCGCAGCGCAGCAGGCTCCATTCCCGGCCGCCGCCGCTCAGCCCATTACGCAAACCTGGCGGGTCCAACCAACCCCGCTGTGCCGCCGCTGCTGGAACCCAGGAGGCGTGCTTGCAGGCTTCGGGCACTACGCGGGGCTGGAAATACCACGCACTGCCCCTTCGCCTAGACCCCCGCTCGGGCCACGCGGGTTCTGCCCTCAAAGCTGGTAGCTGCCCCAGACTTGGGGGTGGGGGGAGGGGAAGGGGCGAGGCTGGCGCCCCCTCCCGCTTTTGGCTCCCGCGTTCGTTGCAGCAGCTGTTGCCAAATGAACCCCGGAATGCGGACGTGCAAACCCTCCACCCCACCCCCAGCCACACACGTCGCGGTCAGAGAACTGGGAAGGGGGCGCTGGGTCCGAGGTTCTGGAAAAGCAAGAACTCACCTGCAAACAGGCAGTCCTCAGCTCTGGACTTCTGGATCACGACGTCGATATCCTTCTGAATTCGGTCTTGCCTTGAACACATCCCCATTAAATAAATCCTTGGAAAAGAAGCAGCCGCTATTTCCACCCCACCCCCCTCGCACGCTTTCAGCTTTCGTAAATATTCAGTTAAAAATGAAACCTCTGGCCGAGGCAGGGGCTGAAGGCCAAGTGGTTTCGGAAGTGATCCTGGGTGAGAGGAGGAGGAGGAGGAGGAGGAAGAGGTGGAGGAGGAGGGGGAGGTCGGCTTTCCATTTCCAGATGTGACCGCCCAGCTGCTGCTCGCCGCTGCTGGATTCCAGTTTCCTCCCCTTCTGGCGACGGATTGGTGATGACACCGAGTCTCACTTTCTCCTTCCCCCGCCGGGACCAACCGCCGTGGGGGGCCGAGGGTGCCGGGGACGGCCGGAGAGCGATCACGGGCTGGGCGGCGGAAGCCGACGAGGGGCGAGCCCCGCTCCGGCTCAAGCGATCACACCCCTCACGGCCCGCACTCCGGCCTTCCACACCCGTGCACACTCTCGCCCGCGGGCGGCGGCAGCCGTGCCCAGGCTGCTGCAGCGCCACCCGCCCGCCGCGGACCCTCCGCGCCCTCCGCCTAGTCACCCGGCCCGGCCGCGGGCCGCCGGGGCTCGCAGAGTGTCAGCCATCCCGGGCAGGAGTCGCGTCTCCCCACCCCGACCTCCACTCGCGCCGGGAGCTGAGCGGCAGTGTAGGTAGTGAAGACTCCCTGGGGCTCCCAGCCTTCCCTCTCCGCGCTCTCCCCCCGTCACTTTTATGAATTCGACTCCACTTTCTAAAGGAATTATGAGTCTTGTGGCAAACACAAACCGGAGTGGCCGGGAGGGGGAAAAGGGGGGAAAAGAAAATCTTTAAAAATTAAAAAAATAATAAAACGAACAAATCTTTACTTGTTGCCACCTCAGATAACACGGAAAAAGCCTTGAAATTACTCCAGATGTGCACCCTCCCCTTCCCTCAGTGCCTGAGTCTTTTTCCTCCAGATCGAAGTATTTCAGCCCTTTTGGGGCGCCGTTTGCGAAACACAGCCCCTTTTGAGGGACTTCCTCCTCTTGAAAAGACTCACCAGTTCTCCCTTCCTAGGTGTTTCTGTTCATGAGAAATTGTCAGAATCAACTGGCACGTTCCAGGGTCTTCCTAAAGGATGGAAACCTGTTTGGCTTGCTTTTTAAAACCACCTCCTTTGACAGTCAGTCCAGGGAAAGCTACAATCCAGGTGTTCAGAAATGAGATACTGCTCTGATTCTCACTTTCTGTTCTGCCTAAGGACACCTCAGGCTGACGTAGCTGCCCCACCTCTATATTGGTTTATGCCCTAGGAGAGGTCTCCAGCAGGCACTTTTCTTGTTGATCTTTTCTCCGCTGAGAAGGCTCCCGCCAGTAGACCATGACTCGTTTTGCTTTGCATTCTCAGTGCCACGTACAGTGCCTGGAATACAGGAGGGTGGCCTAAATGTTGGCTGAATGCATGAATGGTCATTTCTTGCAGCCTCTTTTCATTACCCTGTCTCATCAGCTTTCTTATCAGAATAAGTGCCCAAGAGTGCCAAACTGTTTCAGACCCTTAATCAATTTAGTTCTGATTCTCACCGTGACAACATGATGTTCAGCACGGTAGGAATGACTGCCATCTCTGAAGGAGTCTTAAGATTCTGTAGAATCAGTGAAAGATTCTATGTTCTAACGCCTTTACCTTTCAGGAAAGAAATTACAAAATAGTTTCATTGTCCAGTCATATTCACTATGAGTTATAAGAGGAAACATTCTATCTAGAATTAGAAATACCATTTGACCCAGCCATCCCATTACTGGGTATGTACCCAAAGGACTATAAATCATGCTGCTATAAAGACACATGCACACGTATGTCTATTGCGGCACTATTCACAATAGCAAAGACTTGGAACCAACCCAAATGTCCAACAATGATAGACTGGATTAAGAAAATGTGGCACATATACACCATGGAATACTATGCAGCCATAAAAAATGATGAGTTCATGTCCTTTGTAGGGACATAGATGAAATTGGAAATCATCATTCTCAGTAAACTATCGCAAGAACAAAAAACCAAACACCGCATATTCTCACTTATAGGTGGGAATTGAACAATGAGAACACATGGACACAGGAAGGGGAACATCACACTCTGGGGACTGTTGTGGGTTGGGGGGAGGGGGGAGGGATATCACTGGGAGATATACCTAATGCTAGATGACGAGTTAGTGGGTGCAGCGCACCAGCATGGCACATGTATGCATATGTAACTAACCTGCACATTGTGCACATGTACCCTAAAACTTAAAGTATAATAATAATAAATTTAAAAAAAAGAACAAAACATCACATTGTACCACATAAAAAAAAAAAAGTTGGATTTTGCAAGGAAGATAGACATCTGACTAAAGTTTGGCCTAGCAAGGAATCTTTGTTAGTACTACTTCTTGTTTAAGGAAAGAAGAGACACTCATCTTTCCTTCAAACAATATAAGTCTCTTTTCTTGTTTGATCACCTTTTATTCATTAAGGACCAGTTGAATCATCAGTTGGGACTTGGTAGCAGAGGATATTTCCTGGATAGTGTGAGCTATCAGGCCTTTAATGTGGGAAGTTTAGTTTCTATAAAAATAAAATTAAAAAAGATTAATAGTTGGAACAAACTATAAAGACAGTTTCTGAGCCCAGAGGGCAGCTGATCAATAAGATTTCTAGATGCTGGGCTTGTAGTATCTTCAGCTGGAGTGAGAAGAGGCATTGGATTAGTTTGCAGTTTGAATGCCATAAAGATGGGCCACACACAAGCTGTTGTGGTAATTTTTCTGAAGCTTATGTCAAGTCATCCAGTTTCAGTTTGAAGGACTTCAAGAAATGAAAAGTTTATAATTTTAGTGATTCCAAGCCAGAATAGCAGGAAAAAAATGAAATATTAATTTGGAGTGTTGTAGCTAAATATTGTAGTAAGCTAGAAAAATTGAGGATCTATTGCAGATTGCAGGCAGATAATAAAACCTCAGGAAAAAAAAAAAAACAGCTAGAATCTAATATTGGGTGCACTGCAGTTTTCTCCCGAAACATAACTTTTCTCTCTATATTCACTCTCATTTCTGTCAAAGATAATCAAAGTCAGATTGATTTGTTTGCTAAATAAGTTTAATCTCATTAAACTTGTACTGGTTTTGTACACAAGTGCAGTTAAGAGTAGTGATTGACCATTTAGGCTCTTTTAAAGGTTGCGTTTGTCAGATAAGAAATCTCAGATTAAACTTTTTGTTTTTGTTTTTTTAGACAGAGTCTCCCTCTGTCTCTCAGGCTGGAGTGCAGTGGTGCGATCTTGGCTCACTGCAATCTCCGCCTCCTGGGTTCAAGCGATTCTTCTGCTCAGCCTCCCGAGTAGCTGGGATTATAGGTGCGTGCCACTATGCCTGGCTCATTTTTTGTATTTTTAGTAGAGACAGGGCTTTCACCATATTGGTCAGGCTGGTCTTGAACTCCTGACCTCGTCATCCACCTGACTTGGCCTCCCAAAGTGCTGGGATTACAGGCGTGAGCCACTGTCTCCAGTCAGATTAAACTTTTAAAAGCCACCTGAGGCTGGGATACAAGCCCAAAACTTGTCATTAGTCTGCACCTGTTACATTTATAGATTTAGATAAATTTCTCTCTTCTTGAGGTCCCTAAAATATCCCAAGGTTTCCAGACCCACCAAGCAGTGACATTCTTTACTTACCTGTAAGTCTGGGAACCCTAGAGCCAGTTTTTCCAAGATGGTACTTTATTGGTTCCATAAAGCCAACCTTAGTCCCCTAAAGCCTTCTGGTCATATCTGAAAACATGATGTTTCAGTCAAAGCCTTGGTGATATAACCTGTGTTTCCAGTTTGTCCTGTTACAAAGACAACAGATTCTTATTAAACTTATGCAAATAAATACATTGCCATAAAAATAAGAATATGCACAAATAGTTTCCAAATTCTGGAGGGATAAGTTAGGGAGAAAAAGTAAATGTTTCCATTTTGCACAAAAGTATTCTTTACTGAATTGGTGTAAGCTAGAGATAGCTTAAAAAAAAGTTTTCTGAAATCTGGAAAACAAAACATTTAAAGAACTAGCAATGTTTCCAACAAAAACTCATTTTAAAAATTATTCTCATCAGTTCATTCAGTACCATGTAATTAAATCTTGTTTTGCTTGATCTTGGGTTAGTAGTTACATGAACCCATCAGTTTTATTAGAGTTCTGGAAATTCTTACCAGTCCAATTGTATGACGTTAAAGTTGTTCAGAAACCTGTATTCCAGAATAGTCATAAGAGTATTTTCCATAAATCTCCTTGAAGAAGAAGCCATTTTGGACTGTAGCTAATTTCAAATGCTTTTAGAGAACAATTAAATTAAAACAATAACTGTCTACAGATGACAAGGACTTAAAATGTCCATGGTTAAAAAATCTAATGAGAGTTCATTACAATGATGCAATTTATAAGAAAATTTGGTTAGCATGGCATACAGCATTTTAACATAATAACCAAAATTATGACTGATAACATACTAGATTTCTAGGAATCTCATACAACTTTTGTACACTTATCCCAATAATATATCCATAAATATAACTTAAAGATGGCTTAGCATCACTTTTTATTTGAATGCTACACATATAATTTAGCATATTAAATAAATCTAATTGGTTTAATCTCTCTTTCATACAAAAAAAAAATTCTTTGTGGCTTTCTGAGGGTCCAATATGGAGAATCCTAAGTTAATTTGAGGTCAAAAAGACTTAACTTAGAATGTGATTTTGGGAAGATTGTCAAAAATGTCAAAAAGTTTAAAACATTTAAAACAAATATGACCATAGTTATCTATTTAATAAAAGCTCCATTAAAAGATTTTAAAGGCAAATTCAGATTACATAGTTGTGAACAAGAACTTAGCTCCTTTAATATTGAGAAGACTCACTTTTCTTAAGTAACCAAAAACCTAATAAAACAACATGAAACTCAAGAAATTATCTTGATGAAACAGAGTCTCTGTTTCTGAGGCCAATTACTTAAAAGGAAAAAAATACCCTTTACATTCTCAGACCAACATTCCAAGAAAACTTTACCATTTTAACGGAGAAGATCAAATTCTACTTTTGAATCAATGTATTACTAAAACTAAGTTTTAATAAAACCTTATAAATAAATCTATCCAATCTCAGTCAGCTTAGACCATACAAGATAAGATTTTCACAATCCTTCTAGACATCTTTTCTTATTTACTTTTGCAACAGACATACACCAGACAATTAAGCAATTTACTTTTACTACATATTCTACTCTTAGGTTGAATTTATGGTTTTATGGCCTTAAACATCTAACAGTAACAACACAAACTTGTCTAATCAGCAAAGCCAGGTAAAACAAGTGTATGCTGACAATTCTGAAAATGTTTCTATTTTTATTTTACCAATATTTTTTAAACTAGTTTTTATTTACTAAGGAATATCCCAGATTATGTGAACTTAAAAAAAATTGGGTCAGTTTCTACTTTTCTGAAAATTTTATACATTCTTATTTGTTTGAGTGCTCATTTATCCCTAGCCAATTTGGGTATTTTAGTTTGGTAATAACGTTGGAGGTAGAAAAATATCACATATACATAACATAATAACATAGATACACACATGTACACATACACAAACATATAGAGTGATGTAACCAGATCTTATGACTTCTCATTTAAAAAATTTTAACCAGGCCAGGTGCAGTGGCTCATGCCTGTAATCCCAGCACTTTGGGAGGCTGAGGTGGGTGGATCACCTGAGGTCAGGAGTTCGAGACCAGCCTGGCCAACATGGCATAACCCCGTCTCTACTAAAAATACAAAAATTAGCTGGGCGTGGGGCATGGTGGCGCCCGGCTGAGGCACAAGAAGCACTTGAACCCAGGAGGTGGAGGTTGCAGTGAGCCGAGATTGCCCCGCTGCACTCCAGCCTGAGCAATGAAGTGAGACTCTGTCCCAAAAAAAAAAAAAAAAAAAAAAAAGTTTTTAACCATGAGGCAGTAAAACAGAGTAATACAAAAATACAAACTCACTGGTTTATCTCCGCTTTATATTGTTATCCAAATTGTGTTTCTGGTGAAAAAGGGATAAGTTGAGTTGACCTACATAACAAAGGCTAAAGCTTTTTACCAATATTTGTGGAGGAGGTTTTTTAAGATTTTTTTTTTTTTTTACTTTATCAGTTTCCAAACAGTTTCTTTTTTTCTCCTATTATCAGCCCCAGGTGCTTGTTTTTGAGGGGCCTCTGAGTCCCTTGAGAGCCCCCTCAAAGGAGGGTAGGATAGGGGTCCTGAAGTTCAGCAGAAAAGAAACGGGTCTGGCAAGAGTGGACAGAGAAATAGTCAGCAGAGACTTGAGAAGAGGGGTTTCAGGTGACAGAGCTCCCATGGGAGAAGCAGGATCCAATAGAGAGAAGAGAAAGAGCAGAGTGGTTTTATAGAGAGCCAGGAAGAACAATTTGTAGCCCAGGGAATCAGGGAATAACCCCTCACTCAGAAAAAGAGAGCCAGAAAGAAGAGACTTCTAGCCTAGGGACTCAGAGAATAGACCACTCAGAACAAGAAGCCCACACGAAGACCTTCCTGCCCAGAGGATTGCTTTCAAAAGAAGCCTGGGACTCTACCCCAGCTTCAGAGAGAATATTCATCCCTTCAGATTCAAAATCTGTCCTTAGCCATCAACGGGCTTTTGTCTGGAGCAATGGCTCAGGAATCTGATTCACCAATGGATCCCTAATCAGTCAGAAATGACAACAAAGACTTCAAAGGCATGCATTTAGGGTTCTGAGTGAGAGGCCCAGGATCCAGTGATGAATCTGTCCTAGTTGAGTTTCAACACCATAGTTGTTAAAGAAAAAATTATTCAGTGATACTTCAAATGCACAGTAAAGAAGACTTTATTCAGGACCATCACCATAGATATAGGAACCACTGCAACACAGTCTTGGAGCTGGGGAGAGAGATGGGCTTAACTCTGAATACAGCATGCGGAAGTGGGAATTTATAGCCCAGGAGCAATGCAGGGGTCAGTGAATGGAAAATCACTAAGAGGAAACATCAGGAGTAAGGGAGATTCTGGCTAAACCGCCCTAAAAGAATTCTTGCTGAAGACTGGCCAGGGTGATCAGACATCACCTGCAGAATGGTGAAGAATGAAGAACCTGATCAGATATTGAGAATGAGGGGTTCTTTGGTAAACTTGGCAGTGTTCTTTGCTAATGCTGGATTTTGCGAGGAAGTGCACAGTTTAGCCTAGCTGAAGATTTAGAAGCCTGACTAAAGTTGGCCAAGCAAAGAATCTTTGTTATCAACATATTCCATCAAACCTCACATCCCTGCCTTAAATGATCAAACCATCCGCACTCCTGTATGCTACTGTTCTCCATGAAAAGTTACTTCTTCTTTGCCTTAACCAAAATCCAGCCATTCTAGAAAGACACCAGAAGGCTTTCTGCAGCATCTAAAATTCCCCACATTCTGGGCCCAAATCCTTTTCCTTTCCCTGTTGCTTTTAGATCCACATTGTGTAACCCTCATCTGGAAACCTCAGTTTCTTGGAGTCATTTTTTTTTGGGGGGACGGAGTTTCCGCTCTTGTTGCCCAGGCTGGAGTGCAGTGGCATGATCTCAGTTCACTGCAACCTCCGTCTCCCAGGTTCAAGCGATTCTCCTGCCTCTGCCCCTTGAGTAGCTGGGATTACAGGTGCCTGCCACCATGCCTGGCTAATTTTTTGTATTTTTAGTAGAGACAGGGTTTCATCCTTTTGGCCAGGCTGGTCCCGAACTCCTGATCTCAGATGATCCACCTGCCTCAGCCTCCCAAAGTGCTGGGATTATAGGCGTGAGCCACTGAGCCAGGCCATTCTGTCTTTTTATATAATGTAACTTGTACTTTTATGTAGTAAATTATCACAATGGTGTCAGACACTCTGAGGAAGAGTATTTTACTGTATCATTCCCATTACCCAATCAGGAAGTCTTAACAGGCAGATTTTAACAAAAATATAAGACACAACTGTGCCCTAGCTTTTCTCACATACTTCCTACCTCACACTTCACACATTTCTTTTTCTCAGCACCCACTCTTAAGTAATAATTTATTTCCCCTGAATATTATTTACCTTCTGTGGGCTACTTTACATATCATCTGAAAGCATGATCAAAACAGTTATATTTGTGAATAATTTTATTTTGGTTTATTTCTTAGCAGAAGGAGGAGTTAATAGTAACATTTGTAGGCCGGGCACGGTGGCTCACACCTGTAATCCCAACACTTTGGGAGGCCGAGGCTTGCGGATCATGAGGTCAGGAGATCGAGACCATCCTGGCTAACACGGTGAAACTCTGTCTCTACTAAAATACAAAAAAATTAGCCGGGCGTGGTGGCGGGCACCTGTAGTCCCAGCTACTTGGGAGGCTGAGGCAACAGAATGGCGTGAACCCAGGAGGTGGAGCTTGCAGTGAGCCGAGATCGCGCCACTGGGCTCCAGCCTGGGAGACAGAGCGAGACTCCATCTCAAAAAAAAAAAAAAAAAAAAAAAGGAACATTTGTAATCTCCCAGAGATTGCCAAGGAAAACATTCTCCTGGCTGAATTTATGTAGAGTTCATCATCTAAGCATAAAATATTTTATAAAGGAATGGGCCAATCAAATAACTGCTATGCGGTTGACACCATAAACCAAGTTAGCTTAGTACCACTCTAAATAGTTGCTGGGAATATAATGATTTTCAAAGACATGATCTCTAGAAATAAATAACTAAAAGAGAAGCACGGTGTCATGCATTTATGCATACACATAAGCAGGGACTAGAGATCAAGAATAGAAATAAAAGAGGTTTTTACACTTGGGGTGCTAAGGTCGCAATGATTTATTTGGAGAGAAAACGGAAGCCCTTCTTTAGTAAATGCAAAGCACCATGTGTTTAATGAAGATACATGACCTAAGCTTTGAAGATCGTTTAACTAATTCAATAACCTTACCAAGTATCCATTACTACATCTCAACAATCAAATTTACAGTGACATCTTTGAGTTAAATCTCTCCATAGATGTCTGGAAACAGCTTAATTCTGTTAACTGCTGCCCATTGAATTATGCTTTATTTGGTCGTAGAATTTCATGTCATCTGTTAGTCTCCCTCACAACTTGGGAGATGTTATTCCTGTATTGTCTGTTCTCGTTGATGAAGAGAAGTCTGTGATAAAGTAATTGTCCTTCCTTTGCAGGTAATCTGCCTTCCGTCTCTGGTTGATTTGAAAATATTGTATTAGTCTTTAGTATCTTGCATTTTACTGTGGTATGTCTACATAAGGATTTATACTTACTGAGTTTGCTCAGAGCTTGGAGTATTTCCTCAGTCTTAAAGGCCCTAGTTGTGAAAATGTTACTACAGAAAAACTTTCTTTTTTTAACTTAAAATCCTTTTTATTGGGAAATAAATGTAAGATTATAGATAAGTTTGAAAATAAAAGAATTGTTAGAACAAAAAATACTCATATGCCTGTTACCCTAATTTGTCTATTATTATTTTATTAAATTTAGGTTACCATTTGTTCTCTCTCTCTCTCAATATATATCCCAATTTTCGGTCTTTAGATCTAAATCTTTCAGCAACCTGGACTATCATGGCCCCAGTGTAATGCTTGGCTTTGTACCTCATGAGGGAAGAAATTTTTTTTTTTAATCTTAAGTTCTAGGGTACGTGTGCACCACATGCAGGTTTGTTACATAGGTATACATGTTGCCATGTTGGTTTGCTGTACCCATCAACTTGTCATTTACATTAGGTATTTCTCCTGATGCTATCTGTCCTCCAGCCCCCCACCCCCTGAAAGGCCCCAGTGTGTGATGTTCCCCACCCTGTGTCCATGCATTCTCATTGTTCAACTCCCATCTGTGAGTGAGAACATGCGGTGTTTGGTTTTCTGTCCTTGTGATAGTTTGCTGAGAATGATGGTTTCCAGCTTCATCCATGTCCTTGCAAAGGACATGAACTTATCTTTTTTTATGGCTTCATAGTATTCCATGGCACATATGTGCCACATTTTTTTAATCCAGTCTATTATTGATGGACATTTGGGTTGGTTCCAAGTCTTTCCTATTGTGAATAGCACCACAATTAACATACGTGTGCATGTATACATCTTTATAGTAGCATGATGTATAATCCTTCGGGTATACACCCAGTAATGGGATCGCTGGGTCAAATGGTATTTCTAGTTCTAGATCCTTGAGGAATCGCCACACTGCTTTCCACAATGGTTGAACTAATCTATGCTCCCACCAGCAGTGTAAAAGCATTCCTATTTCTCCACATCCTCTCCAGTATCTGTTGTTTCCTGACTTTTTAATGATCATCATTCTAACTGGCATGTGATGGTATCTCATTGTGGTTTTGATATGCATTTCTCTGATGACCAGAGATAATGAGCATTTTTTATGTGTCTGTTGGCTGCATAAATGTCTTCTTTTGAGAAGTGTCTGTTCATATTCTTTGCCCACTTTTTGATGGGGTTGTTTTTTTCTTGTAAATTTGTTGAAGTTCTTTGTAGATTCTGGATATTAGCCCTTTGTTAGACGGGTATATTGCAAAACTTTTCTCCTATTTTTTAGATTGCCTGTTCACTCTGATGAGAGTTTCTTTTGCTGTGCAGAAGCTCTTTAGTTTAATTAGATCGCATTTGTCTATTTTAGCTTTTGTTGCCATTGCTTTTGGTGTTCTGGTCATGAAGTCTTTGCCCGTGCCTATGTCTTGAATGGTATTGCCTAGGTTTTCTTCTAGGGTTTTTTATGGTGTTAGGTCTTTCATTTAAGTCTTTAATCCATCTTGAGTTAATTTTTGTGTATGGTGTAAGAAAGGGATCCAGTTTCAGCTTTCTACATATGGCTAGCCAGTTTTCCCAGCACCGTTTATTAAACAGGGGATCCTTTGAGGGAAGAAAATTATTTCTAATATTTTAATCCAGCTATGTATGTAAAAAGAAGTCTTTTTCATATTTTATCTATTATTTCTGTATGATTGGAGTATGAGTCAAAACATCTCAATATAAATAAAAAGTTACATTTCAGTAATTTTTTTTTCTAAAATTACAAAACACTAGTGGTCAAAAACACTACTATTTCCAATTCTCTTTACTTTGTTAACATTACTTTTTGTACTTATGAGAGAAGAGTTTGCAATCCAAAAAGAGCAGGAAGGAAGAGAGATTAGAGATTTTTTCTCCCGCTTGCTCTATACATATGAGATATTTATATATCTATATATCAACAGTTGACCTTTGAATAACACTGGTTTAAACTGTGTGAGTCCACTTATAGGTGGATTTTTTCAGCCAAATACAGATTGAAAATATAGTATTTGTGGGACGTGAAACCCACATATGTGGAGGGCCAACTTTTCATATGCGAGCTCTGCAAGGTTGACTGTGGGACCTGAGTATGTGCAGACTTCGGTATATGCAGGGCTCCTGAATGCAATACCCCACTAATACTGAGGGATGACTGTATATGTCTCTATCTATCTACTCTATCATATATATATATATATATATATATATATACGCACACACACACACACACACACAAATATGTGTATATATATATGTATGTGTGTATATATATATATATATACTTCCTATATTACTTTGCTAGGGTTGTTATAACAATTACTGCAGACTGGATGAGTTAAACAACAGAAATTTATTTTCTCACGGTTCTGGAGGCTAGAAGTGTGAGGTCAAGGCATCAGATGTGTTAATTTTATTCTGAAATTTCTCTCCTTGGCTTTTAGATAGTCATTTTCTCATCTTGTCTTCTCATGGACTTTTTTCTGTGCACATGTATGTCTGTACCTAAATTTCCTCTTCAAATAAGGACACCAGTGATATTGGATTAGGACCCAGACATGTGACCTCATTTTACATTAGTTACCTCTTAAAAGTCTCTATCTCCAAATATAGCCACCTTCTGATATACCGGGATGGCAGGGGGCAGGGTACAGCATATTAATTTGGGGAAAGGACACAATTCAGCCTATAACATATGCAATATATTCTTCTCTGATCTATATTATATAACTTTTACATATAATACATATATAATTTAATATACATTTTAACCCCTTGATTAATTTTCTCACTGCAGAGAAAACAAGAATTAAAGAAAAGCTTCAGGTGATACCATTTTTGAATGAGTAAGAATTGAGCCTACCCTTAACGCAAGAATGAAGTAGAAATAAACTGACTTAGGGAACAGCATAAAAAAGTTCTCTTATGAGTCAAGATTTCAGTGTGATGTCATCATTTTTTCCAGGGATTAAATGTTAGAATATATTGCATGCCCATATTGAGGTGGAATCATAAACTTATTTCAGACTTATTATAATGGCTCATTTTCTTATGCCTTCACCATTGAACTTGTACTTAGCTGGGGATTGAGCTGAAAGTTTGCCTTTTCTGTATCTAGCATAGTTGCACCAAATCTGACCTTAATCCCAAATTTTCCTCTCTGTAATATCTTGTTTCCAAATGAGGCTCACATTGAATTTTCTCTTGTTAGAAATATAACTGGCAACACCAATCAAAACCATTCATTCCATTCAGTTGCCTGTGAACAAGCTTGATTTGCTTTGTTATTAATACAGCTTCTTGTGGTTTAAGTAGAAAGCTCTTTTGTAAATATCCCTCAGTTTAAGTATATATGGTTTACATTTCCAGGTAAACTATAAATTATCTGAGAAAGGCCCAGCACGGTGGTTCAAGCCTATAATCCCAGCTCTTTGGGAGTCTGAGATGGGTGGATCACTGGAGGTCAGGAGTTTCAGACCAGCCTGGCCAATGTGGTGAAACCCCATCTCTACCAAAAATACAAAAATTAGCCAGGCATGGTGGTGCACGCCTGTAATCTCAGCTACTCAGGAGGCCAAGGCAAGTGATTAAACCCAGGAGGTGGAGGTTGCAGTGAGCTGAGATCGCACCACTGCACTCCAGCCTGGGTGACAAGCTGGACTCTGTCTCAAAAAAAAAAAAAAAAATTCTGTGAAAAGATCTGTGATTTCCATTCTCCTTTATAGTAATTGTTAAGCACTCACAATTAGATGGTTATAACAACTATCAAAGAAAAACAATTATTTTAATAAATATTTTTCAACATTTTCTCCTTTCTAAGCCCTATGCTATGCACTAAAAACTGCAGAGAAAATCAACACATTCTCTACCTCACAGCAGATTTCTTGGAGAGAGATAGGGGTGGGGAGGGGAATAAGGGTTGCTAAATGTTGTCAACTTTGTAATACAACTCTCAAAGGGAGATAGTTATTAGGGAGGCAAAGTGCTCAGGCTCAGATTTCAGGTTGCCTAGATTTGAATTCTGTCTTCACTGCTTCTTTTATGATTTGCCCAAATTACTTAAGCTCTTTAAACCACAGTTTCCTCATCCTTAAGATAGGGATAATAAATAGAACTTATCTCATAAAATTACTGTGAGGATTATAAGTGATTATGAAGTTGATTAAATTTCCCCAGTGCTTCATACAAAGAAAGGACTCAAAGGATATGCTAGTTCATAGTAGGGGCATAGAAGAAGATATCCCTTCTCTCCTGGGATATAGGGTATACTTAACTGTCCACTATAAAATTGAAGATAGGCTAGAGAAAAGCTAAAAATGAAGAATCTAATAACTCTTTAGCCAAGAGAAAATGAAACATGAGGGAAAGGGAGAAGTTCCAAATGAGGTCCACATTTCTCGTGGGCCACTGAATGGTGGTGCCATTCAGGCAGAGGAAACCCAGAAGGAGGAGTCATTCTGTAGTTAGAGGGCACTTAATGAGATAATATTAGAGATAACTGAGGTTGAGTTGTTGGTACATATCTGGGTGCAAAGTCTCCATAGGTCCGGAATTTTGAATAGTTTTCTGGAGTCATCTGGTTATTGTTAAAGCCAAGAGAATTGGTGAGATCACAGAATACAATAATGATCAATAAGAGGGAAGGGAAGAGAGCCAAGAATGGGAGACTGGGAAGCATACACATTTAATTAAGGTTTGGTAAGGTGAAAGGTGTCAGCAGAGAATGTAAAGGTGAAATAATGAGAGAAAAAGGAGGACATCAAGGAGAAAGTCGTGTTTTGAAAAAAACAGAAAGGACACATTTTCAAGAAAGACATTGTCAATAGTTTAAATGTCACAAAATAGTAGAGTATAATGCAATTAAAAAAACAAAATCTGTTGCTTTTGTTAATTAAATAACTAGTAACCTCGGCTGCAGCAGTTTCAGTAGAGTGAGGAGAGTTGACACCAAACTGCACCAGTGGAGTGAAAATAAGTGGGAAGAAAGAGTGAGGAAGTGGAGGACAGTCTTTTTTTTTTTTTTAATAAAATATTTTCCCAAACTGTCTTTTCTGGAACTTCCAACATGTCTGCTTAAGAGCTTGTCTAAGTTGAATTCATTCGAACTTCTTGAACCTAATTAGTTTCTTTTTGCTGTTTTTTTTTTTTTTTTTTTTTTTTTTTTTTTTTTTTGAGATGGAGCCTTGCTCTATCACCCAGGCTGGAGTTCAATGGTGCAATTTCGGCTCACTGCAACCTCCTCCTCCTGGGTTCAAGCAGTTCTCCTGCCTCAGCCCAATTAGTTTTAAAGACGCTGCATATATTGGCAGGGAAAACCTAGAACACAAAGTCAAACTTCCAATTATCTCCCTTCAGTGCTCAAATCAAGAGTTCATTTGTTGCAAGGAATGGGGGTCTGGACTCCAGGGAGAAGAATAGAGTTTTAGAAGGAGAGTTATCCTAAAACTAAATGGAAGGAGGGTTCTTTGAGATACCAAGGATTTGCAGGACTTTATTTACAATTAAATGTTAGTTTCAGACAGCCCAGGAGGAATAGGTCTATTAAAAGAAAGCAAGAGTAGTTGGCATAAGGAAACAATTTGCATTGGAGCCTGAGAGTGAGTATAGTAATGACCACATGAGAGACCCATTTGACTCAAGTACTTCAAAGCATTGCCAGTGTTAGTCTTTGCTCCACAATCAAGTGGGGAAAAAGTGAAATGTCTTTGAAGAGCATTTCCTGTAGGTGGCCTTTGAGGAGGTCCTGAAAATTCCAAACCTGCAAGTATTAATGGCAAAGAATAAAAATTTCTTTATGTAAAATACTTTTAAAAATCTTTCTAAATAGCAAGACATTATATATTACCATTGTTAAAAGATAAACGAATTGAGAAATATCATTAGAATTATATGCAGCAGATAAAATGGTCACTTTTTCTTTTGAGACGGAGTCTCGCTCTGTCGCCAGGCTGGAGCACAGTGGCGTGATCTTGGCTCATTACAACCTCCAGCTCCCTGGTTCAAGTGATTCTTCTGCCTCAGCCTCCCGAGTAGCTGGGATTACAGGCACGTGCCACCACCCCAGCCAATTTTTGTATTTTTAGCAGAGACGGGGTTTCACCATGTTGGGCAGGATGGTCTTGATCTCCTGACCTTGTGATCCACCCGCCTTGGCCTCCCAAAGTGTTGGGATTACAGGCGTGAGCCACTGCGCCCAGCCAAAAGGTCACTTTTTAAACTTAAAAATTATTAAGAAAACAGTGAAAACTTAATGTTTAAAAGAGTAGAAGATAGGGAAAATTATTACACAGAAAAAGATAAACAACAGAGAAAGATAAATAAATTGCCAGTGAATATGTAAAAAGTTGCTCAGCACCAGTGGTAGTTCAAATCCAAATAGCACTGAGTTAGCATTTGTTAACTAATAAATTGGCAAAAATTATATTTTGATAAAACCCAGTGTTGTTGACATCCCAAGAAAAAGGGCTATGCTCACACAGCCTTGGAGCATGTGCACATTGATGATTTTTTTGGCATAAAAATTAGTGGTTTCTATTAAAATCAGCAGTGTAATTCACAATCGCTAAGACATGGAATCAACCTAGGTGCCCATCAACTGTGGATTGGATAAAGAAAATATGGTACATATATGTCATGGAATACTTTGCAGCCATAAAAAAGAATAAAATCATGTCCTTTACAGCAACATGGATGCAACTCGATGCCATTATGCTAAGCGAATTAACACAGGAATAGAAAACCAAATACCACATATTCTCACTTATAAGCAGGAGCTAAACATTGAGTACACGTGGACACAAAGATGGGAACAATAGAAACTGGGGACTACTCGAGGGTAGAAGGAGGGAGGGGGTAAAGGTTGAAAAACAACTACTATGCCTAGTACCTGAGTGATCGGATCAATCATGCCGCAAACCTCAGCATTACACAACATACCCATGTAACAAACCTGCACATGTACCCACTGTATCTAAAATCAAAAGTTGAAATTATAAAAAATAAAAAAATAAAATCAACAATGTATATTTCTCTCACACAGCCATCACGATGATGTATTTGGAATAATATATGCATAAGGATGTTCATTGCAGTGTTGTCTGCAAGGACAAAGTGAAAACAATCTGAATAACCAACAATATGACACAGAGTAAGTAATTATTGGTACGTCTGTACAATGCCTCATGCAATCACCACTGACAGCATGGGAAAGAGAGACATCTATTATGAAAAGACCACTAAGACATATGATTACATGATAAGTGCAAGGTTCATGAATAAATAGTATGTATACTAGTATAGCATACTTCTTTCTAAGAAAGAAACTATAACACATACAAGAATGGACAAGAAGTTATTAACAATAGCTAACTTTGGTGATAAGACTGTAGGTTGTAAAAAGCCAGACTTTCATTTCTCATTTTAAACCCAATGAATTATTTAAATCTAACCCTACTGCATTCATTATCTTTACAATAAAATAAATATGTATAACAATGAAACATAGTTTTTAAGTATTTGGGACATAAATTAAACATTAATAGATTACACCTCTTAAACTTGGTACTTTAGTATCCCATTTCTCTGTGAGAACTCTGAAAGCTTCATCTTCCACAGTTTAGGTAATTCTTTGGTGTCTTATTTTGTTATTTTCTTGCCCTGAGATTAGCAATGTCAGATCTCCAAACTGCTAACTCTTCTCTTTGGCAGATCAAATGCTTCTTCTTAAAAAAATTAAGTTTTTGGTGTCGGGAGCGCGCGGCGCCCCGGCTCCCGCCCGCTCCCAGCCGGGCCCCTCAGCGGTCGGCGGGACGGCTCCCGGCTGCAGTCTGCCCGCCCGCCCCGCGCGGGGGCCGAGTCGCGAAGCGCGCCTGCGACCCGGCGTCCGGGCGCGCTGGAGAGGACGCGAGGAGCCATGAGGCGCCAGCCTGCGAAGGTGGCGGCGCTGCTGCTCGGGCTGCTCTTGGAGTGCACAGAAGCCAAAAAGCATTGCTGGTATTTCGAAGGACTCTATCCAACCTATTATATATGCCGCTCCTACGAGGACTGCTGTGGCTCCAGGTGCTGTGTGCGGGCCCTCTCCATACAGTGGCTGTGGTACTTCTGGTTCCTTCTGATGATGGGCGTGCTTTTCTGCTGCGGAGCCGGCTTCTTCATCCGGAGGCGCATGTACCCCCCGCCGCTGATCGAGGAGCCAGCCTTCAATGTGTCCTACACCAGGCAGCCCCCAAATCCCGGCCCAGGAGCCCAGCAGCCGGGGCCACCCTATTACACCGACCCAGGAGGACCGGGGATGAACCCTGTCGGGAATTCCATGGCAATGGCTTTCCAGGTCCCACCCAACTCACCCCAGGGGAGTGTGGCCTGCCCGCCCCCTCCAGCCTACTGCAACACGCCTCCGCCCCCGTACGAACAGGTAGTGAAGGCCAAGTAGTGGGGTGCCCACGTGCAAGAGGAGAGACAGGAGAGGGCCTTTCCCTGGCCTTTCTGTCTTCGTTGATGTTCACTTCCAGGAACGGTCTCGTGGGCTGCTAAGGGCAGTTCCTCTGATATCCTCACAGCAAGCACAGCTCTCTTTCAGGCTTTCCATGGAGTACAATATATGAACTCACACTTTGTCTCCTCTGTTGCTTCTGTTTCTGACGCAGTCTGTGCTCTCACATGGTAGTGTGGTGACAGTCCCCGAGGGCTGACGTCCTTACGGTGGCGTGACCAGATCTACAGGAGAGAGACTGAGAGGAAGAAGGCAGTGCTGGAGGTGCAGGTGGCATGTAGAGGGGCCAGGCCGAGCATCCCAGGCAAGCATCCTTCTGCCCGGGTATTAATAGGAAGCCCCACGCCGGGCGGCTCAGCCGATGAAGCAGCAGCCGACTGAGCTGAGCCCAGCAGGTCATCTGCTCCAGCCTGTCCTCTCGTCAGCCTTCCTCTTCCAGAAGCTGTTGGAGAGACATTCAGGAGAGAGCAAGCCCCTTGTCATGTTTCTGTCTCTGTTCATATCCTAAAGATAGACTTCTCCTGCACCGCCAGGGAAGGGTAGCACGTGCAGCTCTCACCGCAGGATGGGGCCTAGAATCAGGCTTGCCTTGGAGGCCTGACAGTGATCTGACATCCACTAAGCAAATTTATTTAAATTCATGGGAAATCACTTCCTGCCCCAAACTGAGACATTGCATTTTGTGAGCTCTTGGTCTGATTTGGAGAAAGGACTGTTACCCATTTTTTGGTGTGTTTATGGAAGTGCATGTAGAGCATCCTGCCCTTTGAAATCAGACTGGGTGTGTGTCTTCCCTGGACATCACTGCCTCTCCAGGTCATTCTCAGGCCCGGGGGTCTCCTTCCCTCAGGCAGCTCCAGTGGTGGGTTCTGAAGGGTGCTTTCAAAACAGGGGGCACATCTGGCTGGGAAGTCACATGGACTCTTCCAGGGAGAGAGACCAGCTGAGGCGTCTCTCTCTGAGGTTGTGTTGGGTCTAAGCGGGTGTGTGCTGGGCTCCAAGGAGGAGGAGCTTGCTGGGAAAAGACAGGAGAAGTACTGACTCAACTGCACTGACCATGTTGTCATAATTAGAATAAAGAAGAAGTGGTTGGAAATGCACATTCCTGGATAGGAATCACAGCTCACCCCAGGATCTCACAGGTAGTCTCCTGAGTAGTTGACGGCTAGCGGGGAGCTAGTTCCGCCGCATAGTTATAGTGTTGATGTGTGAACGCTGACCTGTCCTGTGTGCTAAGAGCTATGCAGCTTAGCTGAGGCGCCTAGATTACTAGATGTGCTGTATCACGGGGAATGAGGTGGGGGTGCTTATTTTTTAATGAACTAATCAGAGACTCTTGAGAAATTGTTACTCATTGAACTGGAGCATCAAGACATCTCATGGAAATGGATACGGAGTGATTTGGTGTCCATGCTTTTCACTCTGAGGACATTTAATCGGAGAACCTCCTGGGGAATTTTGTGGGAGACACTTGGGAACAAAACAGACACCCTGGGAATGCAGTTGCAAGCACAGATGCTGCCACCAGTGTCTCTGACCACCCTGGTGTGACTGCTGACTGCCAGCGTGGTACCTCCCATGCTGCAGGCCTCCATCTAAATGAGACAACAAAGCACAATGTTCACTGTTTACAACCAAGACAACTGCGTGGGTCCAAACACTCCTCTTCCTCCAGGTCATTTGTTTTGCATTTTTAATGTCTTTATTTTTTGTAATGAAAAAGCACACTAAGCTGCCCCTGGAATCGGGTGCAGCTGAATAGGCACCCAAAAGTCCGTGACTAAATTTCGTTTGTCTTTTTGATAGCAAATAATGTTAAGAGACAGTGATGGCTAGGGCTCAACAATTTTGTATTCCCATGTTTGTGTGAGACAGAGTTTGTTTTCCCTTGAACTTGGTTAGAATTGTGCTACTGTGAACGCTGATCCTGCATATGGAAGTCCCACTTCGGTGACATTTCCTGGCCATTCTTGTTTCCATTGTGTGGATGGTGGGTTGTGCCCACTTCCTGGAGTGAGACAGCTCCTGGTGTGTAGAATTCCCGGAGCGTCTGTGGTTCAGAGTAAACTTGAAGCAGATCTCTGCATGCTTTTCCTCTGCAACAATTGGCTCATTTCTCTTTTTTGTTCTCTTTTGATAGGATCCTGTTTCCTATGTGTGCAAAATAAAAATAAATTTGGGCAAAAAAAAAAAAAAATTAAGTTTTTAAAATGTATTTCATAGGATTTTTGTTCTCTCTCTCCCTCTTTTTGTGCATATGTGTGTGTGTCTGATTAGTCTTTACTATCTTAAAATGGTTAGTCCTGATAGACCTGTTTCTTCAAAATTTCTCTCAGTTCTTTGGCAGTTTGCTCTTAGCTTATAATTAAAGATCAATTTCTGACTTGTCTTGTTCTAGAAAACCTCAATGGAAATTACAGCAAGCTGAATAGGATATTAATTAAAAACATAAACCTGGTGAAACCCGAACATAGAGGCTCCAGTTCAAAGATGCTTCCAATAGTTGACATGGCCCTTCATTCCTTAAAACCAGCTATTTTTCTTTTGAATTACATTACCTTTAATTCTGTAAATTGGATGTTATATAGTACCATGAAAACTGCTGTGAGTAATTATAATACTCATTGCTGAGTGATGTGACTTCTTTCTCAAGGCTATTTCTGAGGGAAATTGTACAATTAGATCTTTAGGTATTGTGACTTGTTTTGGAAATCATGGTGGCCCTCCAGGGAGCTAATGAATCTTTAATTATTTAGAGGTTCACATGAGACCCCTTACAGATATAAGCACATTAGCTCTGTAGCTAAGGGAACATTTAAAAACAGTAACATGAAATGTGTCAGACATAGAGGAAAGATGAAGAAGCAAGTAGAAGCTAATGCAAACAGAGGAACTGCCAGCTCTCTGTGGCACTCTAGCTCTCTCTGTCAGTATTTGGTTGGCAATGTAGACATAGTGGATGAGTGCAATTACATATGTTAGGCTCATTCTGAAATGCAGGAGCATTTTAGATTTTCATGTAGAAGCCTGACAAGCAAACTACATCTAGGATATACTTTGATAACTTTGAGTTGAGAGCCAAATTTTTTGAAGGTAAACCATCTCCCTGTTTTAAAGTAGTGTTTAAAATTATAAAAATTTTAATACATCTGTAATATAAAATATTTAGATATAAATACTACAAGTGCAAATGAATTTTTTTTTCTACTTCTGCATTCAACTTTTCTCTTCTCCCTTCAGGGAAAACACTTTTGTGTAAAGGCCTCCAAAATATATGTAGAGGTGTATGTATGTTAAAAACATGTATACATATAATGCATAACCAAACAAATGAAATATCCTAAACATATGGACCTGAAAATTGCTTATAATAAATTTGAACTGAACATATAGGCATAAATGTGGTTCAGAAGTGTCCAGTTGAAGCAACTTCACTTTGTTAGGTCAACAAAAGTTGGGGACACCAAGATCTACTCCTCTGATTTTGTTCTAGCATTATCTTAATGGAAATGTTTACTGAAATGGAAATACATGTAGTGGACATCGTGGTGGTGTCTCAAGCATTCAGTGTTCCCTGCTCTCACACACTCCTAACCAAATAATGAATTTCTCAGCTTCACAATGTTTAAGTGACATGAGTCCCATGCCCAATTCTTGGTCATTGTAATTGGTGCATGGAAGGAACCTGTGCCTTCTGCTAATCAAATCAGAATGAAGTACAACTTTTTCATTCCATGATTGAAGAGGGAAATGCCTTCTTTCCAAATGCAGCAGAGGAAGCATGAGGTACTAGGATTGGAAGTTGTCTACTCATGACATGATATTTTAAGCCATAGAATAAAACTGAGACCTAATGTGTTAGTCCTTTCAGGTCGCTATACCAGAATATCACAGCCTGGATGGTTTATGAACAACATAAATTTATTTCTTACAGTTCTAGAGGCCAGGAAGTCCAAGATCAAGGTGTCAACAGATTCAGGGTCTAATGAGGATTTGTTTCCTGGTTCACAGACAGCTGTCTTTTTGCTGTGTCCTCACATGGTGGAAGGGGCAAGGAAGTTCTCTAAGGTCTCTTTTATAAGGGCACTAATCCCATTCATGAGGGCTCTGTCCTCATGACCTAATCACCCCCCGAAGACCCACTGCCAAATATCATCACACTAGGGATTAGATTTAAACATACAAATTTTGGGGGGGATACAAACATTCAATCTATATCACTTAAGGTAGAGTGAAGAAACAGGGAGGACAAGAAGCATTTATTTTGTGTCATTATTAAACTTCTGCATTAGGCTATCTTGAGCCTATACTATTGTTCAAAATCTCTTTATTATACAAGCCATTTTGAATTTTGATTGTTTGCAACCAAAATTAACCTAATAAGTTAAAATGTACTATAATGTTACATCATAATTTGTCTGTACTAGTAGTATTTGCTAGAGTGTTTAGGGGAATACTTGCTTGTTAACTTTTTAGTAAATATAACACTCCATGTTCAAATACATTTGGGAAATGCTGAGCATTTCACACTTTTAGAGACTCAAAACAGGCAGCACATTTTTAAAAAATAAAAATAAAACCAAATAGCATTGCATTTGGAGAATGGTACAAAAAAAGAGAATTTGATAAACCAGAGTTATCAGAACTCAGTGGATACTATGTGTTAGACATTATTATAAGCCATTAAACATTTTACAAGCTTGATACCTGAGTTAAAAATTAATAACCCAAAGACACATTGGAAGAGAAAAGTTGACATATTTTTATTATATTAATGACCTAAAGATATCATAGCAACTAACCTCATTATAGTCAACAAGTGAATGAACGTAAATAATATTAAATAACTATTGGAAAGTCTCTCTGATTAAGCATGGAAATAAATAGGCAGTGCTTTTGACCAATAAATGGAGGACTTACAATATTTTCCAATACGAAACAAAAAGATTCTAAATGTAAAGGTTTTAGGCACAAAATATGTTAGTCAATTCATGACAGCAGAAATTCAGCAGGTCATATTTTTGGGGTAATGTAAATGACAATAGAAATCATGGACTAAAGTGTAACAAATAAGTAATATCTAGGCAGGTGGAAATTTTAAGATCTTTTAAATTAACTTCTGGACTATAGCAAAAATTCAAACTAAAATTCATCAGGGAGTCAGGGAAGGTCAAATGAAGAAGCATGGGGATTGAGGCAAAAACCCTGAATTATACCAATATTATCTTTTTTTTTATTATTTTTATTTTGAGAGAGGATCTTGCTCTGTTACCCAGGCTGGAGTGCAGTGGTGCAATCATAGTTCACTGCAACCGCGACCTCCTAGGCTCAAGAGATCCTCCCACCTCAGCCTCTTGAGTATCTGGGACTACAGACCCTCATCACCACAACACCCGTCTAATTTATCTATTTTTTGTAAAGATGAGGTCTCACTTTGTTGCTCAGGCTGACAAGTATTATCTTAATGTTATAGAAGAAAAGTAATTCTGGCCATATATAGGTATTATTCTTTGCAGTGGAATATCATTTCAGAAATTTGTGCCAAACATAAAATTAGTTTTCTAGTAGTAAAAAGTAATTAAACTCTTTAAATTATTATTACCCCTAGTATACTGGGGAATGAGTGTGTGTTCCAAATGAAAAAAACTTGGGATGTCTAATGAGATGCTGTTTTCTGTCGCAGAAAATCTATGTAAAATGTTTTTTCTCACGTGTACACTGTTGATATTTGAGACAGCACATGTTAACACTTCAAGAAGTAAAATAAATGTGTTGATTATATCCACAGTTTTCATATTTATTAACTATATATTTTGTTTTTAATGTAATGCCTATTGAAAAACCTGTAAATAGTTGTTTCTTAAAATTGATAAATACTGCCTAAGATTTTTCTGTATATTTTCATATTTCAATTTTCCTGTGAGGTTAGAATGAACACTTTTAGCTAAGACATTTGGGCCTCCAAATCCTAAACCTTTCAGAATGTTAGTTTATTATTTGGTTTTTACCTAAATTATTTTCTGCTTATTCAAGATCCTTAGGTCTATCCAGTTACGTTTTTATTTTTTTATTTTTATTTTTTTATTTTGAAACAAAGTCTCACTCTGTTGCCAAAGCTGGAGTGCATTGGCATGATCTGGGCTCACTGCAACCTCTGCCTCCCAGGTTCAAGTGATTCTCCTGCCTCAACCTCCCGAGTAGCTGGGATTACAGGGGCATACCACCACACCCAGCTAATTTTTGCATTTTTAGTAGAGATGGGGTTTCACCATGCTGGCCAGGCTGGTCTCAAACTCCTGACTTCAGGTGATCTGCCCACCTCAGGATCCCAAAGTGCTGGGATTATAGGCGTGAGCCACCATGCCTGGCTGTATCCAGTTACATTTTTAAGACCAGCCAGGCTTAATATATATTTGGTCTTTAGCTCAATTCAATTTGTTGCATTTTGTCCATTGTACTTCATGTGACACAGAATATATCTTAATTTAAAAAGACATATGTTTGTTGAGCTATCTGTTACGTTGGTATATCTTGGAATTTTAAAAAATATAAACCACAGAAGCCAATTATGGCTGACATTAACAATAAATAGGTTTATCACAGAAATAGTGGGGAACTTGTAGAACTGTTGAGAAGGCTAGAGAGCCAGATCAAAGCTAGGCAGCCAGGAAATGTACCCCAAACCATGCTGTAGAACTCATCCAGGGAGGAAACCACTGTCACCACCAGTAAGAAGTAACACCGAAGATGCAGAGAGCAACAATTGCAGCAATTGCTCAATCCTAGGCTAACTGCAAAGCCACCAGCACCACTCCCACTTGTTCGCTTTGCAACAGATAGCTGCAAAGGAGGCTGAGAAAGCAAGCATTTGACATTTTAGCTTCTAAAGCAGGAGGTGGTTTCTTGTTTTCGTCAAAACTGAGAGGCTGAGGAATTCCTCAAACACAGGAACAAACATCAAATAGTAAATATTCATGCTTTAACTTGCTCAATATCAATATAAACTTTCCCTTTTGAAAGTAAACACGAAAGACCCAAGCTTCCTTCTAACAGAGTGCAACTATTTCTCTAATAATTGAACATGTACCTACAATCTCTTGAACAATGAAACAATAAAAAATTCTCAATCACAGCATGTACTCTAAGTCTAAGAATTCTGGGTTATGTCCATTCCTCTACAAAGTTCTTCACTATACTCTCTTGACATTCTGCCATATATCATTTAAAAATTAAGTTAATCACCCTCAATAAGCCCTGTTTTAAAAAGAGGGATAAATGGAGAGGAAAGAAGGAAAGTTGTTAAGATACATAAGTATGCACAGGACAATACAAGAGAAACAATGTGTTTGGATGTAAAGGCTCTCCTTTCTGCAAGTGGCCAGCAGGTCACTATTGGCATCTATGGCCATGTGCCCTCAGCTAACACCTCTGCTAGTCAGGGTTTTGCCTTGTGAAATGACCAAATATTCATTCCTGACAGAGAAATGTCCTTGATAATCTTTTTGTGTGAGCGTGCCATGGTCATTGTTAATTTCTTTCATTTAACAAAATAATAGACTTTATTTTTTGAGCAGTTTTAGCTTTATGGAAAGATCGAGCAGAAAGTACAGAGTTCTCACATACTGTCACCTTTATCCCACCCCCAGTTTACATTAGAGTTCACTCTTTGTGTGGTACAGGTCTAGGAGTTTTGCAAAACGCATAATGTCATGTACCCATCATTACATTATTACCAACGTATTTTCAATCCCCTAAAAATCGCCTGTTTCAGAACTGTTTATCTCCCTACCCATCCCCAAACTCCTGGCAACCACTGAGCTTTTTTGTTGTTGTTGTTGTTACTTAGTTTTTATTTCATAATCATAAACTTAACTCAACTCTGCAATCCAGCTAGGCATGGAAGGGAACAAGGAAAACATGGAACCCAAAGGGAACTGCAGCAAGAGCACAAAGATTCTAGGATATTGCAAGCAAATGTGGTGGAGGGGTGCTCTCCTGAGCTACAGAAGGAATGGGTCTGGTGGTGAAAATAAAACACAAGTCAAACTCATTAGAATTGTCCACAGTCAGCAATGGTGATCTTCTTGCTGGTCTTGCTATTCCTGTACCCAAAGTGCTCCGTGGCTTCCACAATATTCACACGTTCTTTCACCTTGCCAAACGCCACATGCTTGCCATCCAACCACTCAGTCTTGGCAGCGCAGATGAAAAACTGGGAACCATTTGTGTTGGGTCCAGCATTTGCCATGGACAAGATGCCAGAACCTGTATGCTTTCGGATGAGGTTCTCATCATCAAATTTCTCCCCATAGATGGACTTGTCACCGGTGCCATTAGGGCGTGTGAAGTCACCACCCTGACACATAAACCCTGGAATAATTCTGTGAAAGCAGGAACCCTTATAACGAAATCCTTTCTCTCCAGTGCTCAGAGCACGAAAGTTTTCTGCTGTCTTTGGAATCTTGTCTGCAAACAGTTTGATGGAGATGCGGCCCAAGGGCTTGCCATCCCTGGTGATTTCAAAAAAGACGACGGAGTTGACCATGGCTGATAGTACAGGGCTCACAGCGATGGTGGCGTCTGCAAAGATAACCACTGATCTTTTCACTGTCTTTATAGTTTGGCCTTTTCCAGAGTGTTGTATAGTTGAAATCACAGTATGTACCCTTTTCAGACTGGCTTCTTTCACTTAGCAAAATGTCTTTGTTTTTCTGTATCTTTTTGTGGCTTGATAGTTTTTTCCTTTTAGCACTGAATAATATTCCACTGTAGGAATATACCACATTTTGCTTATGCAGTCACCTATTGAAGGACATCTTGGTTGCTTCCAAGTTGTGGCAGTCTTCATTTCTTTCTTTCTTTCTTTCTTTCTTTCTTTCTTTCTTTCTTTCTTTCTTCTTCTTTTTTTTTTTTTTTTTTTGAGACAGAGTCTTGCTCTGTCACCCAGGCTGGAGTGAAGTGGCACAATCTCAGCTCATTGCAACCTCCGCCTCCCAGGTTCAAGTGATTCTCTTCCTCAGCCTCTGGAGTAGCTGGGATTACAGGTGTGCACCACCACGCCTGGTTAGTCTTCAGGAATATTTACAGGACTGTATAGAATTAGGAGCCATCAAAGGGGATCCCTGAATTCTTTCTGTTTTTCTTACAAATACCAGTTTTAAGGTCAAGATTTACTACCCCATGCCACAGTGTAGCCGCATTTTAAATTTTAAATTTTTGACTGTTTGTTTAAAGGTCTCAGGCAACCTAAAAGGCTAGATAGAAGTCTCTCATCCTCTAACGAAGGATGGATTGTAAAATGGAATACTGCTAAGACTCTCCCTTTGGGTACTAATTCTGCAAAAACCTAGAATCTCAGAGACAAGAGACAAGTATTTGGAGTGGATCATTAGATGTAATGACAAAAGGAGTCACTTCAACATTCATAACAAATATCAAAGATTGTTGTATTTTTTATATAGGAGACACCAGACAAGCTTATACTTAGTTACTAGTTCAGAGGATACACCACCACATCCTCTAGCATGAGTACAACCTTATAAGCCATTGTCTCCAGCTGGCACTGTGATTGAGTCTTTAATAAAATATTCACCATTCTGTAATAATAATAATTTTGGTTAGTGATAGGATAAATGGTGGACCAGGTGAGTCCAATGAATATCTACTCATTTGTTATACAACAAGTTCTTTTAAGAGAAGGATGTAGAACAGGATATTATGGCAGTATATATAAGGCATTCAATGTACCCGTGGAGAGTGGCGATCAGAGAAAAATGATGTCAGGTAAAGCAAATGTAATTCAAGGTTAAAGGTAGATTCCATTTACAAAATTCCTTGTTGCCTTTATCATAGAGGAGTTCCAATAAAATCAACAAGTCTGACAAAAGGTGACTGGTTTATTCACCCAGGATATGTTATTGTGTGCTTAGCCTTGGACTTTGTTGCTTGTGTGTTGGACACCTAATAGTCTTGACAGCTAAATAGGCTTTTGTAAGCGAGAGTGGTAAAGTCCAACATGTTGCTGAACCTATGTGTATTCTCTACTGCTACCACCAATGTTGCTGTTTATTAGCCTTCTAAGCAAGCAATGTAGTGCCTGGTGAAAGAGATTGTTTCATACCTTCATATCTATTTGATAACCTTCCTGATGATAGTTTGGTGAGCATTCGTATTAAGCACAAATATTCTTACACTCTGGCTCATTTTCTGTGGTTCATCTACATATTTTTTCCCCAAAACTCATTGCCACCAATCCTTCAGTCTTTGTCTTTCCGAGTCCCTAATTATCTTTTCTTTTCTTTTTTTTTTTTTTTTTTTGAGACAGAGTTTCGCTTTGTTGCCCAGGCTGGAGTGCAGTGGTGCAATCTTGGTTCACTGCAACTTCTTCCTCCTGGATTCAAGAGATTCTCCTGCCTCAGCCTCCCAAGTAGCTAGGATTGCAGGCACACACCACCACATCTGGCTAATTTTTGTATTTTTAGTAGAGACGGAGTTTCACCATGTCAGCCAGGCTGGTTTCGAACTCCTGACCTCAGACAATCCACCTGTCCTGTCCTCCAAAAGTTCTGGGATTACAGGTGTGAGCCATCAGGCCTGGCCCCAAGTCCCTAATTATCTAGACAAATTATTAGCTGCCACATATACATCAATAATATCTCTCCTTCTAGACATCGTGGACAACCAATTACATAGGCTGAATTTCTTTTAAAATTGCATTCACGTAGGTTATAATGCCTAAGCAATCTACTTTTGGCTGCTGCTGTGATGTTGTACAGTGACTTCTGTAAATCAGGCTCAATTTTTCCCTCACTAATCAACTGGCCATAGAGAACTTCCCATGAAGACATAGGTATAGATTCTATTATTCCTACCTGCTGATGAAGCAGGATAGTTAATTGGAAAACACTTATTTCATGATAAGCAGCTCATGTTGTCATATTTTTTTGCATTGATAGGACTTCAGTTTCTACAATGGTCCAGGATCAATCAAGAGTTCTTTAAAGAAAACATTTATTTTGTCAAAGAAATGCATTTTGTTCCAAATCCTAAGAACAATAGTAGTGGTGTGTCAGAGGCTCTATTGCATCTGGATATAAAAACAAAGGGGCACAATATTCCTGACCAGTTGGGAATTATTATCTTCATCTCAATCCCATCAAAATGTGGCAGCATGACAAGTCATGAAGTAAAAGGACCAGGTGATAAAATGAGGTCTCCAAAATCCAAAGCATCAAAGTTCTCAGTTAGTGGTCAGGGCTGCAAAGTGCCATAATTTTGCACTTTGGAAGGTATATCTTGAGAATATTGAGTGTATGAGACAAGTTAAAAGGTCATGCAGCCAGACGCGGTGGCTCACGCCTGTAATCCCAGCACTTAGGGAAGCTGAGGTGGGCGGATCATGAGATCAGGAGTTCAAGACCAGCCTGGCCAATATGGTGAAACCACATCTCTACTAAAAATACAAAAATTAGTGGGGCATCGTGGTGCCCTCCTGCAGTCCCAGCTACTTGGGAGGCTGAGGCAGCAGAATCGCTTGAACCCTGAAGGCGAAGGTTGCAGTGAGCTGAGTTGGCGTGACTGCATCCAGCCTTGGCAACACTGCGAGACTCTGTCTCTTAAAAAAACTAAAAAAATAAAAATAAAAAAAATTTAAAAGTTCGTGATTAACACCTCTGTTAGCCTCTGATCTTTATAATAATTATCACACACACACAAACCAAACACCACACATAGAGGAAACAGTAAAAGATTAAAGGACACAGCTAAAAATACATTTGTATTATTACTTCCCAAAGTTCTAAAATTATCAGAAGGGACTAGTGAATCTTTAAAAAATATTGATTATCCAACACTTTTTAATAACCAGTATAATTGCATTGAAGGCTACTGAACATGCACATGTTCCTAAAATTTTTCTGTTATGGTGTCTGGTTTGCGAAAGGAACAAAATTAAACATAGTTCCTTGGCAATTTTTCCCTCTTCCACTCTACTAATTGGCGTATGTGCGATGTGTGTTTATTGTAAAATAGGAATAAGATTCAGAGGTCAAGAATCAAAGTGAGTCAGAGTAGGAAAAGCCAGACTCAAGCATAACAGAAGGGCAGAGCCTGTCAAACCCCAAAATTAAAGGGTAAATTTCAACACAAGTAGAAGTGGTTCAAAAGCTAAGGGCATCCTCATAGTTCATGAAAAACAAGTATTCACGCAGGTAGCAGACTCTAATCTGCTTCAAGCCAATGTGCTATTCTCTTCGTGTTATTTATATCCCTCAGAATACCTCAAAGTTCCCAAGAGCAGTCAGTATTTAACTCTAAACTATATCATCTATATGATATATTTATTATATATAATATATATATTTATTATTTGTATAATACATATTATATATTTATTATATATTATATTTATATTGATTATATATAATATATATATATTTATTATTATATATTTTTTTGAGACGGAGTTTTGCTTTTGTTGCCCAGGCTGGAGTGCAATGGCGCTATCTCGGCTCACCACAACCTCTGCCTCCCAGGTTCAAGTGATTCTCCTGCCTCAGCGTCCTGAGTAGCTGGGATTACAGGCATGTGCCACCACGCCTGGTTAATTTTGTATTTTTAATAGAGAAGGGGTTTCTCCATGTTAGTCAGGCTGGTATTGAACTCCCATCCTCAGGTGATCTGCCTGCCTCGGCCTCCCAAAGTGCTGGGATTATAGGTGTGAGCCAACGTGCCCAGCCAACTATGTAATATTTTAATTGTGTAGTGATAACCCTCATCAAAAGAAGTATTCATTATGGTCAGTGTACTCTGCTTATTTACCACTGAAGCTTAACACAAAATTGTTGAAATAAACATGCATATTGAAGTACTTAGCTAGCTATTGAGGCAATACAGGTTTCTAGATTTACTCATTTTTTTCACTGTACACACATGTCGTGTGTGTCATGATAAACCCATGTGTGTGCATATATTGATTAAATATTATATTTCTTTTTACTTTTATTATTATTATTGAGAAAAGATCTCACTCTGTCGCCCAGGCTGGAGTGCAGCGGCACAATCTCGGCTGCCTGCAGCCTTGTCCTCCCAAAGCCCTAGACCCTGTAACATAATGGAATATGTATGTTTCTAATTTGTGCAATATGGAAGCAGGAATACTACATAGAACTGTCATCTTTTCCTATTGCATTTATTTTGGTGTGGAAAAATATAATAATTGGCTTCAGTCAGTAAGTCTATTTCATTCAAGAATATTTAAATATAATCCAAACCATCTTAGGTACATTTTGTGATACAAGAGGATGGTATCTTCTATTTGGAAATATAAAATCCCAGGGTCTCACAGTTTAAGTATACTTTCCATGGGTATGTATAAAACAAGAATCCCACTTTACAAAGTTAATAGAAAAAATATATGCTAATTGGAAGGAGAGGCTTCTGATTGAGGATAAAGTGGAAATTTTCACATACTGCTAATTACACTTTAATGGAGTAAGAAAAAAAGAATTGGAAATAGTACCCTATAAAACTTCTGAAATGAAATTACAGTTTCTCTCTCTCTCTTTTTTTTTTTTTTTTCTTGAGACGGAGTTTCGCTCTTGTTGCCCAGGCGAGAGTGCAATGGCGCTATCTCAGCACACTGCAACCTTCACCTCCCGGGTTTAAGTGATTCTTTTGCCTCAGCCTCCCAAGTAGCTGGGATTACAGGCATGCACCACCATGCCCAGCTAATTTTTTGTATTTTTAGTGACCCACCACGCCTGGCTGTCTCCTCTTTTTAGAATTAGGAGAACTGATTTTTTTCAGTGCTAAACTGGCACTGTCCTATGTTTTCAAGAAAGCAATATGGTGAAACGAAAGAGCCTGGATAGCATGTTTTGTTAGCTGGCGTCTAGTTCTTTAAGTTCCATGAGTCTATTGTGTCTTCTTTACATCTCAAAAAGAAGAGAGAAGAAACCTGCATCTAATTACTGAAGCAGTTTCATTCAGCAAATGTAATTGCATCGCAGGCACATCTCAAATTAAAAATCTTCATCTTGGTCTCTGTCATTTCCATTTTAAACTGGGACTGAATAACCTGTTTTACCACTCAAAATAATAGCCAGTGTCTCTTTCTTATTAAAATATGTGATCTTTTGCTTGATTACCTAATTATGTCACCTGCACCTTACATGAGGCAGATAGAAGAGTCTTCCAGTCTGCCAGAGCAGATCTACCAAACTAGACTGCACATACAAATTACCTGGGGATCCTGATAAATTACAGATTCTGAGTCTGCTTTCAAACAGGGCCTCAAGTCAAGCTGATGGTATTAGTCCCAGGATCCCTCACTGAGTAGCAAGGTCTTACAATTAAAAAGTGTGCAAGTATAAGGCCGGGAGCAGTGGCTCATGCCTGTAATCCCAGCACTTTGGGAGGCCAAGGCGGGTGGATCACCTGAGGTCAGGAGTTCGAGACCAGCCTGGCCAACATGGTGAAACCCCGTCTCTACTAAAAATACAAAAAAATTAGCCAGGTGTGGTGGCACGCACCTGTAATCCCAGCTACTCAGAAGGCTGAGGCAGAAGAATTGCTTGAACCTGGGAGGTGGAGGTTGCAGTGAGTCAAGATCACGCCACTACACTCCAGCCTGGGCTCCAGCCTGGGCAACAACAGCAAAACTCCATAAAAAAAAAAAAAAAGTGCAAGTTTATAAACATGGAAACGTGGACAATTGTAAGCAATATTAGAGAACTGTAGAAAACAATTTTTTAAGTGATATGTTTAACCTATTTAGAATAAAACCCATTATGGTCCTAGGAATTTCTGGAACTGCCTTACTTGTGAGAAACATGATCCTAAGATGCCCATTTGTTTATCAGTACATCAATTTTCTCCTTCTTGAATTGGTATCATTATTTTCTTCCAAGAAGCCTAGCACACTTTTGTTGTTGTCATTGAAAGAGGGCATATAAGGGTTATGGCTGCTATTTGGAGAAATGCATTAGAAAATAAAAAGCTTGAAAAAGTTGTATTACTGAGAAAAAAGTTGAATGAAAATAAGAAAGATTAAATTGAAATAAATAATGAATCAGTAAGGTATGCACTGTTAAACACTTGATGGGATTTCCCAAGTATCGACATGCTGATAACTTGAAATAAGAATGGGAGAAAAGGTCAATCTGAATTCTTAAAATGTTGAAGGCTGGGAATAAGAAGTAATATATCACAGAATCTGATAGAAAAATTTTTATTTATTTTATGGGAGAAATGGGAGACTAACAGACAATAGGAATAGGAAAGAATTAATAGAAATAGCAAAAAGAAGTGTATCTGCAATTATTAATATAATACAAGAGGACATTGTGTAGAGATATTTAAAGAAAGATTGATGAAATTTAGATTTATGGAGAAATATCCTAATAAAGACATTATTTATAATCAACTGTTCATCATTATTATATAATTCTGACAGTTTTTAGGTTATAAATGTAAGGCAGAATGATCTAATATAAAATGTATAAATGGGACAACATATAATTTTGCTTAGGAAGTTGAATAAATAAAGTAGTGATTTACAATTTGCATTAATATAAAAAAATTTAAAAAATGGTTTACATTTTGTTTGAAATGGATGATAAACAGGAAAAGAGTAATTTAGTACATTGAGTAATTTAGTACATTGGTTACCAAAGAAATACAAATTGAAACTATAAGATGCCTTCTCCCATCTTTGTCAGATTTGTAGGTATAAAAACAGTAGTAGTTGTATTCGTTGGAGAACAGAAAGATGACACTTTCATATGCGGCTGATTAGAGCACAGATTGGTATATTATTTCTGAGATGCAATTTGAAAATATGTACCATCAGCCTCAAAGATGATTATGACCATGTGTCACTACTTTCTTGGAAATCATTATTAATGCATGTATAGATTGATGTTTACTGTAGTATTACTTAACATAATGAGTTGAGTACAACCTTCACTCCCAAAAAACATGAGGTAGGGGTGAACTAGTTAAATATACAATCACAATGAGCTATGACAAAATGCAGTTACTTAAAAGCACATTTATAAAACTATTAATGGCAATAAACATGATTTAATATAATGTTTTCAAAAATTAGGGGAATTCTATTCCCAGCATTGTGGTAGACTAAATTTGCTGAATCACTATGCTGCTATATGAAATCTACAAATACCAGATAAAATGTACATGTCATTTTTCAAAAGTATATTACTGACTTGAATAGAAACTAAGGTGAACCACATAGGCCAAGCATAAGGAGAATACATAAATCCAGAGAGGTATGCAGACCCCCAAACCAGAAGCTTCCATAAGGACAGTCCTGGTCCTAGTACCCTGAGCTTCAATTTTTATGACCACCTGGGATATGGGAGAGTGTGAGACAAAACCTAGTGCCTGCCCAGTATAGCAGTCTTACAGGAGAAAACTGCTGAAAGCCACAGATACGAAGGACTATAATTTCAGGGAAAGGATAAACTAGATAAAAACCTGTTCCTCAGGGGGAGACAACCAGGAAATTTTCCTGCCTCAAACTCGGTGCTATTTAGAGGAAAAATGAGAAGGCCATCTTCACATGAATTTGTGGTTTAAATTTTCACTGTAAGTATAAGTTAAAAAAAACCCACACATGAAACTGATAATTTATTTTATAGTTATCCCATGTTGGTATTACCACCAAACACAAGACGAAGGCAAAGTGTCTTTGGAGAAACCCACATTCAGCCCATGTCTCAAAGAATGGCCACAGGTAAAATTTCATCCAAAATGAGAAAAAAGTAAGACTCTTACAAAACTCATGAGGAAATAAACATCATGAGCAGAAACAGAATTATGCCCATAAAGATTTCAGATATTAGGACGATTATATAACTATAAAAGCTGTGTTTAATATGTTTAAAAAATCAATGAGGTGTGCCAGGAATATAAATTGAGACAGTGTATGTATCTTATATTAAGCAGATTGAAACTGAATTTAAGAGATCTTTTAGAAATAAAAAATATAATGAAAATTAAAAACTAAATGGACAGGTTAAACACAATATTGGATAGAACCAAAAAGAAAATAAGTGAGTTGGAAGTTAGACTAAACAAATTATGCTGAAGACAGTACAGAGGAGGAAAGGAAAATGGATATGTGAAATAGAGGTTGAAAAATTAGAGTATCTAATCATATCTGCAAAAGAAAAATTGAATTGAGGGAAGGTTATATTTAAGGTTATATTTAATATCTGAGGGCTTTTCGTCATTGGAATTTATTAATGTTCAAGGAAACCTGGAAAGTTTTCTAACACATTAAAGGAGCTTTAATTATAAGTTCCAAATTCTTCTTAGAAGAAGAGAACCAGCAGGCCCAGACATTTTTACTGGTGAGTTCTATCAAATGTTTTCAAGAAATGGATTATTTCCATTTTATAAAAACAACTCCAGAATAAAAAAAGGTCCATTTGTTCGTTCATTTTATGAGGCCAGTACAACCTTGATACCAATGTTATATGAGAAATGTGTAAGACAGGAAAATTACATGCCAACTTTCCTCATGAACCTAACGGCAAACATTTTAAATTAAAAGTTAGCAAATTAAGTTTAGAAGTCTATAAAAAATATAGTATGAAAATTGTGTTTGTTCCATGAATGCAAGGATTTCTAACAATAGAAAAAAAAAACTATGTATAATTCATCACATTAACAAGTTAAAGGAGGAAAAGCAAATCATCATTGTAGGAGAGGCAAAAAGTGAATTCAATAAAATAAAATATTTAACTTTGACAAATCTTGTTTAGCAAACAAGAAATAGAAGAGCTTTCAGTGTTTGCTTATAAATCAGAAACTATTCTTCGTCTTTCAAGCAGAGGTGATTTAATACAGGTGATTGATTACACAAGTGATGGAAGCCAAACCAGGCTTGGTGAGTCAGCAGCCCATATTTAATATATTTATATATTAAATATTTAATTATACTTCAAAACTTTTATGTACACTATAATCTCATTATTGTTTTCTATACTATTATATGCAATATACAAATACAGAAATACAGAAATGTACCTCAGTTTGAAAGAGAATTTGAATATGAGGCAAAAAGATACCCCCAAATTATAGTTACATTACAAGAATTGAATTTAAGAAGGAAGAAGCAAATTGCAAGAGATAAGGCCAAGCCTCTTTAGTAATGATCATTCTAAATCCAATTGGTATAAATTTAGGAACGCACAACTGGATTGCAGTGTAACTAAGAAAGTTTGTGTGTCAATAACCATATTTATCCTATGTGAAGAAATAATAGTTTCATAGGAGAAGGTTAATTGGCATGGAGTCTGTAAAAGAGAAGTTTGGATAGATGATTGAGCTATGTATTTGTCAAATAATATCTAAAGGTAAAAAGAGATCTAGTTCACAGAGGCGAATCTCTGATTTTTTAATTTGCATTAACAGAAACAACATTGGAAGGGAGTATATTAAGATTTTAATAGTGACTATTTCTGCCAATGGTTTCTGTTTTATTGTTTACTATTTTTGGTATATTTCCAATGTTTCTTAATAAGTGTTTATTATTTAAAAAATGAGAAAACAGCAATGAGTAATTCAGTAAAATAACATTTTTCAAAATTGTGACTGCTATGATTATGAGCCAATTATGAAAGAAAGAGACACAGATAGAAATAGGGTGACCAATCTTTCAACTTACTCAGGAATGAAGGATTTTCTGGATGGGGGATTTTTGTTGCTAAAATCGGGACAGTAGGGGACATATTGGGACTGTGGAAAAACCCTACAGGGATTTATTTCCTAACTATGAATTTCTATCTTGGTCTAGAGACGACTGTTCTCATAAATAGGTAGAATAGATGTGGTATTTCTGGAATGAGATTTAACATCTTTACGTAGCTTGCCCTATTAAAAGTAGACAAATGCTTGTGAGAGAATATCATATACTTTTGAAAGCTAATGTCTTAACTAATTCGCTGTGAGCAAAGCTCTTGAAGACTGTGATGTAACAGAGATTCCTAGGTATCAGTGAAGATACGGAGATGAAAAAGGGAAGTTGAAAAAAGAAGCTGAGAGATAAGCATGGAAATCATTTTCCAAACTCATTTTTCCAATCTCCATTTTCCTGTATTGAGAAGTGAAAATATGTTTTCTAGAGATAAAGTTCTAGAAATGAACTCTGACATAGATATTTTAAAACCCATTTCAGAAACAAAATAATATGTGAACCTAGAGTAGTTGTAATTTATGTCCTTTTGTCTGTCTTTATCCTGTAGTTAAGTTTCCCTTGGGATCTCTTTGGGAAAATGGAGTACTGCATTTTACAAGGCAGGACTTGAATTTTCGTTCTTTTCCTTCTTTCTCTCTCTCTTTCTTTCTTTCCTTTTCTTCTTTCTTCTTTCTCTCTTTTTCTTTCTTTCTTCCTTTCTTTCCTTCCTTTTTCTTTTCTTTCTTTCTCTCTTTCTTTCTTCCTCTCTCTCTTTTTCTCTTCTTTCTTTCTTTCTTTGTTCCTTTCTTCTTTCTTTCTTCTTTTCCTTCCTTCCTTCCTTCCTTCCTTCCTCTTCTTCCTTTCTTTCTCCTTTCTTTTTTTTTTTTTTTTGACATGATCTCACTTTGTCACCCAGGCTAGAGTGCAGTGATGTGATCATAGCTTAATGCAGCCTCTCTCTCCTGGGCTCAAGCAAACCTCCCACCTCAGCTTCCAGAGTACCTGGGGCTACAGCTGCGTGCCACCATGCCCAGCTAAAGGACTTGAATTTTCTTACATATCTTGGCCCTATAGAGTGGTTCTCAACCTCGGCTGCACATGTCTATTACCTGAGAAAAGTTTTAAATAACCTAATACTCAGGTCACACCCTAGACTTTAGGGGTGAGACAAGCATTAATATTTTTTTAACACTCTTAGAATTAAGAGCCACTAATATTGTAGCACTGCAATTCCTATAAAGAGAACAGATGTGAGTCGATTTGTTACAGTATTGTTGTATTCATCTGTTTTCATGCTGCTGATAAAGACATACCTGAAACCAGGCAATTTACAAAAGAAAGAGGTTTAATGGACTTACAGTTCCACATGGGTGGGGAGGCCTCACAATCATGGTGGAGGACAAAGAGGAGCAAGTCACATCTTACATGGATGGCAGCAGGCAAAGAGACAGCTTGTGCAGGGAAACTCCCATTTTAAAAATGATCAGATCTCATGAGACTTACTCACTAACCCAAGAACAGCACAGGAAAGACCCATCCTCATGATTCAGTTATCTCCCACTGGGCCCCTCCCACAACATGTGGGAATTATGGGAGCTACAAGATGAGATTGGGTGTGGACACAGCCAAACCATATCAATTGTCATCACTCAAGGCAGATGAGTATATAGAAAGCTATCAGTTGTAAGGAATTGGACTAAGTTTAAGAGAATAATAATTAAGATAGAACAAATGTTTGGTCCTGCTTAAGGGCTAGGATAGATGAGGCACAATAGAATCATGTGGGGAGCTGTAAAAATGCCCAGGCCCTACTCTGTGTCAATTAAATCAGAATCCAGAATCTCTGCTTGAGTGTGTCTAGAGTATTGGTCAAAGGAAACAGTGATTTTGATGTGCAGCCAGTTAAGAGCTGATATCCTCAAGGATCATGATGTGACACAGCTGTTTCAGAAGGGTAAATCTCCATACTCCCACTTTAGAAGAAAAGAAAAGGCAAAATGACAAAACAATCAAGCAAAAGGGCTGGAAGAGCTGGTAGATAACAGGGTGTCAACTTGAATTAATTCAGCTCTTTGGTAAAGATTAGCTGGAGTAAAGAAATTCCAGTTAGTCAAATGGGATGAATGTCCTTTTATGGAAACCATATCATGCTTTTTGAATGATCTGAGAAAGACTGGAAGCATTAGAGGTGAAGTATATCCATTTGCTCAATGGGAGAAGATTTTGTTTTATTTTATTTACATAATGTGATATGCTTGGCCATCTGCAGTAGTGCCTGAAAGGGGATGTAAAACGGAAAATGTAGTCAGTGAGACTGATTAATAACCATGGGTAGAAAAATAGGCCAAGTGGAAAAACTTATTCATATAATTGCTTCATTTTGCTGACTGCAAAAGGATTTGTTTTGGAAGTGATTTCTGCTCTTTAACCTAGTGGATTGATAGATCACAGAAAGGTCTTAGAAATGACATTACGTAATTTTGTTCATAACATGAAATTAGCTTGAATCAAAAAATGTATACCTTTTTTTGTATCTACCTTCTAAGACATTTGTCTTGAGAAATTAATGATTCTACAACATAAATAGTCATTGTGAAAGGAAGGAAAAAGATAACAGAGGGCTTTCATAATAATCATGGACTCAAGATTATCTAATTTAAAAAGACATATCTCATTTTCCTTTATTTAAACATAAAACAAATGAGAGAAAACAGAAATAGCTCATAATTTTATTTGTCTGATAAAACATGCTGACATAAAAATATAATTCATGCACCCAGTAAGAAAATCAAAAAATTAAATAAAGGTAAAAATGAAATATAAAATTCTCTTTCCTCTAGTCTCTTACCCCCAGACATCTAGAATCTCTCCTTAAGATAATCACTGTTGACAATTTCTTGAGTATCTTTTTAAAAATGACCTTAATACACATCCCCCATATAGAATATAGATCTTAAACAAGTTAGAAAATAAAATTTTATCTTTTAGTATTACACAAAAGGATGTTCAGAACTAGGCTTTGTATTTTTTTTTTCTAGAGATGAGGTCTCACCGTGTTGCCCAGGTTGGTCTCAAACTCCTGGGCTCAAGCAATCCTCCCGCCTCAGTCTCCAAAAGTGTTGTGATTACAAGCATGAGATGAAGTCTTGCCTGGCCTAGGCTTTCTATTTTTGTTTAATAATTTACCTTCAAGATATTCTTAACTTTTAACAACTGTATTGTATAAATATATTTTTTATTTAAACAATAGGCTACCAATAACATTAATAACATATCTTGGTTTATGTATTTTACAAGATTCTCCATGTGATAAATTCCAACCTGAGAAGTTGCTATAGAACATATGAATTTAACATTTTTTAATTGCTGTGATCTAATATGATCCTAAAACATGGCCCTAGTTTATATTCCTATGAGAATGTCTAATACCTACACTCTTGCTAACATTGACTGCTATTGCATTTTAAAGACTCAATAATTTGGTTGGATTGATGTTGAACATCTTCTGTTATTCCTGGCCATTGCATTTCTTTTTCTACCTATTAATCTCCCTTGTATAATATTGCATTATTTGTCTTTTTTGTCTCATTTATCGACAAAGATTAAAGTTATTGGCAGTAGTGAAAATGGAGAAAAAAATCAAAATTCAAATACTGTAGAGTACAATATTTTGGAGAATAATTTGATTCTATATATTGAAATTTAAATTGTCTTTAATCTTTGACCCAGTTATTCTATTTCTAGTAATTTTTCTACCCAAATAATAATTCAGGAAGAAAACCTTTACAGAGATTATTCTTATAATGTTTGTGATACAATATTTACGGGCAACATAAATTCTCATCCAGAGATTGGAGTAAATATTATATAGTATATCTGTAGAATGAAATGTACCTTGCTGTTTAAATGAATAAATTAGTTATTATCATAAAATAAATGTCATGTAAAGACATTTATTTTATGGTGTATAAAATTAGAAAAACAAGTTATTAACAAAACATGATTTTTTGTAAAATGCTTTTATTTTGTTTTTAATTGACATAATAATTGCACATGTTTATGGGGTACAGTGTGGTGCTTTAGTGCATGTGTACATTGTGTAATGGTCAAATTTAAAAATTACATGTATTGACAGAAAAAGTGTTTGGATATTTGTATCCTAAATGCTAACAGTGATGATATCTGGAATGTGGAACTGCTGGTAATTTTTCCCTTTTTCTTTTAGAGATTTTTGTACTTATTTTTAATAATAAACATATACTAATTTTATAATAAAAATAACAATGAAGTCCTTTCCATTTTGAAAAATTAATTCCAATAGAAAAATACTGTACTCGAGCCACTTTCCAGGGTTTTCTTATTCTTAGTGCTGGTATAAGGTACCAGTGATATTATATTTTCAGATATGTTTGGCTTTTCTGCCTTATGGTTGAAGATGAGCTTAGGAAGTATTGCTGCCTAATTTTCAGGCTTTTGAGCCAATGCTTGGTGCACAAAAAGCACCACATCAACTTTAAACAGAATATTCTGCTTCTTTAGACTGTATTTCCTACTTTTTATAGTATTTATTAGCGCCAGAACTCTGTGACTGTTTGTTTCCCAAAGAACAAGAGAGAAAGATCAAGGAAATTGAGAAGCAATGAAACTAGATTTAATTAATACTCTGGCTTGTCAGCAGCTTTCATGAAAGATTTGTTTGTTGAAGAAGTTGAACCTATTAGCTTAAACAGGGATTAACTCTGCCAACTCTGACAGAGCATGGACAATTAAGAGTTTATTGGAAATTAATTGAAAATAATACAGTGTTGTGAGGTGGGATGAAGATGATTTCCTTTAAGGAAATTATGCCAAGTGTTTTGAATCAGCCAAGGATAAACAAATGCAGACTATCATTTGATGGAGGTATTATAAACTGATAACATGATTCGAAGTATAAGAATGGCAAATTGTGAAGAATGAATAAAATTACAGAGATAAATAGCAAAAATGTGAAACTAAAATAAAGAGGAACAGTGAGTAAATGGGGTTAGCTGAGAATATGGTTTAACAGGGCATACTCTATTCATTTATGAAGAAATTTTAATCCTCAAAATGCTACTTGTCTTAGTCTGTGTAGGCTGCTGTAACAAAATACCACAAGCTGAGTAACTTATAAACAACAGAAATTTCTTACAGTTGTGCAGGCTGGGAAGTCCAATATTAAGGCAGATTCAGCATCTGGGGTGAGGTTCACCCTTCTGGCTCATAGATGGCAACTTCCTGCTGTATCCCCATACTTTGGAAGGGGCCAATGAGCTCTCTGGGATCTCTTTTATAAGGGCACAAATCCCATTCATGAGAATCTTGTCCTCATGACCTAATCACCTCCCCAAGGCTCTATCTCCTAACACGAGTAGCTTGGGGGTTAGGATTTCAATATACAAATTTGGGGGGACATAAACAGTCAGTCTGTGACATTGCCATTTCATCAGTAAGAATTTTCATGAACTCACTATTAAGATTTATGTTTAGGTTTTTTATGCGGATGTTCTCACTTTATAATATTGTTTGTCTGCATAGTTTAAAGAAAAGGACAATGCCCAATTAGAACAGGAGGTGTCTTTTGTTGGCCAGCAAAATATTTTAAGATGCCTTGAGTGTGACCCTACATAGAGATCATCAAGGTAACATCATTTTGTTCTTGTTCTAGATCCACATGTTTCACTCAAGATCCCAGAAAGAAAATGTATGAAAACACATTGGAAGACAATAATCCATCCTTACAATGCTAGCCAATGTTTATTATTGCTTTCTATGTGTGAGGAATTGTGTTAAACACTTAAAAAGATGTTATCCCTCATAATTATCATAACACCTGAAGAAGTAGGTGGGGTGATTTTCTCCAATTTAGATATTATAGGAACTGAAACACTTGCCCACTAAACAGGCAATTGAAAGAGATAGGATTTCTATAGAAAATTGCCAGCTCCACAGCTAGTGTTCCTATTCTCATCATTAGTGTTCCCTTAGTGGTTTTGATATTACACCTAATACTATTTAATACAAAATTAAAGCATCCACCCTATTCTGGGATTTACTGTCAAGAATAGAGCACTGAGCCTGATAAACAGTATCCACTTTGGAATGCATGTTTCTATCCAGCTACTTAATATGACATAAGTTCATTGGACATTAAGGCCAGATTTCTTGACATGCTTTACCCTCAAATTAACAAGTTTGGCTTATTCAATTATGGACCTTTAACCCTTAGGCCAGATAGTATATGAGGCCTAGAGTAGTGGAAAAAGGTAACTGGATTTACAAAATATGACTCTTCAAATTCTGTAAGAATTCAATATATTGAGGAACGTTTAGGTGCATAGTAAAATTATAATTTCATATTGTTGCACAGACTCAGGCAGATGAAAGAGACTCCAATAGTGGTCAGGTAGTACCCAGACAGTCAGTTGATTGTCTCTGTGCTGAAAGGATTTAAAGATGAAGAAGAGTTTGCTCCAATGTATGTTTCAATATCTCATTGTTTTACAATAATATTTGAAATAATACCTAGGAACCCAACTTACAAGGGATGTGAAGGACCTATTCAAGGAGAACTACAAACCACTGCTCAAGGAAATAAAAGAGGACACAAACAAATGGAAGAACATTCCATGCTCATGGATAGGAAGAATCAATATCGTGAAAATGGCCATACTGCCCAAGGTAATTTATAGATTCAATGCCATCCACATCAAGCTACCAATGACTTTCTTTACAGAATTGGAAAAAAACTACTTTAAAGTTCATACGGAAACAAAAAAGAGCCCGCATTGCCAAGTCAATCCTAAGTGAAAAGAACAAAGCTGGAGGCATCACGCTACCTGACTTCAAACTAGACTACGAGGCTACAGTAACCAAAACAGCATGGTAGTTGTACCAAAACAGAGATATAGACCAATGGAACAGAACAGAGCCCTCAGAAATAACACCACACATCTACAACCATCTGATCTTTGACAAACCTGACAAAAGCAAGAAATGGGGAAAGGAATCCCTCTTTAATAAATGGTGCTGGGAAAACTGGCTAGCCATATGTAGAGAGCTGAAACTGGGTCCCTTCCTTACACCTTATACAAAAATTAATTCAAGATGGATTAAAGACTTACATGTTCGACCTAAAACCATAAAAACCCTAGAAGAAAACCTAGGCAATACCATTCAGGACACAGGCATGGCAAGGACTTCATGTCTAAAACACTGAAAGCAATGGCAATAAAAGCCAAAATTGACAAATGGGATCTAATTAAACTAAAGAGCTCCTACACAGCAAAAGAAACTGCCATCAGCGTGAACAGGCAGCCTACAGAATGGGAGAACATTTTTGCAATCTACTCATCTGACAAAGGGCTAATATCCAGAATCTACAATGAACTCAAACAAATTTACAAGAAAAAACAAACAACCCCAACAACAAGTGGGCGAAGTATATGAACAGACACTTCTCAAAAGAAGACATTTATGCAGCCAACAGACACATGAAAAAATGCTCATCATCACTGGCCATCAGAGAAATGCAAATCAAAACCACAATGAGATACCATCTCACACCAGTTAGAATGGCGATCATTAAAAAGTCAGGAAACAACAGGTGCTGGAGAGGATGTGGAGAAATAGGAACACTTTCACACTGTTGGTGGGACTGTAAACTGGTTAAATCATTGTGGAAGACAGTGTGGTGATTCCTCAAGGATCTAGAACTAGAAATACCATTTGACCTAGCCATCCCATTACTGGGTATATACCCAAAGGATTATAAATCATGCTGCTATAAAGACACACGCACACGTATGTTTATTGCGGCACTATTCACAATAGCAAAGACTTGGAACCAACCCAAATGTCCATCAGTGATAGACTGGATTAAGAAAATGTGACACATATACACCATGGAATACTATGCAGCCATAAAAAAGGATGAGTTCATGTCCTTTGTAGGGACATGGATGAAGCTGGAAACCATCATTCTCGGCAAACTATCACAAGGACAAAAAACCAAACACCACATGTTCTCACTCACAGGTGGGAATTGAACAATGAGAACACATGGATACAGGAAAGGGAACATCACACACTGGGGCCTGCTCTGTGGTGGGGGGCTGGGGGAGGGATAGCATTAGGAGATATACCTAATGTAAAAGATGAGTTAATGGGTGCAGCACACCAACATGGCACATGTATACATATGTAACAAACCTGCACGTTGTGCACATGTACCCTAGAACTTAAAGTATAATAAAAAAAATTAAAATATTCTGCAGTCACAGTGACTGTCTTGGCTTCTCTTAATTTATGAGGACCTTTGTCTTATAGACTCTTTTTTTTAAAAAAAGATGGGGTCTTGCTATGTTGTCCATGCTGGAGTGCAGTGGCTATTCACAGGCTTGATCATTGCATACTACAGTCTGGAACTCCTGGACTCAAGTCTCCCAGTGGCTGGGAATACAGGTGAGTGCCTACCACACCTAGCCTGATTTACAGATTTTTGACATCTATTATAGTTAAATGTATTTTCAGCATTTGCATATTAAAGGAATAATATTGATGCTTAACTTCATTAGTGATCAGGGAATTCCAAATTTAAAAAAAATTTTTTCATCTCTTATAGTATATTTAAAAATTCATTGCTGATAAGGATTCAGGGACGCCAACATTGTACATTGGTAGTGAAAATGTAAATTGGAAACTTTCTGTAATCTGACAGTAATTATTTTTTTAAAAATCCTTTTGAACTTGCAGTTCTACTTTTGGGATTTGAATTTATGGAAAGTAAAGTGCCAGTGAGAAAGAATATTGTTGCCCCTTGAACAACATAGGGTTAGGGGAGCTGGCCTCCCACACAGTGAAAAATCTGCATACAACTTTTGATTCCCCCCAAACTACTAATAACCTATTGTTGACCAGAAGGCTTACTGATAACATGCGTTACATTTAAGACATATTTTGCATGCTATGTGTATTATATACTGTATTCTTACAATAAACTAAGCTACAGAAAAGAAATTATAATCAAGAAAATTGTAAGGAAGAGAAAATATATGACCCATTCATTAAGTGGAAGTAGATCATCTTAAAGGTCTTCATCATTGTTGTGTTCATGTTGAGTAGGCAGAGGAGGAGGAGGAGGAGCTGGTCTTTGTGTCTTAGGGTAGCAGAGGTGGAAGAGGGTGAAGGGATGGAAGGGGAAGCAAAAGAGGCAAGCACACTTGGTGAAACTTTACAAAAATACATCATTATTTCTGTCTATTTTGCTTTTTCATTTCTCTAAAAACATTTCAGTGTAGTACCTATCCGTCTTCCACCATTTGCTTTAGTTTCAGTTCCTGTATCATGGAACGGTCTATGTCATAAAAGAAGTCAAAAGTAGTCTTGAATAATCAAAGCTTTTTTGCCAGATTGTTGAATGCCAATTTGTTTTCTGGCACTGCTTTTCCTATGTCTTCTTCCTCATTATCTGGCACTGGTTAGGAAGCACTCATCTCCATGAAGTCATCTTTTGTTAATTCCTCTGGTGTGGTGTGTATTAGCTCTTAAATTCCTCCAAGATCCATATCTTACAACCCTTCACTCCACACCTTTTTTTCCCTTCATATCCATACTTCTTTCCATGGTTTTCTCTAAATTGGGTTTGTCGTAATTCTGTAGCTATGCACAACATCTGGACACAAATTGTGCTTTTGTCCAGCAGGAATTTATTGTTTTGAGTTTCATGGTTTTCTCTATCAACTGATGACATCTTGAAAGGTGTAAGCCTTCCAGACTTCCATGATGTTCTCTCTATTGGGTTTCTCTTTTGCAATGTTGACAAACCTTTCCATAGAGTGCCATATGTAGAGCCTTAAAGGTCCTTATGACTCCCTTATCTAGAGGCTGAAGTAGAGATGTGTTTGGGGGAAAAGGAGAACACTTCAGTGCCTTTGGTGTTGAACTCATGGGGTTCTGGGTGGCCAGGGGGCATTTTCCAATTAAACAACAACAACAAAAAACTTTAAAAAGCAGTCCCTTACTGGCAAGGTACTTCTGACTTCAGGGACAAAGCACTGATGGAACTAATCCAGAAAAAGCATTCTCATAGTCCAGGCCTTCTTGTTGTACAACCAAAAGACTGGCAACTAGTGTTTCTCTTTTCCCTTTCAAGACTCAGGGGTTAGCAGCTTTATAGTTAAGGGCAGCCCTGATCATAAACCCGACTACATTTGCACAAAGCAGTAGAGTTAGCCTATCCCTTCCTGCCTTAAATCTTGGTGCTTGCTTCTCTTCCTTACTAATAAATGATCTTTGTGGCTTTTATTTTTCCCCCTGGAATAGGGCACTTTCAGCTGCATTAATACCTATTCAGGCAGATATCCTTTCTCCTCAATGTTTTTCTTAACGGCATTTGAGAATTCACTTGCTGGTTCTTGGTTGGCAGAAGTTGCTACTCCCATTATCCTGACATTTTTAAAACCAAACCACTTTCTAAAATTATCAAATCATCCTTTGCTGCCATTAAATTCTCCAGCTTTAGATCTTTCACCTTGCTTTTACTTTAAGTTGTCAAATAATGACTTCGCTATTTCTTGAATCAAATAAGAGTCTATAGGTATGTCTTTCTTATAGCAATTCTGTACCCCACATAAAAGCTGCATTTTGAATATGAGATAAGAAAGGACAAGGTTTTCATGCCTGTTGGCACGAAATGAGGCCTTATGAATTTCTCTTTTTTTTTTTAAGGGACCTTACACTGGATTCATTTATTTTGAAATGGCAGGCAGCTGAAGAACTCAATCTATAGGAAGCAATCTAACTTTTTCTCATAATGTCACAACTTTTCTCTGCTTCTTGGGAGCACTCCCAGCATCACTTGTGGCACTTTGTATTGGTCTCATGGTGTTATTCAAGATTTATAGTATTACACTAAGCACAATGAAAAGAGAACTGTGAGAGAACACACTATTTACTTAGATACAGAATTTACTGAAGAGACCAAGTGCTCATGGCAGATACTGGCAACATGAGCTCTCCACAGTAGCAACAGGGGGTGGCTACAAAATTATTATAATAGTACATACACTGGAAAGTAGACGCTGGAGAATATTCCAAAAGATGCCAGGGTTGGAGGGGAGTGAGGGTTGAAAAATGATTATTGGGTACAATGTTCACTATTGGGGTGATGAGTACAGTAAAACCTCAGACTTCACCACTAGCAATATATCCAAATAACAAAACAATCATATAATAAAACTATGCTTGTACCTAGCACATTTATAAAAATAAAATAAAAGTAATTATTTGGGTAGTACAGTATGTGCTATAGTTAATTGTATGCAGTTGTGGTTTAATACAGCATCTTTATGTTTGTTTATGTTTCTCTTGACTGCAAATAGTGACTTGTACGGTTTGTGTGCATACATTTTGATAAGTTTTAACTTTTTATAATAGATTTGTGTATATTTTATGGTAGTAAATGATAAAATAGATTAATATATACATATACTTTATGCATTCAGGATGTACATAGCTTTTTCTTAATTTTTTTTTTATATTCTAGGCTATGCAGTTAGTCTGTTAGTTTTTTCAATTGCAATTCTCCAAAACTTTTTCTGATATATTTTTTTTTTTTTTAAATACCAGTGTAGGCGGACCTGCACAGTTGAAACCCATGTTGTTCCAAGGTCAACTAAAAAATCTGAAATCTGAAATGCTTCAAAATTGGAAACATTTTGAGCACTGATATGATGCCACAGGTGAAAAATTTCACATATGACATTATATGACTGGTCACAGCCAAAAGACAGTCAAAATTTTGTTTCTTGCACAAAATTTTACAAATACATAAAATTACCTTCAGGCTACATGTATACTATATGTAGGGAATGTAAATAAATTTAGATTGGGTCTCATTCCTAACATATCATGTTATGATATGAAAATATTTCAAAATTTGAAAAAATCCAAAATCTACAATATTTTTGGTCCCAAGCATTTCATATAAGGGATACCATACTCCAGAATGTTAGAATGTTTATGGCTACTTTGTTTGTAGTACAGGGGGAAAAAAACCATGATGAGTCTCCATCAGTAAAAAGATAGTTTAAAAACTTGTAGAATTTACTCATATACATATATTTACACATGCATATATGCACACATATTATTTTTCTCTATATAGAGAAACTGTGCATTCATTTAAAGTGATATTTCCTCTGTTAATTGACTTGGAGAAATGTTCATACTGTGTTGATAAGTTGGAAAATCAGTTTGTTTACATGAGGTGAAGTGGAAAAGTTAAACTACATTATAAAGTACATTATAGGCTTTTCAAAGGGCAAAAAAGTGTCACCTGAGATGAGGCAATGAAGTGCTCATGGCCATTCATCCCTGTTTTACACCAATAGAAAGAAAAGTTTGGAAAATGATGGATTTCTCAATAAAATTTCAAGGAAGTAGAAATAAATATGTTACTGTACTAATGTATTCATGTCTTCTTAAGAGAAATGGAACTCCAAATTTTTAGAATTTTTGAATAGGAATGATAGAGGAAAGAAAACAGAACACTAGTGACTCCGGCATTGTCTGAAGCTGAGGACTGGGCTGTGGGTAACCCACAGGTGATATTACTTTAGCCTGAATAATCCAGACGTTATGATGTTTTGGCCTCTGTGTCCAAGACTCTTGTAGATTTCTTGTCAGGCCACAATTCTTTGAGTGAGAGTAATATTTTTTCAGTAGGCAAAAATCCCTTGAAAGATCAATCCAGGGACATTTATAATAAGATAGGATTAGAAGGTAGACTTTAGGCTAGGGTTAGGGTTGGAAAAATCAAAACACGTTGTTCTCTTTAGAGTGAGAAATTGGTTTATCCCAGACTTTGAAGGATAATATAATCTATAACCCTCTGGTTACGGGAAAGAAGAGACCTACATGTGGCCATCTTGGGAGCAAGGCAGAGAGCAGGCTGGAAGACCTTCTAGGATGGATATGGACTTGTGAAATGCAGTAGTTAAACCAAGTTTTCTCAGGGTTACATTTGCCTTCCATCATTCCTGAACACTCATGTCATCATGAAATTAGAAGAGCTGATCCAATACTATTGATAAGGAAAGAGACTCTCCTTTCCCCAAAGCGAGAGATAGCAGCAATAATCAGATAATGGCCCAGAAGATGGATGATCATACACACGGCTTGTGTGAGGCTTATGGAAGATAAAACAACCACAATATTTCAGAAATGTTTATATGTTGTTTACAGTTCTACCACTACAAAGCCTTCTAGAATGTGAGACAGAATGGTGTGATGATTATTCTCAGTATAACCAGATTAAGTAAGATTTCACAGGTGGAGTTAAGAATTAAGAATTTTTGATTCAAGAGTCTCATTCACCCTCTTCCTTCTTTGTTAATAGTTCTGTTAGGATCTGCCTTTAATTTGTCTTTTCCTTTAGGGCGCTCAAAACAACACAAGGATTAAATGCCTTTCTATTGTCAAAGTTCTCTCCTTATTTGCCAGTTCTTTTTTTCATGTCCCAATCATAATCTTAATGGTATCGTTGATCACTCAAGCAACTAACCCTGAAGACTGCCCAGTCGCAGGAGCCAATACATCTTTTTATGTTTAAACTCAATCACTTCAAATGTTGATCTTACCTTGTATAATAGAAATTAGTCGTAGAGACTGTGGTGGGATGAGATAGCATTGCGGGTAATCTGGCTCAGCTATGGCTGAGTGGAAGAAACTTGCATCAATTATTTATGGTTAATACAGAGTATCCTAGATCGTAGTTGTGGACTGAATACAGACATTCAGCTCCCTCCCCCACTGAGCTCTCATAACAATGCAGGGACTGGAAAGAATGTCAGCATATGGGATGGGAGAATGAGAAGACGGGAGCTTCTTGGGCAGGTATTACGTAGTGAGGAAGCAGTGGGTGAGAACATTCAGTGAGAGACCACAATGTAAGGAGAGAGTCTATCTGACCAGTGGAAGCAGAGACTCCAGACTCAGAACCTTTGGTACAAAGAGTAACTACAGCAAACGGGCAAAGAATAGATTGTGAATTTGGAGGTTATGTGCTTCCTTCTGGCACATGAAAAAACTCCTAAAGCTTTTTGTGGGTGCAAAATGAAATAAAAATCTTTCCCCATTGGTATGAAAATAAGTTAATTAGCCTTTACAATGGTTTGTTTTTGTGTTACTAGTTTCCAGTTGTGGCTGTTTCTCTCAGTTTCTCTCTGTTTTGGTTTGTTTGTTTGTTTGTTGTTGTTTTCCTTCTCTTAGGAAACTTTGGCAGATAATTGGGCACAGAAATTGGTCATTTTTTAAACACTCTAGGTTAGTGATTCTCATAGTCCCTAGACATCGGTATCAGTATTACCCGGCAACTTGTTAGATATGCAAATTCTCAAATCTTACCTACTGAGTCATATACTGCCAAGTGAGCCAAGGAATCCGTTTAATTAGGCTTTGCAGGTGGTTCTGATGCACACTCAAGTTGAACCACTGCTGAAGCCATAACTATTGGAGACAATCTTGCATAGCCTGAAAAATGGAGAGCTCTAACTGTTGATAGGGCTTTGCTTTATTTGTCTTAAGAAAGCATTAATGAGAATAGCTTTGTGTTTCTTTGAAGTTCTGGGTGCTTCTGAAAACTCTAAAGGTTTTCAAGCATTTAAATTTCTCTAGCCCTTTTCTCAAACAAACAAAAAACCCCAAACAAGGAAAATCTCATAGAAATATAAAAATGAGTTAAAATAAGTTGTGAGGAATATTCTATACATCAACAGTAAAGTATTACTCAACCTCAAAAATTACGTCTCTACCATAATCTATAATCTGACTGGATAAGGACTATAAATAAATAGCATATGAAAGTCTACAATAAAGCAGGGAGAAAATCATCACTGGCTCCGAATTTCATAATGACTTCTTGTTGTATGTATGTAAATATCTTCTGAACAAATTATTGTACATTTTCCTATCTCTGGAGAAAATTAATGAATTAGGTTAAACAATTTCTTAAGTTTAATGGAGCTTCTGTTTTCCTCGGCTTATGTATACTAGCACAGGTAACTTGCTGAACTGCAGCTCAGAAGAAAAAATCTATAGAGAGGTTTAGTTCTGAGGTGAATTAATGGACTTTGTTGCTATGTCAGAAGGCGAGAAGCAAGGGAAGGCAGGCGGGTAAGAGAATCGCATAACGCAAAGGACTTCAGTGCTTCAGAACAAAATTGAAGCGTTTTAAAAATTTGACTGAAGTAAAGTTCAGTAATATTTTTAATCATGGGAAATCCTTGGATAAATGTATATGGTTTGATAATTTTGGTTTAAATTAATTATGTTTTTTCTCTGATTTTATCACAATCTTAGAATTAATGTTAGCATATTTTTCTGGTTTATAAAATATTTTAACTTACCAGAGCTTTCTAGATGTCCCCTACTGGATTTATGGCTCAGCTGAATTGAATTATTAAACTAGTATTTTTTAAAACATTTGTTCCTGTAACTTGAGATGGGGCTACAAATAATTATACTGTATAGGTAAAACCACACATACCCTACATGGTAAAAAATTCAAATTTCATATGTAACACAATTTTCATGTAAATTTTTATATTTTAGTATAAATTCTCTGCAGTGTGTCAGTTTAAAATGAATTTTAACATACTAGTTAGCTTTATGAGCTTGGCTAATATTTCATTGAGATAATTAGTGAAAAATCTTTGGATGAGTCTCATAAAATTTTTAACATATCCTTGCTGCATATTTTTACACATTATAGAGTGGCTATCAAGTAGGAGAATGAACAGTATGTAAAAGTACCCTTAGTTCTGATTAATGCACATGTTCTTTTATACTACTTTAAGAAATTAAGTCAGTTTGAGTATTTAGAAAAGTGCATGCAATATAATTAATGTGTTTTTGCTTATCAAGGCAAAGAGAGTAATTTTGTCTAAAAGGCAAATTGTAGAGTTTTGCTAGAATATAAAACTGAATTTTAAAATACAAATTTAAGGGCATACAATAATTGTAGAATATCTGAGGGAAGTAAACTTCATTTGCTATAGCTTATAATAGCTGCAAATAATGAGTTTAAATGAGCAATAAAACGTTTATAATTTTTGGACTAACTTTACTCAATGTTAATTAGTTTGGGCATAAAACATAAAAGAACTTTTGAGTCTTTTAGTCCAATTTGTTAAATGGATGGTCTCAAAAAAGTCATATTAGTATTTGGGTTACCTTTTTGATAAAATGATAAATCAATCTCCATATATTAGCCTTTTTTTTTTTTTTGAGACAAAGTCTTGCTCTTGTCCCTCAGGCTGGAGGGCAATGGCGCCATCTTGGCTCACTGCAGCCTCTGCCTCCTGGGTTCCAGTGATTCTCCTGCCTCAGCCTCCTGAGTAGCTGGGATTACAGGCGCCTGCCACCATGCCTGGCTATTTTTTGTATTTTTAGTAGAAATGGGATTTCACCATGTTGGCCAGGCTGGTCTCGAACCCCTGACCTCAGGTGATCCACCCTCCTCGGCCTCCCGAAGTGTTGGGATTACAGGCGTGAGCCACCACTCCCGGCCATATATTAGTTTTTTAGCAAAAATTTAACACTTGTATTCTCCACAGTGTCCTACCGGATTAGATATAGCTCTCCTGGACTAAATTGTTTCTCACCCACAACAATATTGCCATCCGGGAGAAAAGAGATTTATAGTAGTTTACTTTGTACTCCTAGAAATCCTTTCAAGAAGTATAAAAGTGAATACATACATATTTAAATGATAAACATTTATCTTCGTGATAAAATAGTTAAGTTTCCATGTGAGTCAGGTTTACCACATGAGTGATGAACCAGCTTTAATTAACAATATAACCATTCTCCTCTGTCACTGTAGGCTGTTCTAAAAAAAGAAAAAAGTTTACAAAAGCCTTAATTACCTTATGCTATTTGGGGAGAATTAAGCAATGAATGGAGTGTTGCATTTAACAGGTTATAGAAAATTTTTCTGTGTCCAGCATATAATCAACTACTAATTTTCAGACTGGTTTGGCACAATATAGATTTTCTGCCATTGAATAGAAACTAAAAAATTTGAAAGTCAGAAAATTATTTCCCAGGTTCTGAAAGATATCAACAAAGATATTTTTAATTGACTATGTATGATTATTGATTTGAGATTTAATATACCATGTCTATGAGAATTCTTTGTAATACTTCTGCAGTGTAATTTGCTACATAATGAAAATTCATTTTTCATAATAAATAGTTTCCAGAAGTCATGTTGTCTTTCTTGCTCCCAGCAAGTAGCTCTATTTCTTGGCCACATTGAGGAATCAAAATCTAATGTAATTCTTCTAAATAGAATAGAGAACACCTAGAGTCGCTGCTCCTATGACAAATCTTTGGATAACAACTCTCATGTGCGTAAGACATTTTCTGATCTCTTCTGTACTTCAACTTGTAAAGAACTTTGGACATTACAGTCAGAAAGTCTGCTATTCCTACAAAGACAAAAGGGGAAGCCTCTAAATTCCCTGAGTTGTGGGGATAATTAGCTTTCATACTCATCTGCTGACCCCTGATTATCAGAAGACATTTTTATCTCTTTGGCATGCCCCATCACCTGCTGTCTGTCTCCAAAAGACCTGTAGATCAGAGCAGGCATTGTAAGGCAGGGACAGTTCCTGAAATTTCCAATTAACTGATGATGGGAAAGCTCAGAAACACAAACTCTGGGGAGTGGCTGCCTGGTACTGCTAATACTCCTGCTGGAAACAGGGGCACCTGGGCTACAAACAAACGTAAGACTTTGGAAGAAGGTGCATTAACTTAATTCTGCCTTTCACATGTGAGCTCCCAATTTCCCTTGTGGCTATGAGCCACAAGGGCCCAAATTCAATGGGAGGGTGGTTCGGGTCTACCATGACAAGCCAGGATGGAGGAGACAGAGGTCAGTTATTGGGAGCCCAGATTCTTGCCCTTTAGAAACATGTGCTGTAGCAGAGAGGAACCCACTACAGCTGGGATTCTGGACTGACACAGGGAGTGGGTAGTCCATCCAGGGTCACCTGATTGATAGCAGGCCCTTCACATCTGCAGCCCCCACCTGTGACACTGTTTTTGATACCATATTCCCCAAATTTAACCCTCAAATCCAAAATAGTAAAACTACTGAGATGTTACTTATGAATACAGTATCTCTGGGTTTCTCAGATGGCTGCTGGGAAACTCCAGAGATCCTCCTCCTAGCTCTTAACATGAAGATATATTAGAAATAAAGGTAATGTTTTGCATTCTCCAGATATTTAATTTGCTCAAAACTATGCTCAATATAGTGGAAGCTGCTGTGTTTTTCAAGGCCATATTCTGAGAAAATAGCAATAAAATCATCTTAAATTAATTAAATGCAATAATTATGTATGATTACTGTGGCTATGTTACAATAATTGTGCACTTCTCAGGTTGGATTCAGGCATATTTATGTTCATGTACAAAGACTGGTGCAATAAATGTCAACCAACTGATTAAAAAAAGTAAACTTATCAGTTGGTGACAAATAATAATATCTACTTTGTGGGGAAAATTAAAGGCCCTGGAGAGGTATCGGGATGCACTAATTGTTCTTCATGTGTTCTGTCTTTTACGGTAATCACTGATTAAAATTTCATTAGATGAGTATGTATTACACCTCAACAGAGAATGCCACTGTCCCCCATTGTGATGTTGTTTGCTATGGCAAAAAATTAACCAAACTTTACAGTTTTATTATTAGCAACATCTCCTCCCCCTATCCCCGCTGCTTTTTTTTTTTTTTAGATGGAATCTCGCTCTGTTGCCCAGGCTGGAGTGCAGTGGTATGACCTCAGCTCACTGCAAACTCTACCTCTCGGGTTCAAGCTGTCCTCCTACCTCAGCCTCCCGAGTAGCTATATTCAGGTGCCCGCCACCATGCATGGCTAATTTTTCTATTTTCAGTAGACACAGGGTTTCACCATGTTGGCCAGGCTGGTCTCAAACTCCGGACCTCAAGTGATCTGCCTGCCTCAGCCTCCTAAAGTGTTGGGATTACAGACATGAGCCACTGTGCCCAGCCCTCCTTTCCCTTTAAGCATACCTAAAAGCCTCTCTACAAAGCGCCAATCAGAATTTGAGTCATCTGGAAGAAATATCAAAAGAGCTCCAGTAATAATGGTAGCAGACACTGTTGATACTATTGATACCACAGGAAATTGACTCATGGATATAGGCCTCCAAGAATAGGCTGACCTTGTCCCCACAGACAATATTCCAACTATACGAAATAAATGAGTCAGGAGTTCCAAGACACTCACAGTGTAGAAGCCGATGAATTCATGAAAGTAGACTGCTTAACTCAAGACCAGCACGACAAGAGGTTGTTATTTAGGATTAAAGGGCCTCAGTAAGGCAATTTAATTGAGGCTAGTTTAATTTTCTACTTTAATGAACATGAGAGAAACCCATTTTCTTTCTTCTTAATCTACCTTTAATCTCCAATTAAATGTACAAATTATTAAATTTGTAAAAACTAAATAAAACACTCTGAATTCTTAGTGTTGAGGAAAAAAATACCTTGCAGAAATTCTTAATATAAAAACAAAGCTAATAAGTTGCCAAGAAAAACATACAAATAATTATTTTGTAAAGAATTGTGACATACAATATTTGGTTTTGTCTATTAACATACCCTTAATTAGCAATATTGCTTAAATCTTGCACAAAGTTTCTTTAATAAAAACATTTACTTTATGTGACTATGTAGTTATTTGTATTGGTTCAATAAGAATTTGTCCTCCCTTCTACCTGAATATATTACTAATTAGAAATTTTTTTTTTTTTTTTGAGATGGAGTCTTGCTCTGTTGCCCAGGCTGGAGTGCAATGGCGTGATCTCAACTCACTGCAACCTCTCAATCTTGGGCTCAAGCACTTCTCCCACCTCAGCCTCCCAGGTAGCTGGGATTACAGGCACCCACCATCATGCTAGGCTACTATTTGTATTTTTATAGAGACGGGGTTTCACCATGTTGGCCTGGCTGGTCTTAAACTCCTGACCTCAGGTGATCTGCCGGCCTCAGCCTTTCAAAATGCTGGGATTACAGGCATCAGCCACCTTGCCCAGCCAGGAAGAATCAATTTTTTAATAAAAAATTTATAGCTGTGCTACAAATTCAATTTAATTAGACAAGACAAATCCAGTAATAAGAATAATTTCTATGTTTTTCACGCAGAAGCGATGCCTATAACATCCTTCTAGGAAACCAATCTGGTGCTTGCTCTATGGACTATGCAATCTCAGGCTTGGAGGTAAGAAAGAATGTCCTTTCTTGGCAGAGCAGGGACACCGAGACATTGGATATCTTTTATTAAAAAGGATACATTTGCATTATAAATACTGCAGATGAAATCAGGTAGAGGTGAACGGACTGGTGTGGTCTGCTCTAAACTGAGCTGTTAAACATGTAAAAGTAAATTTAAAGCACAAGGGCTTTATAAATCTATAGATAGACGTAAACTTGTGAGCCTTAGTTTATTGTTTCATCAAAAAAATACTAGGAGGTCATTAAATATTAATCAACACTTCTTAGATCTGTGCAAATAAAATGGATCAAATTAAAATGTAAAATCAATAGTACTGATTAGGAACATTGTTCAGCAAATGGAGGTAGACAAACATGTCCTGTAGAGAAGGAAACATGACCGCAAGATGAAGTGTAAAAACCAAAGTGACATTGGGGCCTGACACCATTGTCAGCCCGTTCATCATGTCCCACTGCTGAAGAAACAGAGAAAAAAAAACTCTGCACTCTGACATAAAGAAACAATAAAAGGGTCTCTCTGTCTACCTGCAGTCCTCCAAATGAATAAAACCTTGAGCATTTCCTGAGAGTTGCTAACTCCTTAATGAAAATCACTTTATCCTTGACTTTACAATGCTGTTTATTGTCTGAAGATATGTCATGAACTTTCTGAATACAATAACCATGATAAAATTGCTGTTTTCTGCCATGAAGAGATTAATATAAACCCTATAGTCTTCATAATATTGTTTGTTTTAAAAAGTTCTATTTTTTTAATTTTTTGGGCAGTTCTTTTGAAGAATGACTTCCTCACATTTATTTGCAAGTAAATGTCTCCTTCTGCTTATTTTTCCAACATGCTTTTGTTTCTGAGCCTTTCTTTCATGCTCTATACACACAAATCAGCAGGAGATAGTACCTGCAGCTGTATTTGGAGTTTACTGCCTCAATGTTCACTTTCAATGAAAGAGCGTATTTCTTAACAGAAGACCAGAAATTCATGCTGAACCAATAAATTGTCCTCTATAGTTTTCATCTGCAAGGAGGATTTAAATATTTCTAGCTCAGTAGTTCAGCCCTGAAGATTATTTCACCCCCACTGCTAATCCCGACCTAATCTGTTTTTGTGTTGTTAATGCTCCTATATACTAGCCAGGTCCGTAATTCTGTAACAGGCTTAATTTCTTAATATTTTAGGCCATGTGTTAATTTTACTATTTCTTAGCCATTTTTCCTCAATAGTTTTAAATTGCATCCCTGCTTACTCTCCCTTTTACTGGATGGGCTTCCTCTGTTTACTAATACAATTCCCCAAATTGATTCATCCACTTGTTGAAATACCTAATTTTAGGCCCTGCACTGACAGCTTGCCTAGGCTTATACTTGTTGTGTTTGGTGTTGCAGTCTTCAGATTCTAAAAACACCATCTAGACCTTACATTACCTCCAGCCAGGGCTATTCCCCCAGGGCCTGCCTTAAGAAGCAGATTTCTTTTCATGTTTCATCTTCTTCCCATTTATTTCATTTCATGACAGTTAGAGAAGCTGTATACTAACGTGACAAATGCTAAGTTAGCAAAGAAAAACGTTATTTCAGGATAAGTTCAGGGAAAGCTTTTTGGAGGAAAGTCAGCTCACATTAGTCCTGATGATGGATAGTGTATAGAGACTACAGATGATGGAACGATGAAGTGGAAACTCGAGTGGCTACATACGGACATTCCACATAGAAGCAGTGTGAGCAAAACCACCAAGAAAGGAAATGAGATGGAATTGATAAGGCAATGCAAATAATTCAGGTTATTTAGATCATCAGTGTTGGGGGAAGCTGGGTTTATGGGAATCAATCGTTAATCAGAATGTGAGCACCATTGGTTTGGTAATTCATGGAAGAGGTTATCATTCAACAGGGGGAGTGGCTTCTCGATTATAAACATGTCTGAAGGTCACTGAACATCAAGGCTATCCTTCAGTTAAAATCTTATTAAAATTATACTGACCTCTGATGACCTTCAGAGAGCTCCAGCTAGATGGATTGATGATAAGAGAAATTCGAGAAGGCAATGGGGCAAATCTTTGTGCAAATCTCTGTTATGTCATATATCTAAGGCTTCTGCTGGATCCAGTGATTTGTTTGTTCTGACTGTAGTACAAATCTATTGGAACAATAAATCTAGTTATAATAAATGACAGAGGGCATTGAAGCAGATGCAAGAAGCAAAATATACAGGTGTAAAGACAAACTATATTAGGCCTCCCATCAAGCTTCTCTAATATTTTCACAGCACAGCCCTGCCTGACTTCTCTCTATCTGGGTAGGCCCCTTCTGTTTGCTAAACCAGTTCTCTGATGTTGACTACCTGATTCTCTAGTCCTCAAGTTGACTCATCCTGTTTATTGAGAGTGACATTTTTAGACTACTAATAATATTTATATGTAAGAAAGAAACTGGGTTTTTATATAAATATATAATCTTTTCAAATAAAAGATTATAATCAAGGAACTGTAAATAATAGAAAAATTACATAACGTTTCCCTATTTGGGGATTGGTTAAATGCAATATTATAGAAGTCTGAAAAAATAATGACTGTATTACAAAAGAATATAAAAATAATTGAAGACTAGGAATTATGTCTACCAACTAATTCAGTCATTTGGCTGTTTATTCTCATTTGAACAGTAGTGGATTAAGAAAAAAACAAAAAGACTTTCGACTTCCATCACAGGGAGAAAAGGATCAAGTACACATTAGAGAAAGCTGATGGCAATGATTTCTAGTTTCAGTTTCTATTTTCTGTCAATTAACCATCATTTTGGTAAACAGCCTTTTTAAATATCTTTTCTTTTAATTTTTAAATTTTTACTTTAAAGACAGGGTCTCACTATGTTGCGAAGGCATTGGCCTCAAACTCATGGACTCAAGTGATCTTCCTGCCATAGCCTCCCTAGGTGCACATCACCATACCCAGCTATTAATGTCTTTATAAAAGCATTTTTAACCCTACTGGTCTAGCTATTGCATCAAATAAATAGCTAATTCCATTGACGAAGGATTAGGGACTCACGAGTGAAAATAAATGTTTTATTTGGATAATGGCTACAAAATCTCAACAGTCAAAATAAATAAGAGATTAAAGCCATGATGATGACTTAAAAGATAAAGTTAGGTAGAAATGTGAACTAAGGGAAATGACTCAACACATTCAGCAACACAAAACTGTGGCCTAAATTCACTCTGACAGTTGTTATGCTATCTCCTGCTGCCCGAGTAAAGTAAGTTATGAACAAGACACATGAAGGGGATCAGGCAGACATATGGTCAAATGCTTTCTGTGCAATATGTCTGTCTCCATATTATCTTCTCTGTCTCATTGCACTTTGGACATTTTTATTCTTCCTGCAGATCTATTTTTATGAAGCAATGTGATTTAAATGAAAAGAGCACTGAATTCTCAGCCAGATATTTGAGTTCTAGTTGAAGATTTATCACCTAGTGGTTATGAGATTTGGGGCAAATTGCTTAATCTCTCTCTTTCTTTACCACTTCGTTTGTAAGTTTTCTTGCCTCCCTTCAGGACTGTATTGGGGATCAATCAATGTTGAGTTGAAGGCAACATGGTTTAAGTTGGCTTAATGGAGAAGTGGTAAATCACTTAAACGGGTAGTGTTTAAGTGAACAACACAGTGTAGAGGATGTTGGGCTGCATGAGGAAGTGTGGAAAAAAAGCATGCCATGAAAATATCATCACAATCTCACATTTCTTCGTTTATTTGCACACTCTGAACACCTGCATGTGATAAAGACTGTGCAAGGTTCTCAGGATACCCAGGTAAAAATCACCACTTCTGCCAGTCTTGACTTTGCAAGCTTGAGGAGCAGACCTGGAGGAATTTGGCTATTACCACACCAAAGTTGTTCCTCACATTCCCTTTGACATATGGTCTCAGGAAAAAATGAAAAGAGTAAAAAAAAAAAAAAAGTCCTTCATTTTTGAAAGGAAAAGTCATAATTAATTTCTAGAAGGAGAAAGAAAAAAAGAGATAACAGTGTGTGAAAGGCTTAGAAAATGCTAGAGCACTACAGAAAGATAACGTGAGATTATGTCTAAGAGTAGCTTGGTTATTTTGCTTTTGTTGACAAAGTATACCTCCTTCATTTTCATAGTTGTCATAATTCTTTCCATGATTTTCTTAGTGGGTTTGTTTAGGAGAAACTGTATTCTTTCTTTATTCATCTAACTCTCCTTAACTCCAAAAGATGCTTCTTAGGATAACATTTTAAAAGGATATACATTACGCACATTTTTAATGCTTCTATACAGGACTGAAGGCCAATATTACCATGATAATAAGGCATGTAACAAAAATTTGTTCTGCAGAGAGTGAGAAAGCGTGAGGGAAAACACAGTGCAGGATTCTATGCTGTCGCCCAAGAACCCAGACAGGCAAGTGAAATAATAGAGCAGACATTTCCTGAGGCTGTGGTCGATATGATTAGGAGATAGTGGGTAAAAATGGCCTTTAAACTATATACACATGAGAAGATAGATGTGAAAGCCCATTGCAAAGGCAATAAAATTATGCAAATATAAAATATCACTATTAAAATGTATGATGAATTGACGTGCCATGAAAACAGTTCCAGTGCTGGGCCAGAAATCAGGAAACGTGGGCTTTTGGTTTCTCACCATTAAAATGAAGAAGTTGGATTTATACCCAAGGGCACCTTGTGGGCTGTATGGCTTCTAAGTAACTGGTCATAACAAAAGGGACACAATCAGGTCAGTTTCAAACCAAGAATAAAATGGGAAATTAAAGAACTGAATTGGCTACTTTCTGCTCAAATGATTGTTAAAAATAAAGTTTAAAAAAAGCCCCAAGGACTATGCAGTGCAGTGAGCAGAGGCTCCCGATATTAAAAAGAAAACAAGGAAAATGGATTCCTGGTGATAGAAGTGGTGTGGGGGAAGACAAATAGTGTGGCTGCAAATGGAACAATATGCAAAAGAAAAGTAGCTAAATATAGCTCTTTTTTGGGAAAGAGATTGTGTCTAAGTCCATCAGTGGAAAGGCAACTTAATTGTTGTATAAGTCTGTTCAGGTTGCCATAACAAGATACCATACACCAAGTGGCTTAAACTATAGAAATGTATTTCTCACACTTCTGGAAGTTGGGAAGTCCAAGATAAAGGTGGTAGCAAAGCGGATTCCTTTCTAAGGTCTCTTCCTATGGCCTGTAAGTGGCTGTAGATTCACTGTGTGCCCATGTGACCATTTCTTCGTGCACCAGGGGGAAGGCGGACAAGCAAGCTTTCTAGTGTCTCTCTTCTTGTAATGGCATTAATCTCAGCATGAGGACACCACTCTCATAACCTCTTTTAATCCTGATTACCTTTCAAAGGCCCCAGCTGCATAAATCATCACAGTGGGTGTTAGGGCTTCAACGTTTAAGTGCGGGAGTTGGTGTTCACATTTCAGTCAATTGAGGTGGCAATTGAAATGAGAAAGGAAAACCATAGTTACTAGAGAGAACGGTTGTCTTGGGGAGGATCACTGGACAGGACTACGGTCCTGTCCAGGTTGTTATGGCAACCTGAACAGACTTATACAACAATCCAGTCCTAGAGGCAATACAACTTCTCTGCTGATTCCAGATTCTGAGCGCCTCTCAGTCCTTGGTTGGGTTGTTTTGATCCTGTCCATATTATATTTATAAATATTCTCTTCATAAAACTCTCTTTAGGCCGGGCGCGGTGGCTCACGCCTGTAATCCCAGCACTTTGGGAGGTCAAGAGATCGAGACCATCCTGGCCAACGTGGTGAAACCCGCTCTCTACTAAAAATACAAAAAATTAGCCGGGTGTGGTAGCGGGCGCCTGTAGTCCCAGCTACTCGGGAGGCTGAGGCAGGAGAATGGCGTGAACCCGGGAGGCGGAGCTTGCAGTGAGCCGAGATGGCACCACTGCACTCCAGCCTGGGCAATAGAGCGAGACTCCATCTCAAAAAAAAAAAAAAAAAAAAACACAACTCTCTTTAAATCACACATCCGAGTGTGCCCCTTGTTTCCCACCAGAGCCAAGACTGAATGAGATGATTTCTTAAGGTCAGGTTGATGTCCTAATCCAGTTGTGCTGCTATAACAAAATACCACAGAGTGAGTAACTTATAAACAACAAAAATTTATTGCTCAAGTTATGGAGGATGGTCAGTCCAAGATCAAGTTGCCAGCAGGTTCAGTGTCTAGTGAAGGCCCATTCCTCTGTCATCCAGGCTGAAGTGCAGTGTTGCAAGCTTGGGTCACTGCAACCTTCACCTCCCAGGCTCAAGTAACCCTCCCACCTCAGCCTCCTGAGTAGCTGGGACCACAGGTGCTCACCACCATGCCTGGCTAATTTTTTTTTTTTTTTTTTTTTTTGTAGAGATGGGGTTTCACCATGTTTCCCAGGCTGGTCTCAAACTCCTGGACTCAGGCAATCTGCCAGCCTCCTGAGGGAGTGCTGGGATTACAGGCATGAGCCACTGTGCCCACCCCCAAAATTCTACTCATATATATGCATAATTACATAGTTACCAGCCGTTATTTTCTGATACTTTGACTGGCAATTGGTTGAAAGAGTTTATCTAAAGACCTGGAATCCATAGAAGGCAGTCTCTGTGTTAAGGGGTTGTTCTTATTATGCAGATGAAGCCTCCAGGTAGCAGGCTTCAGAGAGAATTGATTGTAAATGTTTCTTATCAGACTTAAAAAGGTGCCTAGATTAGGGAAAAGGCCTGGAAAGGGATTCCCTGTAGCATGTAGACTTTCCCCACAAGAGACAACTTTGTAGGGACATTTCAAAATATGATAAAAAATGTATTTTAGGGTAAAATATTTGTATTTCTTTCAGGGCCTGCTATCTGTCATGTAATGCTACACTAGAGTCAGCCTGGAGTTTGGTGTCTTATTGCTACAAAAAGTCTTGAGATCGCTGTTGTAATGTCAGTTGGGCCTGGTCGGATGTGCTGGTCAGTTGTGCCTGAATTCCAAAGGAAGGAGGGTATAATGAGGCATATCTGACCCCTACTTCCCATCATGGTCTGAACCAGTTTTTCAGGTTAACTTTGGAATGACCCTGGCTGAGAGGAGGGGTGCATTCAAATAGTTGAGGGGCTTGGAATTTTATTTGTGGTTTACACTATAGAAAGTATTTTTCCAGTATTACCTGGACAATGTGTCTCCCTGTCAGTATCCAGGAATGGCACCTGGATCAAGCATTTAGTGTTCAGTTGCTACACTCTCACCTAATCCCTCATTTTCAATATTTTGCCATGTTTTCCAGTGACCCAACTGGCCACCATGTCACAGACTTTATGGTCTCCAAGGGAGACCCCTCCATTTCATGTTTTGTGATTTGAGCAACAGACTGGAATCTACTTGAAATTTGCAAATGGTCTTTGACTTGGGCTTTCCAATTTTGCTCTACTTCACAGTGTTTTCTGGGTTATATACAAGGGAGATGATCCAGTCATTTGTTAAGCGCCTCAAATAAGACATGCCCTAGATGTTTTTTTGTTTGTTTTGTCAAATTGGGATTATCTTTGTGTCTTTGGAGAATATAAAATACTAACATGAGGTAAGCACTAAGGTTCTGAGATGGCCGTGGAAGAGATGACAAACTCCATCACCATGCCTGAGAGTGTCCAATCGTCTCTGCGGGGGCCACATATTTTTGTATTACACTGTATTTGAAATAACAACAACAACAACAAAAAACCCTTCAAGATTCATAAAATTGGACAACTGTCTTTGTAACACTTCTAGTGGTAAAACCAGTAAGGATGGCTAGTTTGCAACCCATCTGAGCAGCCTCTCTGGTTTCATAGATATGTTTTCTCTCTGACATTGAACGGCTTTCAACTTGAAACGGAATGCTACATCACAAAGATAAACAGGTTTGAAAGGAACCGGTTTTCCTTGTAATCCTAAACGTTCAAGTCTGCGCATTAAAAGACATTATCTGAAGAAGGGTGCACAAGCTTCCTGTTGGCCGCCAGAAGGGTTCTCTGCAGGACACAGATCAAGTACCACAGTCTTAGGGGGAGACCAGACGCGGGATCTCTGCACACCTCCCCAAAGGACAATGGCAGGAGGAAAAGGAGAAAGAGACAGACGTCACTTCCTCCGCCAGCTCCGGCAGCGGGTTGATCGGCTGAGTCGGCGGAGGGTGGGGCGGAAGAGCAGACGGGGACTGGGAAAGGCGCTGTCGGTGACATCACGGATAGGGCGATTTCTATGTAGATGAGGCAGCGCAGGGGCTGCTGCTTCGCCACTAAGGAGTTCCCGTGCCGTGGGAGCGGGTTCAGGACCGCTGGTCGGACCTGAGAGTCCCAGCTGTGTGTCAGGGCTAGGAGGGCTGTGGGCGGTGGGGGGGTGGGGTGGGGGGGGGGGCGTTCGCGGGGCAAGTGACCGTGCGTGTAAAGGGTGAAGCGTGTGAGGCTGTGGCGGGGCGGAGGTGCAAAAGCTCATACTTACCTGGAAGGGGAGATACCATGATCACGAAGGTGGTTTTTCTCAGGGCGAAGCTTATCCATTGCGTTCCGGATGTGCTGACCCCTGCGATTTCCCCAAGTGTGGGAAACTCGAGTGCATAATTTGTGATAGTAGGGAACTACGTTCGCGCTTTCTCTTGGTGCTTCTGTGGTGCGAATAGTAGGTGAGCCGTAAGTGTTTTTGTAATTCAGGGTGCGGGCTCGTGTTTTGTGGCTGTGTTCTGTCCGGTCAGTTGTTTCCGTTCGCAACGGTTAGTTTTCCTTTGTGAGGCCATGTTTGGGGACAGCTTAGAACTATCCACTTGCTCTCTTGGGAGGCGAATTTCAGTCTCTGTTGGTTGGGTTGTTCTCCCAGGTTAGCTGCCGCGGTACTTGCTAGGTGGAGCTCAGGGATCAAGGGTCGGGAGCTTTCTGGTTTGTTCAGTGCTCCCAGGGCTTCTAACATCTCTTAAAAACTCTGGTGTTTTCTGTCATCCTCGGAGTTACCTCTTAGCCTCTGTTTTTTTGTTGTTGTTTTTTCCCCCCCTCCCTAAGACAAGTCTCGCTGTACCGTCCAGGCTGGAGAAGTGGCGCGATCTTCCCATCTCAGGCTCCCGAGTAGGACAACCGCACGCCACCACACCCGGCTAGTTTTTTCTCTTTTTTTTTTTTTCTTTTCTTTTCTTTCTCTTTCTTTTTCTTTTTTCGTAGCGGTTTCACCATTCTGCTCAGGCTGGGCTCCAACTCCTGGGCTCAAGTGGTCCGCCCAGCCTTCTGAAGTGCTGGGATTACAGGTGCGATCCATCTTGCCCTGGCAGCTCCTGCTTTTCACCACAGCATTCACGGGAGTTTGTAGGATTTCTGTGCTGGGGAAACGTGTACTCAGTTAATAGAGCCAGGTGGAAGTTGTACTCAGAACTGGTGGTTTTCTTTGGAATGAAAACCGTGCATGTTGGGGGCTCTTAGTGTCCCCGTTCGGTTGTAGGCATAACACCCTTGCTTTGTGTAGGGGGAGGGCTTTGCCCATGCCCTGGTGCCCCGGCGCAGGGCATCGAGGTCTGCAGTTCAGAACCGCAGTCTAACCTATGTCTTGGCGGAATACCCTGCTAAGTCTCCCTGGAATGTAAGATGGGAGGTCTTGTGAGGAGGTTTCTACAAGTAAGAAAACAAATTTCCATTCGGTTTTTATTGACAAAATTGAAAATTATAATAACTGAGTCCAGCCTCTCAGATGACAAATGTCTTTTGCACTGAGAGCTGGGAACCGCCGCTTGCCTCAGCTCCTGCGTGCAGGTGCAGCCCTCGCTTCCCTCCACACTTTCTCCAGCGGGTGTCAGTTCCTCCACCAGAGGCAGACAGCGTTCTGCAGAACCACAGCGCTCAAGGCCTTCGAGAGCCAAAAATCTCGGAGCGAGCTGCCCTGTCCTGGCTGTACCTCACGACTGACCTAGAAATGGCCTTTGCTGGGAGCAAAGGGTAGGGGGGAGATGGTCGTCGGAGCTGGGGCCTGTGCACTGGACCAGGTTGACCCACGGGAGGGGAGGTACCCAGAGTTAGAAGGGGGCCAAGCACTGAGACCTCACCATCCTCAATCTCCAAAAGGACTCAGAGAGATGCAGAGACTGAGACAAGCTTCCTTTTTCAAGGAAAGAGAAAACTACTGAGGAAGGCCCCAGGGGCTCTGAACCAAAATCCAGACTTTTTTTTCCACCTGCAGCTTTTTGTTTTTATTTTTGCTTGAGAAGGTGTCTCGGTCTGTTGCCTGGGCTGGAGGGCAGTGGCGCAATTTCGGCTCATTAAAACCTCCATCTCCCGGGTTCAAGCAATTCTCCTGCCTCGGCCTCCCTAGTAGCTGGGACTACAGGTGCCCGCCATGACGCCCGGCTAATTTTTGTATTTTTATTAGAGACGAGGTTTCACCATGTTGGTCAGGCTGGTCTCAAACTCCTGATCTCAAGTGATCCACCCACCTCAGCCTCCCAGAGTGCTGGGATTACAGGTGTGAGCTACCGCGCCCAGCCCGCACCTGCAGCTTAATCCCATTTCGCTGGTGCAACTTCATCCTTCCGTATGCTCAGGCCAATAAACAGTACTGTAGGCTGGTCGTTCTTTGACCCCCATACATCCTATTGGTCGGAAAATTATGTTTTCTCTTTGGTTAACCGCAGACTTTGATATGCACACTCTTTCTTGGTCTGAAACCCACCCAATAGTCCCATACGTAGATTTTTGGATAAACATAGAAATGGACCCTTCTGATCTGAAAGTTTGAAACTCGATATTTGTTTTATTTGAGTTCCTTCCTTCAGGCCTCTCAAAAAAGATATCAAAGAACTGAAAGTCACCCAGACAATGAGATGCCGGACCCCTCATTCATCCTGATTGCTTCCTTGCCCCTCCCTAGTTCCTGTTTTCTTTCTTTTCTTTTTTCTTTTTTTTTCTTTTTTCTTTTTGAGACAGAGTCTCCCTCTGCCTCCCAGGCTGGAGTGCAGTGGCGCTATCTTGGCTCACTGCAAGCTCCGCCTCCCGGGTTCACGCCATTCTCCTGCCTCAGCCTCCCGAGTAGCTGGGACTACAGGCGCCCGCCACCACTCCCGGCTAATTTCTTTTCGTATTTCTAGTAGAGACGGGGTTTCACCGTGTTAGCCAGGATGGTCTCGATCTCCTGACCTCGTGATTCGCCCGCCTCGGCCTCCCAAAGTGCTGGGATTACAGGCGTGAGCCACCGCGCCTGGTCTAGTTCCTGTTTTCTTACACATTGTCACATTCTTTCCCTGCCATCTAAGCCTCTAGTTTTGGTTGGTCAGGGAGATGGATTTGAGACTGAGTTCTCATCTCCTCCGCTGCAGCACCCTATTAAAGCCTCTTCCTTGGCAATAACCGTCTCAGTGATTGGTTTTCTGTGTGGCAAGCAGCGGGAACCCCAGGTCTCTGAACTTTGACAAAGGAATCTCCTGATAAAGGCGGGATCGATTTTACTGACCAAGCTGAAAACGATCAGACGTTTGAAAGCCTTAATCTCGGAGCCTGTCGGAGTTTGGTCTGCCCTTGAGGCTTTTCTTTGGGCCTACCAGTCAAAATCAGCCTGGCCAAACCTGTCTTCAAGGACCAGGGGCAGGGCCGGCTTCTCCCGCCGGGTCGGCAGCCACCTTCCCCTTCCCTGTGACTTGAAGAGAAGCTTCAGGGGGCGTTTATTCAATTTGCGAGGAGCCTGCGAGGCGCAGGTGCGCGGTGACTCTGTGGTTCCCACCGCACCCGCTGCCCTCTTTGGTCCTCTCGCTGTCACCGGCGGGCAGTAACGTTCCGGGTGAGCTAGGGCTCCGAAGACACCAGGCAGGGAGGGACCAGTGGGTAAGGGCACCGCCCGTTTAGGTCCTGCGCAGGAGGGATCCGAAAAAGGTCTTGAAGAAATAGAAAGGGAGGGCCAGATGCGGTGGCTCACGCCTGTAATCCCAGCACTTTGGGAGGCCGAGGTGGGTGGATCACGAGGTCACGAGTTCGAGACCAGCCTGGCCAAGATGGTGAAACCCTGTCTCTACTAAAAATACAACAAGTAGCCGGGCACGGTGACGGGCGCCTGTAATCCCAGCTACTCAGGAGGCTGAGGCAGGAGAATCTCTAGAACCCAGGAGGCGGAGGTGCAGTGAGCTGAGACTGCCCCGCTGCACTCTAGCCTGGGCAACACAGCAAGACTCTGTCTCAAATAAATAAATAAATAAATAAATAAATAGAAAGGGAGAGTTGGAAGTAGATCAAAGAGAAGAAAAGAAATCCTAGATTTCCTATCTGAAGGCACCATGAAGATGAAGGCCACCTCTTCTGGGCCAGGTCCTCCCGTTGCAGGTGAACCGAGTTCTGGCCTCCATTGGAGACCAAAGGAGATGACTTTGGCCTGGCTCCTAGTGAGGAAGCCATGCCTAGTCCTGTTCTGTTTGGGCTTGATCCTGTAGCACTTGATTGTCTCTCCTGGACTTTCCATGGATTCCAGGGATGCAACTGAGAAGTTTATTTTTAATGCACTTACTTGAAGTAAGAGTTATTTTAAAACATTTTAGCAAAGGAAATGAATTCTGACAGGTTTTGCACTGAAGACATTCACATGTGAGGAAAACAGGAAAACCACTATGCTAGAAAAAGCAAATGCTGTTGAGATTGTCTCACAAACACAAATTGCGTGCCAGCAGGTAGGTTTGAGCCTCAGGTTGGGCACATTTTACTTTAAGCGCACTGTTGGTGGAACTTAAGGTGACTGTAGGACTTATATATACATACATACATATAATATATATACATATTTATGTGTATACACACACACACACACACACACAGGGTCTTGCTATCTTGCCCAGGGTGGTCTCCAACTCTGGGTCTCAAGCGATCCTCTGCCTCCCCTTCCCAAAGTGCTGGGATTACAGGTGTGAGCCACCTCGCCCAGGCCATTTTAATTTTAATTTAATACTTTTAATTTGAATACACAATCCAAAAATCATATAACAAGTACAGGAAACCCACTTTATGCCAAGTTTACAAAAACAGGAAAGATATGTCAATGACAAAGCGTCAAAGTGGCAACATCCTAAAGTACTGAGAGAAAAAAAGTTATTCTAGAATTCTATGCCAAATTGAAATATCTTTCAAAAATGTGACTGAAATCAGGACATTTAAAGACATACAAAAAAATGACAGAATTCACCGAACCACACTACAAGAAATATTAAAGGAGTCCTCCAGGCCTAAGGATAAGGATACCAAACAGAAATCTGAACCTACACAAAGAAATGGAGACGACTGAAAATCGCTATGTACGTACTTGGATGTTGGGGTTTATAACATGTCCAAAATCAAATTCCCTGACAACACTAGCATAAAGGCCAGAAGGGGAGGTATAATGTCACTTGATGGCAGACGGATAAAGATGTATTCTAGGGACCCTAAAGCCATCACTGACATAACAAAAGAAAGAGTTACAGCTAATAAGCCAAATAAGGAAAGAAAATAGAATGATATATAAAAAAAAAACATGTAATCGCTGGGTGCGGTGGCTCATGCCTGTAATCCCAGCACTTTGAGAGGCCAAGGCAGGCAGATCACTTGAGGTCAGGAGTTTGAGACCTGCCTGGCCAAAATGGTGAAACCCCGTCTCTACTAAAAATACAAAAATTAGCCCGATGTGGTGGCTCGCGCGGACCTGTAATCTCAGCTACTTGGGAGGCTGAAGCAGGAGATTCGCTTGAACCCGGGAGGCGGAGGTTGCAGTGAGAGCTGAGATGGCGCCACTGCACTCCAGCCTGGGTGACAGAGCGAGACTCTGTCTCAAAAATAAATAAATAAATAAATAAATAAACAAACAAACAAAAACTGTGTAATCCCTATGCTGGAGCAACTGCTCTCCAGGCCTCTACCCTATAGAAATACACAAATGGCCAATGAGAAGTGTACAAGAATGATCACTGCCGAATTATTTGCAATCATAAAATAGTAGCGCCAAAGTAATTTCAAAGATACATGAAAATCGTTTTATTTATTTAACAAACACAAACAATTGAACAAACAATGGAAGCAAGTCCTTTTGCCTAAAGAAACACAGAGGGTCATGCGGATGTTGCTCCTCCAAGGATTTCGGTGTTCCCCAACGGCTAGTTTTGGGTCTAGTTCTTCTGGAAGATCTTATTCTTGGGGAGCTACAGGTTCTGGCGTTTGGGGCTCTTTCAGGTTCTATCTCCATTTTCCCCTCAATTCCTCCCCATTCTGCTATAATAAAAAAAAATTCTCACCTCCGGAAGATCCCGCCTGTGCCTCCCCGCCAGCCTTTCAGGAGGTCTGGACGTCTGGTCCACCGCTCCCCGGCTTCTTTCCCCGCTTTTGCTTTTCCCCTCCCCTGCTCCCGCCCTCCGGCCTCAGGACCCGACCACCGCCCAGCTGAGCCCCCGCGGCTCCACGGCGCAGAAGGTGCACTGGAGGCCCTGCCCGTTGCCGCCCCGCGGGGTGTCAAGAAGTCAACGTAAATAAATGCTTTGTAAAAGGAACTTCCCCATGGAAAAATCTCTCATGATTTCCATTCTCAAGGCTCTTCAAAGGACTAAAAGCTAAAAGGATGGATTCATTCGACAAGTCCTAGTCCTGCGCCCTGGTGAGTGCCAGACCCTGCTCCCCGTGAGGGGGACCCACGAGCCACCCTCACCACGATCCCTGCCCTGGTGGAGCCCCCGTGCGGAACACAGGATCCGAAGATGGCAGCGGAAGCTCCGCAGCGGCCCCAAAAGCGACTGGGCAGGGAGGGCACAGGCTCCCTCACTGGGTGAAGGCGGCGCAAAGAATGGGAAGAGCCATCCCGGGAGCCACCGGGCGTTCAGCCTCCCTAGGGCCCCCAGGCGGCTCGGGCCGGGGTCTCAACCGGGGCGTTTCCGGGGGTTTCTGAAGCAGGCGAGGGGCAGGGCGGGCGAAGGCCATTCGGCTATCCTTCTGGCTCCAGAATCTCCCAACGCGCAGGTGTCCAACGTGACCAGCGCGACTTACCGCTCCAATCTCTCCAGTTTTCCAAGGCCTTGCTCAGTCCTCCTGCCGGGCGGGCCCTGAGGATGCAAGGGACGGAGGAAGTTTCGTGCGTGCGCCCTTCCTATAGCGCCCAGTAGAACTAACAGTACCTGTCTCTGTGGCGCAATCGGTTAGCGCGTTCGGCTGTTAACCGAAAGGTTGGTGGTTCGAGCCCACCCAGGGACGCCTCTTTGAGCTTTTAAAGTATTCATGCATTGTCAATCACTAGATAAATGGGGAAGATTTTATCTTCCTGGAGTCCTAAGCCACTAATTTGTGACTTATCCATGTCAAGGGCCAGCCCACCTCCCCAACCGGATTCTTAACCGGGTATCTCCTGAAATCCTGGGTTTATACGTGTGTAACTCAGGAATCCTGAAACAGAGACCTAGGAACCCACTTCTGGTGTGATAAAATTCTAATTCAGTCCGTTATACGCTTAAATGAGTAATTTACATGCCTCCATTTTTTCATATGTTAATAATAGGAGGTCAGTAATATCCCGAGGATGTGCCTGGATTTACTGATTGCTCTATCAATAATGTGACCAGTGGAATCATTCATCATCATAGTGATCCTCTCCATCATTTTTGAAGAGTATTTTTCCTCAGTTTGTGCATGATTTATTTAACCCTTTTCAAAATGTTTTTGTTAGCCAGGCATGGTGGCATGTGCCTGTAATCCCAGGTACTTGGGATTCTGAGGCAGGAGAATCATTTGAACCTGGGAGGTGGAGGCTGCAGTGGAGGCTGCACCAATGGAGGCTGCACTGCTACACTCCCGCCTGGGCAACAGAGCGAGACTCCATCTCAAAAAAAAAATAAAAATAAAAAAATAAAGTTTTTGAGATGAGGTAGGTTTCATTGTTTTAGGATTACAAAGAATGCTGCAGCCACCTTTCTTGTACACATATCTGGTCATTGTGGAAATGTCTACACCGCAGATATTTCTATAGTGTAGGGAAGTTGATGCACTATTGCTACATTATAGGCTTTACATGATGCTTCTAATTTGAGTACATTCTGCAAATGTATCTTTCACGGGAGCCGTACCAAATAATATTCCAATAGCAATATTTATAGGAGGAAAAATGTGCAGAAGTGCAATTGAGCTTCGTGCCTCTCCATGGGGTCCATGTTCATAAAATGGTGGCATTAGCAATCATCTGAGAGTGGAGTTTGTGGCCCTCTGACATCAAAAGCTGAAGCAGAGGACATGAAAACCCTCACTGTGCATCCTCTCTAGTCTGGCCAGAATCATTCCTAGGTCGGTGGTCTCTTATCAGGAGGGAATGCTGCTTGCTTGTTTTGTCAAAATCACAAAACTGAGGGAAAGCATCAGGCCGTTGGTTGGTAACAGTGGTGAAGCAAGTCTTTCCAAAGGGCTGGTTTGTTGTTAACCCTTAGGGAAAAAAAAAAGCCTTTTTTTTTTTTTTTTTTTTTTTTTTGAGACAGAGTCTCTCTCTGTCGCCCAGGCTGGAGTGCAGTGGCGTGATCTCGGCTCACTGCAAGCTCCGCCTCCCGGGTTCAGGCCATTCTCCTGCCTCAGCCTCCCGAGTAGCTGGGACTACAGGCGCCTGCCACCACGCCCGGCTAATTTTTTTTATTTTTAGTAGAGATGGGGTTCTACCGTGTTAGCCAGGATGGTCTCGATTTCCTGACCTCGTGATCCGCCCGCCTTGGCCTCGCAAAGTGCTGGGATTACAGGCATAAGCCACCGCGCCCGGCCAAAAAAGCCTAATTCTTACCAGCTGGTGCCGTGCAGTTCCAGGCTCTTGGTGTCCCAAACAAAGACACCAAGAGCCTGGAACTGCACCAAAAACCAAAACCAAGGTAGGGGCAAGATGATAATCACAGAATGTCACCGGTATATGTTTAGGTTCAAATACTATTATGAGAAGTGGCAGGTAAAGGAGGTAGGAAAAAGAAAACACATCATGTAATTGACTGTTGTATGGAAATATTTGATGCTGAAAGTTATAATTTAAAACTATAAACCAAATATTAGAAGTGTGTCTAGTTAAAAGGGAGGAAAACCATCAAAAACATTTTTAGTGCAATATTTAACATGAGCTATACAACCCTTCCTAAATGCCAAAGGCACACACAGACACACACGCAGACACACAGACACACACACACTCACACTCACGAAGAATACAAATGACTAGAACCAAGAAATGTAAATACATTCTGCTACATATGGTAAACATAGCCTACAATGTGGAAGAGATTAGAAAATAAACATGGAAATGAAATGTTTTTATTAATTCGCATCAGTACCCACCAAAACCAATCAGCATAATCAAATATTATAACACTGAATGTAAAAAACAATCCAGAAGTCCAGAGTGATAGGCAAAAGGTTTTAATTGTATAGATTAAAATTAACTTTGGACAAAAATTAAAACTCAGGCAGAGAATGTCTTCTTCTTTTTGCAACAGCAGACACTAGTAAAAACAAAGGCACAGTAAAAATTGAGACCCAAAATTTGCAGTGTAGAGATATGAATATAATAATAGACACAGGCAGGGAGGATTAATAAATGATAAAATGTTTAGAGGATGATCATTAGAATACAGGATATTTATACTCTTGAAAACCGCTTTCCCAAGTACTTCTTCATTATAAGTAAGGTGTCTCTAAAAGGGACAGATCTCCTAGACCCCTCCTTAACCAAGTAACCAGTCCTGATATCATAATGGTGATGGACAAACTAGACCTTCTCTGCCCGCAGATGGGCTGAGGTTGGAAACTCACAGCATTGTCTCTGCAGTGTTCCCGGCAAAACGTTTAGGCTGAATTTAATCATGAAGACATTTTCAGACAACTTCAGAATGTAGATCATTGAGCCAGACAGCTGACCTGTCCTCTATAAACAAGTCCATGTCACCACCATCCATGACAACAACAAAAAGATGAGGAAATATTTGGGGTTCAAAATAACTAAAGAAATGCAGCTACATTATCTTTTTACGTTTTTTGAACCCAAAATATCTCTTCTCCTTTTTGTTGTGTGATTTGTGGTGATATGGACTATGTGAAGGAGACAGGTCAGTTGTCCTGCTCAGTGTTCTACATTCTGCAGTTGTCTGGTGATTACCTCCTATGAAACTCAGGCTAAGCGTTTTCTGCAAGAACATGGCATTGTTCATATTCTGCACCGGCAGAGTCCTGGGTGACATGCTGTCTCCTGCCAGCGGCTCCTGACTCCTGTTCTCTACAGGATGGAATTGAGAAGAGCAGGGCTAAGGCCTCCCAATGCTGTTTGTCCATCTAGCTGTGGTCTTCCTAAGTACTGACACCAATTGGAGGCTGAAGGACTGTGGCTTCTCTAACCAAAGGAGCCTAGCGGGTTAACAATTGTCAAGAGCAGTTGGTGGTTCTGAAATACAATCCTCAACCAAGGATCCCTCCTGTGTTACAGATGGATCAGCTAAAACAAGCCAACACTGAAGACACAAAGAATGAGGTTAGGTTCATTGAAACCAGGGTAACACCTTTGGATGAGCTAAACACAAAGATGACAATGACCTTGAGCAGGTATAGAAGCTCAGAGACATGCCTGCAAAATGAAATCCCTGAGGAATTTTGTAGCTACCCAGAGATACGTGGTTCAAATTAAAATGTCTGACTGATCACTCCCGGCATGTGCTGCACAGTTATGTGAACGTGTCACACCTAACGTGGGTCCATTGTCTTCAGACTGAGCACAGGTTGCCACTGGCATGGTTTGAGAATAGGAATACAGCCATGCCCACTGACCCATCCTATGTCTGGGCTTCCAAATGGAACTGTACTTTCATTCAAATCTTCACGTGCCTATAGGTCCTGCCTGCAGGAATGACATCTCTCGGCTTAGTAAGGGCTGTTTATTGTGGGAATATGACTCCCATCTGGAACACCAGGTGGAGACTTGTCACCGTCAAAGTAAAAAACCTATTGTCCACGTAAAGGGCGAAGCTGATGTGCTGTTCCTCAAATGAGTAAAACACACTTCTGTAGTGCTGGAATGAGTCAGGTAGTTCAAAGTACATTGACGGAGTAGAATAACATCCATCCAGTGAGTCCTGTAAGACTTCAGGCTCTTCCACTTCCATCAGCACGCCGTTGAGCCTGGAAAAGGAGACAAAACTAAAGAAGCAGCCAGGGAAAATCAGAAACCACAGAGCCCCACTAGATTTCAGAAGTCACATAAGGAAGTGGTTAGAAAAGAAAAAGGATAGATCCATTAATGAGGTAAAAAAAAAATTTATTGCCTATATGTTGGGATAGAACAGGGCCAGGTAGAAAACAATGAAAGAGAAAGACAGAGAGAGAGAGACAGAGACAGAGAGAGAGAGAAAGTGACCTAGTGAATTGCCCAGGTGACATACTGGTAAGGGAGTCAAAGGACACTCTGAGTTAGTGTCCTCATGACACACAGCAAACTGTGATCATGAAAAGAGTGAGCTCAATAGTTTTCCATAAAATATGCTCAAAATTCGATGCAGTGGCCATGAGAGTACAGCTTTTGAAGTATGGTCAACCTATGGCACGTTAGTAAAAGATAAGGGGAGGAAGAAATGGAAACCTAAACATCTACTGCAATGAAAACCAACAGCAATGACAGTAGGAGTAATTCAGCCTTCGTTGAAAACATGACATCAAACACACTCTGGTTTCCCTGAATCTGTTGCCTCCAGGTGTTAACACAGAATTAAGCATCCACAATTGCTGAAAGTCACCTGGGGCATGGTGGGTTTTGATCTTCTTCCCCTTCTTTTCTTCCCCTTCTTCTTTTCTTCTTTGATCTTCTTCCCCTTCTTTTCTTCCCCTTCCCCTTCTTTTCAATTTCTGCAATAAATTCAGACATGGACAGACACATTAAGCTGATTCCCCTACACACATAACAATCCACTGTCTAATCCTCACACAGGGACCTCAGGCTCCCCAGCATAAGAATAGGACACTTTGAGAGATATATTTCAGGAGGCCTGAAGGCTGTTCATGATAGAACTTCCTCGGTTTTTCTCCCAGAAACTGTGGGTAAAATGTCCCTATTCTAGTAGATCGTTATCCCAATATCATTTGTCCCAAGTTTGTGCAAACAGTTATGCCATATTTTTCCAATCAACTTAAAGCAAATACCCTCAAATGATTTCTAGGAGAAAAACTGCAATATTTAGCCCTGTCTCATCAAATACTCAGATTGTTCATGGTTGTGAGGACTTTAGACACTGAAATTAGAGTGAAAAAGGAAATCTACAAACCCTTGAGTCAAAATCATAGTTCTCTGAATTTGTCACATCTGCCCAGGTCCAATGTCATGAGGATAGGATCAGGGCGCCACAGGTATGGCCTGAGACTAGGAAGAGAGTCTTGCTCACTGACCCATCCCTTGCCTGGGCTTCCAGGTAGAACTAGAGTTTCATTCAACCTACATGTGCCTATAGGTCCTCCCTGTGGCAATGACATCTCTCAGCTCAGTAATGGCCACTTGGAGCAGGAATATGATCTTTATATGGAAGACTCAGTGGATCCTTATCACCTTCATAGAAAGGTACTCACCTCCCACGTCAAGAGAAAAGCCAACATGTTTTTCCTCCAATGCATAAAAGGAACTTCCATAGGGCTGGCAGGAGTCAGGCTGTTCAAGACAACTGGAAGGAGTTGAATAACATCTATCCAGTGAGTCCTGCAAGACTTCAGGCTCTACTACCTCCAGCAGCTCCCTGCTGAGCCTGGAAAAGGAGGAAAAAGTAAAGAATAAGCCAGGGGAAATCAGACACAACAGAGCCCCAACTAGGTTTCATGGGTAGCATAGGGAAGTGGTTAAAAAACTAAAAGGATAGATCCATTAATGAGGTAACAAATTATTGCCTTCATGTTGGGACAGAACAGGGCCAAATGGAAAAGAATGAAAGAGAAAGACAGATAGACACACACACACACACACACACACACACACACACAGACACACACACACACACACAGAGAACGAGCTCAGTGAATTGTCCAGGTGACACACTGATGAGGGAGTAACAGGACACTCTGAGTTAGTGCCCTCAGGACACACAGCATACAGGGATCATGAAAAGACTGTGCTCAATAATTTTCCATAAAATGTGCTCAAGTTTCCATGCAGTCGCCATGAGAATACAGTTTTTGAAGTCTGGTCCACCTACAGTAGGTTAGTAAATGATAAGGGGAGGAAGAAATGGAAACCTAAATATCTACTGCAATGAAAACCAACAGCAATGTTAGTAGGAATAATTCAGGCTTGCTGGAAAAGATGTAATCGATAATGTCAGCCCGCTCTGTTTTCCCTGAACCAGGAGTCTCCAGATGTCAACACAGAAGTAGCTGTTCACAATTGCTCAGTTACCTGGGGCATGGTGGGCCTTGGTCTTCTTCCTCTTCTTGGTCCTTTTTAGTTCCTGCAATACATTCAGACAGGGACAGACAAAATAAGCCAATTCACCTACACCCATAACAGTCCACTGTCTAATCCCCACACAGGGATCTCAGGCTCCTCAGCATGAGAACAGGACAATGTGAGAGAGATACTTCAGGAGGCCTGAAAGCTGGTCATGATATTCTTTGGTTTGCATCTCAGAACCAAGGGTGAAATATCCCCATTCTGGTAGATCGTTATCCCAAAATCATTTATCCCAAGTTTGTGCAAACAGTTATGCCTTATTGTTCCCATCAGTTCAAAGAAAATGCCCCAGATGATTTCTAGGAGGAAAACTGCAGTATTCAGCCCTGTCTCATCAAATGCCCAGCTCGTTCATGGATGCAAGAATTTTAGACACTGAAATTAGAATGAAGGAGGAAATCTACAAACCCTTCAGTCCAAATCATACTTCTGTGAATTTTTTACATCTGCCTGGGTCCAATGTGCTGAGAGCGGGCTCAGCTTGCCACAGGCATGGCTGGAGACTAGGAATAGAGCCTTGCTCACTGACCCATTTCATGTCTAGGCTTCCAACTGAGACTACAGTTTCATTACAACCTATATGCGCCCATAGGTCCTGCCTGCGGCAATGACATCTCTCGGGTCAGTAAGGGCCACTTGGAACAGGAATATCACCCCTATCTGGAAGACCAGGTGGAGGCTTATCACCTTCACAGTAAGGTACTCACTGTCCACGTCAAGAGCCAAGCCAAGGTACTGTTCCTCCAATGAGTAAACAGCACTGCTGTAGGGCTGGCCTAAGTCAGGCAGTTCAAGATAACCTGAAGGAGTCGAATAACATCTATCCAGTGAGTCCTGCAAGACTTCAGGCTCTTTCTCATCCAGCAGCTCCCTGCTGAGCCTGGAAAAGTAGGAAAAAGTAAAGAATAAGCCAGGGGGAATCAGAAACCACACAGCCCCAGCTAGATTTCATGGCTAACATAAGGAACTGTTTAAAAAGAAAAAGGACAGATCCATTAATGAGGTAATGAATTATTGCCTTTATGTTGGGATAGACCAGGGCCAGGTAGAAAAGAATGAAAGAGAAAGACAGGGAGAGGGAGGGAGAGAGAGAGAGAGAGAGAGAGAGAGGAGAAAGTAAGCTCAGCGAGTTGGCCGGGTGACACACTGATGAAGGGGTCAAAGGACACTCTGAGTTAGTGCCCTCGGGACACACAGCGAACAGTGATCATGAAAAGAGTGGGCTCAATAATTTTCCATAAACTTGCTCAAGATTCCATGCAGTTGCCATACAGCCTTTGAGGTATGGTCAACCTATAGTAAGTTAGTAAATGATAAGGGGAGGAAGAAATGGAAACCTAAACATCTACTGCAATGAAAACCAACAGCAATATCAGGAGGAGTAATTCAACCTTCGTTGAAAACATGAAATTGAACACACTCTTGTTTTCCCTGGACCTGGCATCTCCAGGTGTCAACACAGAATTAAGCATCCATAATTGCTCAAAGTTACCTGGGGCATGATGGGTCTTGGTCTTCTTCCACTTCTTGGTACTTTTCAATTTCTGCAATAAGTTCAGACATGGACAGACATATTAAGCTGGTTCTCCTACACACATAACAATCCACTGTCTAATCCTCACACAGGGACTTCAGGCTCCTCAGCATGAGAATAGGACACTGTGAGAGATAGTCTTCAGGAGGCCTGAAGGCTGATCACCATAGAGATTCCTTGGTTTTTGTCCCAGAAACTGTGGGTAAAATTCCCTATTCTGGTAGATCGTTATCCCAATATCATTTGTCCCAAGTTTGTGCAAATGGTTATGCCATATTTTTCCAATCGATTTAAAGCAAATGCCCCCAAATGGTTGCTAGGAGAAAAACTGCACTATTCAGCCCTGTCTCATCAAATACTCAGATTGTTCACGGTATCGAGGATTTTAGACGCTGAAATTAGAGTGAAGGATGAAATCTACAAGATCTACAAAATTGAGACAAAATCAGAGTTGTGTGAATTTGTCACATCTGCCCAGGTCCAACATCATGAGAGTAGGATTAGGGCGCCACAGGCATGGCCTGAGACTAGGAAGAGAGCCTTGCTCACTGACCCATCCCTTGTCTGGGCTTCCAAGTGGAACTAGAGTTTCATTCAACCTACATGTGCCTATAGGACCTCCCTGTGGCAATGACATCTCTCAGCTCAGTAAGGGCCACTTGCAGTAGGAATATGACCCTAACCAGAAGACTCAGTGGATCCTTATCACCTTCATAGAAAGGTACTCACCATCCATGTCAACAGCCAAGCCAACACGCTGTTGCTCCAATACGTAAAAGGCACTTCTGTAGGGCTGGCATGAGTCAGTCAGTTCAAGACAACCTGAAGGAGTTGAATAACATCTATCCAGTGAGTCCTGCAAGACTTCAGGCCCTTTCTCATCCAGCAGCTCCCTGCTGAGCCTGGAAAAGTGGGAAAAAGTAAAGAATAAGCCAGGGGGAATCAGAAACCACACAGCCCCAGCTAGATTTCATGGCTAACGTAAGGAAGAGTTTGAAAAGAAAAAGGACAGATCCATTAATGAGGTAACAAATTATTGCCTTTATGTTGGGATAGAACAGGGCCAGGTAGAAAACAATGAAAGAGAAAGACAGAGAGAGAGAGAGAGACAGAGACAGAGAGAGAGACAGAGACAGAGACAGAGAGAAAGTGACCTAGTGAATTGGCCAGGTGACATACTGGTAAGGGAGTAAAAGGACACTCTGAGTTAGTGCCCTCATGACACACAGCAAACTGTGATCATGAAAAGAGTGAGCTCAATAGTTTTCCATAAAATATGCTCAAAATTCGATGCAGTGGCCATGAGAGTACAGCTTTTGAAGTATGGTCAACCTATGGTACGTTAGGAAATGATAAGGGGAGGAAGAAATGGAAACCTAAACATCTACTGCAATGAAAACCAACAGCAATGACAGTAGGAGTAATTCAGCCTTCGTTGAAAACATGACATCAAACACACTCTGGTTTCCCTGAATCTGTTGCCTCCAGGTGTTAACACAGAATTAAGCATCCACAATTGCTGAAAGTCACCTGGGGCATGGTGGGTTTTGATCTTCTTCCCCTTCTTTTCTTCCCCTTCTTCTTTCCTTCTTTGATCTTCTTCCCCTTCTTTTCTTCCCCTTCCCCTTCTTTTCAATTTCTGCAATAAATTCAGACATGGACAGACACATTAAGCTGATTCCCCTACACACATAACAATCCACTGTCTAATCCTCACACAGGGACCTCAGGCTCCTCAGCATAAGAATAGGACACCGTGAGAGATATATTTCAGGAGGCCTGAAGGCTGGTCATGATAGAAATTCCTCGGTTTTTCTCCCAGAAACTGTGGGTAAAATGTCCCTATTCTAGTAGATCGTTATCCCAATATCATTTGTCCCAAGTTTGTGCAAACAGTTATGCCATATTTTTCCAATCAACTTAAAGCAAATACCCTCAAATGATTTCTAGGAGAAAAACTGCAATATTTAGCCCTGTCTCATCAAATACTCAGATTGTTCATGGTTGTGAGGACTTTAGACACTGAAATTAGAGTGAAAAAGGAAATCTACAAACCCTTGAGTCAAAATCATAGTTCTCTGAATTTGTCACATCTGCCCAGGTCCAATGTCATGAGGATAGGATCAGGGCGCCACAGGTACGGCCTGAGACTAGGAAGAGAGTCTTGCTCACTGACCCATCCCTTGCCTGGGCTTCCAGGTAGAACTAGAGTTTCATTCAACCTACATGTGCCTATAGGTCCTCCCTGTGGCAATGACATCTCTCAGCTCAGTAATGGCCACTTGGAGCAGGAATATGATCTTTATATGGAAGACTCAGTGGATCCTTATCACCTTCATAGAAAGGTACTCACCTCCCACGTCGAGAGAAAAGCCAACATGTTTTTCCTCCAATGCATAAAAGGAACTTCCATAGGGCTGGCAGGAGTCAGGCTGTTCAAGACAACTGGAAGGAGTTGAATAACATCTATCCAGTGAGTCCTGCAAGACTTCAGGCTCTACTACCTCCAGCAGCTCCCTGCTGAGCCTGGAAAAGGAGGAAAAAGTAAAGAATAAGCCAGGGGAAATCAGACACAACAGAGCCCCAACTAGGTTTCATGGGTAGCATAGGGAAGTGGTTAAAAAACTAAAAGGATAGATCCATTAATGAGGTAACAAATTATTGCCTTCATGTTGGGACAGAACAGGGCCAAATGGAAAAGAATGAAAGAGAAAGACAGATAGACACACACACACACACACACACACAGACACACACACACAGACACACACACACACACAGAGAGAGAGAACGAGCTCAGTGAATTGTCCAGGTGACACACTGATGAGGGAGTAACAGGACACTCTGAGTTAGTGCCCTCAGGACACACAGCATACAGGGATCATGAAAAGACTGTGCTCAATAATTTTCCATAAAATGTGCTCAAGTTTCCATGCAGTCGCCATGAGAATACAGTTTTTGAAGTCTGGTCCACCTACAGTAGGTTAGTAAATGATAAGGGGAGGAAGAAATGGAAACCTAAATATCTACTGCAATGAAAACCAACAGCAATGTTAGTAGGAATAATTCAGGCTTGCTGGAAAAGATGTAATCGATAATGTCAGCCCGCTCTGTTTTCCCTGAACCAGGAGTCTCCAGATGTCAACACAGAAGTAGCTGTTCACAATTGCTCAGTTACCTGGGGCATGGTGGGCCTTGGTCTTCTTCCTCTTCTTGGTCCTTTTTAGTTCCTGCAATACATTCAGACAGGGACAGACAAAATAAGCCAATTCACCTACACCCATAACAGTCCACTGTCTAATCCCCACACAGGGATCTCAGGCTCCTCAGCATGAGAACAGGACAATGTGAGAGAGATACTTCAGGAGGCCTGAAAGCTGGTCATGATATTCTTTGGTTTGCATCTCAGAACCAAGGGTGAAATATCCCCATTCTGGTAGATCGTTATCCCAAAATCATTTATCCCAAGTTTGTGCAAACAGTTATGCCTTATTGTTCCCATCAGTTCAAAGAAAATGCCCCAGATGATTTCTAGGAGGAAAACTGCAGTATTCAGCCCTGTCTCATCAAATGCCCAGCTCGTTCATGGATGCAAGAATTTTAGACACTGAAATTAGAATGAAGGAGGAAATCTACAAACCCTTGAGTCCAAATCATACTTCTGTGAATTTTTTACATCTGCCTGGGTCCAATGTGCTGAGAGCGGGCTCAGCTTGCCACAGGCATGGCTGGAGACTAGGAATAGAGCCTTGCTCACTGACCCATTTCATGTCTAGGCTTCCAACTGAGACTACAGTTTCATTACAACCTATATGCGCCCATAGGTCCTGCCTGCGGCAATGACATCTCTCGGGTCAGTAAGGGCCACTTGGAACAGGAATATCACCCCTATCTGGAAGACCAGGTGGAGGCTTATCACCTTCACAGTAAGGTACTCACTGTCCACGTCAAGAGCCAAGCCAAGGTACTGTTCCTCCAATGAGTAAACAGCACTGCTGTAGGGCTGGCCTAAGTCAGGCAGTTCAAGATAACCTGAAGGAGTCGAATAACATCTATCCAGTGAGTCCTGCAAGACTTCAGGCTCTTTCTCATCCAGCAGCTCCCTGCTGAGCCTGGAAAAGTAGGAAAAAGTAAAGAATAAGCCAGGGGGAATCAGAAACCACACAGCCCCAGCTAGATTTCATGGCTAACATAAGGAACTGTTTAAAAAGAAAAAGGACAGATCCATTAATGAGGTAATGAATTATTGCCTTTATGTTGGGATAGACCAGGGCCAGGTAGAAAAGAATGAAAGAGAAAGACAGGGAGAGGGAGGGAGAGAGAGAGAGAGAGAGAGAGGAGAAAGTAAGCTCAGCGAGTTGGCCGGGTGACACACTGATGAAGGGGTCAAAGGACACTCTGAGTTAGTGCCCTCGGGACACACAGCGAACAGTGATCATGAAAAGAGTGGGCTCAATAATTTTCCATAAACTTGCTCAAGATTCCATGCAGTTGCCATACAGCCTTTGAGGTATGGTCAACCTATAGTAAGTTAGTAAATGATAAGGGGAGGAAGAAATGGAAACCTAAACATCTACTGCAATGAAAACCAACAGCAATATCAGGAGGAGTAATTCAACCTTCGTTGAAAACATGAAATTGAACACACTCTTGTTTTCCCTGGACCTGGCATCTCCAGGTGTCAACACAGAATTAAGCATCCATAATTGCTCAAAGTTACCTGGGGCATGATGGGTCTTGGTCTTCTTCCACTTCTTGGTACTTTTCAATTTCTGCAATAAGTTCAGACATGGACAGACATATTAAGCTGGTTCTCCTACACACATAACAATCCACTGTCTAATCCTCACACAGGGACTTCAGGCTCCTCAGCATGAGAATAGGACACTGTGAGAGATAGTCTTCAGGAGGCCTGAAGGCTGATCACCATAGAGATTCCTTGGTTTTTGTCCCAGAAACTGTGGGTAAAATTCCCTATTCTGGTAGATCGTTATCCCAATATCATTTGTCCCAAGTTTGTGCAAATGGTTATGCCATATTTTTCCAATCGATTTAAAGCAAATGCCCCCAAATGGTTGCTAGGAGAAAAACTGCACTATTCAGCCCTGTCTCATCAAATACTCAGATTGTTCACGGTAGCGAGGATTTTAGACGCTGAAATTAGAGTGAAGGATGAAATCTACAAGATCTACAAAATTGAGACAAAATCAGAGTTGTGTGAATTTGTCACATCTGCCCAGGTCCAACGTCATGAGAGTAGGATTAGGGCGCCACAGGCATGGCCTGAGACTAGGAAGAGAGCCTTGCTCACTGACCCATCCCTTGTCTGGGCTTCCAAGTGGAACTAGAGTTTCATTCAACCTACATGTGCCTATAGGACCTCCCTGTGGCAATGACATCTCTCAGCTCAGTAAGGGCCACTTGCAGTAGGAATATGACCCTAACCAGAAGACTCAGTGGATCCTTATCACCTTCATAGAAAGGTACTCACCATCCATGTCAACAGCCAAGCCAACACGCTGTTGCTCCAATACGTAAAAGGCACTTCTGTAGGGCTGGCATGAGTCAGTCAGTTCAAGACAACCTGAAGGAGTTGAATAACTTCTATCCAGTGAGTCCTGCAAGACTTCAGGCCCTTTCTCATCCAGCAGCTCCCTGCTGAGCCTGGAAAAGTGGGAAAAAGTAAAGAATAAGCCAGGGGGAATCAGAAACCACACAGCCCCAGCTAGATTTCATGGCTAACGTAAGGAAGAGTTTGAAAAGAAAAAGGACAGATCCATTAATGAGGTAACAAATTATTGCCTTTATGTTGGGATAGAACAGGGCCAGGTAGAAAACAATGAAAGAGAAAGACAGAGAGAGAGAGAGAGACAGAGACAGAGAGAGAGACAGAGACAGAGACAGAGAGAAAGTGACCTAGTGAATTGGCCAGGTGACATACTGGTAAGGGAGTAAAAGGACACTCTGAGTTAGTGCCCTCATGACACACAGCAAACTGTGATCATGAAAAGAGTGAGCTCAATAGTTTTCCATAAAATATGCTCAAAATTCGATGCAGTGGCCATGAGAGTACAGCTTTTGAAGTATGGTCAACCTATGGTACGTTAGGAAATGATAAGGGGAGGAAGAAATGGAAACCTAAACATCTACTGCAATGAAAACCAACAGCAATGACAGTAGGAGTAATTCAGCCTTCGTTGAAAACATGACATCAAACACACTCTGGTTTCCCTGAATCTGTTGCCTCCAGGTGTTAACACAGAATTAAGCATCCACAATTGCTGAAAGTCACCTGGGGCATGGTGGGTTTTGATCTTCTTCCCCTTCTTTTCTTCCCCTTCTTCTTTCCTTCTTTGATCTTCTTCCCCTTCTTTTCTTCCCCTTCCCCTTCTTTTCAATTTCTGCAATAAATTCAGACATGGACAGACACATTAAGCTGATTCCCCTACACACATAACAATCCACTGTCTAATCCTCACACAGGGACCTCAGGCTCCTCAGCATAAGAATAGGACACCGTGAGAGATATATTTCAGGAGGCCTGAAGGCTGGTCATGATAGAAATTCCTCGGTTTTTCTCCCAGAAACTGTGGGTAAAATGTCCCTATTCTAGTAGATCGTTATCCCAATATCATTTGTCCCAAGTTTGTGCAAACAGTTATGCCATATTTTTCCAATCAACTTAAAGCAAATACCCTCAAATGATTTCTAGGAGAAAAACTGCAATATTTAGCCCTGTCTCATCAAATACTCAGATTGTTCATGGTTGTGAGGACTTTAGACACTGAAATTAGAGTGAAAAAGGAAATCTACAAACCCTTGAGTCAAAATCATAGTTCTCTGAATTTGTCACATCTGCCCAGGTCCAATGTCATGAGGATAGGATCAGGGCGCCACAGGTATGGCCTGAGACTAGGAAGAGAGTCTTGCTCACTGACCCATCCCTTGCCTGGGCTTCCAGGTAGAACTAGAGTTTCATTCAACCTACATGTGCCTATAGGTCCTCCCTGTGGCAATGACATCTCTCAGCTCAGTAATGGCCACTTGGAGCAGGAATATGATCTTTATATGGAAGACTCAGTGGATCCTTATCACCTTCATAGAAAGGTACTCACCTCCCACGTCAAGAGAAAAGCCAACATGTTTTTCCTCCAATGCATAAAAGGAACTTCCATAGGGCTGGCAGGAGTCAGGCTGTTCAAGACAACTGGAAGGAGTTGAATAACATCTATCCAGTGAGTCCTGCAAGACTTCAGGCTCTACTACCTCCAGCAGCTCCCTGCTGAGCCTGGAAAAGGAGGAAAAAGTAAAGAATAAGCCAGGGGAAATCAGACACAACAGAGCCCCAACTAGGTTTCATGGGTAGCATAGGGAAGTGGTTAAAAAACTAAAAGGATAGATCCATTAATGAGGTAACAAATTATTGCCTTCATGTTGGGACAGAACAGGGCCAAATGGAAAAGAATGAAAGAGAAAGACAGATAGACACACACACACACACACACACACACACACACACACACAGAGAGAGAGAGAACGAGCTCAGTGAATTGTCCAGGTGACACACTGATGAGGGAGTAACAGGACACTCTGAGTTAGTGCCCTCAGGACACACAGCATACAGGGATCATGAAAAGACTGTGCTCAATAATTTTCCATAAAATGTGCTCAAGTTTCCATGCAGTCGCCATGAGAATACAGTTTTTGAAGTCTGGTCCACCTACAGTAGGTTAGTAAATGATAAGGGGAGGAAGAAATGGAAACCTAAATATCTACTGCAATGAAAACCAACAGCAATGTTAGTAGGAATAATTCAGGCTTGCTGGAAAAGATGTAATCGATAATGTCAGCCCGCTCTGTTTTCCCTGAACCAGGAGTCTCCAGATGTCAACACAGAAGTAGCTGTTCACAATTGCTCAGTTACCTGGGGCATGGTGGGCCTTGGTCTTCTTCCTCTTCTTGGTCCTTTTTAGTTCCTGCAATACATTCAGACAGGGACAGACAAAATAAGCCAATTCACCTACACCCATAACAGTCCACTGTCTAATCCCCACACAGGGATCTCAGGCTCCTCAGCATGAGAACAGGACAATGTGAGAGAGATACTTCAGGAGGCCTGAAAGCTGGTCATGATATTCTTTGGTTTGCATCTCAGAACCAAGGGTGAAATATCCCCATTCTGGTAGATCGTTATCCCAAAATTATTTATCCCAAGTTTGTGCAAACAGTTATGCCTTATTGTTCCCATCAGTTCAAAGAAAATGCCCCAGATGATTTCTAGGAGGAAAACTGCAGTATTCAGCCCTGTCTCATCAAATGCCCAGCTCGTTCATGGATGCAAGAATTTTAGACACTGAAATTAGAATGAAGGAGGAAATCTACAAACCCTTCAGTCCAAATCATACTTCTGTGAATTTTTTACATCTGCCTGGGTCCAATGTGCTGAGAGCGGGCTCAGCTTGCCACAGGCATGGCTGGAGACTAGGAATAGAGCCTTGCTCACTGACCCATTTCATGTCTAGGCTTCCAACTGAGACTACAGTTTCATTACAACCTATATGCGCCCATAGGTCCTGCCTGCGGCAATGACATCTCTCGGGTCAGTAAGGGCCACTTGGAACAGGAATATCACCCCTATCTGGAAGACCAGGTGGAGGCTTATCACCTTCACAGTAAGGTACTCACTGTCCACGTCAAGAGCCAAGCCAAGGTACTGTTCCTCCAATGAGTAAACAGCACTGCTGTAGGGCTGGCCTAAGTCAGGCAGTTCAAGATAACCTGAAGGAGTCGAATAACATCTATCCAGTGAGTCCTGCAAGACTTCAGGCTCTTTCTCATCCAGCAGCTCCCTGCTGAGCCTGGAAAAGTAGGAAAAAGTAAAGAATAAGCCAGGGGGAATCAGAAACCACACAGCCCCAGCTAGATTTCATGGCTAACATAAGGAACTGTTTAAAAAGAAAAAGGACAGATCCATTAATGAGGTAATGAATTATTGCCTTTATGTTGGGATAGACCAGGGCCAGGTAGAAAAGAATGAAAGAGAAAGACAGGGAGAGGGAGGGAGAGAGAGAGAGAGAGAGGAGAAAGTGAGCTCAGCGAGTTGGCCGGGTGACACACTGATGAAGGGGTCAAAGGACACTCTGAGTTAGTGCCCTCGGGACACACAGCGAACAGTGATCATGAAAAGAGTGGGCTCAATAATTTTCCATAAACTTGCTCAAGATTCCATGCAGTTGCCATACAGCCTTTGAGGTATGGTCAACCTATAGTAAGTTAGTAAATGATAAGGGGAGGAAGAAATGGAAACCTAAACATCTACTGCAATGAAAACCAACAGCAATGACAGTAGGAGTAATTCAGCCTTCGTTGAAAACATGACATCAAACACACTCTGGTTTCCCTGAATCTGTTGCCTCCAGGTGTTAACACAGAATTAAGCATCCACAATTGCTGAAAGTCACCTGGGGCATGGTGGGTTTTGATCTTCTTCCCCTTCTTTTCTTCCCCTTCTTCTTTCCTTCTTTGATCTTCTTCCCCTTCTTTTCTTCCCCTTCCCCTTCTTTTCAATTTCTGCAATAAATTCAGACATGGACAGACACATTAAGCTGATTCCCCTACACACATAACAATCCACTGTCTAATCCTCACACAGGGACCTCAGGCTCCCCAGCATAAGAATAGGACACCGTGAGAGATATATTTCAGGAGGCCTGAAGGCTGGTCATGATAGAAATTCCTCGGTTTTTCTCCCAGAAACTGTGGGTAAAATGTCCCTATTCTAGTAGATCGTTATCCCAATATCATTTGTCCCAAGTTTGTGCAAACAGTTATGCCATATTTTTCCAATCAACTTAAAGCAAATACCCTCAAATGATTTCTAGGAGAAAAACTGCAATATTTAGCCCTGTCTCATCAAATACTCAGATTGTTCATGGTTGTGAGGACTTTAGACACTGAAATTAGAGTGAAAAAGGAAATCTACAAACCCTTGAGTCAAAATCATAGTTCTCTGAATTTGTCACATCTGCCCAGGTCCAATGTCATGAGGATAGGATCAGGGCGCCACAGGTATGGCCTGAGACTAGGAAGAGAGTCTTGCTCACTGACCCATCCCTTGCCTGGGCTTCCAGGTAGAACTAGAGTTTCATTCAACCTACATGTGCCTATAGGTCCTCCCTGTGGCAATGACATCTCTCAGCTCAGTAATGGCCACTTGGAGCAGGAATATGATCTTTATATGGAAGACTCAGTGGATCCTTATCACCTTCATAGAAAGGTACTCACCTCCCACGTCAAGAGAAAAGCCAACATGTTTTTCCTCCAATGCATAAAAGGAACTTCCATAGGGCTGGCAGGAGTCAGGCTGTTCAAGACAACTGGAAGGAGTTGAATAACATCTATCCAGTGAGTCCTGCAAGACTTCAGGCTCTACTACCTCCAGCAGCTCCCTGCTGAGCCTGGAAAAGGAGGAAAAAGTAAAGAATAAGCCAGGGGAAATCAGACACAACAGAGCCCCAACTAGGTTTCATGGGTAGCATAGGGAAGTGGTTAAAAAACTAAAAGGATAGATCCATTAATGAGGTAACAAATTATTGCCTTCATGTTGGGACAGAACAGGGCCAAATGGAAAAGAATGAAAGAGAAAGACAGATAGACACACACACACACACACACACACACACACACACACAGACACACACACACACACAGAGAGAGAGAACGAGCTCAGTGAATTGTCCAGGTGACACACTGATGAGGGAGTAACAGGACACTCTGAGTTAGTGCCCTCAGGACACACAGCATACAGGGATCATGAAAAGACTGTGCTCAATAATTTTCCATAAAATGTGCTCAAGTTTCCATGCAGTCGCCATGAGAATACAGTTTTTGAAGTCTGGTCCACCTACAGTAGGTTAGTAAATGATAAGGGGAGGAAGAAATGGAAACCTAAATATCTACTGCAATGAAAACCAACAGCAATGTTAGTAGGAATAATTCAGGCTTGCTGGAAAAGATGTAATCGATAATGTCAGCCCGCTCTGTTTTCCCTGAACCAGGAGTCTCCAGATGTCAACACAGAAGTAGCTGTTCACAATTGCTCAGTTACCTGGGGCATGGTGGGCCTTGGTCTTCTTCCTCTTCTTGGTCCTTTTTAGTTCCTGCAATACATTCAGACAGGGACAGACAAAATAAGCCAATTCACCTACACCCATAACAGTCCACTGTCTAATCCCCACACAGGGATCTCAGGCTCCTCAGCATGAGAACAGGACAATGTGAGAGAGATACTTCAGGAGGCCTGAAAGCTGGTCATGATATTCTTTGGTTTGCATCTCAGAACCAAGGGTGAAATATCCCCATTCTGGTAGATCGTTATCCCAAAATCATTTATCCCAAGTTTGTGCAAACAGTTATGCCTTATTGTTCCCATCAGTTCAAAGAAAATGCCCCAGATGATTTCTAGGAGGAAAACTGCAGTATTCAGCCCTGTCTCATCAAATGCCCAGCTCGTTCATGGATGCAAGAATTTTAGACACTGAAATTAGAATGAAGGAGGAAATCTACAAACCCTTCAGTCCAAATCATAGTTCTGTGAATTTTTTACATCTGCCTGGGTCCAATGTGCTGAGAGCGGGCTCAGCTTGCCACAGGCATGGCTGGAGACTAGGAATAGAGCCTTGCTCACTGACCCATTTCATGTCTAGGCTTCCAACTGAGACTACAGTTTCATTACAACCTATATGCGCCCATAGGTCCTGCCTGCGGCAATGACATCTCTCGGGTCAGTAAGGGCCACTTGGAACAGGAATATCACCCCTATCTGGAAGACCAGGTGGAGGCTTATCACCTTCACAGTAAGGTACTCACTGTCCACGTCAAGAGCCAAGCCAAGGTACTGTTCCTCCAATGAGTAAACAGCACTGCTGTAGGGCTGGCCTAAGTCAGGCAGTTCAAGATAACCTGAAGGAGTCGAATAACATCTATCCAGTGAGTCCTGCAAGACTTCAGGCTCTTTCTCATCCAGCAGCTCCCTGCTGAGCCTGGAAAAGTAGGAAAAAGTAAAGAATAAGCCAGGGGGAATCAGAAACCACACAGCCCCAGCTAGATTTCATGGCTAACATAAGGAACTGTTTAAAAAGAAAAAGGACAGATCCATTAATGAGGTAATGAATTATTGCCTTTATGTTGGGATAGACCAGGGCCAGGTAGAAAAGAATGAAAGAGAAAGACAGGGAGAGGGAGGGAGAGAGAGAGAGAGAGAGGAGAAAGTGAGCTCAGCGAGTTGGCCGGGTGACACACTGATGAAGGGGTCAAAGGACACTCTGAGTTAGTGCCCTCGGGACACACAGCGAACAGTGATCATGAAAAGAGTGGGCTCAATAATTTTCCATAAACTTGCTCAAGATTCCATGCAGTTGCCATACAGCCTTTGAGGTATGGTCAACCTATAGTAAGTTAGTAAATGATAAGGGGAGGAAGAAATGGAAACCTAAACATCTACTGCAATGAAAACCAACAGCAATGACAGTAGGAGTAATTCAGCCTTCGTTGAAAACATGACATCAAACACACTCTGGTTTCCCTGAATCTGTTGCCTCCAGGTGTTAACACAGAATTAAGCATCCACAATTGCTGAAAGTCACCTGGGGCATGGTGGGTTTTGATCTTCTTCCCCTTCTTTTCTTCCCCTTCTTCTTTCCTTCTTTGATCTTCTTCCCCTTCTTTTCTTCCCCTTCCCCTTCTTTTCAATTTCTGCAATAAATTCAGACATGGACAGACACATTAAGCTGATTCCCCTACACACATAACAATCCACTGTCTAATCCTCACACAGGGACCTCAGGCTCCTCAGCATAAGAATAGGACACCGTGAGAGATATATTTCAGGAGGCCTGAAGGCTGGTCATGATAGAAATTCCTCGGTTTTTCTCCCAGAAACTGTGGGTAAAATGTCCCTATTCTAGTAGATCGTTATCCCAATATCATTTGTCCCAAGTTTGTGCAAACAGTTATGCCATATTTTTCCAATCAACTTAAAGCAAATACCCTCAAATGATTTCTAGGAGAAAAACTGCAATATTTAGCCCTGTCTCATCAAATACTCAGATTGTTCATGGTTGTGAGGACTTTAGACACTGAAATTAGAGTGAAAAAGGAAATCTACAAACCCTTGAGTCAAAATCATAGTTCTCTGAATTTGTCACATCTGCCCAGGTCCAATGTCATGAGGATAGGATCAGGGCGCCACAGGTATGGCCTGAGACTAGGAAGAGAGTCTTGCTCACTGACCCATCCCTTGCCTGGGCTTCCAGGTAGAACTAGAGTTTCATTCAACCTACATGTGCCTATAGGTCCTCCCTGTGGCAATGACATCTCTCAGCTCAGTAATGGCCACTTGGAGCAGGAATATGATCTTTATATGGAAGACTCAGTGGATCCTTATCACCTTCATAGAAAGGTACTCACCTCCCACGTCAAGAGAAAAGCCAACATGTTTTTCCTCCAATGCATAAAAGGAACTTCCATAGGGCTGGCAGGAGTCAGGCTGTTCAAGACAACTGGAAGGAGTTGAATAACATCTATCCAGTGAGTCCTGCAAGACTTCAGGCTCTACTACCTCCAGCAGCTCCCTGCTGAGCCTGGAAAAGGAGGAAAAAGTAAAGAATAAGCCAGGGGAAATCAGACACAACAGAGCCCCAACTAGGTTTCATGGGTAGCATAGGGAAGTGGTTAAAAAACTAAAAGGATAGATCAATTAATGAGGTAACAAATTATTGCCTTCATGTTGGGACAGAACAGGGCCAAATGGAAAAGAATGAAAGAGAAAGACAGATAGACACACACACACACACACACACACACACACACACAGACACACACACACACACAGAGAGAGAGAACGAGCTCAGTGAATTATCCAGGTGACACACTGATGAGGGAGTAACAGGACACTCTGAGTTAGTGCCCTCAGGACACACAGCATACAGGGATCATGAAAAGACTGTGCTCAATAATTTTCCATAAAATGTGCTCAAGTTTCCATGCAGTCGCCATGAGAATACAGTTTTTGAAGTCTGGTCCACCTACAGTAGGTTAGTAAATGATAAGGGGAGGAAGAAATGGAAACCTAAATATCTACTGCAATGAAAACCAACAGCAATGTTAGTAGGAATAATTCAGGCTTGCTGGAAAAGATGTAATCGATAATGTCAGCCCGCTCTGTTTTCCCTGAACCAGGAGTCTCCAGATGTCAACACAGAAGTAGCTGTTCACAATTGCTCAGTTACCTGGGGCATGGTGGGCCTTGGTCTTCTTCCTCTTCTTGGTCCTTTTTAGTTCCTGCAATACATTCAGACAGGGACAGACAAAATAAGCCAATTCACCTACACCCATAACAGTCCACTGTCTAATCCCCACACAGGGATCTCAGGCTCCTCAGCATGAGAACAGGACAATGTGAGAGAGATACTTCAGGAGGCCTGAAAGCTGGTCATGATATTCTTTGGTTTGCATCTCAGAACCAAGGGTGAAATATCCCCATTCTGGTAGATCGTTATCCCAAAATCATTTATCCCAAGTTTGTGCAAACAGTTATGCCTTATTGTTCCCATCAGTTCAAAGAAAATGCCCCAGATGATTTCTAGGAGGAAAACTGCAGTATTCAGCCCTGTCTCATCAAATGCCCAGCTCGTTCATGGATGCAAGAATTTTAGACACTGAAATTAGAATGAAGGAGGAAATCTACAAACCCTTCAGTCCAAATCATACTTCTGTGAATTTTTTACATCTGCCTGGGTCCAATGTGCTGAGAGCGGGCTCAGCTTGCCACAGGCATGGCTGGAGACTAGGAATAGAGCCTTGCTCACTGACCCATTTCATGTCTAGGCTTCCAACTGAGACTACAGTTTCATTACAACCTATATGCGCCCATAGGTCCTGCCTGCGGCAATGACATCTCTCGGGTCAGTAAGGGCCACTTGGAACAGGAATATCACCCCTATCTGGAAGACCAGGTGGAGGCTTATCACCTTCACAGTAAGGTACTCACTGTCCACGTCAAGAGCCAAGCCAAGGTACTGTTCCTCCAATGAGTAAACAGCACTGCTGTAGGGCTGGCCTAAGTCAGGCAGTTCAAGATAACCTGAAGGAGTCGAATAACATCTATCCAGTGAGTCCTGCAAGACTTCAGGCTCTTTCTCATCCAGCAGCTCCCTGCTGAGCCTGGAAAAGTAGGAAAAAGTAAAGAATAAGCCAGGGGGAATCAGAAACCACACAGCCCCAGCTAGATTTCATGGCTAACATAAGGAACTGTTTAAAAAGAAAAAGGACAGATCCATTAATGAGGTAATGAATTATTGCCTTTATGTTGGGATAGACCAGGGCCAGGTAGAAAAGAATGAAAGAGAAAGACAGGGAGAGGGAGGGAGAGAGAGAGAGAGAGAGAGGAGAAAGTAAGCTCAGCGAGTTGGCCGGGTGACACACTGATGAAGGGGTCAAAGGACACTCTGAGTTAGTGCCCTCGGGACACACAGCGAACAGTGATCATGAAAAGAGTGGGCTCAATAATTTTCCATAAACTTGCTCAAGATTCCATGCAGTTGCCATACAGCCTTTGAGGTATGGTCAACCTATAGTAAGTTAGTAAATGATAAGGGGAGGAAGAAATGGAAACCTAAACATCTACTGCAATGAAAACCAACAGCAATATCAGGAGGAGTAATTCAACCTTCGTTGAAAACATGAAATTGAACACACTCTTGTTTTCCCTGGACCTGGCATCTCCAGGTGTCAACACAGAATTAAGCATCCATAATTGCTCAAAGTTACCTGGGGCATGATGGGTCTTGGTCTTCTTCCACTTCTTGGTACTTTTCAATTTCTGCAATAAGTTCAGACATGGACAGACATATTAAGCTGGTTCTCCTACACACATAACAATCCACTGTCTAATCCTCACACAGGGACTTCAGGCTCCTCAGCATGAGAATAGGACACTGTGAGAGATAGTCTTCAGGAGGCCTGAAGGCTGATCACGATAGAGATTCCTTGGTTTTTGTCCCAGAAACTGTGGGTAAAATTCCCTATTCTGGTAGATCGTTATCCCAATATCATTTGTCCCAAGTTTGTGCAAATGGTTATGCCATATTTTTCCAATCGATTTAAAGCAAATGCCCCCAAATGGTTGCTAGGAGAAAAACTGCACTATTCAGCCCTGTCTCATCAAATACTCAGATTGTTCACGGTAGCGAGGATTTTAGATGCTGAAATTAGAGTGAAGGATGAAATCTACAAGATCTACAAAATTCAGACAAAATCAGAGTTGTGTGAATTTGTCACATCTGCCCAGGTCCAACGTCATGAGAGTAGGATTAGGGCGCCACAGGCATGGCCTGAGACTAGGAAGAGAGCCTTGCTCACTGACCCATCCCTTGTCTGGGCTTCCAAGTGGAACTAGAGTTTCATTCAACCTACATGTGCCTATAGGACCTCCCTGTGGCAATGACATCTCTCAGCTCAGTAAGGGCCACTTGCAGTAGGAATATGACCCTAACCAGAAGACTCAGTGGATCCTTATCACCTTCATAGAAAGGTACTCACCATCCATGTCAACAGCCAAGCCAACACGCTGTTGCTCCAATACGTAAAAGGCACTTCTGTAGGGCTGGCATGAGTCAGTCAGTTCAAGACAACCTGAAGGAGTTGAATAACATCTATCCAGTGAGTCCTGCAAGACTTCAGGCCCTTTCTCATCCAGCAGCTCCCTGCTGAGCCTGGAAAAGTGGGAAAAAGTAAAGAATAAGCCAGGGGGAATCAGAAACCACACAGCCCCAGCTAGATTTCATGGCTAACGTAAGGAAGAGTTTGAAAAGAAAAAGGACAGATCCATTAATGAGGTAACAAATTATTGCCTTTATGTTGGGATAGAACAGGGCCAGGTAGAAAACAATGAAAGAGAAAGACAGAGAGAGAGAGAGAGACAGAGACAGAGAGAGAGACAGAGACAGAGACAGAGAGAAAGTGACCTAGTGAATTGGCCAGGTGACATACTGGTAAGGGAGTAAAAGGACACTCTGAGTTAGTGCCCTCATGACACACAGCAAACTGTGATCATGAAAAGAGTGAGCTCAATAGTTTTCCATAAAATATGCTCAAAATTCGATGCAGTGGCCATGAGAGTACAGCTTTTGAAGTATGGTCAACCTATGGTACGTTAGGAAATGATAAGGGGAGGAAGAAATGGAAACCTAAACATCTACTGCAATGAAAACCAACAGCAATGACAGTAGGAGTAATTCAGCCTTCGTTGAAAACATGACATCAAACACACTCTGGTTTCCCTGAATCTGTTGCCTCCAGGTGTTAACACAGAATTAAGCATCCACAATTGCTGAAAGTCACCTGGGGCATGGTGGGGTTTGATCTTCTTCCCCTTCTTTTCTTCCCCTTCTTCTTTCCTTCTTTGATCTTCTTCCCCTTCTTTTCTTCCCCTTCCCCTTCTTTTCAATTTCTGCAATAAATTCAGACATGGACAGACACATTAAGCTGATTCCCCTACACACATAACAATCCACTGTCTAATCCTCACACAGGGACCTCAGGCTCCTCAGCATAAGAATAGGACACCGTGAGAGATATATTTCAGGAGGCCTGAAGGCTGGTCATGATAGAAATTCCTCGGTTTTTCTCCCAGAAACTGTGGGTAAAATGTCCCTATTCTAGTAGATCGTTATCCCAATATCATTTGTCCCAAGTTTGTGCAAACAGTTATGCCATATTTTTCCAATCAACTTAAAGCAAATACCCTCAAATGATTTCTAGGAGAAAAACTGCAATATTTAGCCCTGTCTCATCAAATACTCAGATTGTTCATGGTTGTGAGGACTTTAGACACTGAAATTAGAGTGAAAAAGGAAATCTACAAACCCTTGAGTCAAAATCATAGTTCTCTGAATTTGTCACATCTGCCCAGGTCCAATGTCATGAGGATAGGATCAGGGCGCCACAGGTATGGCCTGAGACTAGGAAGAGAGTCTTGCTCACTGACCCATCCCTTGCCTGGGCTTCCAGGTAGAACTAGAGTTTCATTCAACCTACATGTGCCTATAGGTCCTCCCTGTGGCAATGACATCTCTCAGCTCAGTAATGGCCACTTGGAGCAGGAATATGATCTTTATATGGAAGACTCAGTGGATCCTTATCACCTTCATAGAAAGGTACTCACCTCCCACGTCAAGAGAAAAGCCAACATGTTTTTCCTCCAATGCATAAAAGGAACTTCCATAGGGCTGGCAGGAGTCAGGCTGTTCAAGACAACTGGAAGGAGTTGAATAACATCTATCCAGTGAGTCCTGCAAGACTTCAGGCTCTACTACCTCCAGCAGCTCCCTGCTGAGCCTGGAAAAGGAGGAAAAAGTAAAGAATAAGCCAGGGGAAATCAGACACAACAGAGCCCCAACTAGGTTTCATGGGTAGCATAGGGAAGTGGTTAAAAAACTAAAAGGATAGATCCATTAATGAGGTAACAAATTATTGCCTTCATGTTGGGACAGAACAGGGCCAAATGGAAAAGAATGAAAGAGAAAGACAGATAGACACACACACACACACACACACACACACACACACACACAGACACACACACAGACACACACACACACAGAGAGAGAACGAGCTCAGTGAATTGTCCAGGTGACACACTGATGAGGGAGTAACAGGACACTCTGAGTTAGTGCCCTCAGGACACACAGCATACAGGGATCATGAAAAGACTGTGCTCAATAATTTTCCATAAAATGTGCTCAAGTTTCCATGCAGTCGCCATGAGAATACAGTTTTTGAAGTCTGGTCCACCTACAGTAGGTTAGTAAATGATAAGGGGAGGAAGAAATGGAAACCTAAATATCTACTGCAATGAAAACCAACAGCAATGTTAGTAGGAATAATTCAGGCTTGCTGGAAAAGATGTAATCGATAATGTCAGCCCGCTCTGTTTTCCCTGAACCAGGAGTCTCCAGATGTCAACACAGAAGTAGCTGTTCACAATTGCTCAGTTACCTGGGGCATGGTGGGCCTTGGTCTTCTTCCTCTTCTTGGTCCTTTTTAGTTCCTGCAATACATTCAGACAGGGACAGACAAAATAAGCCAATTCACCTACACCCATAACAGTCCACTGTCTAATCCCCACACAGGGATCTCAGGCTCCTCAGCATGAGAACAGGACAATGTGAGAGAGATACTTCAGGAGGCCTGAAAGCTGGTCATGATATTCTTTGGTTTGCATCTCAGAACCAAGGGTGAAATATCCCCATTCTGGTAGATCGTTATCCCAAAATCATTTATCCCAAGTTTGTGCAAACAGTTATGCCTTATTGTTCCCATCAGTTCAAAGAAAATGCCCCAGATGATTTCTAGGAGGAAAACTGCAGTATTCAGCCCTGTCTCATCAAATGCCCAGCTCGTTCATGGATGCAAGAATTTTAGACACTGAAATTAGAATGAAGGAGGAAATCTACAAACCCTTCAGTCCAAATCATACTTCTGTGAATTTTTTACATCTGCCTGGGTCCAATGTGCTGAGAGCGGGCTCAGCTTGCCACAGGCATGGCTGGAGACTAGGAATAGAGCCTTGCTCACTGACCCATTTCATGTCTAGGCTTCCAACTGAGACTACAGTTTCATTACAACCTATATGCGCCCATAGGTCCTGCCTGCGGCAATGACATCTCTCGGGTCAGTAAGGGCCACTTGGAACAGGAATATCACCCCTATCTGGAAGACCAGGTGGAGGCTTATCACCTTCACAGTAAGGTACTCACTGTCCACGTCAAGAGCCAAGCCAAGGTACTGTTCCTCCAATGAGTAAACAGCACTGCTGTAGGGCTGGCCTAAGTCAGGCAGTTCAAGATAACCTGAAGGAGTCGAATAACATCTATCCAGTGAGTCCTGCAAGACTTCAGGCTCTTTCTCATCCAGCAGCTCCCTGCTGAGCCTGGAAAAGTAGGAAAAAGTAAAGAATAAGCCAGGGGGAATCAGAAACCACACAGCCCCAGCTAGATTTCATGGCTAACATAAGGAACTGTTTAAAAAGAAAAAGGACAGATCCATTAATGAGGTAATGAATTATTGCCTTTATGTTGGGATAGACCAGGGCCAGGTAGAAAAGAATGAAAGAGAAAGACAGGGAGAGGAAGGGAGAGAGAGAGAGAGAGAGAGAGGAGAAAGTAAGCTCAGCGAGTTGGCCGGGTGACACACTGATGAAGGGGTCAAAGGACACTCTGAGTTAGTGCCCTCGGGACACACAGCGAACAGTGATCATGAAAAGAGTGGGCTCAATAATTTTCCATAAACTTGCTCAAGATTCCATGCAGTTGCCATACAGCCTTTGAGGTATGGTCAACCTATAGTAAGTTAGTAAATGATAAGGGGAGGAAGAAATGGAAACCTAAACATCTACTGCAATGAAAACCAACAGCAATATCAGGAGGAGTAATTCAACCTTCGTTGAAAACATGAAATTGAACACACTCTTGTTTTCCCTGGACCTGGCATCTCCAGGTGTCAACACAGAATTAAGCATCCATAATTGCTCAAAGTTACCTGGGGCATGATGGGTCTTGGTCTTCTTCCACTTCTTGGTACTTTTCAATTTCTGCAATAAGTTCAGACATGGACAGACATATTAAGCTGGTTCTCCTACACACATAACAATCCACTGTCTAATCCTCACACGGGGACTTCAGGCTCCTCAGCATGAGAATAGGACACTGTGAGAGGTAGTCTTCAGGAGGCCTGAAGGCTGATCACGATAGAGATTCCTTGGTTTTTGTCCCAGAAACTGTGGGTAAAATTCCCTATTCTGGTAGATCGTTATCCCAATATCATTTGTCCCAAGTTTGTGCAAATGGTTATGCCATATTTTTCCAATCGATTTAAAGCAAATGCCCCCAAATGGTTGCTAGGAGAAAAACTGCACTATTCAGCCCTGTCTCATCAAATACTCAGATTGTTCACGGTAGCGAGGATTTTAGACGCTGAAATTAGAGTGAAGGATGAAATCTACAAGATCTACAAAATTGAGACAAAATCAGAGTTGTGTGAATTTGTCACATCTGCCCAGGTCCAACGTCATGAGAGTAGGATTAGGGCGCCACAGGCATGGCCTGAGACTAGGAAGAGAGCCTTGCTCACTGACCCATCCCTTGTCTGGGCTTCCAAGTGGAACTAGAGTTTCATTCAACCTACATGTGCCTATAGGACCTCCCTGTGGCAATGACATCTCTCAGCTCAGTAAGGGCCACTTGCAGTAGGAATATGACCCTAACCAGAAGACTCAGTGGATCCTTATCACCTTCATAGAAAGGTACTCACCATCCATGTCAACAGCCAAGCCAACACGCTGTTGCTCCAATACGTAAAAGGCACTTCTGTAGGGCTGGCATGAGTCAGTCAGTTCAAGACAACCTGAAGGAGTTGAATAACATCTATCCAGTGAGTCCTGCAAGACTTCAGGCCCTTTCTCATCCAGCAGCTCCCTGCTGAGCCTGGAAAAGTGGGAAAAAGTAAAGAATAAGCCAGGGGGAATCAGAAACCACACAGCCCCAGCTAGATTTCATGGCTAACGTAAGGAAGAGTTTGAAAAGAAAAAGGACAGATCCATTAATGAGGTAACAAATTATTGCCTTTATGTTGGGATAGAACAGGGCCAGGTAGAAAACAATGAAAGAGAAAGACAGAGAGAGAGAGAGAGACAGAGACAGAGAGAGAGAGACAGAGACAGAGACAGAGAGAAAGTGACCTAGTGAATTGGCCAGGTGACATACTGGTAAGGGAGTAAAAGGACACTCTGAGTTAGTGCCCTCATGACACACAGCAAACTGTGATCATGAAAAGAGTGAGCTCAATAGTTTTCCATAAAATATGCTCAAAATTCGATGCAGTGGCCATGAGAGTACAGCTTTTGAAGTATGGTCAACCTATGGTACGTTAGGAAATGATAAGGGGAGGAAGAAATGGAAACCTAAACATCTACTGCAATGAAAACCAACAGCAATGACAGTAGGAGTAATTCAGCCTTCGTTGAAAACATGACATCAAACACACTCTGGTTTCCCTGAATCTGTTGCCTCCAGGTGTTAACACAGAATTAAGCATCCACAATTGCTGAAAGTCACCTGGGGCATGGTGGGTTTTGATCTTCTTCCCCTTCTTTTCTTCCCCTTCTTCTTTCCTTCTTTGATCTTCTTCCCCTTCTTTTCTTCCCCTTCCCCTTCTTTTCAATTTCTGCAATAAATTCAGACATGGACAGACACATTAAGCTGATTCCCCTACACACATAACAATCCACTGTCTAATCCTCACACAGGGACCTCAGGCTCCTCAGCATAAGAATAGGACACCGTGAGAGATATATTTCAGGAGGCCTGAAGGCTGGTCATGATAGAAATTCCTCGGTTTTTCTCCCAGAAACTGTGGGTAAAATGTCCCTATTCTAGTAGATCGTTATCCCAATATCATTTGTCCCAAGTTTGTGCAAACAGTTATGCCATATTTTTCCAATCAACTTAAAGCAAATACCCTCAAATGATTTCTAGGAGAAAAACTGCAATATTTAGCCCTGTCTCATCAAATACTCAGATTGTTCATGGTTGTGAGGACTTTAGACACTGAAATTAGAGTGAAAAAGGAAATCTACAAACCCTTGAGTCAAAATCATAGTTCTCTGAATTTGTCACATCTGCCCAGGTCCAATGTCATGAGGATAGGATCAGGGCGCCACAGGTATGGCCTGAGACTAGGAAGAGAGTCTTGCTCACTGACCCATCCCTTGCCTGGGCTTCCAGGTAGAACTAGAGTTTCATTCAACCTACATGTGCCTATAGGTCCTCCCTGTGGCAATGACATCTCTCAGCTCAGTAATGGCCACTTGGAGCAGGAATATGATCTTTATATGGAAGACTCAGTGGATCCTTATCACCTTCATAGAAAGGTACTCACCTCCCACGTCAAGAGAAAAGCCAACATGTTTTTCCTCCAATGCATAAAAGGAACTTCCATAGGGCTGGCAGGAGTCAGGCTGTTCAAGACAACTGGAAGGAGTTGAATAACATCTATCCAGTGAGTCCTGCAAGACTTCAGGCTCTACTACCTCCAGCAGCTCCCTGCTGAGCCTGGAAAAGGAGGAAAAAGTAAAGAATAAGCCAGGGGAAATCAGACACAACAGAGCCCCAACTAGGTTTCATGGGTAGCATAGGGAAGTGGTTAAAAAACTAAAAGGATAGATCCATTAATGAGGTAACAAATTATTGCCTTCATGTTGGGACAGAACAGGGCCAAATGGAAAAGAATGAAAGAGAAAGACAGATAGACACACACACACACACACACACACACACACACACACAGACACACACACAGACACACACACACACAGAGAGAGAACGAGCTCAGTGAATTGTCCAGGTGACACACTGATGAGGGAGTAACAGGACACTCTGAGTTAGTGCCCTCAGGACACACAGCATACAGGGATCATGAAAAGACTGTGCTCAATAATTTTCCATAAAATGTGCTCAAGTTTCCATGCAGTCGCCATGAGAATACAGTTTTTGAAGTCTGGTCCACCTACAGTAGGTTAGTAAATGATAAGGGGAGGAAGAAATGGAAACCTAAATATCTACTGCAATGAAAACCAACAGCAATGTTAGTAGGAATAATTCAGGCTTGCTGGAAAAGATGTAATCGATAATGTCAGCCCGCTCTGTTTTCCCTGAACCAGGAGTCTCCAGATGTCAACACAGAAGTAGCTGTTCACAATTGCTCAGTTACCTGGGGCATGGTGGGCCTTGGTCTTCTTCCTCTTCTTGGTCCTTTTTAGTTCCTGCAATACATTCAGACAGGGACAGACAAAATAAGCCAATTCACCTACACCCATAACAGTCCACTGTCTAATCCCCACACAGGGATCTCAGGCTCCTCAGCATGAGAACAGGACAATGTGAGAGAGATACTTCAGGAGGCCTGAAAGCTGGTCATGATATTCTTTGGTTTGCATCTCAGAACCAAGGGTGAAATATCCCCATTCTGGTAGATCGTTATCCCAAAATCATTTATCCCAAGTTTGTGCAAACAGTTATGCCTTATTGTTCCCATCAGTTCAAAGAAAATGCCCCAGATGATTTCTAGGAGGAAAACTGCAGTATTCAGCCCTGTCTCATCAAATGCCCAGCTCGTTCATGGATGCAAGAATTTTAGACACTGAAATTAGAATGAAGGAGGAAATCTACAAACCCTTCAGTCCAAATCATACTTCTGTGAATTTTTTACATCTGCCTGGGTCCAATGTGCTGAGAGCGGGCTCAGCTTGCCACAGGCATGGCTGGAGACTAGGAATAGAGCCTTGCTCACTGACCCATTTCATGTCTAGGCTTCCAACTGAGACTACAGTTTCATTACAACCTATATGCGCCCATAGGTCCTGCCTGCGGCAATGACATCTCTCGGGTCAGTAAGGGCCACTTGGAACAGGAATATCACCCCTATCTGGAAGACCAGGTGGAGGCTTATCACCTTCACAGTAAGGTACTCACTGTCCACGTCAAGAGCCAAGCCAAGGTACTGTTCCTCCAATGAGTAAACAGCACTGCTGTAGGGCTGGCCTAAGTCAGGCAGTTCAAGATAACCTGAAGGAGTCGAATAACATCTATCCAGTGAGTCCTGCAAGACTTCAGGCTCTTTCTCATCCAGCAGCTCCCTGCTGAGCCTGGAAAAGTAGGAAAAAGTAAAGAATAAGCCAGGGGGAATCAGAAACCACACAGCCCCAGCTAGATTTCATGGCTAACATAAGGAACTGTTTAAAAAGAAAAAGGACAGATCCATTAATGAGGTAATGAATTATTGCCTTTATGTTGGGATAGACCAGGGCCAGGTAGAAAAGAATGAAAGAGAAAGACAGGGAGAGGGAGAGAGAGAGAGAGAGAGGAGAAAGTGAGCTCAGCGAGTTGGCCGGGTGACACACTGATGAAGGGGTCAAAGGACACTCTGAGTTAGTGCCCTCGGGACACACAGCGAACAGTGATCATGAAAAGAGTGGGCTCAATAATTTTCCATAAACTTGCTCAAGATTCCATGCAGTTGCCATACAGCCTTTGAGGTATGGTCAACCTATAGTAAGTTAGTAAATGATAAGGGGAGGAAGAAATGGAAACCTAAACATCTACTGCAATGAAAACCAACAGCAATGTCAGGAGGAGTAATTCAACCTTCGTTGAAAACATGAAATTGAACACACTCTTGTTTTCCCTGGACCTGGCATCTCCAGGTGTCAACACAGAATTAAGCATCCATAATTGCTCAAAGTTACCTGGGGCATGATGGGTCTTGGTCTTCTTCCACTTCTTGGTACTTTTCAATTTCTGCAATAAGTTCAGACATGGACAGACATATTAAGCTGGTTCTCCTACACACATAACAATCCACTGTCTAATCCTCACACAGGGACTTCAGGCTCCTCAGCATGAGAATAGGACACTGTGAGAGGTAGTCTTCAGGAGGCCTGAAGGCTGATCACGATAGAGATTCCTTGGTTTTTGTCCCAGAAACTGTGGGTAAAATTCCCTATTCTGGTAGATCGTTATCCCAATATCATTTGTCCCAAGTTTGTGCAAATGGTTATGCCATATTTTTCCAATCGATTTAAAGCAAATGCCCCCAAATGGTTGCTAGGAGAAAAACTGCACTATTCAGCCCTGTCTCATCAAATACTCAGATTGTTCACGGTAGCGAGGATTTTAGACGCTGAAATTAGAGTGAAGGATGAAATCTACAAGATCTACAAAATTGAGACAAAATCAGAGTTGTGTGAATTTGTCACATCTGCCCAGGTCCAACGTCATGAGAGTAGGATTAGGGCGCCACAGGCATGGCCTGAGACTAGGAAGAGAGCCTTGCTCACTGACCCATCCCTTGTCTGGGCTTCCAAGTGGAACTAGAGTTTCATTCAACCTACATGTGCCTATAGGACCTCCCTGTGGCAATGACATCTCTCAGCTCAGTAAGGGCCACTTGCAGTAGGAATATGACCCTAACCAGAAGACTCAGTGGATCCTTATCACCTTCATAGAAAGGTACTCACCATCCATGTCAACAGCCAAGCCAACACGCTGTTGCTCCAATACGTAAAAGGCACTTCTGTAGGGCTGGCATGAGTCAGTCAGTTCAAGACAACCTGAAGGAGTTGAATAACATCTATCCAGTGAGTCCTGCAAGACTTCAGGCCCTTTCTCATCCAGCAGCTCCCTGCTGAGCCTGGAAAAGTGGGAAAAAGTAAAGAATAAGCCAGGGGGAATCAGAAACCACACAGCCCCAGCTAGATTTCATGGCTAACGTAAGGAAGAGTTTGAAAAGAAAAAGGACAGATCCATTAATGAGGTAACAAATTATTGCCTTTATGTTGGGATAGAACAGGGCCAGGTAGAAAACAATGAAAGAGAAAGACAGAGAGAGAGAGAGAGACAGAGACAGAGAGAGAGAGACAGAGACAGAGACAGAGAGAAAGTGACCTAGTGAATTGGCCAGGTGACATACTGGTAAGGGAGTAAAAGGACACTCTGAGTTAGTGCCCTCATGACACACAGCAAACTGTGATCATGAAAAGAGTGAGCTCAATAGTTTTCCATAAAATATGCTCAAAATTCGATGCAGTGGCCATGAGAGTACAGCTTTTGAAGTATGGTCAACCTATGGTACGTTAGGAAATGATAAGGGGAGGAAGAAATGGAAACCTAAACATCTACTGCAATGAAAACCAACAGCAATGACAGTAGGAGTAATTCAGCCTTCGTTGAAAACATGACATCAAACACACTCTGGTTTCCCTGAATCTGTTGCCTCCAGGTGTTAACACAGAATTAAGCATCCACAATTGCTGAAAGTCACCTGGGGCATGGTGGGTTTTGATCTTCTTCCCCTTCTTTTCTTCCCCTTCTTCTTTCCTTCTTTGATCTTCTTCCCCTTCTTTTCTTCCCCTTCCCCTTCTTTTCAATTTCTGCAATAAATTCAGACATGGACAGACACATTAAGCTGATTCCCCTACACACATAACAATCCACTGTCTAATCCTCACACAGGGACCTCAGGCTCCTCAGCATAAGAATAGGACACCGTGAGAGATATATTTCAGGAGGCCTGAAGGCTGGTCATGATAGAAATTCCTCGGTTTTTCTCCCAGAAACTGTGGGTAAAATGTCCCTATTCTAGTAGATCGTTATCCCAATATCATTTGTCCCAAGTTTGTGCAAACAGTTATGCCATATTTTTCCAATCAACTTAAAGCAAATACCCTCAAATGATTTCTAGGAGAAAAACTGCAATATTTAGCCCTGTCTCATCAAATACTCAGATTGTTCATGGTTGTGAGGACTTTAGACACTGAAATTAGAGTGAAAAAGGAAATCTACAAACCCTTGAGTCAAAATCATAGTTCTCTGAATTTGTCACATCTGCCCAGGTCCAATGTCATGAGGATAGGATCAGGGCGCCACAGGTATGGCCTGAGACTAGGAAGAGAGTCTTGCTCACTGACCCATCCCTTGCCTGGGCTTCCAGGTAGAACTAGAGTTTCATTCAACCTACATGTGCCTATAGGTCCTCCCTGTGGCAATGACATCTCTCAGCTCAGTAATGGCCACTTGGAGCAGGAATATGATCTTTATATGGAAGACTCAGTGGATCCTTATCACCTTCATAGAAAGGTACTCACCTCCCACGTCAAGAGAAAAGCCAACATGTTTTTCCTCCAATGCATAAAAGGAACTTCCATAGGGCTGGCAGGAGTCAGGCTGTTCAAGACAACTGGAAGGAGTTGAATAACATCTATCCAGTGAGTCCTGCAAGACTTCAGGCTCTACTACCTCCAGCAGCTCCCTGCTGAGCCTGGAAAAGGAGGAAAAAGTAAAGAATAAGCCAGGGGAAATCAGACACAACAGAGCCCCAACTAGGTTTCATGGGTAGCATAGGGAAGTGGTTAAAAAACTAAAAGGATAGATCCATTAATGAGGTAACAAATTATTGCCTTCATGTTGGGACAGAACAGGGCCAAATGGAAAAGAATGAAAGAGAAAGACAGATAGACACACACACACACACACACACACAGACACACACACAGACACACACACACACAGAGAGAGAACGAGCTCAGTGAATTGTCCAGGTGACACACTGATGAGGGAGTAACAGGACACTCTGAGTTAGTGCCCTCAGGACACACAGCATACAGGGATCATGAAAAGACTGTGCTCAATAATTTTCCATAAAATGTGCTCAAGTTTCCATGCAGTCGCCATGAGAATACAGTTTTTGAAGTCTGGTCCACCTACAGTAGGTTAGTAAATGATAAGGGGAGGAAGAAATGGAAACCTAAATATCTACTGCAATGAAAACCAACAGCAATGTTAGTAGGAATAATTCAGGCTTGCTGGAAAAGATGTAATCGATAATGTCAGCCCGCTCTGTTTTCCCTGAACCAGGAGTCTCCAGATGTCAACACAGAAGTAGCTGTTCACAATTGCTCAGTTACCTGGGGCATGGTGGGCCTTGGTCTTCTTCCTCTTCTTGGTCCTTTTTAGTTCCTGCAATACATTCAGACAGGGACAGACAAAATAAGCCAATTCACCTACACCCATAACAGTCCACTGTCTAATCCCCACACAGGGATCTCAGGCTCCTCAGCATGAGAACAGGACAATGTGAGAGAGATACTTCAGGAGGCCTGAAAGCTGGTCATGATATTCTTTGGTTTGCATCTCAGAACCAAGGGTGAAATATCCCCATTCTGGTAGATCGTTATCCCAAAATCATTTATCCCAAGTTTGTGCAAACAGTTATGCCTTATTGTTCCCATCAGTTCAAAGAAAATGCCCCAGATGATTTCTAGGAGGAAAACTGCAGTATTCAGCCCTGTCTCATCAAATGCCCAGCTCGTTCATGGATGCAAGAATTTTAGACACTGAAATTAGAATGAAGGAGGAAATCTACAAACCCTTCAGTCCAAATCATACTTCTGTGAATTTTTTACATCTGCCTGGGTCCAATGTGCTGAGAGCGGGCTCAGCTTGCCACAGGCATGGCTGGAGACTAGGAATAGAGCCTTGCTCACTGACCCATTTCATGTCTAGGCTTCCAACTGAGACTACAGTTTCATTACAACCTATATGCGCCCATAGGTCCTGCCTGCGGCAATGACATCTCTCGGGTCAGTAAGGGCCACTTGGAACAGGAATATCACCCCTATCTGGAAGACCAGGTGGAGGCTTATCACCTTCACAGTAAGGTACTCACTGTCCACGTCAAGAGCCAAGCCAAGGTACTGTTCCTCCAATGAGTAAACAGCACTGCTGTAGGGCTGGCCTAAGTCAGGCAGTTCAAGATAACCTGAAGGAGTCGAATAACATCTATCCAGTGAGTCCTGCAAGACTTCAGGCTCTTTCTCATCCAGCAGCTCCCTGCTGAGCCTGGAAAAGTAGGAAAAAGTAAAGAATAAGCCAGGGGGAATCAGAAACCACACAGCCCCAGCTAGATTTCATGGCTAACATAAGGAACTGTTTAAAAAGAAAAAGGACAGATCCATTAATGAGGTAATGAATTATTGCCTTTATGTTGGGATAGACCAGGGCCAGGTAGAAAAGAATGAAAGAGAAAGACAGGGAGAGGGAGAGAGAGAGAGAGAGAGGAGAAAGTGAGCTCAGCGAGTTGGCCGGGTGACACACTGATGAAGGGGTCAAAGGACACTCTGAGTTAGTGCCCTCGGGACACACAGCGAACAGTGATCATGAAAAGAGTGGGCTCAATAATTTTCCATAAACTTGCTCAAGATTCCATGCAGTTGCCATACAGCCTTTGAGGTATGGTCAACCTATAGTAAGTTAGTAAATGATAAGGGGAGGAAGAAATGGAAACCTAAACATCTACTGCAATGAAAACCAACAGCAATGTCAGGAGGAGTAATTCAACCTTCGTTGAAAACATGAAATTGAACACACTCTTGTTTTCCCTGGACCTGGCATCTCCAGGTGTCAACACAGAATTAAGCATCCATAATTGCTCAAAGTTACCTGGGGCATGATGGGTCTTGGTCTTCTTCCACTTCTTGGTACTTTTCAATTTCTGCAATAAGTTCAGACATGGACAGACATATTAAGCTGGTTCTCCTACACACATAACAATCCACTGTCTAATCCTCACACAGGGACTTCAGGCTCCTCAGCATGAGAATAGGACACTGTGAGAGGTAGTCTTCAGGAGGCCTGAAGGCTGATCACGATAGAGATTCCTTGGTTTTTGTCCCAGAAACTGTGGGTAAAATTCCCTATTCTGGTAGATCGTTATCCCAATATCATTTGTCCCAAGTTTGTGCAAATGGTTATGCCATATTTTTCCAATCGATTTAAAGCAAATGCCCCCAAATGGTTGCTAGGAGAAAAACTGCACTATTCAGCCCTGTCTCATCAAATACTCAGATTGTTCACGGTAGCGAGGATTTTAGACGCTGAAATTAGAGTGAAGGATGAAATCTACAAGATCTACAAAATTGAGACAAAATCAGAGTTGTGTGAATTTGTCACATCTGCCCAGGTCCAACGTCATGAGAGTAGGATTAGGGCGCCACAGGCATGGCCTGAGACTAGGAAGAGAGCCTTGCTCACTGACCCATCCCTTGTCTGGGCTTCCAAGTGGAACTAGAGTTTCATTCAACCTACATGTGCCTATAGGACCTCCCTGTGGCAATGACATCTCTCAGCTCAGTAAGGGCCACTTGCAGTAGGAATATGACCCTAACCAGAAGACTCAGTGGATCCTTATCACCTTCATAGAAAGGTACTCACCATCCATGTCAACAGCCAAGCCAACACGCTGTTGCTCCAATACGTAAAAGGCACTTCTGTAGGGCTGGCATGAGTCAGTCAGTTCAAGACAACCTGAAGGAGTTGAATAACTTCTATCCAGTGAGTCCTGCAAGACTTCAGGCCCTTTCTCATCCAGCAGCTCCCTGCTGAGCCTGGAAAAGTGGGAAAAAGTAAAGAATAAGCCAGGGGGAATCAGAAACCACACAGCCCCAGCTAGATTTCATGGCTAACGTAAGGAAGAGTTTGAAAAGAAAAAGGACAGATCCATTAATGAGGTAACAAATTATTGCCTTTATGTTGGGATAGAACAGGGCCAGGTAGAAAACAATGAAAGAGAAAGACAGAGAGAGAGAGAGAGACAGAGACAGAGAGAGAGACAGAGACAGAGACAGAGAGAAAGTGACCTAGTGAATTGGCCAGGTGACATACTGGTAAGGGAGTAAAAGGACACTCTGAGTTAGTGCCCTCATGACACACAGCAAACTGTGATCATGAAAAGAGTGAGCTCAATAGTTTTCCATAAAATATGCTCAAAATTCGATGCAGTGGCCATGAGAGTACAGCTTTTGAAGTATGGTCAACCTATGGTACGTTAGGAAATGATAAGGGGAGGAAGAAATGGAAACCTAAACATCTACTGCAATGAAAACCAACAGCAATGACAGTAGGAGTAATTCAGCCTTCGTTGAAAACATGACATCAAACACACTCTGGTTTCCCTGAATCTGTTGCCTCCAGGTGTTAACACAGAATTAAGCATCCACAATTGCTGAAAGTCACCTGGGGCATGGTGGGTTTTGATCTTCTTCCCCTTCTTTTCTTCCCCTTCTTCTTTCCTTCTTTGATCTTCTTCCCCTTCTTTTCTTCCCCTTCCCCTTCTTTTCAATTTCTGCAATAAATTCAGACATGGACAGACACATTAAGCTGATTCCCCTACACACATAACAATCCACTGTCTAATCCTCACACAGGGACCTCAGGCTCCTCAGCATAAGAATAGGACACCGTGAGAGATATATTTCAGGAGGCCTGAAGGCTGGTCATGATAGAAATTCCTCGGTTTTTCTCCCAGAAACTGTGGGTAAAATGTCCCTATTCTAGTAGATCGTTATCCCAATATCATTTGTCCCAAGTTTGTGCAAACAGTTATGCCATATTTTTCCAATCAACTTAAAGCAAATACCCTCAAATGATTTCTAGGAGAAAAACTGCAATATTTAGCCCTGTCTCATCAAATACTCAGATTGTTCATGGTTGTGAGGACTTTAGACACTGAAATTAGAGTGAAAAAGGAAATCTACAAACCCTTGAGTCAAAATCATAGTTCTCTGAATTTGTCACATCTGCCCAGGTCCAATGTCATGAGGATAGGATCAGGGCGCCACAGGTATGGCCTGAGACTAGGAAGAGAGTCTTGCTCACTGACCCATCCCTTGCCTGGGCTTCCAGGTAGAACTAGAGTTTCATTCAACCTACATGTGCCTATAGGTCCTCCCTGTGGCAATGACATCTCTCAGCTCAGTAATGGCCACTTGGAGCAGGAATATGATCTTTATATGGAAGACTCAGTGGATCCTTATCACCTTCATAGAAAGGTACTCACCTCCCACGTCAAGAGAAAAGCCAACATGTTTTTCCTCCAATGCATAAAAGGAACTTCCATAGGGCTGGCAGGAGTCAGGCTGTTCAAGACAACTGGAAGGAGTTGAATAACATCTATCCAGTGAGTCCTGCAAGACTTCAGGCTCTACTACCTCCAGCAGCTCCCTGCTGAGCCTGGAAAAGGAGGAAAAAGTAAAGAATAAGCCAGGGGAAATCAGACACAACAGAGCCCCAACTAGGTTTCATGGGTAGCATAGGGAAGTGGTTAAAAAACTAAAAGGATAGATCCATTAATGAGGTAACAAATTATTGCCTTCATGTTGGGACAGAACAGGGCCAAATGGAAAAGAATGAAAGAGAAAGACAGATAGACACACACACACACACACACACACACACACACACACAGACACACACACAGACACACACACACACAGAGAGAGAACGAGCTCAGTGAATTGTCCAGGTGACACACTGATGAGGGAGTAACAGGACACTCTGAGTTAGTGCCCTCAGGACACACAGCATACAGGGATCATGAAAAGACTGTGCTCAATAATTTTCCATAAAATGTGCTCAAGTTTCCATGCAGTCGCCATGAGAATACAGTTTTTGAAGTCTGGTCCACCTACAGTAGGTTAGTAAATGATAAGGGGAGGAAGAAATGGAAACCTAAATATCTACTGCAATGAAAACCAACAGCAATGTTAGTAGGAATAATTCAGGCTTGCTGGAAAAGATGTAATCGATAATGTCAGCCCGCTCTGTTTTCCCTGAACCAGGAGTCTCCAGATGTCAACACAGAAGTAGCTGTTCACAATTGCTCAGTTACCTGGGGCATGGTGGGCCTTGGTCTTCTTCCTCTTCTTGGTCCTTTTTAGTTCCTGCAATACATTCAGACAGGGACAGACAAAATAAGCCAATTCACCTACACCCATAACAGTCCACTGTCTAATCCCCACACAGGGATCTCAGGCTCCTCAGCATGAGAACAGGACAATGTGAGAGAGATACTTCAGGAGGCCTGAAAGCTGGTCATGATATTCTTTGGTTTGCATCTCAGAACCAAGGGTGAAATATCCCCATTCTGGTAGATCGTTATCCCAAAATCATTTATCCCAAGTTTGTGCAAACAGTTATGCCTTATTGTTCCCATCAGTTCAAAGAAAATGCCCCAGATGATTTCTAGGAGGAAAACTGCAGTATTCAGCCCTGTCTCATCAAATGCCCAGCTCGTTCATGGATGCAAGAATTTTAGACACTGAAATTAGAATGAAGGAGGAAATCTACAAACCCTTGAGTCCAAATCATAGTTCTGTGAATTTTTTACATCTGCCTGGGTCCAATGTGCTGAGAGCGGGCTCAGCTTGCCACAGGCATGGCTGGAGACTAGGAATAGAGCCTTGCTCACTGACCCATTTCATGTCTAGGCTTCCAACTGAGACTACAGTTTCATTACAACCTATATGCGCCCATAGGTCCTGCCTGCGGCAATGACATCTCTCGGGTCAGTAAGGGCCACTTGGAACAGGAATATCACCCCTATCTGGAAGACCAGGTGGAGGCTTATCACCTTCACAGTAAGGTACTCACTGTCCACGTCAAGAGCCAAGCCAAGGTACTGTTCCTCCAATGAGTAAACAGCACTGCTGTAGGGCTGGCCTAAGTCAGGCAGTTCAAGATAACCTGAAGGAGTCGAATAACATCTATCCAGTGAGTCCTGCAAGACTTCAGGCTCTTTCTCATCCAGCAGCTCCCTGCTGAGCCTGGAAAGTAGGAAAAAGTAAAGAATAAGCCAGGGGGAATCAGAAACCACACAGCCCCAGCTAGATTTCATGGCTAACATAAGGAACTGTTTAAAAAGAAAAAGGACAGATCCATTAATGAGGTAATGAATTATTGCCTTTATGTTGGGATAGACCAGGGCCAGGTAGAAAAGAATGAAAGAGAAAGACAGGGAGAGGGAGGGAGAGAGAGAGAGAGAGAGAGAGGAGAAAGTAAGCTCAGCGAGTTGGCCGGGTGACACACTGATGAAGGGGTCAAAGGACACTCTGAGTTAGTGCCCTCGGGACACACAGCGAACAGTGATCATGAAAAGAGTGGGCTCAATAATTTTCCATAAACTTGCTCAAGATTCCATGCAGTTGCCATACAGCCTTTGAGGTATGGTCAACCTATAGTAAGTTAGTAAATGATAAGGGGAGGAAGAAATGGAAACCTAAACATCTACTGCAATGAAAACCAACAGCAATATCAGGAGGAGTAATTCAACCTTCGTTGAAAACATGAAATTGAACACACTCTTGTTTTCCCTGGACCTGGCATCTCCAGGTGTCAACACAGAATTAAGCATCCATAATTGCTCAAAGTTACCTGGGGCATGATGGGTCTTGGTCTTCTTCCACTTCTTGGTACTTTTCAATTTCTGCAATAAGTTCAGACATGGACAGACATATTAAGCTGGTTCTCCTACACACATAACAATCCACTGTCTAATCCTCACACAGGGACTTCAGGCTCCTCAGCATGAGAATAGGACACTGTGAGAGATAGTCTTCAGGAGGCCTGAAGGCTGATCACCATAGAGATTCCTTGGTTTTTGTCCCAGAAACTGTGGGTAAAATTCCCTATTCTGGTAGATCGTTATCCCAATATCATTTGTCCCAAGTTTGTGCAAATGGTTATGCCATATTTTTCCAATCGATTTAAAGCAAATGCCCCCAAATGGTTGCTAGGAGAAAAACTGCACTATTCAGCCCTGTCTCATCAAATACTCAGATTGTTCACGGTAGCGAGGATTTTAGACGCTGAAATTAGAGTGAAGGATGAAATCTACAAGATCTACAAAATTGAGACAAAATCAGAGTTGTGTGAATTTGTCACATCTGCCCAGGTCCAACGTCATGAGAGTAGGATTAGGGCGCCACAGGCATGGCCTGAGACTAGGAAGAGAGCCTTGCTCACTGACCCATCCCTTGTCTGGGCTTCCAAGTGGAACTAGAGTTTCATTCAACCTACATGTGCCTATAGGACCTCCCTGTGGCAATGACATCTCTCAGCTCAGTAAGGGCCACTTGCAGTAGGAATATGACCCTAACCAGAAGACTCAGTGGATCCTTATCACCTTCATAGAAAGGTACTCACCATCCATGTCAACAGCCAAGCCAACACGCTGTTGCTCCAATACGTAAAAGGCACTTCTGTAGGGCTGGCATGAGTCAGTCAGTTCAAGACAACCTGAAGGAGTTGAATAACTTCTATCCAGTGAGTCCTGCAAGACTTCAGGCCCTTTCTCATCCAGCAGCTCCCTGCTGAGCCTGGAAAAGTGGGAAAAAGTAAAGAATAAGCCAGGGGGAATCAGAAACCACACAGCCCCAGCTAGATTTCATGGCTAACGTAAGGAAGAGTTTGAAAAGAAAAAGGACAGATCCATTAATGAGGTAACAAATTATTGCCTTTATGTTGGGATAGAACAGGGCCAGGTAGAAAACAATGAAAGAGAAAGACAGAGAGAGAGAGAGAGACAGAGACAGAGAGAGAGACAGAGACAGAGACAGAGAGAAAGTGACCTAGTGAATTGGCCAGGTGACATACTGGTAAGGGAGTAAAAGGACACTCTGAGTTAGTGCCCTCATGACACACAGCAAACTGTGATCATGAAAAGAGTGAGCTCAATAGTTTTCCATAAAATATGCTCAAAATTCGATGCAGTGGCCATGAGAGTACAGCTTTTGAAGTATGGTCAACCTATGGTACGTTAGGAAATGATAAGGGGAGGAAGAAATGGAAACCTAAACATCTACTGCAATGAAAACCAACAGCAATGACAGTAGGAGTAATTCAGCCTTCGTTGAAAACATGACATCAAACACACTCTGGTTTCCCTGAATCTGTTGCCTCCAGGTGTTAACACAGAATTAAGCATCCACAATTGCTGAAAGTCACCTGGGGCATGGTGGGTTTTGATCTTCTTCCCCTTCTTTTCTTCCCCTTCTTCTTTCCTTCTTTGATCTTCTTCCCCTTCTTTTCTTCCCCTTCCCCTTCTTTTCAATTTCTGCAATAAATTCAGACATGGACAGACACATTAAGCTGATTCCCCTACACACATAACAATCCACTGTCTAATCCTCACACAGGGACCTCAGGCTCCTCAGCATAAGAATAGGACACCGTGAGAGATATATTTCAGGAGGCCTGAAGGCTGGTCATGATAGAAATTCCTCGGTTTTTCTCCCAGAAACTGTGGGTAAAATGTCCCTATTCTAGTAGATCGTTATCCCAATATCATTTGTCCCAAGTTTGTGCAAACAGTTATGCCATATTTTTCCAATCAACTTAAAGCAAATACCCTCAAATGATTTCTAGGAGAAAAACTGCAATATTTAGCCCTGTCTCATCAAATACTCAGATTGTTCATGGTTGTGAGGACTTTAGACACTGAAATTAGAGTGAAAAAGGAAATCTACAAACCCTTGAGTCAAAATCATAGTTCTCTGAATTTGTCACATCTGCCCAGGTCCAATGTCATGAGGATAGGATCAGGGCGCCACAGGTATGGCCTGAGACTAGGAAGAGAGTCTTGCTCACTGACCCATCCCTTGCCTGGGCTTCCAGGTAGAACTAGAGTTTCATTCAACCTACATGTGCCTATAGGTCCTCCCTGTGGCAATGACATCTCTCAGCTCAGTAATGGCCACTTGGAGCAGGAATATGATCTTTATATGGAAGACTCAGTGGATCCTTATCACCTTCATAGAAAGGTACTCACCTCCCACGTCGAGAGAAAAGCCAACATGTTTTTCCTCCAATGCATAAAAGGAACTTCCATAGGGCTGGCAGGAGTCAGGCTGTTCAAGACAACTGGAAGGAGTTGAATAACATCTATCCAGTGAGTCCTGCAAGACTTCAGGCTCTACTACCTCCAGCAGCTCCCTGCTGAGCCTGGAAAAGGAGGAAAAAGTAAAGAATAAGCCAGGGGAAATCAGACACAACAGAGCCCCAACTAGGTTTCATGGGTAGCATAGGGAAGTGGTTAAAAAACTAAAAGGATAGATCCATTAATGAGGTAACAAATTATTGCCTTCATGTTGGGACAGAACAGGGCCAAATGGAAAAGAATGAAAGAGAAAGACAGATAGACACACACACACACACACACACACACACACACACAGACACACACACACACACAGAGAGAACGAGCTCAGTGAATTGTCCAGGTGACACACTGATGAGGGAGTAACAGGACACTCTGAGTTAGTGCCCTCAGGACACACAGCATACAGGGATCATGAAAAGACTGTGCTCAATAATTTTCCATAAAATGTGCTCAAGTTTCCATGCAGTCGCCATGAGAATACAGTTTTTGAAGTCTGGTCCACCTACAGTAGGTTAGTAAATGATAAGGGGAGGAAGAAATGGAAACCTAAATATCTACTGCAATGAAAACCAACAGCAATGTTAGTAGGAATAATTCAGGCTTGCTGGAAAAGATGTAATCGATAATGTCAGCCCGCTCTGTTTTCCCTGAACCAGGAGTCTCCAGATGTCAACACAGAAGTAGCTGTTCACAATTGCTCAGTTACCTGGGGCATGGTGGGCCTTGGTCTTCTTCCTCTTCTTGGTCCTTTTTAGTTCCTGCAATACATTCAGACAGGGACAGACAAAATAAGCCAATTCACCTACACCCATAACAGTCCACTGTCTAATCCCCACACAGGGATCTCAGGCTCCTCAGCATGAGAACAGGACAATGTGAGAGAGATACTTCAGGAGGCCTGAAAGCTGGTCATGATATTCTTTGGTTTGCATCTCAGAACCAAGGGTGAAATATCCCCATTCTGGTAGATCGTTATCCCAAAATCATTTATCCCAAGTTTGTGCAAACAGTTATGCCTTATTGTTCCCATCAGTTCAAAGAAAATGCCCCAGATGATTTCTAGGAGGAAAACTGCAGTATTCAGCCCTGTCTCATCAAATGCCCAGCTCGTTCATGGATGCAAGAATTTTAGACACTGAAATTAGAATGAAGGAGGAAATCTACAAACCCTTCAGTCCAAATCATACTTCTGTGAATTTTTTACATCTGCCTGGGTCCAATGTGCTGAGAGCGGGCTCAGCTTGCCACAGGCATGGCTGGAGACTAGGAATAGAGCCTTGCTCACTGACCCATTTCATGTCTAGGCTTCCAACTGAGACTACAGTTTCATTACAACCTATATGCGCCCATAGGTCCTGCCTGCGGCAATGACATCTCTCGGGTCAGTAAGGGCCACTTGGAACAGGAATATCACCCCTATCTGGAAGACCAGGTGGAGGCTTATCACCTTCACAGTAAGGTACTCACTGTCCACGTCAAGAGCCAAGCCAAGGTACTGTTCCTCCAATGAGTAAACAGCACTGCTGTAGGGCTGGCCTAAGTCAGGCAGTTCAAGATAACCTGAAGGAGTCGAATAACATCTATCCAGTGAGTCCTGCAAGACTTCAGGCTCTTTCTCATCCAGCAGCTCCCTGCTGAGCCTGGAAAAGTAGGAAAAAGTAAAGAATAAGCCAGGGGGAATCAGAAACCACACAGCCCCAGCTAGATTTCATGGCTAACATAAGGAACTGTTTAAAAAGAAAAAGGACAGATCCATTAATGAGGTAATGAATTATTGCCTTTATGTTGGGATAGACCAGGGCCAGGTAGAAAAGAATGAAAGAGAAAGACAGGGAGAGGGAGGGAGAGAGAGAGAGAGAGAGAGAGAGGAGAAAGTAAGCTCAGCGAGTTGGCCGGGTGACACACTGATGAAGGGGTCAAAGGACACTCTGAGTTAGTGCCCTCGGGACACACAGCGAACAGTGATCATGAAAAGAGTGGGCTCAATAATTTTCCATAAACTTGCTCAAGATTCCATGCAGTTGCCATACAGACTTTGAGGTATGGTCAACCTATAGTAAGTTAGTAAATGATAAGGGGAGGAAGAAATGGAAACCTAAACATCTACTGCAATGAAAACCAACAGCAATATCAGGAGGAGTAATTCAACCTTCGTTGAAAACATGAAATTGAACACACTCTTGTTTTCCCTGGACCTGGCATCTCCAGGTGTCAACACAGAATTAAGCATCCATAATTGCTCAAAGTTACCTGGGGCATGATGGGTCTTGGTCTTCTTCCACTTCTTGGTACTTTTCAATTTCTGCAATAAGTTCAGACATGGACAGACATATTAAGCTGGTTCTCCTACACACATAACAATCCACTGTCTAATCCTCACACGGGGACTTCAGGCTCCTCAGCATGAGAATAGGACACTGTGAGAGATAGTCTTCAGGAGGCCTGAAGGCTGATCACCATAGAGATTCCTTGGTTTTTGTCCCAGAAACTGTGGGTAAAATTCCCTATTCTGGTAGATCGTTATCCCAATATCATTTGTCCCAAGTTTGTGCAAATGGTTATGCCATATTTTTCCAATCGATTTAAAGCAAATGCCCCCAAATGGTTGCTAGGAGAAAAACTGCACTATTCAGCCCTGTCTCATCAAATACTCAGATTGTTCACGGTAGCGAGGATTTTAGACGCTGAAATTAGAGTGAAGGATGAAATCTACAAGATCTACAAAATTGAGACAAAATCAGAGTTGTGTGAATTTGTCACATCTGCCCAGGTCCAACGTCATGAGAGTAGGATTAGGGCGCCACAGGCATGGCCTGAGACTAGGAAGAGAGCCTTGCTCACTGACCCATCCCTTGTCTGGGCTTCCAAGTGGAACTAGAGTTTCATTCAACCTACATGTGCCTATAGGACCTCCCTGTGGCAATGACATCTCTCAGCTCAGTAAGGGCCACTTGCAGTAGGAATATGACCCTAACCAGAAGACTCAGTGGATCCTTATCACCTTCATAGAAAGGTACTCACCATCCATGTCAACAGCCAAGCCAACACGCTGTTGCTCCAATACGTAAAAGGCACTTCTGTAGGGCTGGCATGAGTCAGTCAGTTCAAGACAACCTGAAGGAGTTGAATAACTTCTATCCAGTGAGTCCTGCAAGACTTCAGGCCCTTTCTCATCCAGCAGCTCCCTGCTGAGCCTGGAAAAGTGGGAAAAAGTAAAGAATAAGCCAGGGGGAATCAGAAACCACACAGCCCCAGCTAGATTTCATGGCTAACGTAAGGAAGAGTTTGAAAAGAAAAAGGACAGATCCATTAATGAGGTAACAAATTATTGCCTTTATGTTGGGATAGAACAGGGCCAGGTAGAAAACAATGAAAGAGAAAGACAGAGAGAGAGAGAGAGACAGAGACAGAGAGAGAGACAGAGACAGAGACAGAGAGAAAGTGACCTAGTGAATTGGCCAGGTGACATACTGGTAAGGGAGTAAAAGGACACTCTGAGTTAGTGCCCTCATGACACACAGCAAACTGTGATCATGAAAAGAGTGAGCTCAATAGTTTTCCATAAAATATGCTCAAAATTCGATGCAGTGGCCATGAGAGTACAGCTTTTGAAGTATGGTCAACCTATGGTACGTTAGGAAATGATAAGGGGAGGAAGAAATGGAAACCTAAACATCTACTGCAATGAAAACCAACAGCAATGACAGTAGGAGTAATTCAGCCTTCGTTGAAAACATGACATCAAACACACTCTGGTTTCCCTGAATCTGTTGCCTCCAGGTGTTAACACAGAATTAAGCATCCACAATTGCTGAAAGTCACCTGGGGCATGGTGGGTTTTGATCTTCTTCCCCTTCTTTTCTTCCCCTTCTTCTTTCCTTCTTTGATCTTCTTCCCCTTCTTTTCTTCCCCTTCCCCTTCTTTTCAATTTCTGCAATAAATTCAGACATGGACAGACACATTAAGCTGATTCCCCTACACACATAACAATCCACTGTCTAATCCTCACACAGGGACCTCAGGCTCCTCAGCATAAGAATAGGACACCGTGAGAGATATATTTCAGGAGGCCTGAAGGCTGGTCATGATAGAAATTCCTCGGTTTTTCTCCCAGAAACTGTGGGTAAAATGTCCCTATTCTAGTAGATCGTTATCCCAATATCATTTGTCCCAAGTTTGTGCAAACAGTTATGCCATATTTTTCCAATCAACTTAAAGCAAATACCCTCAAATGATTTCTAGGAGAAAAACTGCAATATTTAGCCCTGTCTCATCAAATACTCAGATTGTTCATGGTTGTGAGGACTTTAGACACTGAAATTAGAGTGAAAAAGGAAATCTACAAACCCTTGAGTCAAAATCATAGTTCTCTGAATTTGTCACATCTGCCCAGGTCCAATGTCATGAGGATAGGATCAGGGCGCCACAGGTATGGCCTGAGACTAGGAAGAGAGTCTTGCTCACTGACCCATCCCTTGCCTGGGCTTCCAGGTAGAACTAGAGTTTCATTCAACCTACATGTGCCTATAGGTCCTCCCTGTGGCAATGACATCTCTCAGCTCAGTAATGGCCACTTGGAGCAGGAATATGATCTTTATATGGAAGACTCAGTGGATCCTTATCACCTTCATAGAAAGGTACTCACCTCCCACGTCAAGAGAAAAGCCAACATGTTTTTCCTCCAATGCATAAAAGGAACTTCCATAGGGCTGGCAGGAGTCAGGCTGTTCAAGACAACTGGAAGGAGTTGAATAACATCTATCCAGTGAGTCCTGCAAGACTTCAGGCTCTACTACCTCCAGCAGCTCCCTGCTGAGCCTGGAAAAGGAGGAAAAAGTAAAGAATAAGCCAGGGGAAATCAGACACAACAGAGCCCCAACTAGGTTTCATGGGTAGCATAGGGAAGTGGTTAAAAAACTAAAAGGATAGATCCATTAATGAGGTAACAAATTATTGCCTTCATGTTGGGACAGAACAGGGCCAAATGGAAAAGAATGAAAGAGAAAGACAGATAGACACACACACACACACACACACACACACACACACACACACACACACAGAGAGAGAGAGAACGAGCTCAGTGAATTGTCCAGGTGACACACTGATGAGGGAGTAACAGGACACTCTGAGTTAGTGCCCTCAGGACACACAGCATACAGGGATCATGAAAAGACTGTGCTCAATAATTTTCCATAAAATGTGCTCAAGTTTCCATGCAGTCGCCATGAGAATACAGTTTTTGAAGTCTGGTCCACCTACAGTAGGTTAGTAAATGATAAGGGGAGGAAGAAATGGAAACCTAAATATCTACTGCAATGAAAACCAACAGCAATGTTAGTAGGAATAATTCAGGCTTGCTGGAAAAGATGTAATCGATAATGTCAGCCCGCTCTGTTTTCCCTGAACCAGGAGTCTCCAGATGTCAACACAGAAGTAGCTGTTCACAATTGCTCAGTTACCTGGGGCATGGTGGGCCTTGGTCTTCTTCCTCTTCTTGGTCCTTTTTAGTTCCTGCAATACATTCAGACAGGGACAGACAAAATAAGCCAATTCACCTACACCCATAACAGTCCACTGTCTAATCCCCACACAGGGATCTCAGGCTCCTCAGCATGAGAACAGGACAATGTGAGAGAGATACTTCAGGAGGCCTGAAAGCTGGTCATGATATTCTTTGGTTTGCATCTCAGAACCAAGGGTGAAATATCCCCATTCTGGTAGATCGTTATCCCAAAATCATTTATCCCAAGTTTGTGCAAACAGTTATGCCTTATTGTTCCCATCAGTTCAAAGAAAATGCCCCAGATGATTTCTAGGAGGAAAACTGCAGTATTCAGCCCTGTCTCATCAAATGCCCAGCTCGTTCATGGATGCAAGAATTTTAGACACTGAAATTAGAATGAAGGAGGAAATCTACAAACCCTTGAGTCCAAATCATAGTTCTGTGAATTTTTTACATCTGCCTGGGTCCAATGTGCTGAGAGCGGGCTCAGCTTGCCACAGGCATGGCTGGAGACTAGGAATAGAGCCTTGCTCACTGACCCATTTCATGTCTAGGCTTCCAACTGAGACTACAGTTTCATTACAACCTATATGCGCCCATAGGTCCTGCCTGCGGCAATGACATCTCTCGGGTCAGTAAGGGCCACTTGGAACAGGAATATCACCCCTATCTGGAAGACCAGGTGGAGGCTTATCACCTTCACAGTAAGGTACTCACTGTCCACGTCAAGAGCCAAGCCAAGGTACTGTTCCTCCAATGAGTAAACAGCACTGCTGTAGGGCTGGCCTAAGTCAGGCAGTTCAAGATAACCTGAAGGAGTCGAATAACATCTATCCAGTGAGTCCTGCAAGACTTCAGGCTCTTTCTCATCCAGCAGCTCCCTGCTGAGCCTGGAAAAGTAGGAAAAAGTAAAGAATAAGCCAGGGGGAATCAGAAACCACACAGCCCCAGCTAGATTTCATGGCTAACATAAGGAACTGTTTAAAAAGAAAAAGGACAGATCCATTAATGAGGTAATGAATTATTGCCTTTATGTTGGGATAGACCAGGGCCAGGTAGAAAAGAATGAAAGAGAAAGACAGGGAGAGGGAGGGAGAGAGAGAGAGAGAGAGAGAGGAGAAAGTAAGCTCAGCGAGTTGGCCGGGTGACACACTGATGAAGGGGTCAAAGGACACTCTGAGTTAGTGCCCTCGGGACACACAGCGAACAGTGATCATGAAAAGAGTGGGCTCAATAATTTTCCATAAACTTGCTCAAGATTCCATGCAGTTGCCATACAGCCTTTGAGGTATGGTCAACCTATAGTAAGTTAGTAAATGATAAGGGGAGGAAGAAATGGAAACCTAAACATCTACTGCAATGAAAACCAACAGCAATATCAGGAGGAGTAATTCAACCTTCGTTGAAAACATGAAATTGAACACACTCTTGTTTTCCCTGGACCTGGCATCTCCAGGTGTCAACACAGAATTAAGCATCCATAATTGCTCAAAGTTACCTGGGGCATGATGGGTCTTGGTCTTCTTCCACTTCTTGGTACTTTTCAATTTCTGCAATAAGTTCAGACATGGACAGACATATTAAGCTGGTTCTCCTACACACATAACAATCCACTGTCTAATCCTCACACAGGGACTTCAGGCTCCTCAGCATGAGAATAGGACACTGTGAGAGATAGTCTTCAGGAGGCCTGAAGGCTGATCACCATAGAGATTCCTTGGTTTTTGTCCCAGAAACTGTGGGTAAAATTCCCTATTCTGGTAGATCGTTATCCCAATATCATTTGTCCCAAGTTTGTGCAAATGGTTATGCCATATTTTTCCAATCGATTTAAAGCAAATGCCCCCAAATGGTTGCTAGGAGAAAAACTGCACTATTCAGCCCTGTCTCATCAAATACTCAGATTGTTCACGGTAGCGAGGATTTTAGACGCTGAAATTAGAGTGAAGGATGAAATCTACAAGATCTACAAAATTGAGACAAAATCAGAGTTGTGTGAATTTGTCACATCTGCCCAGGTCCAACGTCATGAGAGTAGGATTAGGGCGCCACAGGCATGGCCTGAGACTAGGAAGAGAGCCTTGCTCACTGACCCATCCCTTGTCTGGGCTTCCAAGTGGAACTAGAGTTTCATTCAACCTACATGTGCCTATAGGACCTCCCTGTGGCAATGACATCTCTCAGCTCAGTAAGGGCCACTTGCAGTAGGAATATGACCCTAACCAGAAGACTCAGTGGATCCTTATCACCTTCATAGAAAGGTACTCACCATCCATGTCAACAGCCAAGCCAACACGCTGTTGCTCCAATACGTAAAAGGCACTTCTGTAGGGCTGGCATGAGTCAGTCAGTTCAAGACAACCTGAAGGAGTTGAATAACTTCTATCCAGTGAGTCCTGCAAGACTTCAGGCCCTTTCTCATCCAGCAGCTCCCTGCTGAGCCTGGAAAAGTGGGAAAAAGTAAAGAATAAGCCAGGGGGAATCAGAAACCACACAGCCCCAGCTAGATTTCATGGCTAACGTAAGGAAGAGTTTGAAAAGAAAAAGGACAGATCCATTAATGAGGTAACAAATTATTGCCTTTATGTTGGGATAGAACAGGGCCAGGTAGAAAACAATGAAAGAGAAAGACAGAGAGAGAGAGACAGAGACAGAGAGAGAGACAGAGACAGAGACAGAGAGAAAGTGACCTAGTGAATTGGCCAGGTGACATACTGGTAAGGGAGTAAAAGGACACTCTGAGTTAGTGCCCTCATGACACACAGCAAACTGTGATCATGAAAAGAGTGAGCTCAATAGTTTTCCATAAAATATGCTCAAAATTCGATGCAGTGGCCATGAGAGTACAGCTTTTGAAGTATGGTCAACCTATGGTACGTTAGGAAATGATAAGGGGAGGAAGAAATGGAAACCTAAACATCTACTGCAATGAAAACCAACAGCAATGACAGTAGGAGTAATTCAGCCTTCGTTGAAAACATGACATCAAACACACTCTGGTTTCCCTGAATCTGTTGCCTCCAGGTGTTAACACAGAATTAAGCATCCACAATTGCTGAAAGTCACCTGGGGCATGGTGGGTTTTGATCTTCTTCCCCTTCTTTTCTTCCCCTTCTTCTTTCCTTCTTTGATCTTCTTCCCCTTCTTTTCTTCCCCTTCCCCTTCTTTTCAATTTCTGCAATAAATTCAGACATGGACAGACACATTAAGCTGATTCCCCTACACACATAACAATCCACTGTCTAATCCTCACACAGGGACCTCAGGCTCCTCAGCATAAGAATAGGACACCGTGAGAGATATATTTCAGGAGGCCTGAAGGCTGGTCATGATAGAAATTCCTCGGTTTTTCTCCCAGAAACTGTGGGTAAAATGTCCCTATTCTAGTAGATCGTTATCCCAATATCATTTGTCCCAAGTTTGTGCAAACAGTTATGCCATATTTTTCCAATCAACTTAAAGCAAATACCCTCAAATGATTTCTAGGAGAAAAACTGCAATATTTAGCCCTGTCTCATCAAATACTCAGATTGTTCATGGTTGTGAGGACTTTAGACACTGAAATTAGAGTGAAAAAGGAAATCTACAAACCCTTGAGTCAAAATCATAGTTCTCTGAATTTGTCACATCTGCCCAGGTCCAATGTCATGAGGATAGGATCAGGGCGCCACAGGTATGGCCTGAGACTAGGAAGAGAGTCTTGCTCACTGACCCATCCCTTGCCTGGGCTTCCAGGTAGAACTAGAGTTTCATTCAACCTACATGTGCCTATAGGTCCTCCCTGTGGCAATGACATCTCTCAGCTCAGTAATGGCCACTTGGAGCAGGAATATGATCTTTATATGGAAGACTCAGTGGATCCTTATCACCTTCATAGAAAGGTACTCACCTCCCACGTCGAGAGAAAAGCCAACATGTTTTTCCTCCAATGCATAAAAGGAACTTCCATAGGGCTGGCAGGAGTCAGGCTGTTCAAGACAACTGGAAGGAGTTGAATAACATCTATCCAGTGAGTCCTGCAAGACTTCAGGCTCTACTACCTCCAGCAGCTCCCTGCTGAGCCTGGAAAAGGAGGAAAAAGTAAAGAATAAGCCAGGGGAAATCAGACACAACAGAGCCCCAACTAGGTTTCATGGGTAGCATAGGGAAGTGGTTAAAAAACTAAAAGGATAGATCCATTAATGAGGTAACAAATTATTGCCTTCATGTTGGGACAGAACAGGGCCAAATGGAAAAGAATGAAAGAGAAAGACAGATAGACACACACACACACACACACACACACACACACACACACAGACACACACACACACACAGAGAGAACGAGCTCAGTGAATTGTCCAGGTGACACACTGATGAGGGAGTAACAGGACACTCTGAGTTAGTGCCCTCAGGACACACAGCATACAGGGATCATGAAAAGACTGTGCTCAATAATTTTCCATAAAATGTGCTCAAGTTTCCATGCAGTCGCCATGAGAATACAGTTTTTGAAGTCTGGTCCACCTACAGTAGGTTAGTAAATGATAAGGGGAGGAAGAAATGGAAACCTAAATATCTACTGCAATGAAAACCAACAGCAATGTTAGTAGGAATAATTCAGGCTTGCTGGAAAAGATGTAATCGATAATGTCAGCCCGCTCTGTTTTCCCTGAACCAGGAGTCTCCAGATGTCAACACAGAAGTAGCTGTTCACAATTGCTCAGTTACCTGGGGCATGGTGGGCCTTGGTCTTCTTCCTCTTCTTGGTCCTTTTTAGTTCCTGCAATACATTCAGACAGGGACAGACAAAATAAGCCAATTCACCTACACCCATAACAGTCCACTGTCTAATCCCCACACAGGGATCTCAGGCTCCTCAGCATGAGAACAGGACAATGTGAGAGAGATACTTCAGGAGGCCTGAAAGCTGGTCATGATATTCTTTGGTTTGCATCTCAGAACCAAGGGTGAAATATCCCCATTCTGGTAGATCGTTATCCCAAAATCATTTATCCCAAGTTTGTGCAAACAGTTATGCCTTATTGTTCCCATCAGTTCAAAGAAAATGCCCCAGATGATTTCTAGGAGGAAAACTGCAGTATTCAGCCCTGTCTCATCAAATGCCCAGCTCGTTCATGGATGCAAGAATTTTAGACACTGAAATTAGAATGAAGGAGGAAATCTACAAACCCTTCAGTCCAAATCATACTTCTGTGAATTTTTTACATCTGCCTGGGTCCAATGTGCTGAGAGCGGGCTCAGCTTGCCACAGGCATGGCTGGAGACTAGGAATAGAGCCTTGCTCACTGACCCATTTCATGTCTAGGCTTCCAACTGAGACTACAGTTTCATTACAACCTATATGCGCCCATAGGTCCTGCCTGCGGCAATGACATCTCTCGGGTCAGTAAGGGCCACTTGGAACAGGAATATCACCCCTATCTGGAAGACCAGGTGGAGGCTTATCACCTTCACAGTAAGGTACTCACTGTCCACGTCAAGAGCCAAGCCAAGGTACTGTTCCTCCAATGAGTAAACAGCACTGCTGTAGGGCTGGCCTAAGTCAGGCAGTTCAAGATAACCTGAAGGAGTCGAATAACATCTATCCAGTGAGTCCTGCAAGACTTCAGGCTCTTTCTCATCCAGCAGCTCCCTGCTGAGCCTGGAAAAGTAGGAAAAAGTAAAGAATAAGCCAGGGGGAATCAGAAACCACACAGCCCCAGCTAGATTTCATGGCTAACATAAGGAACTGTTTAAAAAGAAAAAGGACAGATCCATTAATGAGGTAATGAATTATTGCCTTTATGTTGGGATAGACCAGGGCCAGGTAGAAAAGAATGAAAGAGAAAGACAGGGAGAGGGAGGGAGAGAGAGAGAGAGAGAGAGAGGAGAAAGTAAGCTCAGCGAGTTGGCCGGGTGACACACTGATGAAGGGGTCAAAGGACACTCTGAGTTAGTGCCCTCGGGACACACAGCGAACAGTGATCATGAAAAGAGTGGGCTCAATAATTTTCCATAAACTTGCTCAAGATTCCATGCAGTTGCCATACAGCCTTTGAGGTATGGTCAACCTATAGTAAGTTAGTAAATGATAAGGGGAGGAAGAAATGGAAACCTAAACATCTACTGCAATGAAAACCAACAGCAATATCAGGAGGAGTAATTCAACCTTCGTTGAAAACATGAAATTGAACACACTCTTGTTTTCCCTGGACCTGGCATCTCCAGGTGTCAACACAGAATTAAGCATCCATAATTGCTCAAAGTTACCTGGGGCATGATGGGTCTTGGTCTTCTTCCACTTCTTGGTACTTTTCAATTTCTGCAATAAGTTCAGACATGGACAGACATATTAAGCTGGTTCTCCTACACACATAACAATCCACTGTCTAATCCTCACACAGGGACTTCAGGCTCCTCAGCATGAGAATAGGACACTGTGAGAGATAGTCTTCAGGAGGCCTGAAGGCTGATCACCATAGAGATTCCTTGGTTTTTGTCCCAGAAACTGTGGGTAAAATTCCCTATTCTGGTAGATCGTTATCCCAATATCATTTGTCCCAAGTTTGTGCAAATGGTTATGCCATATTTTTCCAATCGATTTAAAGCAAATGCCCCCAAATGGTTGCTAGGAGAAAAACTGCACTATTCAGCCCTGTCTCATCAAATACTCAGATTGTTCACGGTAGCGAGGATTTTAGACGCTGAAATTAGAGTGAAGGATGAAATCTACAAGATCTACAAAATTGAGACAAAATCAGAGTTGTGTGAATTTGTCACATCTGCCCAGGTCCAACGTCATGAGAGTAGGATTAGGGCGCCACAGGCATGGCCTGAGACTAGGAAGAGAGCCTTGCTCACTGACCCATCCCTTGTCTGGGCTTCCAAGTGGAACTAGAGTTTCATTCAACCTACATGTGCCTATAGGACCTCCCTGTGGCAATGACATCTCTCAGCTCAGTAAGGGCCACTTGCAGTAGGAATATGACCCTAACCAGAAGACTCAGTGGATCCTTATCACCTTCATAGAAAGGTACTCACCATCCATGTCAACAGCCAAGCCAACACGCTGTTGCTCCAATACGTAAAAGGCACTTCTGTAGGGCTGGCATGAGTCAGTCAGTTCAAGACAACCTGAAGGAGTTGAATAACATCTATCCAGTGAGTCCTGCAAGACTTCAGGCCCTTTCTCATCCAGCAGCTCCCTGCTGAGCCTGGAAAAGTGGGAAAAAGTAAAGAATAAGCCAGGGGGAATCAGAAACCACACAGCCCCAGCTAGATTTCATGGCTAACGTAAGGAAGAGTTTGAAAAGAAAAAGGACAGATCCATTAATGAGGTAACAAATTATTGCCTTTATGTTGGGATAGAACAGGGCCAGGTAGAAAACAATGAAAGAGAAAGACAGAGAGAGAGAGAGAGACAGAGACAGAGAGAGAGACAGAGACAGAGACAGAGAGAAAGTGACCTAGTGAATTGGCCAGGTGACATACTGGTAAGGGAGTAAAAGGACACTCTGAGTTAGTGCCCTCATGACACACAGCAAACTGTGATCATGAAAAGAGTGAGCTCAATAGTTTTCCATAAAATATGCTCAAAATTCGATGCAGTGGCCATGAGAGTACAGCTTTTGAAGTATGGTCAACCTATGGTACGTTAGGAAATGATAAGGGGAGGAAGAAATGGAAACCTAAACATCTACTGCAATGAAAACCAACAGCAATGACAGTAGGAGTAATTCAGCCTTCGTTGAAAACATGACATCAAACACACTCTGGTTTCCCTGAATCTGTTGCCTCCAGGTGTTAACACAGAATTAAGCATACACAATTGCTGAAAGTCACCTGGGGCATGGTGGGTTTTGATCTTCTTCCCCTTCTTTTCTTCCCCTTCTTCTTTCCTTCTTTGATCTTCTTCCCCTTCTTTTCTTCCCCTTCCCCTTCTTTTCAATTTCTGCAATAAATTCAGACATGGACAGACACATTAAGCTGATTCCCCTACACACATAACAATCCACTGTCTAATCCTCACGCAGGGACCTCAGGCTCCTCAGCATAAGAATAGGACACCGTGAGAGATATATTTCAGGAGGCCTGAAGGCTGGTCATGATAGAAATTCCTCGGTTTTTCTCCCAGAAACTGTGGGTAAAATGTCCCTATTCTAGTAGATCGTTATCCCAATATCATTTGTCCCAAGTTTGTGCAAACAGTTATGCCATATTTTTCCAATCAACTTAAAGCAAATACCCTCAAATGATTTCTAGGAGAAAAACTGCAATATTTAGCCCTGTCTCATCAAATACTCAGATTGTTCATGGTTGTGAGGACTTTAGACACTGAAATTAGAGTGAAAAAGGAAATCTACAAACCCTTGAGTCAAAATCATAGTTCTCTGAATTTGTCACATCTGCCCAGGTCCAATGTCATGAGGATAGGATCAGGGCGCCACAGGTATGGCCTGAGACTAGGAAGAGAGTCTTGCTCACTGACCCATCCCTTGCCTGGGCTTCCAGGTAGAACTAGAGTTTCATTCAACCTACATGTGCCTATAGGTCCTCCCTGTGGCAATGACATCTCTCAGCTCAGTAATGGCCACTTGGAGCAGGAATATGATCTTTATATGGAAGACTCAGTGGATCCTTATCACCTTCATAGAAAGGTACTCACCTCCCACGTCGAGAGAAAAGCCAACATGTTTTTCCTCCAATGCATAAAAGGAACTTCCATAGGGCTGGCAGGAGTCAGGCTGTTCAAGACAACTGGAAGGAGTTGAATAACATCTATCCAGTGAGTCCTGCAAGACTTCAGGCTCTACTACCTCCAGCAGCTCCCTGCTGAGCCTGGAAAAGGAGGAAAAAGTAAAGAATAAGCCAGGGGAAATCAGACACAACAGAGCCCCAACTAGGTTTCATGGGTAGCATAGGGAAGTGGTTAAAAAACTAAAAGGATAGATCCATTAATGAGGTAACAAATTATTGCCTTCATGTTGGGACAGAACAGGGCCAAATGGAAAAGAATGAAAGAGAAAGACAGATAGACACACACACACACACACACACACACACACACACACACAGACACACACACAGACAAACACACACACAGAGAGAGAACGAGCTCAGTGAATTGTCCAGGTGACACACTGATGAGGGAGTAACAGGACACTCTGAGTTAGTGCCCTCAGGACACACAGCATACAGGGATCATGAAAAGACTGTGCTCAATAATTTTCCATAAAATGTGCTCAAGTTTCCATGCAGTCGCCATGAGAATACAGTTTTTGAAGTCTGGTCCACCTACAGTAGGTTAGTAAATGATAAGGGGAGGAAGAAATGGAAACCTAAATATCTACTGCAATGAAAACCAACAGCAATGTTAGTAGGAATAATTCAGGCTTGCTGGAAAAGATGTAATCGATAATGTCAGCCCGCTCTGTTTTCCCTGAACCAGGAGTCTCCAGATGTCAACACAGAAGTAGCTGTTCACAATTGCTCAGTTACCTGGGGCATGGTGGGCCTTGGTCTTCTTCCTCTTCTTGGTCCTTTTTAGTTCCTGCAATACATTCAGACAGGGACAGACAAAATAAGCCAATTCACCTACACCCATAACAGTCCACTGTCTAATCCCCACACAGGGATCTCAGGCTCCTCAGCATGAGAACAGGACAATGTGAGAGAGATACTTCAGGAGGCCTGAAAGCTGGTCATGATATTCTTTGGTTTGCATCTCAGAACCAAGGGTGAAATATCCCCATTCTGGTAGATCGTTATCCCAAAATCATTTATCCCAAGTTTGTGCAAACAGTTATGCCTTATTGTTCCCATCAGTTCAAAGAAAATGCCCCAGATGATTTCTAGGAGGAAAACTGCAGTATTCAGCCCTGTCTCATCAAATGCCCAGCTCGTTCATGGATGCAAGAATTTTAGACACTGAAATTAGAATGAAGGAGGAAATCTACAAACCCTTCAGTCCAAATCATACTTCTGTGAATTTTTTACATCTGCCTGGGTCCAATGTGCTGAGAGCGGGCTCAGCTTGCCACAGGCATGGCTGGAGACTAGTAATAGAGCCTTGCTCACTGACCCATTTCATGTCTAGGCTTCCAACTGAGACTACAGTTTCATTACAACCTATATGCGCCCATAGGTCCTGCCTGCGGCAATGACATCTCTCGGGTCAGTAAGGGCCACTTGGAACAGGAATATCACCCCTATCTGGAAGACCAGGTGGAGGCTTATCACCTTCACAGTAAGGTACTCACTGTCCACGTCAAGAGCCAAGCCAAGGTACTGTTCCTCCAATGAGTAAACAGCACTGCTGTAGGGCTGGCCTAAGTCAGGCAGTTCAAGATAACCTGAAGGAGTCGAATAACATCTATCCAGTGAGTCCTGCAAGACTTCAGGCTCTTTCTCATCCAGCAGCTCCCTGCTGAGCCTGGAAAAGTAGGAAAAAGTAAAGAATAAGCCAGGGGGAATCAGAAACCACACAGCCCCAGCTAGATTTCATGGCTAACATAAGGAACTGTTTAAAAAGAAAAAGGACAGATCCATTAATGAGGTAATGAATTATTGCCTTTATGTTGGGATAGACCAGGGCCAGGTAGAAAAGAATGAAAGAGAAAGACAGGGAGAGGGAGGGAGAGAGAGAGAGAGAGAGAGAGGAGAAAGTAAGCTCAGCGAGTTGGCCGGGTGACACACTGATGAAGGGGTCAAAGGACACTCTGAGTTAGTGCCCTCGGGACACACAGCGAACAGTGATCATGAAAAGAGTGGGCTCAATAATTTTCCATAAACTTGCTCAAGATTCCATGCAGTTGCCATACAGCCTTTGAGGTATGGTCAACCTATAGTAAGTTAGTAAATGATAAGGGGAGGAAGAAATGGAAACCTAAACATCTACTGCAATGAAAACCAACAGCAATATCAGGAGGAGTAATTCAACCTTCGTTGAAAACATGAAATTGAACACACTCTTGTTTTCCCTGGACCTGGCATCTCCAGGTGTCAACACAGAATTAAGCATCCATAATTGCTCAAAGTTACCTGGGGCATGATGGGTCTTGGTCTTCTTCCACTTCTTGGTACTTTTCAATTTCTGCAATAAGTTCAGACATGGACAGACATATTAAGCTGGTTCTCCTACACACATAACAATCCACTGTCTAATCCTCACACAGGGACTTCAGGCTCCTCAGCATGAGAATAGGACACTGTGAGAGATAGTCTTCAGGAGGCCTGAAGGCTGATCACCATAGAGATTCCTTGGTTTTTGTCCCAGAAACTGTGGGTAAAATTCCCTATTCTGGTAGATCGTTATCCCAATATCATTTGTCCCAAGTTTGTGCAAATGGTTATGCCATATTTTTCCAATCGATTTAAAGCAAATGCCCCCAAATGGTTGCTAGGAGAAAAACTGCACTATTCAGCCCTGTCTCATCAAATACTCAGATTGTTCACGGTAGCGAGGATTTTAGACACTGAAATTAGAGTGAAGGATGAAATCTACAAGATCTACAAAATTGAGACAAAATCAGAGTTGTGTGAATTTGTCACATCTGCCCAGGTCCAACGTCATGAGAGTAGGATTAGGGCGCCACAGGCATGGCCTGAGACTAGGAAGAGAGCCTTGCTCACTGACCCATCCCTTGTCTGGGCTTCCAAGTGGAACTAGAGTTTCATTCAACCTACATGTGCCTATAGGACCTCCCTGTGGCAATGACATCTCTCAGCTCAGTAAGGGCCACTTGCAGTAGGAATATGACCCTAACCAGAAGACTCAGTGGATCCTTATCACCTTCATAGAAAGGTACTCACCATCCATGTCAACAGCCAAGCCAACACGCTGTTGCTCCAATACGTAAAAGGCACTTCTGTAGGGCTGGCATGAGTCAGTCAGTTCAAGACAACCTGAAGGAGTTGAATAACATCTATCCAGTGAGTCCTGCAAGACTTCAGGCCCTTTCTCATCCAGCAGCTCCCTGCTGAGCCTGGAAAAGTGGGAAAAAGTAAAGAATAAGCCAGGGGGAATCAGAAACCACACAGCCCCAGCTAGATTTCATGGCTAACGTAAGGAAGAGTTTGAAAAGAAAAAGGACAGATCCATTAATGAGGTAACAAATTATTGCCTTTATGTTGGGATAGAACAGGGCCAGGTAGAAAACAATGAAAGAGAAAGACAGAGAGAGAGAGAGAGACAGAGACAGAGAGAGAGAGACAGAGACAGAGACAGAGAGAAAGTGACCTAGTGAATTGGCCAGGTGACATACTGGTAAGGGAGTAAAAGGACACTCTGAGTTAGTGCCCTCATGACACACAGCAAACTGTGATCATGAAAAGAGTGAGCTCAATAGTTTTCCATAAAATATGCTCAAAATTCGATGCAGTGGCCATGAGAGTACAGCTTTTGAAGTATGGTCAACCTATGGTACGTTAGGAAATGATAAGGGGAGGAAGAAATGGAAACCTAAACATCTACTGCAATGAAAACCAACAGCAATGACAGTAGGAGTAATTCAGCCTTCGTTGAAAACATGACATCAAACACACTCTGGTTTCCCTGAATCTGTTGCCTCCAGGTGTTAACACAGAATTAAGCATCCACAATTGCTGAAAGTCACCTGGGGCATGGTGGGTTTTGATCTTCTTCCCCTTCTTTTCTTCCCCTTCTTCTTTCCTTCTTTGATCTTCTTCCCCTTCTTTTCTTCCCCTTCCCCTTCTTTTCAATTTCTGCAATAAATTCAGACATGGACAGACACATTAAGCTGATTCCCCTACACACATAACAATCCACTGTCTAATCCTCACGCAGGGACCTCAGGCTCCTCAGCATAAGAATAGGACACCGTGAGAGATATATTTCAGGAGGCCTGAAGGCTGGTCATGATAGAAATTCCTCGGTTTTTCTCCCAGAAACTGTGGGTAAAATGTCCCTATTCTAGTAGATCGTTATCCCAATATCATTTGTCCCAAGTTTGTGCAAACAGTTATGCCATATTTTTCCAATCAACTTAAAGCAAATACCCTCAAATGATTTCTAGGAGAAAAACTGCAATATTTAGCCCTGTCTCATCAAATACTCAGATTGTTCATGGTTGTGAGGACTTTAGACACTGAAATTAGAGTGAAAAAGGAAATCTACAAACCCTTGAGTCAAAATCATAGTTCTCTGAATTTGTCACATCTGCCCAGGTCCAATGTCATGAGGATAGGATCAGGGCGCCACAGGTATGGCCTGAGACTAGGAAGAGAGTCTTGCTCACTGACCCATCCCTTGCCTGGGCTTCCAGGTAGAACTAGAGTTTCATTCAACCTACATGTGCCTATAGGTCCTCCCTGTGGCAATGACATCTCTCAGCTCAGTAATGGCCACTTGGAGCAGGAATATGATCTTTATATGGAAGACTCAGTGGATCCTTATCACCTTCATAGAAAGGTACTCACCTCCCACGTCGAGAGAAAAGCCAACATGTTTTTCCTCCAATGCATAAAAGGAACTTCCATAGGGCTGGCAGGAGTCAGGCTGTTCAAGACAACTGGAAGGAGTTGAATAACATCTATCCAGTGAGTCCTGCAAGACTTCAGGCTCTACTACCTCCAGCAGCTCCCTGCTGAGCCTGGAAAAGGAGGAAAAAGTAAAGAATAAGCCAGGGGAAATCAGACACAACAGAGCCCCAACTAGGTTTCATGGGTAGCATAGGGAAGTGGTTAAAAAACTAAAAGGATAGATCCATTAATGAGGTAACAAATTATTGCCTTCATGTTGGGACAGAACAGGGCCAAATGGAAAAGAATGAAAGAGAAAGACAGATAGACACACACACACACACACACACACACACACACACACACACACAGACACACACACACACACAGAGAGAACGAGCTCAGTGAATTGTCCAGGTGACACACTGATGAGGGAGTAACAGGACACTCTGAGTTAGTGCCCTCAGGACACACAGCATACAGGGATCATGAAAAGACTGTGCTCAATAATTTTCCATAAAATGTGCTCAAGTTTCCATGCAGTCGCCATGAGAATACAGTTTTTGAAGTCTGGTCCACCTACAGTAGGTTAGTAAATGATAAGGGGAGGAAGAAATGGAAACCTAAATATCTACTGCAATGAAAACCAACAGCAATGTTAGTAGGAATAATTCAGGCTTGCTGGAAAAGATGTAATCGATAATGTCAGCCCGCTCTGTTTTCCCTGAACCAGGAGTCTCCAGATGTCAACACAGAAGTAGCTGTTCACAATTGCTCAGTTACCTGGGGCATGGTGGGCCTTGGTCTTCTTCCTCTTCTTGGTCCTTTTTAGTTCCTGCAATACATTCAGACAGGGACAGACAAAATAAGCCAATTCACCTACACCCATAACAGTCCACTGTCTAATCCCCACACAGGGATCTCAGGCTCCTCAGCATGAGAACAGGACAATGTGAGAGAGATACTTCAGGAGGCCTGAAAGCTGGTCATGATATTCTTTGGTTTGCATCTCAGAACCAAGGGTGAAATATCCCCATTCTGGTAGATCGTTATCCCAAAATCATTTATCCCAAGTTTGTGCAAACAGTTATGCCTTATTGTTCCCATCAGTTCAAAGAAAATGCCCCAGATGATTTCTAGGAGGAAAACTGCAGTATTCAGCCCTGTCTCATCAAATGCCCAGCTCGTTCATGGATGCAAGAATTTTAGACACTGAAATTAGAATGAAGGAGGAAATCTACAAACCCTTCAGTCCAAATCATACTTCTGTGAATTTTTTACATCTGCCTGGGTCCAATGTGCTGAGAGCGGGCTCAGCTTGCCACAGGCATGGCTGGAGACTAGTAATAGAGCCTTGCTCACTGACCCATTTCATGTCTAGGCTTCCAACTGAGACTACAGTTTCATTACAACCTATATGCGCCCATAGGTCCTGCCTGCGGCAATGACATCTCTCGGGTCAGTAAGGGCCACTTGGAACAGGAATATCACCCCTATCTGGAAGACCAGGTGGAGGCTTATCACCTTCACAGTAAGGTACTCACTGTCCACGTCAAGAGCCAAGCCAAGGTACTGTTCCTCCAATGAGTAAACAGCACTGCTGTAGGGCTGGCCTAAGTCAGGCAGTTCAAGATAACCTGAAGGAGTCGAATAACATCTATCCAGTGAGTCCTGCAAGACTTCAGGCTCTTTCTCATCCAGCAGCTCCCTGCTGAGCCTGGAAAAGTAGGAAAAAGTAAAGAATAAGCCAGGGGGAATCAGAAACCACACAGCCCCAGCTAGATTTCATGGCTAACATAAGGAACTGTTTAAAAAGAAAAAGGACAGATCCATTAATGAGGTAATGAATTATTGCCTTTATGTTGGGATAGACCAGGGCCAGGTAGAAAAGAATGAAAGAGAAAGACAGGGAGAGGGAGGGAGAGAGAGAGAGAGAGAGAGAGGAGAAAGTAAGCTCAGCGAGTTGGCCGGGTGACACACTGATGAAGGGGTCAAAGGACACTCTGAGTTAGTGCCCTCGGGACACACAGCGAACAGTGATCATGAAAAGAGTGGGCTCAATAATTTTCCATAAACTTGCTCAAGATTCCATGCAGTTGCCATACAGCCTTTGAGGTATGGTCAACCTATAGTAAGTTAGTAAATGATAAGGGGAGGAAGAAATGGAAACCTAAACATCTACTGCAATGAAAACCAACAGCAATATCAGGAGGAGTAATTCAACCTTCGTTGAAAACATGAAATTGAACACACTCTTGTTTTCCCTGGACCTGGCATCTCCAGGTGTCAACACAGAATTAAGCATCCATAATTGCTCAAAGTTACCTGGGGCATGATGGGTCTTGGTCTTCTTCCACTTCTTGGTACTTTTCAATTTCTGCAATAAGTTCAGACATGGACAGACATATTAAGCTGGTTCTCCTACACACATAACAATCCACTGTCTAATCCTCACACAGGGACTTCAGGCTCCTCAGCATGAGAATAGGACACTGTGAGAGATAGTCTTCAGGAGGCCTGAAGGCTGATCACCATAGAGATTCCTTGGTTTTTGTCCCAGAAACTGTGGGTAAAATTCCCTATTCTGGTAGATCGTTATCCCAATATCATTTGTCCCAAGTTTGTGCAAATGGTTATGCCATATTTTTCCAATCGATTTAAAGCAAATGCCCCCAAATGGTTGCTAGGAGAAAAACTGCACTATTCAGCCCTGTCTCATCAAATACTCAGATTGTTCACGGTAGCGAGGATTTTAGACGCTGAAATTAGAGTGAAGGATGAAATCTACAAGATCTACAAAATTGAGACAAAATCAGAGTTGTGTGAATTTGTCACATCTGCCCAGGTCCAACGTCATGAGAGTAGGATTAGGGCGCCACAGGCATGGCCTGAGACTAGGAAGAGAGCCTTGCTCACTGACCCATCCCTTGTCTGGGCTTCCAAGTGGAACTAGAGTTTCATTCAACCTACATGTGCCTATAGGACCTCCCTGTGGCAATGACATCTCTCAGCTCAGTAAGGGCCACTTGCAGTAGGAATATGACCCTAACCAGAAGACTCAGTGGATCCTTATCACCTTCATAGAAAGGTACTCACCATCCATGTCAACAGCCAAGCCAACACGCTGTTGCTCCAATACGTAAAAGGCACTTCTGTAGGGCTGGCATGAGTCAGTCAGTTCAAGACAACCTGAAGGAGTTGAATAACATCTATCCAGTGAGTCCTGCAAGACTTCAGGCCCTTTCTCATCCAGCAGCTCCCTGCTGAGCCTGGAAAAGTGGGAAAAAGTAAAGAATAAGCCAGGGGGAATCAGAAACCACACAGCCCCAGCTAGATTTCATGGCTAACGTAAGGAAGAGTTTGAAAAGAAAAAGGACAGATCCATTAATGAGGTAACAAATTATTGCCTTTATGTTGGGATAGAACAGGGCCAGGTAGAAAACAATGAAAGAGAAAGACAGAGAGAGAGAGAGAGACAGAGACAGAGAGAGAGACAGAGACAGAGACAGAGAGAAAGTGACCTAGTGAATTGGCCAGGTGACATACTGGTAAGGGAGTAAAAGGACACTCTGAGTTAGTGCCCTCATGACACACAGCAAACTGTGATCATGAAAAGAGTGAGCTCAATAGTTTTCCATAAAATATGCTCAAAATTCGATGCAGTGGCCATGAGAGTACAGCTTTTGAAGTATGGTCAACCTATGGTACGTTAGGAAATGATAAGGGGAGGAAGAAATGGAAACCTAAACATCTACTGCAATGAAAACCAACAGCAATGACAGTAGGAGTAATTCAGCCTTCGTTGAAAACATGACATCAAACACACTCTGGTTTCCCTGAATCTGTTGCCTCCAGGTGTTAACACAGAATTAAGCATCCACAATTGCTGAAAGTCACCTGGGGCATGGTGGGTTTTGATCTTCTTCCCCTTCTTTTCTTCCCCTTCTTCTTTCCTTCTTTGATCTTCTTCCCCTTCTTTTCTTCCCCTTCCCCTTCTTTTCAATTTCTGCAATAAATTCAGACATGGACAGACACATTAAGCTGATTCCCCTACACACATAACAATCCACTGTCTAATCCTCACACAGGGACCTCAGGCTCCTCAGCATAAGAATAGGACACCGTGAGAGATATATTTCAGGAGGCCTGAAGGCTGGTCATGATAGAAATTCCTCGGTTTTTCTCCCAGAAACTGTGGGTAAAATGTCCCTATTCTAGTAGATCGTTATCCCAATATCATTTGTCCCAAGTTTGTGCAAACAGTTATGCCATATTTTTCCAATCAACTTAAAGCAAATACCCTCAAATGATTTCTAGGAGAAAAACTGCAATATTTAGCCCTGTCTCATCAAATACTCAGATTGTTCATGGTTGTGAGGACTTTAGACACTGAAATTAGAGTGAAAAAGGAAATCTACAAACCCTTGAGTCAAAATCATAGTTCTCTGAATTTGTCACATCTGCCCAGGTCCAATGTCATGAGGATAGGATCAGGCCGCCACAGGTATGGCCTGAGACTAGGAAGAGAGTCTTGCTCACTGACCCATCCCTTGCCTGGGCTTCCAGGTAGAACTAGAGTTTCATTCAACCTACATGTGCCTATAGGTCCTCCCTGTGGCAATGACATCTCTCAGCTCAGTAATGGCCACTTGGAGCAGGAATATGATCTTTATATGGAAGACTCAGTGGATCCTTATCACCTTCATAGAAAGGTACTCACCTCCCACGTCGAGAGAAAAGCCAACATGTTTTTCCTCCAATGCATAAAAGGAACTTCCATAGGGCTGGCAGGAGTCAGGCTGTTCAAGACAACTGGAAGGAGTTGAATAACATCTATCCAGTGAGTCCTGCAAGACTTCAGGCTCTACTACCTCCAGCAGCTCCCTGCTGAGCCTGGAAAAGGAGGAAAAAGTAAAGAATAAGCCAGGGGAAATCAGACACAACAGAGCCCCAACTAGGTTTCATGGGTAGCATAGGGAAGTGGTTAAAAAACTAAAAGGATAGATCCATTAATGAGGTAACAAATTATTGCCTTCATGTTGGGACAGAACAGGGCCAAATGGAAAAGAATGAAAGAGAAAGACAGATAGACACACACACACACACACACACACACACACACACACACACAGAGAGAGAGAGAACGAGCTCAGTGAATTGTCCAGGTGACACACTGATGAGGGAGTAACAGGACACTCTGAGTTAGTGCCCTCAGGACACACAGCATACAGGGATCATGAAAAGACTGTGCTCAATAATTTTCCATAAAATGTGCTCAAGTTTCCATGCAGTCGCCATGAGAATACAGTTTTTGAAGTCTGGTCCACCTACAGTAGGTTAGTAAATGATAAGGGGAGGAAGAAATGGAAACCTAAATATCTACTGCAATGAAAACCAACAGCAATGTTAGTAGGAATAATTCAGGCTTGCTGGAAAAGATGTAATCGATAATGTCAGCCCGCTCTGTTTTCCCTGAACCAGGAGTCTCCAGATGTCAACACAGAAGTAGCTGTTCACAATTGCTCAGTTACCTGGGGCATGGTGGGCCTTGGTCTTCTTCCTCTTCTTGGTCCTTTTTAGTTCCTGCAATACATTCAGACAGGGACAGACAAAATAAGCCAATTCACCTACACCCATAACAGTCCACTGTCTAATCCCCACACAGGGATCTCAGGCTCCTCAGCATGAGAACAGGACAATGTGAGAGAGATACTTCAGGAGGCCTGAAAGCTGGTCATGATATTCTTTGGTTTGCATCTCAGAACCAAGGGTGAAATATCCCCATTCTGGTAGATCGTTATCCCAAAATCATTTATCCCAAGTTTGTGCAAACAGTTATGCCTTATTGTTCCCATCAGTTCAAAGAAAATGCCCCAGATGATTTCTAGGAGGAAAACTGCAGTATTCAGCCCTGTCTCATCAAATGCCCAGCTCGTTCATGGATGCAAGAATTTTAGACACTGAAATTAGAATGAAGGAGGAAATCTACAAACCCTTGAGTCCAAATCATACTTCTGTGAATTTTTTACATCTGCCTGGGTCCAATGTGCTGAGAGCGGGCTCAGCTTGCCACAGGCATGGCTGGAGACTAGGAATAGAGCCTTGCTCACTGACCCATTTCATGTCTAGGCTTCCAACTGAGACTACAGTTTCATTACAACCTATATGCGCCCATAGGTCCTGCCTGCGGCAATGACATCTCTCGGGTCAGTAAGGGCCACTTGGAACAGGAATATCACCCCTATCTGGAAGACCAGGTGGAGGCTTATCACCTTCACAGTAAGGTACTCACTGTCCACGTCAAGAGCCAAGCCAAGGTACTGTTCCTCCAATGAGTAAACAGCACTGCTGTAGGGCTGGCCTAAGTCAGGCAGTTCAAGATAACCTGAAGGAGTCGAATAACATCTATCCAGTGAGTCCTGCAAGACTTCAGGCTCTTTCTCATCCAGCAGCTCCCTGCTGAGCCTGGAAAGTAGGAAAAAGTAAAGAATAAGCCAGGGGGAATCAGAAACCACACAGCCCCAGCTAGATTTCATGGCTAACATAAGGAACTGTTTAAAAAGAAAAAGGACAGATCCATTAATGAGGTAATGAATTATTGCCTTTATGTTGGGATAGACCAGGGCCAGGTAGAAAAGAATGAAAGAGAAAGACAGGGAGAGGGAGGGAGAGAGAGAGAGAGAGAGAGAGGAGAAAGTAAGCTCAGCGAGTTGGCCGGGTGACACACTGATGAAGGGGTCAAAGGACACTCTGAGTTAGTGCCCTCGGGACACACAGCGAACAGTGATCATGAAAAGAGTGGGCTCAATAATTTTCCATAAACTTGCTCAAGATTCCATGCAGTTGCCATACAGCCTTTGAGGTATGGTCAACCTATAGTAAGTTAGTAAATGATAAGGGGAGGAAGAAATGGAAACCTAAACATCTACTGCAATGAAAACCAACAGCAATATCAGGAGGAGTAATTCAACCTTCGTTGAAAACATGAAATTGAACACACTCTTGTTTTCCCTGGACCTGGCATCTCCAGGTGTCAACACAGAATTAAGCATCCATAATTGCTCAAAGTTACCTGGGGCATGATGGGTCTTGGTCTTCTTCCACTTCTTGGTACTTTTCAATTTCTGCAATAAGTTCAGACATGGACAGACATATTAAGCTGGTTCTCCTACACACATAACAATCCACTGTCTAATCCTCACACAGGGACTTCAGGCTCCTCAGCATGAGAATAGGACACTGTGAGAGATAGTCTTCAGGAGGCCTGAAGGCTGATCACCATAGAGATTCCTTGGTTTTTGTCCCAGAAACTGTGGGTAAAATTCCCTATTCTGGTAGATCGTTATCCCAATATCATTTGTCCCAAGTTTGTGCAAATGGTTATGCCATATTTTTCCAATCGATTTAAAGCAAATGCCCCCAAATGGTTGCTAGGAGAAAAACTGCACTATTCAGCCCTGTCTCATCAAATACTCAGATTGTTCACGGTAGCGAGGATTTTAGACGCTGAAATTAGAGTGAAGGATGAAATCTACAAGATCTACAAAATTGAGACAAAATCAGAGTTGTGTGAATTTGTCACATCTGCCCAGGTCCAACGTCATGAGAGTAGGATTAGGGCGCCACAGGCATGGCCTGAGACTAGGAAGAGAGCCTTGCTCACTGACCCATCCCTTGTCTGGGCTTCCAAGTGGAACTAGAGTTTCATTCAACCTACATGTGCCTATAGGACCTCCCTGTGGCAATGACATCTCTCAGCTCAGTAAGGGCCACTTGCAGTAGGAATATGACCCTAACCAGAAGACTCAGTGGATCCTTATCACCTTCATAGAAAGGTACTCACCATCCATGTCAACAGCCAAGCCAACACGCTGTTGCTCCAATACGTAAAAGGCACTTCTGTAGGGCTGGCATGAGTCAGTCAGTTCAAGACAACCTGAAGGAGTTGAATAACTTCTATCCAGTGAGTCCTGCAAGACTTCAGGCCCTTTCTCATCCAGCAGCTCCCTGCTGAGCCTGGAAAAGTGGGAAAAAGTAAAGAATAAGCCAGGGGGAATCAGAAACCACACAGCCCCAGCTAGATTTCATGGCTAACGTAAGGAAGAGTTTGAAAAGAAAAAGGACAGATCCATTAATGAGGTAACAAATTATTGCCTTTATGTTGGGATAGAACAGGGCCAGGTAGAAAACAATGAAAGAGAAAGACAGAGAGAGAGAGAGAGACAGAGACAGAGAGAGAGACAGAGACAGAGACAGAGAGAAAGTGACCTAGTGAATTGGCCAGGTGACATACTGGTAAGGGAGTAAAAGGACACTCTGAGTTAGTGCCCTCATGACACACAGCAAACTGTGATCATGAAAAGAGTGAGCTCAATAGTTTTCCATAAAATATGCTCAAAATTCGATGCAGTGGCCATGAGAGTACAGCTTTTGAAGTATGGTCAACCTATGGTACGTTAGGAAATGATAAGGGGAGGAAGAAATGGAAACCTAAACATCTACTGCAATGAAAACCAACAGCAATGACAGTAGGAGTAATTCAGCCTTCGTTGAAAACATGACATCAAACACACTCTGGTTTCCCTGAATCTGTTGCCTCCAGGTGTTAACACAGAATTAAGCATCCACAATTGCTGAAAGTCACCTGGGGCATGGTGGGTTTTGATCTTCTTCCCCTTCTTTTCTTCCCCTTCTTCTTTCCTTCTTTGATCTTCTTCCCCTTCTTTTCTTCCCCTTCCCCTTCTTTTCAATTTCTGCAATAAATTCAGACATGGACAGACACATTAAGCTGATTCCCCTACACACATAACAATCCACTGTCTAATCCTCACACAGGGACCTCAGGCTCCTCAGCATAAGAATAGGACACCGTGAGAGATATATTTCAGGAGGCCTGAAGGCTGGTCATGATAGAAATTCCTCGGTTTTTCTCCCAGAAACTGTGGGTAAAATGTCCCTATTCTAGTAGATCGTTATCCCAATATCATTTGTCCCAAGTTTGTGCAAACAGTTATGCCATATTTTTCCAATCAACTTAAAGCAAATACCCTCAAATGATTTCTAGGAGAAAAACTGCAATATTTAGCCCTGTCTCATCAAATACTCAGATTGTTCATGGTTGTGAGGACTTTAGACACTGAAATTAGAGTGAAAAAGGAAATCTACAAACCCTTGAGTCAAAATCATAGTTCTCTGAATTTGTCACATCTGCCCAGGTCCAATGTCATGAGGATAGGATCAGGGCGCCACAGGTATGGCCTGAGACTAGGAAGAGAGTCTTGCTCACTGACCCATCCCTTGCCTGGGCTTCCAGGTAGAACTAGAGTTTCATTCAACCTACATGTGCCTATAGGTCCTCCCTGTGGCAATGACATCTCTCAGCTCAGTAATGGCCACTTGGAGCAGGAATATGATCTTTATATGGAAGACTCAGTGGATCCTTATCACCTTCATAGAAAGGTACTCACCTCCCACGTCGAGAGAAAAGCCAACATGTTTTTCCTCCAATGCATAAAAGGAACTTCCATAGGGCTGGCAGGAGTCAGGCTGTTCAAGACAACTGGAAGGAGTTGAATAACATCTATCCAGTGAGTCCTGCAAGACTTCAGGCTCTACTACCTCCAGCAGCTCCCTGCTGAGCCTGGAAAAGGAGGAAAAAGTAAAGAATAAGCCAGGGGAAATCAGACACAACAGAGCCCCAACTAGGTTTCATGGGTAGCATAGGGAAGTGGTTAAAAAACTAAAAGGATAGATCCATTAATGAGGTAACAAATTATTGCCTTCATGTTGGGACAGAACAGGGCCAAATGGAAAAGAATGAAAGAGAAAGACAGATAGACACACACACACACACACACACACACACACACACAGACACACACACACACACAGAGAGAACGAGCTCAGTGAATTGTCCAGGTGACACACTGATGAGGGAGTAACAGGACACTCTGAGTTAGTGCCCTCAGGACACACAGCATACAGGGATCATGAAAAGACTGTGCTCAATAATTTTCCATAAAATGTGCTCAAGTTTCCATGCAGTCGCCATGAGAATACAGTTTTTGAAGTCTGGTCCACCTACAGTAGGTTAGTAAATGATAAGGGGAGGAAGAAATGGAAACCTAAATATCTACTGCAATGAAAACCAACAGCAATGTTAGTAGGAATAATTCAGGCTTGCTGGAAAAGATGTAATCGATAATGTCAGCCCGCTCTGTTTTCCCTGAACCAGGAGTCTCCAGATGTCAACACAGAAGTAGCTGTTCACAATTGCTCAGTTACCTGGGGCATGGTGGGCCTTGGTCTTCTTCCTCTTCTTGGTCCTTTTTAGTTCCTGCAATACATTCAGACAGGGACAGACAAAATAAGCCAATTCACCTACACCCATAACAGTCCACTGTCTAATCCCCACACAGGGATCTCAGGCTCCTCAGCATGAGAACAGGACAATGTGAGAGAGATACTTCAGGAGGCCTGAAAGCTGGTCATGATATTCTTTGGTTTGCATCTCAGAACCAAGGGTGAAATATCCCCATTCTGGTAGATCGTTATCCCAAAATCATTTATCCCAAGTTTGTGCAAACAGTTATGCCTTATTGTTCCCATCAGTTCAAAGAAAATGCCCCAGATGATTTCTAGGAGGAAAACTGCAGTATTCAGCCCTGTCTCATCAAATGCCCAGCTCGTTCATGGATGCAAGAATTTTAGACACTGAAATTAGAATGAAGGAGGAAATCTACAAACCCTTGAGTCCAAATCATACTTCTGTGAATTTTTTACATCTGCCTGGGTCCAATGTGCTGAGAGCGGGCTCAGCTTGCCACAGGCATGGCTGGAGACTAGGAATAGAGCCTTGCTCACTGACCCATTTCATGTCTAGGCTTCCAACTGAGACTACAGTTTCATTACAACCTATATGCGCCCATAGGTCCTGCCTGCGGCAATGACATCTCTCGGGTCAGTAAGGGCCACTTGGAACAGGAATATCACCCCTATCTGGAAGACCAGGTGGAGGCTTATCACCTTCACAGTAAGGTACTCACTGTCCACGTCAAGAGCCAAGCCAAGGTACTGTTCCTCCAATGAGTAAACAGCACTGCTGTAGGGCTGGCCTAAGTCAGGCAGTTCAAGATAACCTGAAGGAGTCGAATAACATCTATCCAGTGAGTCCTGCAAGACTTCAGGCTCTTTCTCATCCAGCAGCTCCCTGCTGAGCCTGGAAAAGTAGGAAAAAGTAAAGAATAAGCCAGGGGGAATCAGAAACCACACAGCCCCAGCTAGATTTCATGGCTAACATAAGGAACTGTTTAAAAAGAAAAAGGACAGATCCATTAATGAGGTAATGAATTATTGCCTTTATGTTGGGATAGACCAGGGCCAGGTAGAAAAGAATGAAAGAGAAAGACAGGGAGAGGGAGGGAGAGAGAGAGAGAGAGAGAGAGGAGAAAGTAAGCTCAGCGAGTTGGCCGGGTGACACACTGATGAAGGGGTCAAAGGACACTCTGAGTTAGTGCCCTCGGGACACACAGCGAACAGTGATCATGAAAAGAGTGGGCTCAATAATTTTCCATAAACTTGCTCAAGATTCCATGCAGTTGCCATACAGCCTTTGAGGTATGGTCAACCTATAGTAAGTTAGTAAATGATAAGGGGAGGAAGAAATGGAAACCTAAACATCTACTGCAATGAAAACCAACAGCAATATCAGGAGGAGTAATTCAACCTTCGTTGAAAACATGAAATTGAACACACTCTTGTTTTCCCTGGACCTGGCATCTCCAGGTGTCAACACAGAATTAAGCATCCATAATTGCTCAAAGTTACCTGGGGCATGATGGGTCTTGGTCTTCTTCCACTTCTTGGTACTTTTCAATTTCTGCAATAAGTTCAGACATGGACAGACATATTAAGCTGGTTCTCCTACACACATAACAATCCACTGTCTAATCCTCACACAGGGACTTCAGGCTCCTCAGCATGAGAATAGGACACTGTGAGAGATAGTCTTCAGGAGGCCTGAAGGCTGATCACCATAGAGATTCCTTGGTTTTTGTCCCAGAAACTGTGGGTAAAATTCCCTATTCTGGTAGATCGTTATCCCAATATCATTTGTCCCAAGTTTGTGCAAATGGTTATGCCATATTTTTCCAATCGATTTAAAGCAAATGCCCCCAAATGGTTGCTAGGAGAAAAACTGCACTATTCAGCCCTGTCTCATCAAATACTCAGATTGTTCACGGTAGCGAGGATTTTAGACGCTGAAATTAGAGTGAAGGATGAAATCTACAAGATCTACAAAATTGAGACAAAATCAGAGTTGTGTGAATTTGTCACATCTGCCCAGGTCCAACGTCATGAGAGTAGGATTAGGGCGCCACAGGCATGGCCTGAGACTAGGAAGAGAGCCTTGCTCACTGACCCATCCCTTGTCTGGGCTTCCAAGTGGAACTAGAGTTTCATTCAACCTACATGTGCCTATAGGACCTCCCTGTGGCAATGACATCTCTCAGCTCAGTAAGGGCCACTTGCAGTAGGAATATGACCCTAACCAGAAGACTCAGTGGATCCTTATCACCTTCATAGAAAGGTACTCACCATCCATGTCAACAGCCAAGCCAACACGCTGTTGCTCCAATACGTAAAAGGCACTTCTGTAGGGCTGGCATGAGTCAGTCAGTTCAAGACAACCTGAAGGAGTTGAATAACTTCTATCCAGTGAGTCCTGCAAGACTTCAGGCCCTTTCTCATCCAGCAGCTCCCTGCTGAGCCTGGAAAAGTGGGAAAAAGTAAAGAATAAGCCAGGGGGAATCAGAAACCACACAGCCCCAGCTAGATTTCATGGCTAACGTAAGGAAGAGTTTGAAAAGAAAAAGGACAGATCCATTAATGAGGTAACAAATTATTGCCTTTATGTTGGGATAGAACAGGGCCAGGTAGAAAACAATGAAAGAGAAAGACAGAGAGAGAGAGAGAGACAGAGACAGAGAGAGAGACAGAGACAGAGACAGAGAGAAAGTGACCTAGTGAATTGGCCAGGTGACATACTGGTAAGGGAGTAAAAGGACACTCTGAGTTAGTGCCCTCATGACACACAGCAAACTGTGATCATGAAAAGAGTGAGCTCAATAGTTTTCCATAAAATATGCTCAAAATTCGATGCAGTGGCCATGAGAGTACAGCTTTTGAAGTATGGTCAACCTATGGTACGTTAGGAAATGATAAGGGGAGGAAGAAATGGAAACCTAAACATCTACTGCAATGAAAACCAACAGCAATGACAGTAGGAGTAATTCAGCCTTCGTTGAAAACATGACATCAAACACACTCTGGTTTCCCTGAATCTGTTGCCTCCAGGTGTTAACACAGAATTAAGCATCCACAATTGCTGAAAGTCACCTGGGGCATGGTGGGGTTTGATCTTCTTCCCCTTCTTTTCTTCCCCTTCTTCTTTCCTTCTTTGATCTTCTTCCCCTTCTTTTCTTCCCCTTCCCCTTCTTTTCAATTTCTGCAATAAATTCAGACATGGACAGACACATTAAGCTGATTCCCCTACACACATAACAATCCACTGTCTAATCCTCACACAGGGACCTCAGGCTCCTCAGCATAAGAATAGGACACCGTGAGAGATATATTTCAGGAGGCCTGAAGGCTGGTCATGATAGAAATTCCTCGGTTTTTCTCCCAGAAACTGTGGGTAAAATGTCCCTATTCTAGTAGATCGTTATCCCAATATCATTTGTCCCAAGTTTGTGCAAACAGTTATGCCATATTTTTCCAATCAACTTAAAGCAAATACCCTCAAATGATTTCTAGGAGAAAAACTGCAATATTTAGCCCTGTCTCATCAAATACTCAGATTGTTCATGGTTGTGAGGACTTTAGACACTGAAATTAGAGTGAAAAAGGAAATCTACAAACCCTTGAGTCAAAATCATAGTTCTCTGAATTTGTCACATCTGCCCAGGTCCAATGTCATGAGGATAGGATCAGGGCGCCACAGGTATGGCCTGAGACTAGGAAGAGAGTCTTGCTCACTGACCCATCCCTTGCCTGGGCTTCCAGGTAGAACTAGAGTTTCATTCAACCTACATGTGCCTATAGGTCCTCCCTGTGGCAATGACATCTCTCAGCTCAGTAATGGCCACTTGGAGCAGGAATATGATCTTTATATGGAAGACTCAGTGGATCCTTATCACCTTCATAGAAAGGTACTCACCTCCCACGTCGAGAGAAAAGCCAACATGTTTTTCCTCCAATGCATAAAAGGAACTTCCATAGGGCTGGCAGGAGTCAGGCTGTTCAAGACAACTGGAAGGAGTTGAATAACATCTATCCAGTGAGTCCTGCAAGACTTCAGGCTCTACTACCTCCAGCAGCTCCCTGCTGAGCCTGGAAAAGGAGGAAAAAGTAAAGAATAAGCCAGGGGAAATCAGACACAACAGAGCCCCAACTAGGTTTCATGGGTAGCATAGGGAAGTGGTTAAAAAACTAAAAGGATAGATCCATTAATGAGGTAACAAATTATTGCCTTCATGTTGGGACAGAACAGGGCCAAATGGAAAAGAATGAAAGAGAAAGACAGATAGACACACACACACACACACACACACACACACACACACACACAGACACACACACACACACAGAGAGAACGAGCTCAGTGAATTGTCCAGGTGACACACTGATGAGGGAGTAACAGGACACTCTGAGTTAGTGCCCTCAGGACACACAGCATACAGGGATCATGAAAAGACTGTGCTCAATAATTTTCCATAAAATGTGCTCAAGTTTCCATGCAGTCGCCATGAGAATACAGTTTTTGAAGTCTGGTCCACCTACAGTAGGTTAGTAAATGATAAGGGGAGGAAGAAATGGAAACCTAAATATCTACTGCAATGAAAACCAACAGCAATGTTAGTAGGAATAATTCAGGCTTGCTGGAAAAGATGTAATCGATAATGTCAGCCCGCTCTGTTTTCCCTGAACCAGGAGTCTCCAGATGTCAACACAGAAGTAGCTGTTCACAATTGCTCAGTTACCTGGGGCATGGTGGGCCTTGGTCTTCTTCCTCTTCTTGGTCCTTTTTAGTTCCTGCAATACATTCAGACAGGGACAGACAAAATAAGCCAATTCACCTACACCCATAACAGTCCACTGTCTAATCCCCACACAGGGATCTCAGGCTCCTCAGCATGAGAACAGGACAATGTGAGAGAGATACTTCAGGAGGCCTGAAAGCTGGTCATGATATTCTTTGGTTTGCATCTCAGAACCAAGGGTGAAATATCCCCATTCTGGTAGATCGTTATCCCAAAATCATTTATCCCAAGTTTGTGCAAACAGTTATGCCTTATTGTTCCCATCAGTTCAAAGAAAATGCCCCAGATGATTTCTAGGAGGAAAACTGCAGTATTCAGCCCTGTCTCATCAAATGCCCAGCTCGTTCATGGATGCAAGAATTTTAGACACTGAAATTAGAATGAAGGAGGAAATCTACAAACCCTTCAGTCCAAATCATACTTCTGTGAATTTTTTACATCTGCCTGGGTCCAATGTGCTGAGAGCGGGCTCAGCTTGCCACAGGCATGGCTGGAGACTAGGAATAGAGCCTTGCTCACTGACCCATTTCATGTCTAGGCTTCCAACTGAGACTACAGTTTCATTACAACCTATATGCGCCCATAGGTCCTGCCTGCGGCAATGACATCTCTCGGGTCAGTAAGGGCCACTTGGAACAGGAATATCACCCCTATCTGGAAGACCAGGTGGAGGCTTATCACCTTCACAGTAAGGTACTCACTGTCCACGTCAAGAGCCAAGCCAAGGTACTGTTCCTCCAATGAGTAAACAGCACTGCTGTAGGGCTGGCCTAAGTCAGGCAGTTCAAGATAACCTGAAGGAGTCGAATAACATCTATCCAGTGAGTCCTGCAAGACTTCAGGCTCTTTCTCATCCAGCAGCTCCCTGCTGAGCCTGGAAAAGTAGGAAAAAGTAAAGAATAAGCCAGGGGGAATCAGAAACCACACAGCCCCAGCTAGATTTCATGGCTAACATAAGGAACTGTTTAAAAAGAAAAAGGACAGATCCATTAATGAGGTAATGAATTATTGCCTTTATGTTGGGATAGACCAGGGCCAGGTAGAAAAGAATGAAAGAGAAAGACAGGGAGAGGGAGGGAGAGAGAGAGAGAGAGAGAGAGGAGAAAGTAAGCTCAGCGAGTTGGCCGGGTGACACACTGATGAAGGGGTCAAAGGACACTCTGAGTTAGTGCCCTCGGGACACACAGCGAACAGTGATCATGAAAAGAGTGGGCTCAATAATTTTCCATAAACTTGCTCAAGATTCCATGCAGTTGCCATACAGCCTTTGAGGTATGGTCAACCTATAGTAAGTTAGTAAATGATAAGGGGAGGAAGAAATGGAAACCTAAACATCTACTGCAATGAAAACCAACAGCAATATCAGGAGGAGTAATTCAACCTTCGTTGAAAACATGAAATTGAACACACTCTTGTTTTCCCTGGACCTGGCATCTCCAGGTGTCAACACAGAATTAAGCATCCATAATTGCTCAAAGTTACCTGGGGCATGATGGGTCTTGGTCTTCTTCCACTTCTTGGTACTTTTCAATTTCTGCAATAAGTTCAGACATGGACAGACATATTAAGCTGGTTCTCCTACACACATAACAATCCACTGTCTAATCCTCACACGGGGACTTCAGGCTCCTCAGCATGAGAATAGGACACTGTGAGAGATAGTCTTCAGGAGGCCTGAAGGCTGATCACCATAGAGATTCCTTGGTTTTTGTCCCAGAAACTGTGGGTAAAATTCCCTATTCTGGTAGATCGTTATCCCAATATCATTTGTCCCAAGTTTGTGCAAATGGTTATGCCATATTTTTCCAATCGATTTAAAGCAAATGCCCCCAAATGGTTGCTAGGAGAAAAACTGCACTATTCAGCCCTGTCTCATCAAATACTCAGATTGTTCACGGTAGCGAGGATTTTAGACGCTGAAATTAGAGTGAAGGATGAAATCTACAAGATCTACAAAATTGAGACAAAATCAGAGTTGTGTGAATTTGTCACATCTGCCCAGGTCCAACGTCATGAGAGTAGGATTAGGGCGCCACAGGCATGGCCTGAGACTAGGAAGAGAGCCTTGCTCACTGACCCATCCCTTGTCTGGGCTTCCAAGTGGAACTAGAGTTTCATTCAACCTACATGTGCCTATAGGACCTCCCTGTGGCAATGACATCTCTCAGCTCAGTAAGGGCCACTTGCAGTAGGAATATGACCCTAACCAGAAGACTCAGTGGATCCTTATCACCTTCATAGAAAGGTACTCACCATCCATGTCAACAGCCAAGCCAACACGCTGTTGCTCCAATACGTAAAAGGCACTTCTGTAGGGCTGGCATGAGTCAGTCAGTTCAAGACAACCTGAAGGAGTTGAATAACTTCTATCCAGTGAGTCCTGCAAGACTTCAGGCCCTTTCTCATCCAGCAGCTCCCTGCTGAGCCTGGAAAAGTGGGAAAAAGTAAAGAATAAGCCAGGGGGAATCAGAAACCACACAGCCCCAGCTAGATTTCATGGCTAACGTAAGGAAGAGTTTGAAAAGAAAAAGGACAGATCCATTAATGAGGTAACAAATTATTGCCTTTATGTTGGGATAGAACAGGGCCAGGTAGAAAACAATGAAAGAGAAAGACAGAGAGAGAGAGAGAGACAGAGACAGAGAGAGAGACAGAGACAGAGACAGAGAGAAAGTGACCTAGTGAATTGGCCAGGTGACATACTGGTAAGGGAGTAAAAGGACACTCTGAGTTAGTGCCCTCATGACACACAGCAAACTGTGATCATGAAAAGAGTGAGCTCAATAGTTTTCCATAAAATATGCTCAAAATTCGATGCAGTGGCCATGAGAGTACAGCTTTTGAAGTATGGTCAACCTATGGTACGTTAGGAAATGATAAGGGGAGGAAGAAATGGAAACCTAAACATCTACTGCAATGAAAACCAACAGCAATGACAGTAGGAGTAATTCAGCCTTCGTTGAAAACATGACATCAAACACACTCTGGTTTCCCTGAATCTGTTGCCTCCAGGTGTTAACACAGAATTAAGCATCCACAATTGCTGAAAGTCACCTGGGGCATGGTGGGTTTTGATCTTCTTCCCCTTCTTTTCTTCCCCTTCTTCTTTCCTTCTTTGATCTTCTTCCCCTTCTTTTCTTCCCCTTCCCCTTCTTTTCAATTTCTGCAATAAATTCAGACATGGACAGACACATTAAGCTGATTCCCCTACACACATAACAATCCACTGTCTAATCCTCACACAGGGACCTCAGGCTCCTCAGCATAAGAATAGGACACCGTGAGAGATATATTTCAGGAGGCCTGAAGGCTGGTCATGATAGAAATTCCTCGGTTTTTCTCCCAGAAACTGTGGGTAAAATGTCCCTATTCTAGTAGATCGTTATCCCAATATCATTTGTCCCAAGTTTGTGCAAACAGTTATGCCATATTTTTCCAATCAACTTAAAGCAAATACCCTCAAATGATTTCTAGGAGAAAAACTGCAATATTTAGCCCTGTCTCATCAAATACTCAGATTGTTCATGGTTGTGAGGACTTTAGACACTGAAATTAGAGTGAAAAAGGAAATCTACAAACCCTTGAGTCAAAATCATAGTTCTCTGAATTTGTCACATCTGCCCAGGTCCAATGTCATGAGGATAGGATCAGGGCGCCACAGGTATGGCCTGAGACTAGGAAGAGAGTCTTGCTCACTGACCCATCCCTTGCCTGGGCTTCCAGGTAGAACTAGAGTTTCATTCAACCTACATGTGCCTATAGGTCCTCCCTGTGGCAATGACATCTCTCAGCTCAGTAATGGCCACTTGGAGCAGGAATATGATCTTTATATGGAAGACTCAGTGGATCCTTATCACCTTCATAGAAAGGTACTCACCTCCCACGTCGAGAGAAAAGCCAACATGTTTTTCCTCCAATGCATAAAAGGAACTTCCATAGGGCTGGCAGGAGTCAGGCTGTTCAAGACAACTGGAAGGAGTTGAATAACATCTATCCAGTGAGTCCTGCAAGACTTCAGGCTCTACTACCTCCAGCAGCTCCCTGCTGAGCCTGGAAAAGGAGGAAAAAGTAAAGAATAAGCCAGGGGAAATCAGACACAACAGAGCCCCAACTAGGTTTCATGGGTAGCATAGGGAAGTGGTTAAAAAACTAAAAGGATAGATCCATTAATGAGGTAACAAATTATTGCCTTCATGTTGGGACAGAACAGGGCCAAATGGAAAAGAATGAAAGAGAAAGACAGATAGACACACACACACACACACACACACACACACACACACACACAGAGAGAGAGAGAACGAGCTCAGTGAATTGTCCAGGTGACACACTGATGAGGGAGTAACAGGACACTCTGAGTTAGTGCCCTCAGGACACACAGCATACAGGGATCATGAAAAGACTGTGCTCAATAATTTTCCATAAAATGTGCTCAAGTTTCCATGCAGTCGCCATGAGAATACAGTTTTTGAAGTCTGGTCCACCTACAGTAGGTTAGTAAATGATAAGGGGAGGAAGAAATGGAAACCTAAATATCTACTGCAATGAAAACCAACAGCAATGTTAGTAGGAATAATTCAGGCTTGCTGGAAAAGATGTAATCGATAATGTCAGCCCGCTCTGTTTTCCCTGAACCAGGAGTCTCCAGATGTCAACACAGAAGTAGCTGTTCACAATTGCTCAGTTACCTGGGGCATGGTGGGCCTTGGTCTTCTTCCTCTTCTTGGTCCTTTTTAGTTCCTGCAATACATTCAGACAGGGACAGACAAAATAAGCCAATTCACCTACACCCATAACAGTCCACTGTCTAATCCCCACACAGGGATCTCAGGCTCCTCAGCATGAGAACAGGACAATGTGAGAGAGATACTTCAGGAGGCCTGAAAGCTGGTCATGATATTCTTTGGTTTGCATCTCAGAACCAAGGGTGAAATATCCCCATTCTGGTAGATCGTTATCCCAAAATCATTTATCCCAAGTTTGTGCAAACAGTTATGCCTTATTGTTCCCATCAGTTCAAAGAAAATGCCCCAGATGATTTCTAGGAGGAAAACTGCAGTATTCAGCCCTGTCTCATCAAATGCCCAGCTCGTTCATGGATGCAAGAATTTTAGACACTGAAATTAGAATGAAGGAGGAAATCTACAAACCCTTGAGTCCAAATCATAGTTCTGTGAATTTTTTACGTCTGCCTGGGTCCAATGTGCTGAGAGCGGGCTCAGCTTGCCACAGGCATGGCTGGAGACTAGGAATAGAGCCTTGCTCACTGACCCATTTCATGTCTAGGCTTCCAACTGAGACTACAGTTTCATTACAACCTATATGCGCCCATAGGTCCTGCCTGCGGCAATGACATCTCTCGGGTCAGTAAGGGCCACTTGGAACAGGAATATCACCCCTATCTGGAAGACCAGGTGGAGGCTTATCACCTTCACAGTAAGATACTCACTGTCCACGTCAAGAGCCAAGCCAAGGTACTGTTCCTCCAATGAGTAAACAGCACTGCTGTAGGGCTGGCCTAAGTCAGGCAGTTCAAGATAACCTGAAGGAGTCGAATAACATCTATCCAGTGAGTCCTGCAAGACTTCAGGCTCTTTCTCATCCAGCAGCTCCCTGCTGAGCCTGGAAAAGTAGGAAAAAGTAAAGAATAAGCCAGGGGGAATCAGAAACCACACAGCCCCAGCTAGATTTCATGGCTAACATAAGGAACTGTTTAAAAAGAAAAAGGACAGATCCATTAATGAGGTAATGAATTATTGCCTTTATGTTGGGATAGACCAGGGCCAGGTAGAAAAGAATGAAAGAGAAAGACAGGGAGAGGGAGGGAGAGAGAGAGAGAGAGAGAGAGGAGAAAGTAAGCTCAGCGAGTTGGCCGGGTGACACACTGATGAAGGGGTCAAAGGACACTCTGAGTTAGTGCCCTCGGGACACACAGCGAACAGTGATCATGAAAAGAGTGGGCTCAATAATTTTCCATAAACTTGCTCAAGATTCCATGCAGTTGCCATACAGCCTTTGAGGTATGGTCAACCTATAGTAAGTTAGTAAATGATAAGGGGAGGAAGAAATGGAAACCTAAACATCTACTGCAATGAAAACCAACAGCAATATCAGGAGGAGTAATTCAACCTTCGTTGAAAACATGAAATTGAACACACTCTTGTTTTCCCTGGACCTGGCATCTCCAGGTGTCAACACAGAATTAAGCATCCATAATTGCTCAAAGTTACCTGGGGCATGATGGGTCTTGGTCTTCTTCCACTTCTTGGTACTTTTCAATTTCTGCAATAAGTTCAGACATGGACAGACATATTAAGCTGGTTCTCCTACACACATAACAATCCACTGTCTAATCCTCACACAGGGACTTCAGGCTCCTCAGCATGAGAATAGGACACTGTGAGAGATAGTCTTCAGGAGGCCTGAAGGCTGATCACCATAGAGATTCCTTGGTTTTTGTCCCAGAAACTGTGGGTAAAATTCCCTATTCTGGTAGATCGTTATCCCAATATCATTTGTCCCAAGTTTGTGCAAATGGTTATGCCATATTTTTCCAATCGATTTAAAGCAAATGCCCCCAAATGGTTGCTAGGAGAAAAACTGCACTATTCAGCCCTGTCTCATCAAATACTCAGATTGTTCACGGTAGCGAGGATTTTAGACGCTGAAATTAGAGTGAAGGATGAAATCTACAAGATCTACAAAATTGAGACAAAATCAGAGTTGTGTGAATTTGTCACATCTGCCCAGGTCCAACGTCATGAGAGTAGGATTAGGGCGCCACAGGCATGGCCTGAGACTAGGAAGAGAGCCTTGCTCACTGACCCATCCCTTGTCTGGGCTTCCAAGTGGAACTAGAGTTTCATTCAACCTACATGTGCCTATAGGACCTCCCTGTGGCAATGACATCTCTCAGCTCAGTAAGGGCCACTTGCAGTAGGAATATGACCCTAACCAGAAGACTCAGTGGATCCTTATCACCTTCATAGAAAGGTACTCACCATCCATGTCAACAGCCAAGCCAACACGCTGTTGCTCCAATACGTAAAAGGCACTTCTGTAGGGCTGGCATGAGTCAGTCAGTTCAAGACAACCTGAAGGAGTTGAATAACTTCTATCCAGTGAGTCCTGCAAGACTTCAGGCCCTTTCTCATCCAGCAGCTCCCTGCTGAGCCTGGAAAAGTGGGAAAAAGTAAAGAATAAGCCAGGGGGAATCAGAAACCACACAGCCCCAGCTAGATTTCATGGCTAACGTAAGGAAGAGTTTGAAAAGAAAAAGGACAGATCCATTAATGAGGTAACAAATTATTGCCTTTATGTTGGGATAGAACAGGGCCAGGTAGAAAACAATGAAAGAGAAAGACAGAGAGAGAGAGAGAGACAGAGACAGAGAGAGAGACAGAGACAGAGACAGAGAGAAAGTGACCTAGTGAATTGGCCAGGTGACATACTGGTAAGGGAGTAAAAGGACACTCTGAGTTAGTGCCCTCATGACACACAGCAAACTGTGATCATGAAAAGAGTGAGCTCAATAGTTTTCCATAAAATATGCTCAAAATTCGATGCAGTGGCCATGAGAGTACAGCTTTTGAAGTATGGTCAACCTATGGTACGTTAGGAAATGATAAGGGGAGGAAGAAATGGAAACCTAAACATCTACTGCAATGAAAACCAACAGCAATGACAGTAGGAGTAATTCAGCCTTCGTTGAAAACATGACATCAAACACACTCTGGTTTCCCTGAATCTGTTGCCTCCAGGTGTTAACACAGAATTAAGCATCCACAATTGCTGAAAGTCACCTGGGGCATGGTGGGTTTTGATCTTCTTCCCCTTCTTTTCTTCCCCTTCTTCTTTCCTTCTTTGATCTTCTTCCCCTTCTTTTCTTCCCCTTCCCCTTCTTTTCAATTTCTGCAATAAATTCAGACATGGACAGACACATTAAGCTGATTCCCCTACACACATAACAATCCACTGTCTAATCCTCACACAGGGACCTCAGGCTCCTCAGCATAAGAATAGGACACCGTGAGAGATATATTTCAGGAGGCCTGAAGGCTGGTCATGATAGAAATTCCTCGGTTTTTCTCCCAGAAACTGTGGGTAAAATGTCCCTATTCTAGTAGATCGTTATCCCAATATCATTTGTCCCAAGTTTGTGCAAACAGTTATGCCATATTTTTCCAATCAACTTAAAGCAAATACCCTCAAATGATTTCTAGGAGAAAAACTGCAATATTTAGCCCTGTCTCATCAAATACTCAGATTGTTCATGGTTGTGAGGACTTTAGACACTGAAATTAGAGTGAAAAAGGAAATCTACAAACCCTTGAGTCAAAATCATAGTTCTCTGAATTTGTCACATCTGCCCAGGTCCAATGTCATGAGGATAGGATCAGGGCGCCACAGGTATGGCCTGAGACTAGGAAGAGAGTCTTGCTCACTGACCCATCCCTTGCCTGGGCTTCCAGGTAGAACTAGAGTTTCATTCAACCTACATGTGCCTATAGGTCCTCCCTGTGGCAATGACATCTCTCAGCTCAGTAATGGCCACTTGGAGCAGGAATATGATCTTTATATGGAAGACTCAGTGGATCCTTATCACCTTCATAGAAAGGTACTCACCTCCCACGTCAAGAGAAAAGCCAACATGTTTTTCCTCCAATGCATAAAAGGAACTTCCATAGGGCTGGCAGGAGTCAGGCTGTTCAAGACAACTGGAAGGAGTTGAATAACATCTATCCAGTGAGTCCTGCAAGACTTCAGGCTCTACTACCTCCAGCAGCTCCCTGCTGAGCCTGGAAAAGGAGGAAAAAGTAAAGAATAAGCCAGGGGAAATCAGACACAACAGAGCCCCAACTAGGTTTCATGGGTAGCATAGGGAAGTGGTTAAAAAACTAAAAGGATAGATCCATTAATGAGGTAACAAATTATTGCCTTCATGTTGGGACAGAACAGGGCCAAATGGAAAAGAATGAAAGAGAAAGACAGATAGACACACACACACACACACACACACACACACACACAGACACACACACACACACAGAGAGAACGAGCTCAGTGAATTGTCCAGGTGACACACTGATGAGGGAGTAACAGGACACTCTGAGTTAGTGCCCTCAGGACACACAGCATACAGGGATCATGAAAAGACTGTGCTCAATAATTTTCCATAAAATGTGCTCAAGTTTCCATGCAGTCGCCATGAGAATACAGTTTTTGAAGTCTGGTCCACCTACAGTAGGTTAGTAAATGATAAGGGGAGGAAGAAATGGAAACCTAAATATCTACTGCAATGAAAACCAACAGCAATGTTAGTAGGAATAATTCAGGCTTGCTGGAAAAGATGTAATCGATAATGTCAGCCCGCTCTGTTTTCCCTGAACCAGGAGTCTCCAGATGTCAACACAGAAGTAGCTGTTCACAATTGCTCAGTTACCTGGGGCATGGTGGGCCTTGGTCTTCTTCCTCTTCTTGGTCCTTTTTAGTTCCTGCAATACATTCAGACAGGGACAGACAAAATAAGCCAATTCACCTACACCCATAACAGTCCACTGTCTAATCCCCACACAGGGATCTCAGGCTCCTCAGCATGAGAACAGGACAATGTGAGAGAGATACTTCAGGAGGCCTGAAAGCTGGTCATGATATTCTTTGGTTTGCATCTCAGAACCAAGGGTGAAATATCCCCATTCTGGTAGATCGTTATCCCAAAATCATTTATCCCAAGTTTGTGCAAACAGTTATGCCTTATTGTTCCCATCAGTTCAAAGAAAATGCCCCAGATGATTTCTAGGAGGAAAACTGCAGTATTCAGCCCTGTCTCATCAAATGCCCAGCTCGTTCATGGATGCAAGAATTTTAGACACTGAAATTAGAATGAAGGAGGAAATCTACAAACCCTTGAGTCCAAATCATACTTCTGTGAATTTTTTACATCTGCCTGGGTCCAATGTGCTGAGAGCGGGCTCAGCTTGCCACAGGCATGGCTGGAGACTAGGAATAGAGCCTTGCTCACTGACCCATTTCATGTCTAGGCTTCCAACTGAGACTACAGTTTCATTACAACCTATATGCGCCCATAGGTCCTGCCTGCGGCAATGACATCTCTCGGGTCAGTAAGGGCCACTTGGAACAGGAATATCACCCCTATCTGGAAGACCAGGTGGAGGCTTATCACCTTCACAGTAAGGTACTCACTGTCCACGTCAAGAGCCAAGCCAAGGTACTGTTCCTCCAATGAGTAAACAGCACTGCTGTAGGGCTGGCCTAAGTCAGGCAGTTCAAGATAACCTGAAGGAGTCGAATAACATCTATCCAGTGAGTCCTGCAAGACTTCAGGCTCTTTCTCATCCAGCAGCTCCCTGCTGAGCCTGGAAAAGTAGGAAAAAGTAAAGAATAAGCCAGGGGGAATCAGAAACCACACAGCCCCAGCTAGATTTCATGGCTAACATAAGGAACTGTTTAAAAAGAAAAAGGACAGATCCATTAATGAGGTAATGAATTATTGCCTTTATGTTGGCATAGACCAGGGCCAGGTAGAAAAGAATGAAAGAGAAAGACAGGGAGAGGGAGGGAGAGAGAGAGAGAGAGAGGAGAAAGTGAGCTCAGCGAGTTGGCCGGGTGACACACTGATGAAGGGGTCAAAGGACACTCTGAGTTAGTGCCCTCGGGACACACAGCGAACAGTGATCATGAAAAGAGTGGGCTCAATAATTTTCCATAAACTTGCTCAAGATTCCATGCAGTTGCCATACAGCCTTTGAGGTATGGTCAACCTATAGTAAGTTAGTAAATGATAAGGGGAGGAAGAAATGGAAACCTAAACATCTACTGCAATGAAAACCAACAGCAATGTCAGGAGGAGTAATTCAACCTTCGTTGAAAACATGAAATTGAACACACTCTTGTTTTCCCTGGACCTGGCATCTCCAGGTGTCGACACAGAATTAAGCATCCATAATTGCTCAAAGTTACCTGGGGCATGATGGGTCTTGGTCTTCTTCCACTTCTTGGTACTTTTCAATTTCTGCAATAAGTTCAGACATGGACAGACATATTAAGCTGGTTCTCCTACACACATAACAATCCACTGTCTAATCCTCACACAGGGACTTCAGGCTCCTCAGCATGAGAATAGGACACTGTGAGAGATAGTCTTCAGGAGGCCTGAAGGCTGATCACGATAGAGATTCCTTGGTTTTTGTCCCAGAAACTGTGGGTAAAATTCCCTATTCTGGTAGATCGTTATCCCAATATCATTTGTCCCAAGTTTGTGCAAATGGTTATGCCATATTTTTCCAATCGATTTAAAGCAAATGCCCCCAAATGGTTGCTAGGAGAAAAACTGCACTATTCAGCCCTGTCTCATCAAATACTCAGATTGTTCACGGTAGCGAGGATTTTAGACACTGAAATTAGAGTGAAGGATGAAATCTACAAGATCTACAAAATTGAGACAAAATCAGAGTTGTGTGAATTTGTCACATCTGCCCAGGTCCAACGTCATGAGAGTAGGATTAGGGCGCCACAGGCATGGCCTGAGACTAGGAAGAGAGCCTTGCTCACTGACCCATCCCTTGTCTGGGCTTCCAAGTGGAACTAGAGTTTCATTCAACCTACATGTGCCTATAGGACCTCCCTGTGGCAATGACATCTCTCAGCTCAGTAAGGGCCACTTGCAGTAGGAATATGACCCTAACCAGAAGACTCAGTGGATCCTTATCACCTTCATAGAAAGGTACTCACCATCCATGTCAACAGCCAAGCCAACACGCTGTTGCTCCAATACGTAAAAGGCACTTCTGTAGGGCTGGCATGAGTCAGTCAGTTCAAGACAACCTGAAGGAGTTGAATAACATCTATCCAGTGAGTCCTGCAAGACTTCAGGCCCTTTCTCATCCAGCAGCTCCCTGCTGAGCCTGGAAAAGTGGGAAAAAGTAAAGAATAAGCCAGGGGGAATCAGAAACCACACAGCCCCAGCTAGATTTCATGGCTAACGTAAGGAAGAGTTTGAAAAGAAAAAGGACAGATCCATTAATGAGGTAACAAATTATTGCCTTTATGTTGGGATAGAACAGGGCCAGGTAGAAAACAATGAAAGAGAAAGACAGAGAGAGAGAGAGAGACAGAGACAGAGAGAGAGAGACAGAGACAGAGACAGAGAGAAAGTGACCTAGTGAATTGGCCAGGTGACATACTGGTAAGGGAGTAAAAGGACACTCTGAGTTAGTGCCCTCATGACACACAGCAAACTGTGATCATGAAAAGAGTGAGCTCAATAGTTTTCCATAAAATATGCTCAAAATTCGATGCAGTGGCCATGAGAGTACAGCTTTTGAAGTATGGTCAACCTATGGTACGTTAGGAAATGATAAGGGGAGGAAGAAATGGAAACCTAAACATCTACTGCAATGAAAACCAACAGCAATGACAGTAGGAGTAATTCAGCCTTCGTTGAAAACATGACATCAAACACACTCTGGTTTCCCTGAATCTGTTGCCTCCAGGTGTTAACACAGAATTAAGCATCCACAATTGCTGAAAGTCACCTGGGGCATGGTGGGTTTTGATCTTCTTCCCCTTCTTTTCTTCCCCTTCTTCTTTCCTTCTTTGATCTTCTTCCCCTTCTTTTCTTCCCCTTCCCCTTCTTTTCAATTTCTGCAATAAATTCAGACATGGACAGACACATTAAGCTGATTCCCCTACACACATAACAATCCACTGTCTAATCCTCACACAGGGACCTCAGGCTCCTCAGCATAAGAATAGGACACCGTGAGAGATATATTTCAGGAGGCCTGAAGGCTGGTCATGATAGAAATTCCTCGGTTTTTCTCCCAGAAACTGTGGGTAAAATGTCCCTATTCTAGTAGATCGTTATCCCAATATCATTTGTCCCAAGTTTGTGCAAACAGTTATGCCATATTTTTCCAATCAACTTAAAGCAAATACCCTCAAATGATTTCTAGGAGAAAAACTGCAATATTTAGCCCTGTCTCATCAAATACTCAGATTGTTCATGGTTGTGAGGACTTTAGACACTGAAATTAGAGTGAAAAAGGAAATCTACAAACCCTTGAGTCAAAATCATAGTTCTCTGAATTTGTCACATCTGCCCAGGTCCAATGTCATGAGGATAGGATCAGGGCGCCACAGGTATGGCCTGAGACTAGGAAGAGAGTCTTGCTCACTGACCCATCCCTTGCCTGGGCTTCCAGGTAGAACTAGAGTTTCATTCAACCTACATGTGCCTATAGGTCCTCCCTGTGGCAATGACATCTCTCAGCTCAGTAATGGCCACTTGGAGCAGGAATATGATCTTTATATGGAAGACTCAGTGGATCCTTATCACCTTCATAGAAAGGTACTCACCTCCCACGTCGAGAGAAAAGCCAACATGTTTTTCCTCCAATGCATAAAAGGAACTTCCATAGGGCTGGCAGGAGTCAGGCTGTTCAAGACAACTGGAAGGAGTTGAATAACATCTATCCAGTGAGTCCTGCAAGACTTCAGGCTCTACTACCTCCAGCAGCTCCCTGCTGAGCCTGGAAAAGGAGGAAAAAGTAAAGAATAAGCCAGGGGAAATCAGACACAACAGAGCCCCAACTAGGTTTCATGGGTAGCATAGGGAAGTGGTTAAAAAACTAAAAGGATAGATCCATTAATGAGGTAACAAATTATTGCCTTCATGTTGGGACAGAACAGGGCCAAATGGAAAAGAATGAAAGAGAAAGACAGATAGACACACACACACACACACACACACACACACACACAGACACACACACACACACACAGAGAACGAGCTCAGTGAATTGTCCAGGTGACACACTGATGAGGGAGTAACAGGACACTCTGAGTTAGTGCCCTCAGGACACACAGCATACAGGGATCATGAAAAGACTGTGCTCAATAATTTTCCATAAAATGTGCTCAAGTTTCCATGCAGTCGCCATGAGAATACAGTTTTTGAAGTCTGGTCCACCTACAGTAGGTTAGTAAATGATAAGGGGAGGAAGAAATGGAAACCTAAATATCTACTGCAATGAAAACCAACAGCAATGTTAGTAGGAATAATTCAGGCTTGCTGGAAAAGATGTAATCGATAATGTCAGCCCGCTCTGTTTTCCCTGAACCAGGAGTCTCCAGATGTCAACACAGAAGTAGCTGTTCACAATTGCTCAGTTACCTGGGGCATGGTGGGCCTTGGTCTTCTTCCTCTTCTTGGTCCTTTTTAGTTCCTGCAATACATTCAGACAGGGACAGACAAAATAAGCCAATTCACCTACACCCATAACAGTCCACTGTCTAATCCCCACACAGGGATCTCAGGCTCCTCAGCATGAGAACAGGACAATGTGAGAGAGATACTTCAGGAGGCCTGAAAGCTGGTCATGATATTCTTTGGTTTGCATCTCAGAACCAAGGGTGAAATATCCCCATTCTGGTAGATCGTTATCCCAAAATCATTTATCCCAAGTTTGTGCAAACAGTTATGCCTTATTGTTCCCATCAGTTCAAAGAAAATGCCCCAGATGATTTCTAGGAGGAAAACTGCAGTATTCAGCCCTGTCTCATCAAATGCCCAGCTCGTTCATGGATGCAAGAATTTTAGACACTGAAATTAGAATGAAGGAGGAAATCTACAAACCCTTCAGTCCAAATCATACTTCTGTGAATTTTTTACATCTGCCTGGGTCCAATGTGCTGAGAGCGGGCTCAGCTTGCCACAGGCATGGCTGGAGACTAGGAATAGAGCCTTGCTCACTGACCCATTTCATGTCTAGGCTTCCAACTGAGACTACAGTTTCATTACAACCTATATGCGCCCATAGGTCCTGCCTGCGGCAATGACATCTCTCGGGTCAGTAAGGGCCACTTGGAACAGGAATATCACCCCTATCTGGAAGACCAGGTGGAGGCTTATCACCTTCACAGTAAGGTACTCACTGTCCACGTCAAGAGCCAAGCCAAGGTACTGTTCCTCCAATGAGTAAACAGCACTGCTGTAGGGCTGGCCTAAGTCAGGCAGTTCAAGATAACCTGAAGGAGTCGAATAACATCTATCCAGTGAGTCCTGCAAGACTTCAGGCTCTTTCTCATCCAGCAGCTCCCTGCTGAGCCTGGAAAAGTAGGAAAAAGTAAAGAATAAGCCAGGGGGAATCAGAAACCACACAGCCCCAGCTAGATTTCATGGCTAACATAAGGAACTGTTTAAAAAGAAAAAGGACAGATCCATTAATGAGGTAATGAATTATTGCCTTTATGTTGGGATAGACCAGGGCCAGGTAGAAAAGAATGAAAGAGAAAGACAGGGAGAGGGAGGGAGAGAGAGAGAGAGAGAGAGAGGAGAAAGTAAGCTCAGCGAGTTGGCCGGGTGACACACTGATGAAGGGGTCAAAGGACACTCTGAGTTAGTGCCCTCGGGACACACAGCGAACAGTGATCATGAAAAGAGTGGGCTCAATAATTTTCCATAAACTTGCTCAAGATTCCATGCAGTTGCCATACAGCCTTTGAGGTATGGTCAACCTATAGTAAGTTAGTAAATGATAAGGGGAGGAAGAAATGGAAACCTAAACATCTACTGCAATGAAAACCAACAGCAATATCAGGAGGAGTAATTCAACCTTCGTTGAAAACATGAAATTGAACACACTCTTGTTTTCCCTGGACCTGGCATCTCCAGGTGTCAACACAGAATTAAGCATCCATAATTGCTCAAAGTTACCTGGGGCATGATGGGTCTTGGTCTTCTTCCACTTCTTGGTACTTTTCAATTTCTGCAATAAGTTCAGACATGGACAGACATATTAAGCTGGTTCTCCTACACACATAACAATCCACTGTCTAATCCTCACACAGGGACTTCAGGCTCCTCAGCATGAGAATAGGACACTGTGAGAGATAGTCTTCAGGAGGCCTGAAGGCTGATCACCATAGAGATTCCTTGGTTTTTGTCCCAGAAACTGTGGGTAAAATTCCCTATTCTGGTAGATCGTTATCCCAATATCATTTGTCCCAAGTTTGTGCAAATGGTTATGCCATATTTTTCCAATCGATTTAAAGCAAATGCCCCCAAATGGTTGCTAGGAGAAAAACTGCACTATTCAGCCCTGTCTCATCAAATACTCAGATTGTTCACGGTAGCGAGGATTTTAGACGCTGAAATTAGAGTGAAGGATGAAATCTACAAGATCTACAAAATTGAGACAAAATCAGAGTTGTGTGAATTTGTCACATCTGCCCAGGTCCAACGTCATGAGAGTAGGATTAGGGCGCCACAGGCATGGCCTGAGACTAGGAAGAGAGCCTTGCTCACTGACCCATCCCTTGTCTGGGCTTCCAAGTGGAACTAGAGTTTCATTCAACCTACATGTGCCTATAGGACCTCCCTGTGGCAATGACATCTCTCAGCTCAGTAAGGGCCACTTGCAGTAGGAATATGACCCTAACCAGAAGACTCAGTGGATCCTTATCACCTTCATAGAAAGGTACTCACCATCCATGTCAACAGCCAAGCCAACACGCTGTTGCTCCAATACGTAAAAGGCACTTCTGTAGGGCTGGCATGAGTCAGTCAGTTCAAGACAACCTGAAGGAGTTGAATAACTTCTATCCAGTGAGTCCTGCAAGACTTCAGGCCCTTTCTCATCCAGCAGCTCCCTGCTGAGCCTGGAAAAGTGGGAAAAAGTAAAGAATAAGCCAGGGGGAATCAGAAACCACACAGCCCCAGCTAGATTTCATGGCTAACGTAAGGAAGAGTTTGAAAAGAAAAAGGACAGATCCATTAATGAGGTAACAAATTATTGCCTTTATGTTGGGATAGAACAGGGCCAGGTAGAAAACAATGAAAGAGAAAGACAGAGAGAGAGAGAGAGACAGAGACAGAGAGAGAGACAGAGACAGAGACAGAGAGAAAGTGACCTAGTGAATTGGCCAGGTGACATACTGGTAAGGGAGTAAAAGGACACTCTGAGTTAGTGCCCTCATGACACACAGCAAACTGTGATCATGAAAAGAGTGAGCTCAATAGTTTTCCATAAAATATGCTCAAAATTCGATGCAGTGGCCATGAGAGTACAGCTTTTGAAGTATGGTCAACCTATGGTACGTTAGGAAATGATAAGGGGAGGAAGAAATGGAAACCTAAACATCTACTGCAATGAAAACCAACAGCAATGACAGTAGGAGTAATTCAGCCTTCGTTGAAAACATGACATCAAACACACTCTGGTTTCCCTGAATCTGTTGCCTCCAGGTGTTAACACAGAATTAAGCATCCACAATTGCTGAAAGTCACCTGGGGCATGGTGGGTTTTGATCTTCTTCCCCTTCTTTTCTTCCCCTTCTTCTTTCCTTCTTTGATCTTCTTCCCCTTCTTTTCTTCCCCTTCCCCTTCTTTTCAATTTCTGCAATAAATTCAGACATGGACAGACACATTAAGCTGATTCCCCTACACACATAACAATCCACTGTCTAATCCTCACACAGGGACCTCAGGCTCCTCAGCATAAGAATAGGACACCGTGAGAGATATATTTCAGGAGGCCTGAAGGCTGGTCATGATAGAAATTCCTCGGTTTTTCTCCCAGAAACTGTGGGTAAAATGTCCCTATTCTAGTAGATCGTTATCCCAATATCATTTGTCCCAAGTTTGTGCAAACAGTTATGCCATATTTTTCCAATCAACTTAAAGCAAATACCCTCAAATGATTTCTAGGAGAAAAACTGCAATATTTAGCCCTGTCTCATCAAATACTCAGATTGTTCATGGTTGTGAGGACTTTAGACACTGAAATTAGAGTGAAAAAGGAAATCTACAAACCCTTGAGTCAAAATCATAGTTCTCTGAATTTGTCACATCTGCCCAGGTCCAATGTCATGAGGATAGGATCAGGGCGCCACAGGTATGGCCTGAGACTAGGAAGAGAGTCTTGCTCACTGACCCATCCCTTGCCTGGGCTTCCAGGTAGAACTAGAGTTTCATTCAACCTACATGTGCCTATAGGTCCTCCCTGTGGCAATGACATCTCTCAGCTCAGTAATGGCCACTTGGAGCAGGAATATGATCTTTATATGGAAGACTCAGTGGATCCTTATCACCTTCATAGAAAGGTACTCACCTCCCACGTCAAGAGAAAAGCCAACATGTTTTTCCTCCAATGCATAAAAGGAACTTCCATAGGGCTGGCAGGAGTCAGGCTGTTCAAGACAACTGGAAGGAGTTGAATAACATCTATCCAGTGAGTCCTGCAAGACTTCAGGCTCTACTACCTCCAGCAGCTCCCTGCTGAGCCTGGAAAAGGAGGAAAAAGTAAAGAATAAGCCAGGGGAAATCAGACACAACAGAGCCCCAACTAGGTTTCATGGGTAGCATAGGGAAGTGGTTAAAAAACTAAAAGGATAGATCCATTAATGAGGTAACAAATTATTGCCTTCATGTTGGGACAGAACAGGGCCAAATGGAAAAGAATGAAAGAGAAAGACAGATAGACACACACACACACACACACACACAGACACACACACAGACACACACACACACAGAGAGAGAACGAGCTCAGTGAATTGTCCAGGTGACACACTGATGAGGGAGTAACAGGACACTCTGAGTTAGTGCCCTCAGGACACACAGCATACAGGGATCATGAAAAGACTGTGCTCAATAATTTTCCATAAAATGTGCTCAAGTTTCCATGCAGTCGCCATGAGAATACAGTTTTTGAAGTCTGGTCCACCTACAGTAGGTTAGTAAATGATAAGGGGAGGAAGAAATGGAAACCTAAATATCTACTGCAATGAAAACCAACAGCAATGTTAGTAGGAATAATTCAGGCTTGCTGGAAAAGATGTAATCGATAATGTCAGCCCGCTCTGTTTTCCCTGAACCAGGAGTCTCCAGATGTCAACACAGAAGTAGCTGTTCACAATTGCTCAGTTACCTGGGGCATGGTGGGCCTTGGTCTTCTTCCTCTTCTTGGTCCTTTTTAGTTCCTGCAATACATTCAGACAGGGACAGACAAAATAAGCCAATTCACCTACACCCATAACAGTCCACTGTCTAATCCCCACACAGGGATCTCAGGCTCCTCAGCATGAGAACAGGACAATGTGAGAGAGATACTTCAGGAGGCCTGAAAGCTGGTCATGATATTCTTTGGTTTGCATCTCAGAACCAAGGGTGAAATATCCCCATTCTGGTAGATCGTTATCCCAAAATCATTTATCCCAAGTTTGTGCAAACAGTTATGCCTTATTGTTCCCATCAGTTCAAAGAAAATGCCCCAGATGATTTCTAGGAGGAAAACTGCAGTATTCAGCCCTGTCTCATCAAATGCCCAGCTCGTTCATGGATGCAAGAATTTTAGACACTGAAATTAGAATGAAGGAGGAAATCTACAAACCCTTCAGTCCAAATCATACTTCTGTGAATTTTTTACATCTGCCTGGGTCCAATGTGCTGAGAGCGGGCTCAGCTTGCCACAGGCATGGCTGGAGACTAGGAATAGAGCCTTGCTCACTGACCCATTTCATGTCTAGGCTTCCAACTGAGACTACAGTTTCATTACAACCTATATGCGCCCATAGGTCCTGCCTGCGGCAATGACATCTCTCGGGTCAGTAAGGGCCACTTGGAACAGGAATATCACCCCTATCTGGAAGACCAGGTGGAGGCTTATCACCTTCACAGTAAGGTACTCACTGTCCACGTCAAGAGCCAAGCCAAGGTACTGTTCCTCCAATGAGTAAACAGCACTGCTGTAGGGCTGGCCTAAGTCAGGCAGTTCAAGATAACCTGAAGGAGTCGAATAACATCTATCCAGTGAGTCCTGCAAGACTTCAGGCTCTTTCTCATCCAGCAGCTCCCTGCTGAGCCTGGAAAAGTAGGAAAAAGTAAAGAATAAGCCAGGGGGAATCAGAAACCACACAGCCCCAGCTAGATTTCATGGCTAACATAAGGAACTGTTTAAAAAGAAAAAGGACAGATCCATTAATGAGGTAATGAATTATTGCCTTTATGTTGGGATAGACCAGGGCCAGGTAGAAAAGAATGAAAGAGAAAGACAGGGAGAGGGAGAGAGAGAGAGAGAGAGGAGAAAGTGAGCTCAGCGAGTTGGCCGGGTGACACACTGATGAAGGGGTCAAAGGACACTCTGAGTTAGTGCCCTCGGGACACACAGCGAACAGTGATCATGAAAAGAGTGGGCTCAATAATTTTCCATAAACTTGCTCAAGATTCCATGCAGTTGCCATACAGCCTTTGAGGTATGGTCAACCTATAGTAAGTTAGTAAATGATAAGGGGAGGAAGAAATGGAAACCTAAACATCTACTGCAATGAAAACCAACAGCAATGTCAGGAGGAGTAATTCAACCTTCGTTGAAAACATGAAATTGAACACACTCTTGTTTTCCCTGGACCTGGCATCTCCAGGTGTCAACACAGAATTAAGCATCCATAATTGCTCAAAGTTACCTGGGGCATGATGGGTCTTGGTCTTCTTCCACTTCTTGGTACTTTTCAATTTCTGCAATAAGTTCAGACATGGACAGACATATTAAGCTGGTTCTCCTACACACATAACAATCCACTGTCTAATCCTCACACAGGGACTTCAGGCTCCTCAGCATGAGAATAGGACACTGTGAGAGGTAGTCTTCAGGAGGCCTGAAGGCTGATCACGATAGAGATTCCTTGGTTTTTGTCCCAGAAACTGTGGGTAAAATTCCCTATTCTGGTAGATCGTTATCCCAATATCATTTGTCCCAAGTTTGTGCAAATGGTTATGCCATATTTTTCCAATCGATTTAAAGCAAATGCCCCCAAATGGTTGCTAGGAGAAAAACTGCACTATTCAGCCCTGTCTCATCAAATACTCAGATTGTTCACGGTAGCGAGGATTTTAGACGCTGAAATTAGAGTGAAGGATGAAATCTACAAGATCTACAAAATTGAGACAAAATCAGAGTTGTGTGAATTTGTCACATCTGCCCAGGTCCAACGTCATGAGAGTAGGATTAGGGCGCCACAGGCATGGCCTGAGACTAGGAAGAGAGCCTTGCTCACTGACCCATCCCTTGTCTGGGCTTCCAAGTGGAACTAGAGTTTCATTCAACCTACATGTGCCTATAGGACCTCCCTGTGGCAATGACATCTCTCAGCTCAGTAAGGGCCACTTGCAGTAGGAATATGACCCTAACCAGAAGACTCAGTGGATCCTTATCACCTTCATAGAAAGGTACTCACCATCCATGTCAACAGCCAAGCCAACACGCTGTTGCTCCAATACGTAAAAGGCACTTCTGTAGGGCTGGCATGAGTCAGTCAGTTCAAGACAACCTGAAGGAGTTGAATAACATCTATCCAGTGAGTCCTGCAAGACTTCAGGCCCTTTCTCATCCAGCAGCTCCCTGCTGAGCCTGGAAAAGTGGGAAAAAGTAAAGAATAAGCCAGGGGGAATCAGAAACCACACAGCCCCAGCTAGATTTCATGGCTAACGTAAGGAAGAGTTTGAAAAGAAAAAGGACAGATCCATTAATGAGGTAACAAATTATTGCCTTTATGTTGGGATAGAACAGGGCCAGGTAGAAAACAATGAAAGAGAAAGACAGAGAGAGAGAGAGAGACAGAGACAGAGAGAGAGAGACAGAGACAGAGACAGAGAGAAAGTGACCTAGTGAATTGGCCAGGTGACATACTGGTAAGGGAGTAAAAGGACACTCTGAGTTAGTGCCCTCATGACACACAGCAAACTGTGATCATGAAAAGAGTGAGCTCAATAGTTTTCCATAAAATATGCTCAAAATTCGATGCAGTGGCCATGAGAGTACAGCTTTTGAAGTATGGTCAACCTATGGTACGTTAGGAAATGATAAGGGGAGGAAGAAATGGAAACCTAAACATCTACTGCAATGAAAACCAACAGCAATGACAGTAGGAGTAATTCAGCCTTCGTTGAAAACATGACATCAAACACACTCTGGTTTCCCTGAATCTGTTGCCTCCAGGTGTTAACAGAGAATTAAGCATCCACAATTGCTGAAAGTCACCTGGGGCATGGTGGGTTTTGATCTTCTTCCCCTTCTTTTCTTCCCCTTCTTCTTTCCTTCTTTGATCTTCTTCCCCTTCTTTTCTTCCCCTTCCCCTTCTTTTCAATTTCTGCAATAAATTCAGACATGGACAGACACATTAAGCTGATTCCCCTACACACATAACAATCCACTGTCTAATCCTCACACAGGGACCTCAGGCTCCTCAGCATAAGAATAGGACACCGTGAGAGATATATTTCAGGAGGCCTGAAGGCTGGTCATGATAGAAATTCCTCGGTTTTTCTCCCAGAAACTGTGGGTAAAATGTCCCTATTCTAGTAGATCGTTATCCCAATATCATTTGTCCCAAGTTTGTGCAAACAGTTATGCCATATTTTTCCAATCAACTTAAAGCAAATACCCTCAAATGATTTCTAGGAGAAAAACTGCAATATTTAGCCCTGTCTCATCAAATACTCAGATTGTTCATGGTTGTGAGGACTTTAGACACTGAAATTAGAGTGAAAAAGGAAATCTACAAACCCTTGAGTCAAAATCATAGTTCTCTGAATTTGTCACATCTGCCCAGGTCCAATGTCATGAGGATAGGATCAGGGCGCCACAGGTATGGCCTGAGACTAGGAAGAGAGTCTTGCTCACTGACCCATCCCTTGCCTGGGCTTCCAGGTAGAACTAGAGTTTCATTCAACCTACATGTGCCTATAGGTCCTCCCTGTGGCAATGACATCTCTCAGCTCAGTAATGGCCACTTGGAGCAGGAATATGATCTTTATATGGAAGACTCAGTGGATCCTTATCACCTTCATAGAAAGGTACTCACCTCCCACGTCAAGAGAAAAGCCAACATGTTTTTCCTCCAATGCATAAAAGGAACTTCCATAGGGCTGGCAGGAGTCAGGCTGTTCAAGACAACTGGAAGGAGTTGAATAACATCTATCCAGTGAGTCCTGCAAGACTTCAGGCTCTACTACCTCCAGCAGCTCCCTGCTGAGCCTGGAAAAGGAGGAAAAAGTAAAGAATAAGCCAGGGGAAATCAGACACAACAGAGCCCCAACTAGGTTTCATGGGTAGCATAGGGAAGTGGTTAAAAAACTAAAAGGATAGATCCATTAATGAGGTAACAAATTATTGCCTTCATGTTGGGACAGAACAGGGCCAAATGGAAAAGAATGAAAGAGAAAGACAGATAGACACACACACACACACACACACACACACACAGACACACACACAGACACACACACACACAGAGAGAGAACGAGCTCAGTGAATTGTCCAGGTGACACACTGATGAGGGAGTAACAGGACACTCTGAGTTAGTGCCCTCAGGACACACAGCATACAGGGATCATGAAAAGACTGTGCTCAATAATTTTCCATAAAATGTGCTCAAGTTTCCATGCAGTCGCCATGAGAATACAGTTTTTGAAGTCTGGTCCACCTACAGTAGGTTAGTAAATGATAAGGGGAGGAAGAAATGGAAACCTAAATATCTACTGCAATGAAAACCAACAGCAATGTTAGTAGGAATAATTCAGGCTTGCTGGAAAAGATGTAATCGATAATGTCAGCCCGCTCTGTTTTCCCTGAACCAGGAGTCTCCAGATGTCAACACAGAAGTAGCTGTTCACAATTGCTCAGTTACCTGGGGCATGGTGGGCCTTGGTCTTCTTCCTCTTCTTGGTCCTTTTTAGTTCCTGCAATACATTCAGACAGGGACAGACAAAATAAGCCAATTCACCTACACCCATAACAGTCCACTGTCTAATCCCCACACAGGGATCTCAGGCTCCTCAGCATGAGAACAGGACAATGTGAGAGAGATACTTCAGGAGGCCTGAAAGCTGGTCATGATATTCTTTGGTTTGCATCTCAGAACCAAGGGTGAAATATCCCCATTCTGGTAGATCGTTATCCCAAAATCATTTATCCCAAGTTTGTGCAAACAGTTATGCCTTATTGTTCCCATCAGTTCAAAGAAAATGCCCCAGATGATTTCTAGGAGGAAAACTGCAGTATTCAGCCCTGTCTCATCAAATGCCCAGCTCGTTCATGGATGCAAGAATTTTAGACACTGAAATTAGAATGAAGGAGGAAATCTACAAACCCTTCAGTCCAAATCATACTTCTGTGAATTTTTTACATCTGCCTGGGTCCAATGTGCTGAGAGCGGGCTCAGCTTGCCACAGGCATGGCTGGAGACTAGGAATAGAGCCTTGCTCACTGACCCATTTCATGTCTAGGCTTCCAACTGAGACTACAGTTTCATTACAACCTATATGCGCCCATAGGTCCTGCCTGCGGCAATGACATCTCTCGGGTCAGTAAGGGCCACTTGGAACAGGAATATCACCCCTATCTGGAAGACCAGGTGGAGGCTTATCACCTTCACAGTAAGGTACTCACTGTCCACGTCAAGAGCCAAGCCAAGGTACTGTTCCTCCAATGAGTAAACAGCACTGCTGTAGGGCTGGCCTAAGTCAGGCAGTTCAAGATAACCTGAAGGAGTCGAATAACATCTATCCAGTGAGTCCTGCAAGACTTCAGGCTCTTTCTCATCCAGCAGCTCCCTGCTGAGCCTGGAAAAGTAGGAAAAAGTAAAGAATAAGCCAGGGGGAATCAGAAACCACACAGCCCCAGCTAGATTTCATGGCTAACATAAGGAACTGTTTAAAAAGAAAAAGGACAGATCCATTAATGAGGTAATGAATTATTGCCTTTATGTTGGGATAGACCAGGGCCAGGTAGAAAAGAATGAAAGAGAAAGACAGGGAGAGGGAGAGAGAGAGAGAGAGAGGAGAAAGTGAGCTCAGCGAGTTGGCCGGGTGACACACTGATGAAGGGGTCAAAGGACACTCTGAGTTAGTGCCCTCGGGACACACAGCGAACAGTGATTATGAAAAGAGTGGGCTCAATAATTTTCCATAAACTTGCTCAAGATTCCATGCAGTTGCCATACAGCCTTTGAGGTATGGTCAACCTATAGTAAGTTAGTAAATGATAAGGGGAGGAAGAAATGGAAACCTAAACATCTACTGCAATGAAAACCAACAGCAATGTCAGGAGGAGTAATTCAACCTTCGTTGAAAACATGAAATTGAACACACTCTTGTTTTCCCTGGACCTGGCATCTCCAGGTGTCAACACAGAATTAAGCATCCATAATTGCTCAAAGTTACCTGGGGCATGATGGGTCTTGGTCTTCTTCCACTTCTTGGTACTTTTCAATTTCTGCAATAAGTTCAGACATGGACAGACATATTAAGCTGGTTCTCCTACACACATAACAATCCACTGTCTAATCCTCACACAGGGACTTCAGGCTCCTCAGCATGAGAATAGGACACTGTGAGAGATAGTCTTCAGGAGGCCTGAAGGCTGATCACCATAGAGATTCCTTGGTTTTTGTCCCAGAAACTGTGGGTAAAATTCCCTATTCTGGTAGATCGTTATCCCAATATCATTTGTCCCAAGTTTGTGCAAATGGTTATGCCATATTTTTCCAATCGATTTAAAGCAAATGCCCCCAAATGGTTGCTAGGAGAAAAACTGCACTATTCAGCCCTGTCTCATCAAATACTCAGATTGTTCATGGTAGCGAGGATTTTAGACGCTGAAATTAGAGTGAAGGATGAAATCTACAAGATCTACAAAATTGAGACAAAATCAGAGTTGTGTGAATTTGTCACATCTGCCCAGGTCGAACGTCATGAGAGTAGGATTAGGGCACCACAGGCATGGCCTGAGACTAGGAAGAGAGCCTTGCTCACTGACCCATCCCTTGTCTGGGCTTCCAAGTGGAACTAGAGTTTCATTCAACCTACATGTGCCTATAGGACCTCCCTGTGGCAATGACATCTCTCAGCTCAGTAAGGGCCACTTGCAGTAGGAATATGACCCTAACCAGAAGACTCAGTGGATCCTTATCACCTTCATAGAAAGGTACTCACCATCCATGTCAACAGCCAAGCCAATACGCTGTTGCTCCAATACGTAAAAGGCACTTCTGTAGGGCTGGCATGAGTCAGTCAGTTCAAGACAACCTGAAGGAGTTGAATAACATCTATCCAGTGAGTCCTGCAAGACTTCAGGCCCTTTCTCATCCAGCAGCTCCCTGCTGAGCCTGGAAAAGTGGGAAAAAGTAAAGAATAAGCCAGGGGGAATCAGAAACCACACAGCCCCAGCTAGATTTCATGGCTAACGTAAGGAAGAGTTTGAAAAGAAAAAGGACAGATCCATTAATGAGGTAAGAAATTATTGCCTTTATGTTGGGATAGACTAGGGCCAGGTAGAAAAGGATGAAAGAGAGAGACACACACTCACACACACACACAAACACACACACACACACACACACACACACACACAGAGCGAGCTCAGTGAATTGGTCAGGTGACACACTGATGAGGGAGTCAAAGGACACTCTGTATTTGTGCTCTCAGGACACACTGTGAACAGTGATCATGAAAAGCATGTCCTCAATAATTTTGCATAAAATGTGCTCAAGTTTCCCTGCAGTTACCATGAGAATACAGCTTTTGAGTTATGGTCAACTTTCACTAGGTTAGTAAATGATAAGGGTAGGAAGAAATGGAAACCTAAACATGTACTCTAATGAGAACCAGAAAGCAATGTAGTAGGCATAATTCAGACTTGTCTGACAAGACAAAATCATTATTTTCAGCATGTACTGTTTTCCCTGGACTTGGCATCTCCAGGTGTCAACATCAAATTAACTCTCCACAATTTCTCAGACTCACCTGGGACCTGTTGCCTCTTGGTCCTCCTTTTTCACTTGATCCCACCGATGTCCTGCAAATAAATTCAGATGGGCCCTCTTACATTAAGCAGTTCTTCCTTGCACACAGAAACATTCCTCTGTCCAATCCTAACACAGGGACATCAGTCTTGTCAGTGTGAGAACAGGAGACTTTGAGAGAAATATTCCAGTAGGCCTGAGGTCAAGTCTTGAGAAAACTGGCTTGGGTTCTTTCATGAGCCTTGGGCAAAATTCCCCTGTGTTGGAATGTTATCTTCCCTATGTGCTCTGTCCTAGGCTTCTGTACACAAATGAGAAATTTTTTCCCCAATAAATTGTAGGCAAATAGTTCTAACACCTCATAGGAGAGACACTTCAATATTAAGCTTTCTCTCATCAAATACCCAGAATTTGATAGTTTATGAGATTGTGGACACAGAGATTTGATGAAGGGGTGCAATGTACCAGCTCTTGAGTCAAAATGAAACTTGGTTCTACACAGAAGCATCAGCTATTATGGCTTTTGTGGGTGAAAAGTCAGCCATTTATCTAGAAAACATACCAGGAACATGATGGACAGATGAGCTAAAACAAGCGAACTTAGAAGACACAGAAAATGGGAATAAATTCAGTGAAACCTGGGTCACATCTTTCACTGAGAGGTAGACAAGGGTGACACTGGCCTTGGGCGGGTAAAGAACCACACAGACATGCTTTGGGAACAAAACTCATAAGGAATTTTGTAGCTGGCAAGAGACATTTAATTCAGATGAGCTGAGCTGACAGACAACTCCTGGGCATGTGCTGCATAGTTTGGTGTGAGTTTGCCACACCTGCCTTGAGTTCAATGTCGTGACAATCAGTCCAGGTTGGCACGGGCATGGCCTGAGACTAGGAAGAGAGCAAAGCTCACTGACCCACCCCATGCCTGTGCTTCAGACTCGACTCCAGAGTGATTGAAATCTACATTGATATATAGGTTCAGCCCACGGTGATGGCAAATCTCAGCCCAACAAGGGGCACAAGGCCCAAAGATTATGGGGTCTACCTGGGCCATGAACTGGAGCTTTATCACCTTCACAGTGTAGTACTCACTGCCTATGTCAACAGCCATGCAGACTTGCTGTTCCTCTAATGAGTGAAATGTGCTGCTGTAAGACTGGTACGAGGCCAACATTTCAGGAGGAATTGAGAGAGTCGAATAACCTTCATCCCAGGACTCCTGGGGGACTTCCTCCTCTTCAGACTCCTGCAGATTCCTGATGAGCCAGGCAGGACAGGGATGATAGAAGATTTAACCAACAGACATTAGACAACAAAACCTCCCAGATGATCTGATGGGAGACAGAATGGAGTGGTCACAGAAACCAAAGGCATTTTTCCTTCAAGAGAAATAAAACTATCCTTCTAAATGCAGGGTGGAGGGTGACTGCTCTGGGGACAGAGCAAAAATGGGCAGCATGTGCTCAGTACATTTGCCACAGATGAGCCAACTCAGGGCACCCAGACTCTCCCTGTAAACTACCATCATGACTTGCAGCACAGAGAACTGACACAGGGCTTCAACTACTTTGCATAAATTGGGTTGAATTTTACATGCAGCATTCAAGTGAAGAGAGTTCTTGACGCAGTGCAGACACAGATCTTGTGTATTAAGGGCCCCATTTTCCCAATATTTTGATATAATATATTTACTTTTTCAATTTCTTTTCTTGCAAAAATACTAGCCAACATACTACCAACAAATAGGAAAAAAGCATGTATACACCTCTCCCTGGATTTAAACACATCGGAGAGAATAGGCAACACCAAGAAATCCCTGTTTGAGGGTCTGGAGTGGACTTCCAGCAAACTCCAACAGACCTGAAGCTGAGGGACCTGACTGTTAGAAGGAAAACTAACACACAGAAAGGAATAACATCAACATCAACAAAAAAGACATCCACCCCAAAACCCCATCTGTAGGTCACCATCATCAAAGACCAAGGGTAGATAAAACCACAAAGGTGGGGAGAAACCAGAGCACAAAAGCTGAAAATTCCAAAAACCTGACATCCCTTCTCCTCCAAAGGATCGCAGCTCCTCGCCAGCAATGGAACAAAGCAGGATGGAGAATGACTTTGATGAGCTGACAGAAGTAGGCTTCAGAAAGTCGGTAATAACAAACTTCTCTGAGCTAAAGGAGGATGTGCGAACTCATCGCAAGGAAGCTAAAAACCTTGAAAAAAGATTAGACGAATGGCTAACCAGAATGAACAGTGTAGAGAAGACCTTAAATGACCTGATGGAGCTGAAAACCATGGCACGAGAACTACGTGATGCATGCACAAGCTTCAGTAGCCAATTCGATCAAGTGCAAGAAATGGTATCAGTGATTCAAGATCAAATTAGTGAAATGAAGCGAGAAGAGAAGTTTAGAGAAAAAAGAGTAAAAAGAAATGAACAAGCCTCCAATAAATATGGGACTATGTGGAAAGACCAAATCTACATTTGATTGGTGTACTGAAAGTGACGGGGAGAATGGAACCAAGCTGGGAAACATTCTTCAGGATATTATCCAGGAGGACTTCCCCAACCTAGCAAGGAAGGCCAACATTCAAATTCAGGAAACACAGAGAACACCATAAAGATACTCCTCGAGAAGAGCAACCCCAAAACACTTAATTGTCAGATTCACCAAGGTTGAAATGAAGGAAAAAATGCTAAGGGCAGCCAGAGAGAAAGGTCGGATTACCCACAAAGGGAAGCCCATCAGACTAGCAGCAGATCTCTTGGCACAAACCCTACAAGCCAGAAGAGAGTGGGAGCAATATTCAACATTCTTTTTTTTTTCCATATGTATAGTTTTCCTTTATTATTTTTTGTGTGTATGTATATATATATATATATACAGATATATATAATACTTTAAGTCTTAGGGTACATGTGCACAACGTGCAGGTTAGTTACATATGTATACATGTCCACATTGGTGTGCTTCACCCATTAACTCATCATTTAACATTAGGTATATCTCCTAATGCTACCCCTCCTCCCTCCCCCCACCCTACAACAGGCCCCAGTGTGTGATGTTCCCCTTTCTGTGTCCATGTGTTCTCATTGTTCAATTCCCACCTGTGAGTAAGAACATGCGGTATTTGGTTTTTTGTCCTTGCAATAGTTTGCTGAGAATGATGGTTTCCAGCTTCATCCATGCCCCTACAAAGGACATGAACTCATCATTTTTTATAGCTGCATAGTATTCCATGGTGTATATGTGCCACATTTTCTTAATCCAGTCTATCATTGCTGGATATTTGGCTTGGTTCCAAGTCTTTGCTATTGTGAATAGTGCCACAATAAACATATGTGTGCATGTGTCTTTACAGCAGCATGATTTATAATCATTTGGGTACACACCCAGTAATGGGATGGCTGGGTCAAATGGTATTTCTAGTTCTAGATCCCTGAGGAATTGTCACACTGCCTTCCACAATCGTTGAACTAGTTTACAGTCCCACCAACAGTGTAAAAGTGTTCCTATTTCTCCACATCCTCTCCAGCATCTTCAACATTCTTAAAGAAAAGAATTTTCAACCCAGAATTTCATATCCAGCCAAACAAAGCTTCATAAGTGAAGGAGAAATAAATCCTTTACAGAGAAGCAAATGCTGAGAGATTTTGTCACCACCAGGCCTGCCTTACAAGAGCTCCTAAAGGAAGCAGTAAACATGGAAAGGAACAACCGGTACCAGCCACTACAAAAACATGCCAAACTGTAAAGACCATTGACGCTAGGAAGAAACTGCATCAACTAATGGGCGAAATAACCAGCTAATATCATAACGACAGGATCAAATTCACACATAACAATATTAACCTTAAATGTAAATGGGCTAAATGCCCCAGTTAAAAAACACAGAATGGCAAATTGGATAAAGAGTCAAGTCCCATCAGTGTGCTGTACTCAGGAAACCCATCTCACATGCAGAGACACACATAGGCTCAAACTAAAGGGATGGAGGAAGATCTACCAAGCAAATGGAAAACAAAAAAAGGCAGGGGTTGCAATCCTAGTCTCTGATAAAACAGACTTTAAACCAACCAAGATCAAAAGAGACAAAGAAGGCCACTACATAATGGTAAAGGGATCAATTCAACAAGAGTTAACTATCCTAAACATATATGCACCGTATACAGGAGCACCCAGATTCATAAAGCAAGTCCTGAGAGACCTACAAAGAGATTTAGACTCCACACAATCATCATGGGAGACTTTAACACCCCACTGTCAATATTAGACAGATCAATGAGACAGAAGCTTAACAAGGATATCCAGGACTTGAACTCAGCTCTCCACCAAGCAGACCTAAAAGACATCTACAGAACTCTCCACCCCAAATCCACAGAATATACATTCTTCTCAGCACCACATCACACTTATTCCAAAATTGACCACATAGTTGGAGGTAAAGCACTCGTCAGCAAATGTAAAAGAATGGAAATCACAACAAACTGTCAGACCACAGTGCAATCAAATTAGAACTCAGGATTAAGAAACTCACTCAAAACCGCACAACTACATGGAAACTCAACAACCTGCTCCTGAATGACTACTGGGAAAATAACAAAATGAAGGCAGAAATAAAGATGTTCTTTGAAACCAATGAGAACAAAGACACAACATATCAGAATCTCTGGGACACATTTAAAGCAATGTGTAGAGGGAAAATTATAGCACTAAATGCCCACAAGAGAAAGCAGAAAAGATCTAAAATTGACACCCTAACATCACAATTAAAATAACTAGAGAAGCAAAGCAAACAAATTCAAAAGCTAGCAGAAGACAAGAAGTAACTAAGATCAGAGCAGAACTAAAGGAGATAGAGACACAAAAAACCCTTCAAAAGATCAATGAATCCAGGGCTGGTTTTTTGAAAAGATCAACAAGAAAACCCTGTTTGGCTAGTTCACCTGGCTCATCTGATGGCAAGTTCCTATCTTGAGAGGACTATGAAATTAAAACCAATACAAGTGCTACAAATAACATACAACATTGTAAATCAGCACAATTTGTAGCTGGGTGAATGGAAGAAATAGTTCTATTCATCACTTCCTCATTTTCCCTAAATCTACAATCTCCAGATGTCACTACTGAATTAACAGCCAACAATTCCACAACATTACCTGGGAGACACTGGCCCTTTTTCTTCCTCTTCCTCATCATCACTTTCATTTTCTGTAAATAAATTCAGAGAAGCAGGTCACATTAAGCAATTCATACTTCACATATGAACAAATCACTGTCCAGTCATAGCACAAGGACATAACTATTCTCAGTGCAAGAATAAGGATTCTGACAGGAATATTCTAGGGTGTCCTAGATTAACTTTGGTGAGAATTAGATAACCCTGCTTTCCAGACCCACAGGCCAAAATCTCCCTCTACGTGTAGACCATAATGCCATATTCCCTGCCTGAGTCAAAGTTAAACAAAATTTTTTCCCCAAAAAAATCTCCAAAAATTGGTCAAACAATTTTCTAAGAGTGCTGCTGCGATACGGACTTATATCACCAGGTAACATGGACATTAAATGTTTAGAGGCATCTATACATGAAACACGACTGATAGATAAATTTGAACAACTCTTGCTTTAAAAAGAATCTGTGATTTGGGAGGCCAAGACAGGTGAATCATTTGAGGTCATGAGTTCAGGACTACCCTGGCCAATATGGGGAAACCCTGTCTCTACTAAAAATACAAAAATTAGCCAGATGTGATGTTGTGCACCTGTGGTCCCAGCAACTCAGGAGGCTGAGGCAGGAGAATCACTTGAATCTGGGAGGCAGAGGTTGCACCAAGCCAAGATGGTGCCACTGCACTCCAGCCTGGGTGACAGAGCAAGACTCCATCACAAAAAAAAAAAAAAAAAAAAAAATCCACGATGCTACAAAGAAACATTGGATCAGCCATTGCATTGACAGGGTGGAGAACCAGGGTCCAGCCTTGCTTTATGGAAATATATCAGCAAAGTAAAGAAGAAAAGTTTCTGTCCTGATTTCAGGGTGACTGTGCAGCTAAGCAAGCTGACTTAAAGGAGATCCAGATGAAAGCTGAGAGCAGTGAAGCCGGGGGAACAATATTTCCAAATACAAAGGCAAGGCTGCCAGCTTCCTTAAACAGGCATAGAAATTCCATGGACATTGTTCAGGGACAGAGGACTTAATCACAGATGACAAGAGATACTGAATCGAAGCTAGTAGGCCTGACAGATACTGCCTGTGCACCTCCTGCACTCAGGTGACTATGAGATTGTCACACTTGCCTGGGGTTGAGTAACTTGATACTGGGGACTGGCAGACAAAGTCATGACATTAGCTGAGAAGGACAAAAAAAGTCCCTGATATCTGTTTAGAAACCCATCACAGTTTTTTATTCAAATGAATTTGTGTTTATAGAGCCTGTCTTCAGAGTTTATCTTCCTCAGCCTAGAGAGAGGTATGAGACACAAGGAAAACAGAGGCTACCTGGAATAATGTGTACAGCATCCTCCCATTCAACATGAGAGGATGAGCCAATCAGAGTTGAGTCGACTTTGTCTTCCTCAAATGTGATTTTGGTTTTCCTATGTGGCTGGTTGGAGTCATAAGGGCCATGGCTATTTGAATAAGTGATGGCACATTCCTCCTGTGAGTCCTCAGGGACTTCCTTTTCTTCAGCCTTCTGCATCTCCCTGATGAGCCAGGTGGGACAGAGATGACAGAAGATTAAACACAGAGGGATTGGACCCCAGGGAGTCCTAGCTGGTTTTGACAGGCGGCATTAAGAGAGTGGTCCCAGAAAGCAAAATGGAGGTTCCCATTAAGGGGGAACATGCAATCCTGTTCTCTCTGCAACAGAGCATGGCTGCCATGGGAACCAGAGAGGAAGAGAGCAGCTGCTGTTCATTGCACTGGACAGATAGGAGCTGAGGAGGATGAAGACTCAGCTATCCCTGTACGGTGCAGACGTGACACTCGGCACACACAGAGAAACATGACAGCTGCCGCACCCTGTGTCTAAGCTGGGTTATATTTCACATACTGTGGCCAAGCAAATGTGGGTTTTTGGCCGATCATAGATGCCAGAGAGGGTGTGCCTCCTAGATATTCCTCATATGTTACCATCCATTAATTGTTCCTGAGTATTCAGTGTTACCTGGGGGCAGACGATTTCTGCACTTTCTCAGCCAACTCAACTTGAACATCTTCATCGTCATCGTTGTCATTTTCTGTAAATACAGAAGTGTTCGTTCAGATATTTCCCACTTCACAGTCTGCAAGCACAGTCAGCCCAATGTGCAACAGAGACATGAACATCTAGGCATGGGTCACCGTTCAACTGAAAACTCTCATGTTTTATCTTTAACAGAATGCCCTGGCATGGTTTCCTGATCCATCAGGCAATGCATTTCTGATCTGGAGGGCCACCATCAAGATGTGGCCAAATATTGAAAAGACCTTTTGCTTCCCATATCACTGGAGGCTTGTGCAGCCTCTCTCTGGACGTTGGCAGCTGTCTCCCCCATCCTGCCAGATCTGATTCCCAGGCACAGGCTTGGTGTCCTGTCACGGTTTGCATTTCAAACCTCATTCTTTCTCTTAGAAGCAGACAAACTTGTCCCACAGTCCTCTATGCATCAGAAGATTTCAAGCCTCCAAGTGGCTTCTGCTGTGTTCTTCAGGGACATTCTATCCATGGGGAGTGCTCCAGTCTGAAGCACTTCCTACCACAAAACGCCCCCACATAAAGTGCCTTCTCCAACATCACACGGCGAGGGCCTTCATCTCATTTTGGAAAGCAGTTGTAAGTGTTCCCACATTTGAATGCTTCAGACCCTTGCAAGAGACAATTTGTCTGCCACGGAGAGAGAGAAACTCAGGAAGGACAAGTCATTCACTCTCTGACAGTTACTAAGAATATTGCCGAAAAGACAGCCTGGGAACCTTCATTCTTAGTGCTCTTTCACTCTAACAAGCCTGCTCCCATCGCAGCCTCCTTCCTGTCCTTTAAAACTAGACAGATGCTGCCTCTTGCTCCAAAGACCACCTTCCATCAAGGGAGGAGGGACACTTGCAATACTGTGACCTCCAACCCCATGGGTTTCCCATCTCCGTTCTTACCCAAGAAGTCCTGGTCATGTCATGGCCACATAAGCTTAGTGGAAAAAAACACCATTGATACAACTGTCATTGTGAAAGTATGGAGGTCTGGAGTCTCTCATAAGCCTGGGATTTTGGGTCATCAGGGCCTATGGCCACCTTACCTGGGCTGAGCTTTTGGACAAGGTGCTGTGCCAGTCTACACCCCTCAGCCAGCTGTTCTTGGAGGTCCTGCCCCTGGGACTTGTCCGGCTCATCCGGAGTAAGGAGGGCCTGGAGATGCTCATTCAATGAGCGGGAGGCATCTCTCCCTTCCCGCAACTTCTCCCTTAACTGGGTCAGCTCTCGTTCCTGAGCGTGAACCAGGACTTTATATTGCCTAAGGTGAGACGGTAGAGAAAATTTAAGAGTGGAAAGGTTCAGTGATCCGCTCAAATATTGCAACAGAGATTTCTGAGATAATGTCCTCAAGGAGACCTCGAAGCAGAAGGTCAGCACATGTTTAAAGGAATGTCTGTGGCCAAGAGAAAGAATAGAAAATGGTTTACAGGCTTCCTCTGTATCAGAGAGGGCTCTTGCAAGATCCTCGATGATGTTCCATTCATCTTTCCCTTCTGTAAACAAAAGTAGGTGTCTTCCTAATTCCGTTTCAAAAAGACATCCTTTCAGTTCCTCACTCTGGCCATGGACATTTCCATGTGAAAATACACATAGTGCATCTTGCGGCCACTAGATACAAAGCTATGTACAGAAATGAGGCCAGGTGCAGATGGGGCGAATTGAAAAGACGAAAGAAGAAAAGAATGACAGGGTCGAGAAGGCAACATTGATTGAGTGAAAGAATGAGAAGCCGCAGTCAGTCAGGAGGTGATTGTCACTAAGGGTAAGTGGGGTGGTGATGGCACACCATTTTGAGTATACTGAATGCTGCTGTGTGGTTCACACTCCTTTGGTTAATTTTGTGTTATGTAAATTTCACATCAACAATTACTTGTTTGAAAAAGAGAAAACAAGGCTCTGAGAAACAACTGCAACCCATACATTTTTATTATCCTTCTTCTCTGTTTGATAAATATTTATGTGTAGCGAGCCTGCCATGGCAATTCCTGCCCTTCCCCTGGCCCAGCTTAGCTCTTACGTCTCCCCACCGAGCTGCTGTATTTCAGAGATTTACACACCTGCCCCCCTGCCTGCCACCATGGGGTCCCCTCACCTGAGCTCCTCAGCTTGCTTGAGCTGCTCTGCAAGCTTCTCCTCCTTGAACTGTCGCTCATTCCTCAGCATAGATTTTATGAGGTCTTTGCACTCTTCATATTCTGAGAAAAGACAGACACGCCTGCCTCAGTGGAAGGCTGGACATGCTGCTGTGGTCATTGCCTACAGGGCAGGAGCCAGGTCCATCCCAAGGACAAAACTCTCCCCAGTACCAGGGTCTAGACAGGGATTTCCACATCTTTACTCTTCAGTCTCCTGACTTTCTGGCATCTGATCCTCCAAAATTTAGAGATGAAGAAAGAGAACCTCAAGGGCACATCAAGGAAGTTGACAAGATGATTCAACCACAACGAAGTGGAGTCAGAATTCACAGTCCGTGAGGTCTGACTCTGAATGCGGGGCCACTTTCCCAAGCCTTGCAGCCTCTCCTCTAAAACACTGCACTGGGGCATGAAGTAGTGATTTCTTGTACAGTCGGGAAGGCCCCTAGGACTATGGGACTGATGGTTTCCCTTTTACTGGGAATTTCAAGGACAAGTATGTGAAAGATTTTTAAAATCTTTGATTTTTAAATCATATCTTCAGTTATGATTTTAAGAATCATATCTGAAGCATAAAGTGTGACACATAACACCTTAAGGCCATGAAGGAAATATGCCCAAATGTTAATAAAGTTTGTGTTAATTTAGAAACAGCAGAATGAAGAACTAATAAATAGTGTTCACTGTGTGCCAATAAATGTTCTAGGAGATTGACAAGAAATAGCTCATGTAATTCACTGCAGCAATTTACAGAGGTAGGTATTATTGTAGTACCCTCTGAACAGATGAGGAAACTGAGGGACAGACAAGACAAGCAACATGGATGGAGCCCAGGAGACAGGCTGAGGGTCCCTGCTTTGCACACTGCACTGCTGCTTCCACACATTCTCGGGTGTGATCTTTCTTCCTCTTTAGGAACAAGAGCCTGTGCACCAGGAAACAGGACTTCGCTCTCACCAAGCTACTCTCTGCTTTTTATTTTTATTTTTGATTTATTTATCTTTTTGTTTGTTTGTTTTTTGACGAGTCTTGCCCTGTCACCCATGCTGGAGTGCAATAGTGCAATCTTGGCTCACTGCAACATCTGCCTGCTGGGTTCAAAGGATTCTTCTGCCTCAGCCACCCGATTAGTGGTGATTACAGTTGCCCACCACGACGCCCATCTACTTTTTGTATTTTTAGTGGAGATGGGGTTTCTCCATGTTGCCCAGGCTAGTCTCAAACTCCTGACCTCGTGCTCTGCCCGCCTCAGCCTCCCAAAGTGCTGAGATTACAGGAGTGAGCCACGTTGCACGGCCCCTACTCCCTGCTCTTGATGCTGTCACTTATAGATAGCACAGGTTCTATTAGGAGCAGACTCCTCTTGAAGCCCCTCAGAGCAGGTACTGGCTACTATCACCAAGTTTCCCTCAGAGTCACTAGAACACAGCTTTGCCTGTTGGGCCTCAACAGAAACTTGAACTGAATAAAAGTTCACTAGTCCTAGACATTTAGAACAACAGACTACATGTTATTTGTCTGCAGGATCTTATATGGTACAGAGAGGATTCTTGAAAACATGATTGAGCCTCTTGGAGAAAACAGGTCGTTCTGTGCCTGTGTTAGAAATCAATAAATGGCAGTTTAACTCTAGTCCCACCCCCATCTGATTGCAAACATGGAAAGTTGCTAAATACTTTGGTACCTCTGTCTTCCAACTAACAAAATGTTAAAATACCCATTTCTGTTTTCCTACAAGTACAAGAAGGATGAAATTATTTTTGATGGAGAGAGCATTTAGTGTCTCAGAAGACAGGACATCATTCATCACTTTCATGATGGTGAGCCTATAGATCTTACTGTATTTCTTCTGCTGGTTGGCCAGGAAGCCGGCCAGTTGAGTTACAAAACATCTCTCTTTGAGGTTTCCGAACTGCTGTTTGTTCTCTGCCAACTGGGGGCGCAATTTCTCGTTGATTTCTAGAATGTTCATCTCTGCCTTCTCGCTGGACCAAGGGCCGGCTGATACCACCATGCTGACGTTTGTGGCAGAAGAGGTGGAGTCAGGGACTGGGGAGAAGAAACCCAAACATATGATGGGTTAAAAACTGGTGAAATCAAATAGGTTTAATCAGGACTGAGGGATGTCAGTAACTGAAATTCTTACCTTACTGTTGTGAAAAATGTGATCACTCCCCACAGCACTTTAGGATCCTTCACCACAAAAACAAGGTTCAAGGTGCCTCAACTCAGAGCTGAAAGCACTGCCAGTAGCTCAGACTCTGATAAGAGTGAGGTAGATTGTGGCCAGCGTGCCAGGTAACCGTCTGCAGTTGCAATAACAGAATTAGAAGGTGGGGGTGTCATGGAATCTTAGGAGCCCTGCATTCCAATTGCCCAGGCTTTGCTGAAACACAGGCACCCTAGTCTCACCTGAGGGTCACCACCAATGGGGATCATTCCTTCAGCATTCACTCTCAGTATTCGTGTACCCTTGTGACAATGCCACAGACCCGTGTCTTTCCCAATACATCTAAGCATATTCCTCACTGTTTATCTCTTGTCTGTACAACATCATCAAGGCAGAAACAGTTTCCCAACAGGTTATATTTTCTTAATGGTAGTCATGAAGTCATAAATAAAAAAATGGAATCATTTAGTATGTTCTCTTGTTTTGACTTTTTCTTTTTTTTTTTTTGGAGACAGAGTCTCACTCTGTCGCCCAGGCTGGAGTGCAGTGACGCGATCTAGGCTCACTGCAAGCTCTGCCTCCCAGGTTCACGCTATTCTCCTGCCTCAGACTCCCAAGTAGCTGGGAATACAGGCACCCGCCACCACGCCCGGCTAATTTTTTTTTTTTTTTTTTTTTTTGTATTTTTAGTAGAGACGGGGTTTCACTGTGTTAGCCACGATGGTCTCGATCTCCTGACCTCGTGATCTGCCGCCTCGGCCTCCCAAAGTACTGGGATTACAGGCGTGAGCCACCGCGCCCGGCCGACTTCTCTTTACTCAGGTGGGTATATATGCCACTAATTTGTTTGATTGTGTTTTTCCCTTGTTTCATTTTGTTTTGGCCAAGTAATATCCTATTGATTGTATGATTATCACACAATTTTATATCCATTTTTCTGATGGGAGACAGGTTTACTTGATAACTACTGTGCATAAGTAACTATGAATATTCTCATACAATTATTTCTGTGAAGATACATACTTATTTTCCTGGGTATCTATAGCTAGGGATGGAGTTGCTTGGTGAATGGGTAGAAAATGTTGGACAGAGTTTTGCAAAGTATTTGTATTGCTTTACATTTCTATGAAAGATGTAGGCCATTTCCAGTTGCTCTACATTCCCACACACTTAATATTTTCAGTCTTTTAAACTATGCCAGGTGTGTAGTGATATCATAAAATTTGGTTTTCTCATGCCTAATGTTCATTTAGATATCTTCTTATGGAAAATATCTTCTCAAATTTTTATATTCATTGATATACTGGGCTGTTTGTCAATTTCTTTGTAATAGGAGTTCTTTATATATTTTGAATGAGTCCATTTATACATACATATTTTTTGCTGTATTATATAGCAAATAATTATTCCTGGTCTAGAGATAGCGTTTAAGTTGTTAAACAACAACATAATAAGGAGAAGCTTTTTAAAAATGAAGTGCAATTCGCTTGATTTCTTATTGTGGTGAGTGCTACAGTATCTAGTCTAAGAAATATTTTCCTGTGTCAAGTTCATGAAACTATTTCCTATTTTTCCTTTACAAGGTTTCTAATTTTAACTTTCACATCTTAAGATAATTTCAACATATGATGGAGAGTGGTTAATATTAACTTTTTAAAACAACAAATATTATTTCACTCAAAATCGTTTTACTTAAAAGTCTTTCATTTCCCCAATGAAGGGCATTGGTGTCTTTGTTTTTAAAACATTTAGAAGCGGCGGTGCGAGCATGTTCTCACTCATGGGTGGGAACTGAACAATGAGAACACTTGGACACAGGACGGGGAACATCACACACCAGGGCCTGTCATGGGGTGAGGGCTGGGGGAGGGATAGCATTAGGAGAAATACCTAATGTAAATGACGAGTTAATGGGTGCAGCAAACCAACATGGCACACGTATATATATATAATATATATACACGTGTATATATATTATACACATATATACATGTATACACGTATACATGTATACATGTATATACGTGTATACACGTATATATAATATATATACAAACACATGAATATATATAATATATATACGTGTATATACATACGTGTATATATATAATACGTGTATATACATAATATACTATATATAACACGTGTATATATATATTATATATATATATTTTTCTTTTTTAAGTGGCGGAGCGAGGGCTACTGCACAGCTAGCAGAGTCGTGGCGAGGAGGACAGCACCTGCATCGAGCTCTCCGCCTCCCCCACCCGCCAGCCCAGGCGGCCCCAGCAGCAGTGACCAGAAGAGCCCCTGCAGCAACGCAACGGCCAGGTGGACACCTCCATCTACAGCCTCGTGGCGGACGGGACCTGTTAGGACACGGCCATTGTGGGCAACAAGGACCCACCTTCCATCTGGGCCGCCGTCCCAGGGAAAACCTTCCTCAACATCACGCCAGCTGAGGTTGGTGTCCTGGTTGGCAAAGACTGGTCAAGCTTTGTCATGAATGGGCTGACACTGGGGGGCCAGAAATATACTGTGGTCCTGGACTCACTGCTGCAGGATGGGGAATTGACCACGGATCTTCGTATGAAGAGCATCGGTGGAGCCCCCACCTTCAACGTCATTGTCACCATGACTGCCAAGACGCTAGGCCTGCTGATGGGCAAAGAAGGTATCCATGGCAATTTCATCAGCAAGTAATGTTATGAAATGGCCTCCCACCTTCAGCGTTCCCAGTACTGACCTGCTTTGTTCCTTCCACTCCACCGCTCCCCACAGCTTTGCCTGCCTTTCCTTCACATACACACACCATTTTAATTTCAGGAGTCATTACCCCACACACCTTATTGCTGCCAAAACCACATGGGCTGGGGGCCAGGGATAGATGGACAGACACCTTCCCCCACCCATACCCCTCCTGTGTGTGGCTGGAAAACTTTTTTGTTTTGATGGATTTCTTATGAATAAAAAAGATTCTACTAAAAAAAATGAATAACTGTACATATGTGGGCATATTGTTTGAATCTGTATTCTTTCACTTTGATATATTTATGAATACTTACACCATTACTACTGTTTTAAAATTACTGTAGCTTTAAAATCAGGTTTGAAATCTAGCAGAGTAAGTCCTCCAACTTATTGCTTCTTCAAGACCGACTTGCTTATTCTAGGTTCTTTGATTTTCAAATACATTTTGAAACTAGCTTTCAAATTTCTCTAAAATCTCCTACTAGAAATATTAATCAGAATTGTGTTGATGTAATATGCTAACAAAATTGAGTCTTCCAATCAATAAACATGATATATATTTATTTAGCCTTAATTTTTCTCACCAATTGCTTTTAGGGGCCTCGTACCTGCTTCATTGCATGTATTGTTAAGCATGTAATGATTCTGGTTATTAATCTCTATTATGTTTTATTGAATTTCATTTTCTAGCTGCTAATTGCTAGTATGGAGAAATTAAGATGATGAAATCAACTTTATAAAGGCATAATTTCGGTACAACAGACTGCACCACTTTAAAATGTGTAATTCAATGCACGTTTACAAATGGATACACTAACGGAACTACTGCCACAACCAAGATAGAGGAAATTCCCTATGCCCCAAAGTTTCTTGTACCCCTTTGCAGTTCATCAGCCTTTCAACCCTCAGCCCCAAGGAGCCACTGTCACTTCAGGTCCGTTTGCATTTTTAACCATTTTCTATAAATGAAATGATACCTGTGTTCTTTTGTGTCTGCCTTCTTTCATGCATCAATGTAATTTTAAAATCCATCTGTAATGTCTCGTAAATACTGAGTAGTATTCCTTCGTGTGGCTATACCATGTATGTTTGTACTTTCACTTATTATTGGACATTTCTATCATTCCGCGTTTGGGCTATTATGAAGAAACTATCATGAGCATCCATACGTGGCAGGCCAGGTCTCACTAACACAGGCCTCCCTAACAACTGTTTCAGTACCGACTGAGTGGTTCAATTAAATATTAAGAGGAAAAAAAAAAAAGAAGCCAGTGCCCTTATACAAAGGCTGGAATGTAACAAAAGCCCACCAAGAGTTTTGCCTAGGTTTTTCCTGGGCCTTAAAGCATGACGAAATAACGAAGGCATTCTTAACAGGAGCCATTTAGTATTAAACGAGTTTTATTGGGGGTCTGAAGAAACTCCCCAGGCCTCCACAAACAAGTTTATTGGAGATCTGAAGGGACTCTCCAAACCTCTGTGATTTAGCAGGAGACAAGATAAGGGCCCCCAGCACCTAGACCCATTTAGATTAACTGAATTTAACTGAGGTTCCAGAGGAAGGTCTTCAGGACTCAGACTTATAGATTAAAAGAAGTTAATCATTTATGTATTTAGATGAATGCACACTTCCACATACACATATAGCTTAGAAGGTACATTAGCTCAGGAAAACTTTCCAATTTTGAGTTGGTCTGGTGATAATTTCCAGGCCGTTTCCCTGTAACCAGTTGCAGAAGTCAAAACTCTCTTCCTCCCCAGTTCATCTGTGTCTCGTTACGGAGCCACGAGAAACAGCATCCCGCCCCTCAGGTTGGTCTGGAAACACACATACAGATCATTGTGCAGACACAGTGTGTAAATTCCTAGGAATGGAATGACTGTCTATCTGATTTGTGTTACGTTTAACCTTTAAGAAACTGTTAGATTTTCAAAGGAGCCATACCATTTTTCATTCCTACAAGTATAAGACTTCCAAGTGCTTTATATCCTCACCAACAGGTGCTATTTTCAGCCTTTTTAATTTTAGCCATTCTTATGGATATGTACTGGTATCTCATTGTTGCACTGATTGATCTCCCTGATGACTAAACAGTGGAGCATCTTTTCCTATGCTAATTGACCATTCATGTATCTTCTTTTTTTTTTTTTTTGAGACGGAGTCTCGCTCTGTCGCCCAGGCTGGAGTGCAGTGGCGGGATCTCGGCTCACTGCAAGCTCCGCCTCCCGGGTTCACGCCATTCTCCTGCCTCAGCCTCCCAAGTAGCTAGGACTACAGGCGCCCGCCACTACGCCCGGCTATTTTTTGTAGTTTTAGTAGAGACGGGGTTTCACCGTTTTAGCCGGGATGGTCTCGATCTCCTGACCTCGTGATCCGCCCGCCTCGGCCTCCCAAAGTGCTGGGATTACAGGCGTGAGCCACCGCGCCCGGCCCCATGTATCTTCTTTTCTGAAGTATCTAAGTCTTTTGAGAAATTGTTTCAATGTGCTGTTTATCTTATCAGACTGCAATATATATATATGTGTGTGTGTGTGTGTGTGTGTGTGTGCCTGTCTGTGTATATATATATACATATATATATATACGTATATATATATATACACACACATATATATACGTATATGTATATATATACGTATATATATATATATATATATTCCCTATTTGGAGATAATAATCTTCAAAACGGTGAATATATATATGTATACACACACACACACACGTTTGTGTGTGTGTGTGTGTATACATATATATATGTCCTAAGAATCAATTAGACATACATGTGAGTATCTATTTCTGGATTCTCTCTTCTCTTCCACTGATATATATTCCATTTTTTTTTCAACAAAACACATAATCTTGATTTTCATAGCTGTAGAGTAATTCTGGAAATAGGTAGTGAATTCATTCACCATTATTCTTTTATAATATTGCTATTTTATTATTCTTGATCATTGACATTACCATATAAATGGTAGAATCAGCTTGTAAATTTCTACCAAAATGCCGGTTGGAATTTTTATTAGAATTGCATTGGATCTGGAGATCAATTTACGAAGAACTGACTTTTTAAACATAACAACTCTTCTGATCCATGACAAGGTTTATCTCCCCACTAATTTAGTTCTTTCATAATTTCTCAAAGCAATTTTTTGTAGTTTTTGGTGTACTGGCCTACTGGCCTTACATAAATTTTGTTGACTTTCCTTTTTTTTTTTTTTTTTTTTTTGAGACAGAGTCTTGCTCTGTTACCCAGGCTGGAGTGCAGTGATGCGATCTCGGCTCACTGTAACCTCTGCCTCCCAGGTTCAAGTGATCCTCCTGCCTCAGCCTCCCAAGTAGCTGGACTACAGGCACATGCCACCATGCCTAGCTAATTTTTTGTATTTTTAGTAGAGATGGGGTTTCACTGTGTTAGGCATGATGGTCTCCATCTCCTGACCTCATGATCTGCCCACCTCGGCCTCCCAAAGTGCTGAGATTACAGGTGTGAGCCACGGTGCCCAGTCTGTTGAATTTATTTATAAACACAACATGTATTTAGATGTTACTTTAAATGAAATTGTATTCTTATTTCATTTTCCAAATGCTCATGCCTTTCTAATTTGACATAAAGTGCTACATGGCATTGGGGCTGGTACAGCCTCGCTCAATTATGGGTTGAAGAGTACACAGAGACTGCCAGGCTGAGGGAAGGTGCAAGAGAATAGAAGAGATGCTCACAGAGAACCACAGACCGCACGGCCCCAGAGTCAGGGGCAGCATCAGCCACTGTCGGCTGCTCATTTGTCCAGACAGAGCCCACAAGCCTCAGCCATGCTTTGCTTCTGCAAGATGCTTCTTCACCTTTTCAATAAACCTGCCTGAATTAAAGCTGATGGGAGTTTATTTCTCCTTCATCATAAAAGAAATTCTTCACCACAACAATCTCCAATGAATTGTGGGCACAGAAGGCAGACCCATCCCTGCTTCTCTTCCACTATCTCCCCTGTAGGTTGAAAAGGAGGAGGTACTGAATTACCTCCAAATGTTCCTCTGGCTCTGATATTCTGTGACTCTGGTTTCTTTTCGGCTACTTTGTTTTTGGAAGCATGTATCCTAAGGCGTCCAGTTGAAAAACCTTTGTCTACTGTGTCCAGACATTCCTGGTGGTATTTCAGATTAAGACACCCTTGGGTTGCTGCACTCACAACCACTGAACCAATTCTATGACCATCTGTTTCATGGCCACCTGTTTGCTCATTTTCTATGTACATAAAGGGAGGGGACACAACAAATTTGCATATTATAAACTGTATCATCTTAAAAAGGAAACAAGGCAATATTTTGCAATAAAACCTTAAGATGCATTAAATTTAAGCCTAATGCAGTAAAGAATGCCCATAAAATTATTATCTAAAGAATGTTTAGAAAATTGTTGAACAAGGGACATCATCATTTAAAGTGATACGAAGAAAACTCAGCTAAGCATATGGGCTAGATTAGAGAGAAAAATAAAGGACCCATCTCTGCCCTGGAAAAACTACTGGTAGCATCTTTCACAAAGCTCTCTGTGTTTGAGTACGCACCTTGATCCATAGGCTCACATTTGATCCCAACTGGCGGCTGCTTCTTGGCATTAACTTTGGATTCCCAACCAGTAAATCTTACCAAGATCTGAGTTTCTCCAGGTATGATATTATTTTGTTTGACCATCCTTATCTTCAAGGGCTACCAAGAAGAAACAAATCATTTATTTACCTCCCCAGAGGAAAAGGTTTTACCAATGAGACACTTTCTTACCATGACCCCAGGGCCCCCATGCCCTGTTCACTTGAGTGCCCTGTGTGGCCTGAGAGAAGCTCATACTGGTCACAGGATTCTTTATATGATTAACCTCCTTCCTGAATCCCAACTTTATGGTGGTGGTGATGACAGGTATCCCATGCTCATGTCCCTGAAGTCATCAGCCTGTCTCCAGTTAGAAAAAATTACATGTATATAGAGAAGCCTCTTTGGAAGTAGCAAAAGCTTTCTCACCTTCATACATTAATGGTTGGAATGTACAATAGTATAAACACTTTGGGAAAAAATGTCTGGCATATTCTTACAGAACTAAACAACTACCTATTCTATGACTCACTAATTCCTAAGCATTTATCCAAGAGAAATTAAAACATATGTCCAGAAAATGATTTATACAAGAATGTTCATAGCAGTTTTATTCATAATAGGAAAAACTGGAAACATTCAAATATCTATCAATACAAGAATGGATCAATAAACTGTGATACATTCATTCCATGGAACGGCTAAAGGAACAAACTTTTGACACACAAAACAAGATGGATGAATCTCAAAAACATTTTGAGTGCAATAGGAGCCATACGCAAAAGAGTGTGAGAAAAATGATAAATAATAATGGTTTCAAGAAATGCAGAGCAGAGAGCCCAGAGGCAAAGACCCACAGGACAGAGGGTCAGTCCCAGGCTGTGGATCCTAACTAAGAAACTCCTGCTGGATTTTGCCCAGCTCCATTTCCAAACTATTTTGGGTTATTGACTTCTTTATCCCCTCCATGTTCCCTCATTTTGAACTAGAATCACTGTAGTGGTTATTCTATGTCTGTCCCATCATTTCACATTAGGGGCAGATAAGCTGTTTGTTCAGTTTCACAGGTCGACAGAGGTAAGGGAATTATGTCAAGGATCTGCACTTAATGGACACTCTCGGAAGCCTCATTCACACCTGGTGTGGATGTTTTAGATGGGATTTTAAACTTTTGATCTGATGTGGTCTACATGACATTTTTCATGTTGAACTAATGCTTTAATGACATGAAATCTGGAAACCTCAGGGGAGAGGGTAAATGCACTTTGCAGATGGGGGAATGTGAGTGTCCTACTGTGGTAGATGGAATTTCTGAAATGGTCCCCAAACATGCCACACCCTTGTCTCTAAAGCCTCTTAAGGTGATGAGACACCATTCCTGTGACTATGTTGTTATATGCCAGTTATATGACTTTAAGATGGTGAGGTTACCGCATGAACTGGATCTAATCACATCACTCCATACATGACAGAGCTTTGTGTGGCTGGTTGGAGAAGATGAAGTCAGAGAAGGTGGGAGCTTGAGAAGGACTCCATGAGTTGTTATTGGTTGAAAGATGAAACAGACAGGTAAGGAGGAAAGCATGTGGCCTCTGGAGTCAGAGTAGACTGTCTCCCCGCTGACAGCCAGCACAGAAAAAGGGCCCTCAGTCCCCCACAAACAAGAATAGGAACTCTTTCATTATCTGTAGTGAACCTGGAAAAATAGCTTGAGCTCTAGGAAAAAAACACAGCCAGCCCATTCCCGGATTTTAGCCTCACATGACTCTGATCAGAGAACCCGGCCACTTCATTCCAGACTTCTGTGGTTTCAAACCACTGGTTTGTGGTAATGTGATAATAGGCAGCAAGAGAAAACTAGTACAGGTGCCTGTCTCTCCTCTTGAATTTCAATTTCAGATAAATGTATGCTAACCCTCTAAGAGAAAAAAATCAATCAACCAATCAATGAAAGAACTACAGTAAAAATATTGCCCTCACCTTTATGTGGCTGTTCCAGAGCCCTTGCCACCTGAAGAAGACAATGAGGGGTATTTCAGGCACTTGAGGAGTGTGGCTTTACTGTTATCAATCACATTTCTGGAAGAATAAAAATGGTTCAGTGAAGGGATGGGTTGCCCCTCCACACCTGTGGGCGTTTCTCATTAGGTGGAAGGAGAGACTTGGAAAAGAAAGAGACACAGAGACAAAGTACAGAGGAAGAAAAATGGGCCCAGGGGACCGGCGTTCAGCATACGGAGGACCCATGCCGGCACTGGCCTCTGAGTTCCCTTAGTATTTATTGATCATTATCGGGCATTTCCGGAGAGGGGGATGTGGCAGGACAATAGGATAATAGTGGAGAGAAGATCAGCAGGTAAACACGTGAACAAATGTCTCTGCATCATAAACAAGGTAAAGAAAAAAGTGCTGTGCTTTTGATGTGCATATACAGAAACATCTCAATGCCTTAAAGAGCAGTATTGCTGCCAGCATGTCCCACCTCCAGTCCTAAGGCGGTTTTCTCCTATCTCAGTAGATGGAATATACAATCGGGCTTTACACCGAGACATTCCATTGCCCAGGGACGAGCCGGAGACAGATGCCTTCCTCTTATCTCAACTGCAAAGAGGCCTTCCTTCCTCTTTTACTAATCCTCCTCAGCACAGACCCTTTACGGGTGTCGGGCTGGGGGACAGTCAGGTCTTTCCCTTCCCACGAGGCTGTATTTCAGACTATCACATGGGGAGAAACCTTGGACAATACCTGGCTTTCCTAGGCAGAGGACCCTGCAGTCTTCCGCAGTGTAGTGTGCCTCTGGGTACTTGAGATTAGGGAGTGGTGATGACTCTTAACAAGCATGCTGCCTTCAAGCATTTGTTTAACAAAGCACACCCTGAACAGCCCTTAATCCATTTAACCCTGAGTTGACACAGCCCATGTCTTAGGGAGCACAGGGTTGGGGGTAGGGTTACAGATTAACAGCGTCTCAAGGCAAAACAATTTTTCTTAGTACAGAACAAAATGGAGTCTCTTATGTCTACTTCTTCCTACACAGACACAGTAACAATCTGATCTCTCTTTCTTTTCCCCACAGTTCAGGTCAGGCCGTGGCTCGTGTCTGTAATCCTAGCACTTTGAGAGGCCAAGGCAGGTGGATCACTTGAGGTCAAGAGTTAGAGACCAACCTGGCCAACATGAAGAAACCCTGTCTCTACCAAAAATACAAACATTAGCCAGGTGCGGTGGCAGGCGCCTGTAATCCCAGCTATTCAGGAGGCTGAGGCAGGAGAATCACTTGAACTCAGGAGGTGGAGGTTGCAGTGAGCTGAGATGGCGCCGTTGCATTTGAGCCCAAGGAAAAGAGAAATAACTCCATCTCCAAAAAAAAAAAGATAAAATAAAGACGGTTCACTACTTAACTCCAAATATTATTATGTGAAAATGTATCATCTCAATTTTAATAGCAGATTTTAAAAAATTCCTTTTCTTGTGCTCACCAGACAAGGTTTGGTAACAAATACCAGTCACCAGCACAGATGAACCAATTCAAGGAGAGCCATAAACAGGACTACTATTATGTTTCCCCAAAAACCATCCCTAGAATGCAATCTCTTCTCTACTTGTCACAAAACGAACACAATAGTCCACTATATAAAGTCCCAAACACAGGAAAATGTAAATATAATGAAATCTGCTTTCCAAATGTTTATTCTATTCAGACCCAGTCATGGGGACCAGGGATTAGGAAATGACTACAAACAGGTTCAAGGGAATTTGGGAAGTGACAAAATATGCTGAAGTAGAACTCTGCTGATGGCTGCACAATTCGATAAATCAACTTACATCATTGAGTTGTACATTAACAATGGGGGACTTTTATAACAAGTAATTCTTTAAACAAACTTTTGGGTTTCTATTTCAACATGGAAAGAGCTAGGCAGTCATCACTTGTCCTCACAGCTAGAAAAAGGCTGAACAAACTGAAAGTCAACCCTTCTAGGGTGGATCAGAGAATTGAGGTCACAGGGAAAACTGCCACCTTAAAAATGAGAAACACAGGCTAACACACAAGGAGTCACAGCTCACAGGGAAGAGAAGCTACTGGGGACAGCAAGTGGGAGGAGCACTTAAATGGTATTGACAGATTACTAGAAGCTGAGGGTAGCCTGGCTAGAACATTAAAAACTCCTTGAAGACCAGACTAAGGGGGAATCTCACACATTTCCAAGTGTTACTACAATGATCTCAACCAGGTTCTCATGATGAAGTTCAGAAAAACTCCCTGAGGTTTGGCACTACCAACTTCAGGACTTACATTAAGCTACAGTAACCCAAATAGTGTGAAGTTGGTGAAAAGAGAAAACACACACATATAGATGCATGGAAAAGAATACGGAGCCCAGAAGCAGGCCTACATACAGTCCACTGATCTTCCATGGAGGTTTAGAGACAATTTAAAACAGCAAAGATAGCCTTTCCAACTAGTGGTGCTAGAACAGCTGGACAACCACATGCAAAAAAAATAAATAAATCCAGGTATGCATGTTATATACCCTTTATAAAATAAATCTTACACGTAAATGTAAGGTGCAAAACCATAAGAATCCTAAGAGATAAAATAGGAGAAAATCTGAGGGATCCTGGGTTCAATGATGGCTTCTTAGATACAAAACCAAAAGCACAATCTACTAATGAAAAAAAAATTAAGTTGAGCCTCATTAAAATTAAAAACTTCTGTTGTGTGAAAGACACTGTTAAGAGAATGGAAAAAGCAAGTCACAGACTGGGAGAAAATATTTACAAAATAATCTGATGGAAAAACTGCTGCCAAAATATATGAAGAATTCTGAGAACTAAACAACACAAAGCAAAAAAAAAAAAAAAAAAAAGGTGAAAGATCTCAACACCTCATTAATAAGATATACAGATGGCAAATAAGCATATGAGAAAGATGCTCAAAATCATTTGTTGTGAGGGAATTGCACATTAAAACAACGAGATATCACTGTAAACCTATCAGAATGGCTAAAACACAAAACGGTGAACACACCAAATGCTGTCAAAGATGAGGAACAACCAGAACTCTCCATAGCTAGTGGAAATCAAAAGTGTACAGTCACTTTGGACAACTTAAGTTCATTCAAAATCCTGCACATAAGTACTTGCAGCAATTTTATCATAATTGTCAAAACTTGGAAGTACCCAAGACGTCTTTCACCAAGTGAATGAATAAACAAACTGTGTTGTAGCCATACAATGAAATCTGATTCAGTGATTTTACAAAACAAGCTGTCAAGTCATGAAAAGACGTGGAGGAACTTAAAGTACATAATGCTAGAAAGAAGCCAGTCTGGAAACCTACATACTGTAATTCCAACTCTAGGACATTCTTGGAAAGTCAAAAAGATAGAAGTAGTAAAATGATGAGTGGTTGTCAGGGGTGGAGGAGAGGAGGAGGCACGAAATGGTGAAGTACAGGGAATTTTCAGCAGTGAAACTATTTTGCATGATGCTGTATTGGGGATTTAGGACATTACATAATTGCCAAAACCCATAATCTGTGAAACTCAAAGAATGAACTCTAGTGTAAACTATGGACTTTAGTTGATAATGATGTATCAATAGTGGTTCATCAATTGTAACGAATGGACCACACTAATACAACATACTAATAGGGGAAACTGTGTGCTGGAGGACAGGGGAGCCTAGGAGAACTCTCTGTACTATCCACTCCATTTTTCTGTAAACCTAGAACTGTTCTAAAAAATAACATCTATTACTTTTTTTTAATTAGGATGCAGCAGCCCCATACCAAGGTTTTGGTGGCATCCTGTTATTGTGTGGTTAGTACTTGGCATTGAAGTGCACCAACCTGGAGTCAGAGCAGTTGGAGATTTCAATGCCTGTGCCATTTACCTCTAACCCTGGGGTGCCCCCGGAACACAGATAGCAGATCAGTTAGGCAGAAGCAGCCTCAGTCATCTAGACAGTGCAGGGTTCTGGTAAGGACAGGTGCAAACCATCTAGGTGGGCAGAACTTGGTGATGACTAGGAACCACTGAGACTCAGCAGCTGCCCCAGTGGCACCCACAAATCAGAGGAGGAGGAGGCTGGGAGGACCTAAGGGCTACAGGACGAGCTCCCTGCCTACAAGACAGAAGCAGCTCCAGAGGTTTTGGTAAGTAATGTAGATTTCAGTGCAGTGTGGTCTATTTAAAAAAGTAGAACAAAAAGGAAAGAAAAAGAGAGAGCATGAGAGACAAAGAAAAAGAAAAGAAGAAAGGAAGAAAGGAAAGAATGGAGGGAGGGAAGGAAGGAGGAAGGGAGGGAGGAAGGAAGGAAGGAAGGGAGGGAGGGAGGGAGGGAGGCAGGGAGGAAGGGAGGAAGGAAGGAAGGAAGGAAGGGAGGGAGGGTGGAAGGGAAGGAGGGAGGGAAAGAATAAAGAGAGAGAGAAAAAGAGTGGGAGAGAAGTAGGGAAGGAGAGAAGTAGGGAAGGAAGGAAGGAAATGAACAAATTTACATGAAGATGAGAACATCCAGGGGAACTTACACCACCAGTATTTTCCATTAACAGGAACACGCTAACTAGTTATTGGAGACAGACGCACTACTGTAAAACTATATACTGTTTCCATGGGGTACAACCCCTTCTTCCTCCTCTGAAACACATAATTCCTCTGGCCCACTGTTGCCAGAGACACTGAGTCTTGTCTTTGGATAAGTTCTGGTGCCCAAAAGAATGAGATGAGACAGTGGATCCCAGAACACCAGGCCGCAACCTTTCCTGCTGCTCCTTGTCCACTCCAGAAGCTGCCCAGCTGCAGGTGGGGGCCTCAGCCCCTGGGTCTGACATCGTCCATTTGTCATTCTCACTGGACTTCCCTCCTCGCACTGGCTCCCACTCCCCCAGGACCTGGTGGACGGCCACGTGAGAAGGATACAAACAGGCCATGCCCCTTTCTTTCTCCCCCTCTCAATGCCTGCAGTGGTGGGTTCCATGGGGTAGTGACCTGAGATTTACTCATTATGGGGTCTCTAGCCCAGAGCAGGGCATGGTACCTAATAGTCACCCCATGAATGCTCAGTGAAAGAAGGCGTCCACCACAAGGTCCTGGGGAACCAAGAATTCCACTGTGGCCCATAAATTCTAAGTCCTACAGGATTCTGGAATGGGAGATGGGAACGGCCTTCAAAAGTGGCCTCTCTTTTAACCCATTATACTGGCAACTGAGCCATGTTTCCCCATCCTGGACACATCTAGAGGGCACTGCCTAAAACCACACACATCTCCCCACCCAGGACAGTGCAGGGCCTTAGCCTGGGGGATGCGGGTGGACAGGGAGGGGGTGAGCCATGAAAGCTGAAGAGGAGAAAGCAGGTGAAAGGGGACGGCAGGGTGGAAACAAGAGACGGAAATGGGGGCAGAGAATGGGGGGTAAGAGGGGAAGAGCAAGGAGTGGGATGCAGATCTAGCTACTAAGGAAAAGTCCTGGAGAGAACACTGTCCTCTCCTGAAGTAAAATCACTTCCACCTGACAACGGCACTGCAGGTCGAGGGTGGCACACGCTGTGAATATTTGTTCATTCACTTAACAAATATTAATTCAGTATCTGTTTCATGCCAGGTAAGGCCCTGCGATGTTTAGGGCCCTTGGCATCTTCCCTTCACATCTGAGTCATAATAGAAAAAGGACTCTCTGACTCCATCGAGCTGGCAATGCCTCAGGGTTTTTACCTGTGGGATCTGGCAGCTCTTCATTCGGCCCACACCGTGTGAGGTTGCTCTTGGTGCACCGAATGGGGAAGTTTCTACATCAGTACCTCGGAGAGTCCACTGGAAGCCCTGGACAGTGGGAGTTGGTGGCACCCCCAGCGTGGAGGCCAAGAACACACAGCACTGAAGCTCCAGGACACCCTCAGGAGGACGGTAAGGGACGGTAAGGTGAGAGCCTGGGTCACCAGGAACCTTCGCCTGCATCTAAACAGGATTTGCTTTCAGATTGCCTATGAGATAAAAGAGAGAAATCATGGTTAATATTGAGATTTGGGGCTTCGGCAACTTGAAGGATGGAGCTGCCGTTTACGGAGACTGGGAAGACCCAGGGAGGAGCAGGTTGAAAGGTGGTGGGGAACTAGAATTGTTTGGGTTCCTGTCATATGTAATCAACAGTCCTCACCAGCCTCGGCAACATAGTAAGACCCCATCTCTGAAAATAAAAAATGAAAAATTGGCCCAGCATGGTGGCACACACTTGTAGTCTCAGCTACTCGGAAGGTTGAGGCAGGAGGATTCCTTGAGCCTTGAATTAGAGGTTAGTGAGCTATGATGGCACCACTGAACTCCAGCCTGGGGGAAAAAAAAATAAAGAGTCCTGACTAAATACTTGAGTAGCCAGGGAAGTTTTCACCAAGTAATACTTGAGGCAGATCTTAGTGAACAAGAATTCGATTCTTTCTGTTAGGGAATTAAGAGTGTGTGGGTGTAGTTAATGCTTCTTTGGAATCGCATCTACTGGTCTATCTGGTCTATCTGTACACGTATATTCTACAGGCTGTCTCGCTGAGCTTTCGCTAGGTTATGCTACAGTAACAAAAGCCCCAAAATCTTAGCAGCAACACATACAAAGGTTTATTTTTCATTGACATTTCCTTTTATGTCAGGTTGACTGTGACTCTGCTGTATACAAGCTATTTTATTTGTTACATGGTGAAAACTGTGACACTTGGAGATTGTTGAATATGGTATTAGTATGTTCATTCATTCATTCATTTAACAAATATTTATTCAATATCTGTTTCATGCCAGGCAAGGTCAAGTACTGAGAATACAGTGGTGAATAAGAGACAAAATCTCAAATTTCCAGGAGCTTATGTTGAAAATGAGATTGAACACATACAAAATAATCATAATAACAACAATGAATACTATATTCATAAATAATAGCTGTAAGAGATTTTAGCAAATCTTTTAAATTAGAAAAACATAAAAATTATTAAAACTAAAATGGCCAGCGGTGATGGCTTATGCCTGTAATCCCAACACTTTGAGATGCCAAGGTGGGAGGATCATTTGAGCCCAGGAGTTTGAAACCAGTCTGGGCACTACAGGAAAACCCTGTCTACAAAAAATAGAAAATTAGCCGGGCATAGTGGTGCATGCCTGTAGACCCAGCTACTAAGGAAGCTGAGGTGGGCAGACTGCTTGAGCCTGAGAGGTCAAGGCTGCAGAGACCCATGATCATACCACTCCACTCCAGCCTGGGAAACAGAGCGAGACACTGTCTCAAGAAAAAAAAAAAAATGGTTCGATGTAGTCCTAAAACTATTATGTAGAATACTATTGTTTACATCATATCACGTCGGCCCTTTAAATGGCTTAACGCTTATTTAGGTACGATCCATAAAGTTTTCCTGGTAATTAAGTATACCTAAGAACAATGAAGTATAAAAGAGTTACTGCCTTGACAGGAAGATTGTAAAAACTGTAAAAAGATAAATAAATAAAGAGTCAAAACTGTAGCTCTGTGAGGCTCAAATAACATCTAATTCAAGTCACAATGAACATCTAGCAATCACTGTGAACACCACATACTTCCCTTAATACATTTTCCCTGAATGCCCAACACATCTGAATTACCAACACCCGTATGTAGCCAAGAAACTGACAATCATTTATAAATTATCACCTATGACTCCATCTGCTCTATGCACTTATTTTTTAAATTTTACTCATTTATTTATTATTTTTATTTTTTGTAGAGATGGGATCTCACTATATTGCCCAGGTTGGTCCAGAAACAGAAACAGACCCACACTAATTTCATAAATTGGATGACCATGCAGTCATCCGATTTAAGAAAAAAAGTGCCAAACAGTGCAGAAGGAAAAGAATAGTCTTTTCAATAAATGGTGCTGGATCAAGCAGACACATCCACGTAGTAAAAAGTGAATCATAGCCGGGTGGGGTGGCTCATGCCTGTAATCCCCACACTCTGGGAGGCTTAAGTGGGAAGATTACTTGAGCCCAAGAGTTTGAGACCAACCTGGGAAACATGTTGAATCCCATCTCTACAAAAAATATGAAAATTAAGCCAGGCATGGTGGCACACTCCTATAGTCGCAGCTACTCAGGAGGCTGAGGTGGGAGGATCGCTTGAGCCAGGAGGTGGAGGTTGCAGTGAGCTGAGATCCTGCCACGGCACTCTAGCCTGGGCAATAGAGTGAGGCCCTGTCTGAAAAAAAAAAAGAAATGCAAAAACTAAAATAAAATTGCTATAAGGTTAACACAGAAAAATGTGTTCATACTCCTAGGTTAGGCATTGATTTCTTAAACAGGACACAAAAAGCAGTAACCATAAAGGAAAAGATTGATAAAGTATAATTTCATTAAAATTAAGAATCTCAGGCTGGGTGCAGTGGCTCATGCCTGTAATCCCAACACTTTGGGAGGCCGAGGCAGATGTCTCACCTGAGCCTAGGAATTCCAGACCAGCCTATGCAATGTGGCAAAACCCCATCTCTACTAAAAATACAGAAAAGAGCTGAGTGTGGTGGTGCTCACCTGTAGGTCCCAGCTACCTGGGGGCTGAGGCAGGAGGATCACCTGAGCCTTGGGAGGTCAAGGTTGCGGTCAGCTGTGATTGTGCCACTGCACTCCAGCCTGGGCAACAGAGTGAGATCTTGTCTCAAAAAGAAAAAAAAAAGTTAGAGAATCTCCATTCATGAATAAGCACCATTAAAAGAGCGAAAAGGCAAGCTACAGATTGAAAAAAGGGAAATGCAATACATATATATCGTAGAAAGGACACATATCCGGAAAAAAGTATTACAAATCAACAGAAAAACAAACATATCAATGAAAACTGGATAAAAAGATTTAACAGGCACTTCACAAAAGAGGACACACAAATGACAATAAAAGATACTCAATCTCAATACCAGGAAAATGCAAAATGAAATCACACTGATACATTACTGCACCCCTACTAGAATGGCAAAATAATTTTTAACTGACAGGCATCAGCAAGGATGTGGGGTAACCAGAATATCCCTGCTAAATGGTACAATCACTTTGGGAAAACATTCAACAATATGTAATACTAAGTTTTATCATTCATATACCTCTAAAACCAACAATGCCACTCCTACAAATATACCCCAGTCTAGTAATGCTCTATTTCTTGATCTGTGGTGGTTCACTTGGTAAAAATTCATTACCTGTACTTTTTTTTTTTTTTTTTGGAGACAGGGTCTCACTCTGCCACCCAGGCGGGAGTGCACTGCCATGATCACGGCTCACTGCAATCTCAACCTCCTGGGCTCTGGTGATCCTCCCACCTCAGCCTACCAGGTAGCTGGGACTACAGGCACACACCACCACACACAGCTAACTTTTGTAATTTTAGTAGAGATAGGGTTTTGGCACGTTGCCCAGGCTGGTCTGGAAATCCTGGGCTCAAGTGATCCGCCCACCTTGGCGTCCCAAAGTGCTGGGATTACAGGTGTGATCTACCGCGCCCGGACCACCTGCACATTTAAAATTGTGAACCTCTCTGTATACTTCAGTAACTTTTCAAAGATTTCTTTGACACAAAGTTCTCAGAAATCTTAAAGCTAGCATTTCACAATAGAAAAAAAGAGCTTCTGGTTCACTGGTGAAATTTTACTAATAAAATTTAAAAACAAAAAGCTACTAACACATATCAGCTCAGAACAAAAACTAAACACTACCAGCAGATCTTTTCTTTAACTTCGTGAAGCACTGGGATTCATTCTTTCGGCAAAGAAAGGATGAACAACACTGTAACCCAAAGAAAAGGTATCACTGCAAGAAAAGACTTCTTTTCGAAAGCAGCTCTAGCAGCAAAAGATAGGAGGAAAGCAAGGAAACCATGCCAAACGTCTTGGTTAACTCTTCGGAGAAAGGACGCCAAATGAGAAGATCTAACAAGCCAGAAAGACAGACAGACACAGGGAAATCACAGCACCTCTTTGGAGTGCAAACACCAACCCCACAATCCAACCTACCGGAAATCCTGCGGTGAATTTGAGGCTTGTCCCGCTAGTCATGAGGTGATTCAGTGATGGCTACAAATGCTCCTCATGTGCATCATGGACTTGGTACACCCGGCTTGCCCATCACCAGCCTGGAGAAACCGCCAGGAGCAGAATCCCGGAGGCCAATAAAGACCCCAACTTTGCAACCCAGGGGCGCGAGTGGTCTCGCCTCTCAGGTCCCCAGAGGCAACCGATGTCTGGCCTCGAGGGTGGGGTGCGGGGTCAGGGTCCTCCACAGGATACACGAGGACGTGCCCCCGAAGCTGCTCGTCCCTCCACCCCCTGGGATGCCACAGAACACCCGCCAGCGAGTTTCTTCCCCAGCGCCCAAGAGATGAGGGCTGCGGGCGGCAGCGGCAAGTGAGGAATCCAACGCATGGAACTTAAGCCCCGGCGGGGCCGGAACACACGCCCCCCCCAACCCCCCACCCCGCCTCGCCCTCCGTCGCTCGCAACAAAGCTTGCGACAGCCGCAGCTCGACCCAGCTGTGTACCCGCGGGTCCCGGACTCACCGCCCGCCCGGCCTGGCGCGGCGCCTTCACCTCGGAAACGCTGGGTGGACTTCGCTGTAAACCGTAACTTCCCATCCAGACGGCAGCCGCGCCGCCGCGCCTCGGCCCGCTCCTGGCGCCACAGGTCGCCCGTCCCGCGTTCCCAAAAGCACCGCGTTCACTCAGAAGCTCACGCAGCCTCGCGACCCTCACCTACCCCTCCCAATATCGCCGCTGTCTCAACCGCCGCCCAGCCCATAGCCTGCGGCCAGCTGGATCCTCAGGGTCTCGCCGGGCGCGTCAAGAGAGCCCAAGGCGCAGGCGCAGGCGCAGGCGCAGCGGGGCCTTAAAGGTACCTGGCCGCCTCTGCCGCACAGCGGGTTCGCGCGGGCCAAGAAAAGGATTAAGGGAGCGGATGGACGGAGAGCAGCAGAGACCGGGAAATCCCTCTCTCCGCTCCGCCTCTCTTTCAAGGCACCAGCACTTGACCCTGCAAATCGCTGATTTCCAGGGCCACTTGAACCGCCCCTGCCAGGTTAAAGGGGCAGAAGACACACCCCCTCGGGGGCCCGGAGCGACCCCGGGCTTAGGAGTGCAGGCTGGCGCTGCAGCACCGCCCCCGAGTCTGACTTCCAGGCCCCGGCATGCGGTGCAGACGCGCAGACATCGGAAGGCAACCCCCAGCTCCCCTGAGAGGTGACCTTAGGTCACTCGAAAAAACAATAACCAGCATGTCAATGGCACTTGTAGTTATTTTCTAATTTAAATTAATAACAGATTTTGCAGATGGGCTTCCACTGAAGCCTTTGAGAAAAAGAAAAACTTCTTCTTTTTCAACAAGATTAGGAAATACCAAGAAATAGGCAACTAAGGTGGGGGAGTGGGGGTGGGCGACAAGCAGGCACCAGCTATTAAAGCAGCGGCCTAGTATATTCTGTCCTTCCATAGTTTGCGGGCCCAAGCCTAACTTCCTACAATAATAATTGTATAGAAAAGTTTTAAAAAGGGATAAAAAAAAAAAAGAGGGGACGTCTCAAATGAATACACTTAAGCTCCCCCCTCAAGAAACAAGAAATAGGCAAGTAAAAGAAACCTAAAGCAGGCCAGGCACGGTGGCTCACGCTGGTAATACAAGCACTTTGGGAGGCCAAGGTGGGTGGATCACCTGAGGTGAGGAGTTCGAAACGAGCCTGGCCAACAAGGCAAAACCCCGTCTCTACTAAAAATACAAAAAAATTAGCTGGGCGTGGTAGCACCCGCCTGTAATCCCAGCTATTCTGGAGGCTGAGGAAGGAGAATCGCTTGAACCCGGGAGGTGGAGGTTGCAGTGAGCTGAGATCGCACCACTGCACTCCGGCCTGCGCCATGGGAATGAGACTGAATCTACAAAAAAAAAAAAAAAAAAAAAAAAAAAACCTAAAGCAAATGGAAGGAAATAATAAAGATAACAGCAGAAATCAATGGCATTGAAAACAAAAAACAACAAAAGGGGAAACTAGTGAAAATAAAGCTGTCTCTTTGAAAAGATCAATAATATTTGACATATATTTGACAACCCAGATGAATTGGACAAATTCATCTTAAGTATCAACTACCACAACTTACCTAAAGCAAAATAGGTCATCTGAGTAGCTCTGTAACTATAAAATAATTGGATTCCTAATTTTAAAATTTCCAGAAAGGAAAGCTCCAGGTCCAGATGGTTTCACTGGAGAATTCTACCAAACGGTTGAAGAAAAATTAACATCAATTCCTTTTTTTTTTTTTTTTGAGGCAGAGTCTTGCTCTGTCTCCCAGGCTGGAGTGCAGTGGTGCAACCTTGGCTCACTGCAAGCTCCGCCCTCTGGGTTCATGCCATTCCCCTGCCTCAGCCTCCGGAGTAGCTGGGACTACAGGTGCCCGCCACCACGCCCGGCCGATTTTTTGTATTTTTAGTAGAGACGGGTTTTCACCGTGTTAGCCAGGATGGTCTCGATCCCCTGACTTTGTGATCCGCCTGCCTCGGCCTCCCAAAGTGCTGGGATTACAGGCGTGAGCCACCGCGCCCAGCCGAATTAACGTCAATTCTATACAATCTCTTCCAGAAAATAGAAGATGAAGGAACACCTCTCAACTATTTCTGTAAATCTATGATTACCCCAACTCCAAAACCAGACCACAAAAACGTTTATCAGTCAATGAAGAAAAATCATTTGACAAATTCAACATCTATTCGTGATAGAAATAAAGAAAGGAGGCCAGGCTCTTTGGCTCATGCCTGTAATCCCAGAACTTTGGGAGGCCGAGGTGGGCAGATCACCTGAGGTCAACAGTTCGAGACCAGCCTAGCCAACATGGCGAAACCCCGTCTCTACTAAAAATACAAAAATTAGCTGGGCATGGTGGCAGGCGCCTGTTATCCCAGCTACTAGGAGGCTGAAGCAGAGAATTGCTTGGACCCGGGAGGCGGAATTTGCAGTGAACCGAAATCACGCCACTGCACTCCAACCTGGGTGACAGAGCGAGGCTCCGTCTCAAAAAAACAAAACAAACAAAAAAAGAAATAAGACAAAATAGAAAGAAGGGAAGAAACGGAATGTTTTACAAGTATCAGAAACATAGGAATACAGGACTTTGTCAGCTTGATAAAGACCACTTACAAAAAAATTCACAGTTAACATCCTACTCACGGTGAAAGACTACATGCTTTCCCTCTAGGACTGGGAACTAAGCAGGGAAGACCACGCTCACCACTGATATTTCACATGACTATCCTACCCAAATCAATAAGGCAAGACAAGGAAATCAAAGGCATACACTGGGAAGGTGGAATAGATGAACTTTGCCCTATTCTTCCTGCTCATTACATCTAAAAACCTTGGGCATTGTATATAAAACAAACATAGGAAGACTGAAGGGCAAAGGGAAGATAGGAGGCCATCTGGCTTCCTCAAGACCCACAGAAAGCCAGGAGATGGGTTCCCAGGATTCCTCCATGCCCCCACTAGATCCTAGATGTAGAGCCAAAGGAGATGGCAACCCAGAAATACCAACGGCTACAGATCCAACAAACCCCAATACGATCCTGCTCTCTCTAGGCAAAGGATCAGCAAAGAGGCAGTCTAGCAAGACAAGACACTTATATACGATCATCAGTTTCCTCAGGTCAAGCACCGTGGAAGAAAAGCTGTGGCTGCATCAACATAAAAGCTAGCAAAATCCCAGTGAGGGGCTTCGGGTTTCACACTTGCACAGGTATAATGACATATGCTAAACCCCCACCTTGCCCAGGGGTTCTTTAGGTTCCAGCATTTTATTTATCATGAGACACACAATGACTAAAATGCTGGAAACTAAACACAGAGAAAATACCTCAAAAGCAACAGAGAAAGATGACATCTTACCTAGAGGGGAAAAACAATGTCAATGACAGATGTTAGAGGAGGAAGCTGGGGCTGTCATCATCATCCCTGCCAGGTGATAATATGTTTACCTCCCTGTCAATAGAAACTACATTTGGAGCCTAGACTTCATTAGATGGTCATGAGGCACCTCTCCCTCTGTCTGCTAGGCTGGTATCAGAGGAGTCCTAGTGCAGAGTCAGGACTTTCATCAACACCCAGCAGTAACAAGGCTGCTCTTGTCCTGTGGTGTCACTGGAGGCCACATGGAAAGCAGTGGAGGTAGCTTTCCTACCCACCCAGCCAGGGAGGTAGCAGTGGAGGAGCAGTGGGCTGCTGGAACTCCCTCTCCTACCTTAGCAGCTCCTCCACTCAGGGTGTCAACAGAGGTCAGTCAGATGAGAAACCTGGATTTCTACACACATCTGGCTACAATGAGATGGCACCACTCCTCTTCCCCTGCAGAAACAGACTCAAAAAAAAGGTAGTCAAAACAGAAGGTTTCAATAAAATTGAAACTCTGATAGCATAACACCCAAAAGTCCAAGTTTCAATTGAAAATCCTTCATCATACCAAGAACTAGGAAAATCTCATACTGAATGAAAATAGACAGCAATTACACACTGGCAATGAGATGAGAGAGGTGTTGGGATTGTCTGACAAAGAGTTTAAAGCAGGCAAGCCTGATGAAAATGATTTAGTGGTACTTATAAGCACACTTGAAACAAATGGACAAGTAGAAAGACTCAGCAAATAAATACAAGACATAAATGAGAACCAAATGGAAGTATTAGAAGTGAAAAATACAACAACTAAAATAAAAAGTCCAGCAGATAGGCTCAGCAGCAGAATGGATGGTGCGAAGCAAACAAATCCATATACTGCAGATGAGAAAAACAGAAATTACAGAATCCTAACAGGGAAAAAATAGACTGGGGGAGAAAGTGAACAGAACCTCAGGGACCTGTGAAACTACCTCAAAAGTTCTCACTTTCATGTTGCTATCAGTGTCTGGAAGGGGAAGAGGAAGAAGACAAGGCTGAAAACATACTCAAAGAAGTAAACGGCTGAAAGCTACCCAGATTTGGCAAAAGACATAAACCTACAGGCTCAATAAGCTGTTAGAACCCCAAATAGGAAAAAACCCAAAGAGGTCTATGGCAAGACATGAAAAAATAAAATGTTGGAAAAGAAAGACAAGGAAAATATCTGGAAAACAACACAGAAAGGTGACACCTTACCTAGAAAGGAAAAACAATTCTGGTGATGATGGATTTCTCATCAGAAACCATGGAGGCAGAAAGAAGTTGTGCAGTGCTTTTCAAGCCGTGAAAGAAAATAATTGTCAGCCCAGACTCCTCTGTCCAACAGAAACATCTTTCAGGAATTAAGGGGAAGATCAAAACAGTTTCAGATTAAGAAAAGCTAAGGGAATCTCTGACCAGCAGTTCTGCCTTAAAAGAAAAGCAAAAGGGAGTTCTCCAGACAGAAAGGAAATGATTAAAGAAGGAAACTTGGGACGTCAGAAAGAAAATTTTTAAAAAACAGTGAGCAAAATAGGCCTTCTTTCTCCTCTTGTGTTTTCTAAACTATGCCTGACGGTTTCAGAAAAAAATCATAGCACCATCCGATGTGGTTCTAACTCTACATACAGAAAATGTTGGAAACAATTATAAACTGGAAGGGTAAAGAGACCTACATAGGAGGTTGCTTGTCTATTGTTCACTCAACTGGTGAAACAATGACACCAGTATACTGTGTGGTCAGATATAGATGCACAGACATATGAATATATATATATACCTGGAAAAACCAAGAGGGCTATACAAACACATATACTAAAAAATACTATGGATAAGGCAAAACACCATTCTCAAAGATGCTTAAGTCACCACAGCAGGTAAGAAAAATAAAGCATATCCAGAAAATGAAACCAGAGAGAACAAACAGAAAAGGAAAAATAAAATGGCAGACTTAAGCCCTACCATATCAATCATCACATTAAATATCAATGGGCTAAGTACACCAATTACAAGACAGAGATTGGCAGAGTAGGTTAATGGACATGACCCAACTACATCCTGGCTACAAAGAGACTACCTTCAAATATGATGATACAGGCAAGTTGAAATCAAAAGGATGGAAAAAGATATATCATGCAAACATTAGCTAAAGGAAAGTAAGACTGGCTATATTAATGCCAGATATAGTATATTTCAGAACAAAGAAACTAATCAGAGAGAGAGAGGGACGTTATAAAATGATGAAAGGACCAATCCACCAACCCCTCCCCTGACGAGGCCGGTTGAGATGTGTGAAGCAGCTCTGGCTACAGCGGGTAGGGAGAGGGCGCGCGGGACCCAGGAGCCTCCGTGCGGAGCCAGGCCTCAGGAGCAGCCGCCTTGTTCCTGGAAGGGGTGCCTCCCTCCATCTTGTCTCCAAAGACTGTAGGGAGACCTTCTCGCCCGGTAGGAAAGCGACGTCTCCCATGCTTTCCCACCACGCAGGCCTTGTGGCCTTTCTCCTGCTAGTGTCTGCCCTCCAACCTGCGGGGGCTGCGGCTGCCACGGTTCCACGCTGGGTGGACGCTGCCTGCCCGGGATCCAAGAGCCGCCGTTGCAGGCGGGAGTTGGGGAGTCGTGTGCAGGTCCGAAGGAGACCCAAGCTCTTGGTCAAGGCTTTTTTGCTATAGCCAAATTCAGCGTGTAAGAGACAGAGAGCTCACATCTGTCTGTTCGTAAGCTTCGGTGAGAACACCAAGGAAGCGCACTCAAGATTCGTAGGAGGGCGGGAAGGGTCCCTGGCGGCGATATCCGCGTCGGCGGTGAGCCAAGGCATGTCAGGAGAGTGAGTGCGCGAACCCAGCCGCCGGATAGCGCAAACACCACCGCGGACGAGGGCCCCGCATGTGGAGAAATCGCAGGGGTCAGCGGAGCCGAAGTGTGGTGGACTAGCCTCCTCCGGGGAGAACCCCCTTCCTGACCACTGTATGTCCCCCGCCACATAAGGGGAGAGGAGGGACAGCACAGCCTACTCTCCCCTGGCGGACGATCAGGGTCACCACCTTCTCCTCTGCTCTCCCCTCGCCATTCTTCCAAACCACCCTCCGCCAAAGATTCCACGGACAGTCACCCTCCCAACAACCCAGGCCTCCTTTCAGCAGCGGCTCCCGCCCCACAGCCACCACGCCCTCTCACCCCCGCGGTTCTGCCCGCCGCCTCTGCCGAGTCTGTGCACTTCACCTCCCTGGGTCCCGCTCCCCCCTGAGCTTACAGTGGACGAGGGGCAGGACGGGGGAAAGGCCGTTCGGCTGCCCTTCTAGCTTCAGAATCACCCAGTGAACGGGTTTCAACCGTAGCCGGCAAGATGCGCCTCTCCGGTTTTCCGAGGCTTTGGAACCTGCACAATTGTTCTGCAAAAGACGGTGGCTCCGCCTAGCATTGGATGGGCGCTTGCTCTGCATGGTGATGCCGGAGCGAGGGTCGACTGTCCGTCTGTCGCAGTCGGGTGGTGTGCTTGCTTCCAAGTCTGGAGTTGGCTGGTTCAAGCTCGTTCTACTGAGCGTTTCTTGCATTTTAAAAATGCTTAAACCGCTGGCAACTTTCTTCTACCCAGCACATTCTCTCATGGAATGGCAGAGCAAGACCAACTTTACCCGCCTCTCCTCCGTGTCTCCCATACGACATGAGGACGTAAATCAAGGTCCGCTAGGATTCTAGGATCTCTCTCTCTCTCTCTCTCTCTCTCTCTCTCTCTCTCTCTCTCTCTCTCTCTCTCTCTCTCTCTCGACGGAGTCTCTCTCTGTCACCAGGCTGGAGTGCAGTGGCGCGATCTCGGCTCATTCCAACCTCCGACTCCCTGGTTCAAGCGATTCTCCTGCCTCAGCCTCCCGAGTAGCTGGGATTATAGGCACGCGCCACCACGCCCAGCTAATTTTTGTATTTATAGTAGAGACGGGGGTTTCATCATGTTGGCCAGGATGGTATCAATCTCCTGACCTCGTGATGCGCCCGCCTTTGCCTCCTAAAGTGTTGGGATTACAGGCTTGAGCCACCGCGCCCGGCCTTCTATTTTGTTTGTTTGTTTGTTTGTTTGTTTACTGTCATTCATTTAGCCCTTTCCATACGCTTTTGAAGTTAAATTGGTTCTGTGATTTTATGATTACATATAATGTTCTAGTCATTCTTGTACGGGCATTTTCGGCGTTTTCAGCCACTGGTGTATTTCTATAGGATAGAGGTGCAATTACTATAGGAAGAGCAATTACTCCATCATAGTGTTCACACGGTTTTTATATCATTCCATTCTCTCTCCTCTGTTGGCTTATTAGCTATAACTCTTTCTTTTGTTATTTTAGTAATTCCCTTAGGGCTTATAGCAAACCTTTTTAACTGATCACAGTCAACCTTCAAGTGATATTAAACCTCGCCTTCTGGCCTTGAAGTTATTGCTGACATGTACTTTGCTTTTACGCATGTTATAAACCCACAACCCATTGTTATTGCTTTTGTTTAAATGGTCAAACTTTTACAAAAGAAATTTACAAAATAAGAAAATACCTAGTATAGTTACCTATTTCTGGTGTTCTTCATTTCCTCATGTAGATCTGGATTTTCATCTGGTATTGGATTCCTTCTGCCCGGAAGACTCCTTTGACGTTTCTGTAGTGTGGGTCAGCTGGTAGTGAATTCGGTCAGCTTATGTAAGTCTCTAAATGTCCTTACTTCACTTCCAGTTTTGGGAATTTATTTTTTCTGGCAGAGTATTCTAGGTTAACTTCCTCTGCCCTCAGTACCTTAAAGATGTTGCTTCTCTGTCTGCTCCCATTGCATTGCTGCTCCCAGTGGGGGCCGGCGAGAGCAGAAAGAAAGTTGATGGCAATTCTCATCTTTGTTCCTGTGTAGGTACAATGTCTTTTTCTTCTGGCTGGATTTCAGCAATGTTATTATGAGGTATCTAGCAGTGGTTTTCTTCATGTTTCTTGTGCTTTGGTTTCCTCAGCTCCTTGGGTCACTGGATTTATAATTTTCATTATGGTTGGGAACTTTTCAGCTATTGTTTCTTCAAAAATTGGCTGGGAAAAGTGGCTCACACCTTCAGGAGTCAGGAGGTGTTGAGTGAGGCCGGGAATTGGAGACCAGCCTGAGCAACATGCTGAAACCCCACTCGTAATAAAAATAACAAAGAAAGAAAATAAATGCTTCCTTTCCTCCCCGCTCCTTTTCAGGGACTCACATTACTCATAAATTAGGCCTCTTAAATCTGCCCTACAGTTCACTGATAATCTTTTCATTTAAAAAAAAATCTTTTGTCTGTGAGTTTCATTTTGCATATTTTCAATTATTCATGGTTCCATATTCCCTGATCATTTCTTCTGCAACGTCTAATCTGCTGTTAATCCCATCCAGCGAATTTATCATCTCTGATATTTTGGTTTTGTCTTGCTTGCTTGCTTGCTTTCTATCTTTTTTTTCTTTTTCTTTTTTTAGATGGAGTCTCACTCTGTCGCCCAGGCTGGAGTGCAGTGGTGCGATATTGGCTCACTGCACCCTCCGCCTCCTGGGTTCAAGCGATTCTCCTGCTTCAGCCTCCAGAGTAGCTGGGACTACAGGTGCGTGCCAGGACACCCAGCTAATTTTTTGTATTTTTAGTAGAGACAGGGGTTTCACCATATTAGCCAGGATGGTCTCAATCTCCTGACCTCGTGATCTGCCCCCCTCAGCCTCCCGAAGTGCTGGGATTACAGGCGTGAGCCATCGCGCCCGGCCTATACACAAACTTTTGTATTAGAATAGAAAAGTTGAGAAGATAGTTCACAGAATGGAGTAAAGAGGATGAAATGGGTTTTTGGAAACCATTCACATTTTAAAGTTGTTTTAGGCCAGGCGCGGTGGTTCATGCCTGTAATCCCAGCACTTTGGGAGGCCGAGGTGGGTGGATCACGAGGTCAGGAGATCGAGACCATCCTGGCTAACATGGTGAAACCCCGTCTCTACGAAAAATACAAACAAAAAATTAGCCAGGCGTGGTGGCGGGCACCTGTAGTCCCAGCTACTCAGGAGGCTGAGGCAGGAGAATGGCGTGAACCTGGGAAGTGGAGCTGGCAGTGAGCCAAGATCGGGCCACTGCACTCTAGCCTGGGTGACAGAGCGAGACTCCGTCTCAAAATAAATAAATAAATAAAATAAAATAAAATAAAGTTAACACCCCTCACCCCCAAAGAACAATGTGTGTTCTCCCCAGACATCCCTTTATTAAAATATGCAGAGAAAGTGTAGGATAAAAGAGCATATGCTAAACTCCTCAGAATGTGTGTCTGGAAGTGGACAGGGGAATGGGAGTGGGATGAACAGAGAAAAGAAGGAAAGACAGTAAGGGCCTTGCTGAGAGCAGCCACCATAATGTGCCCTGAGCTAAGGTACATGATTACCTTCTTCCTGTGCACCTGAGATCTAAGAGAATATATTAACAAATCAGGGATATGGAATTTCAAAAACACTACGGGAAAACAACAAATTTACCCAAACAGAACAGTCTACTTAAGAAAGGCAGGAAGAGGCCGGGCGCGGTGGGTCATGCCTGTAATCCCAGCACTCTGGGAGGCCGAGGCGGGCGGATCACGAGGTCAGGAGATCGAGACCATCCTGGCTAACATGGTGAAACCCCATCTCTACTAAAAATACAAAAAAAATAGCCAGGCGTGGTGGCGGGTGCCTTTAGTCCCAGCTACTCCTGAGATTGAGGCAGGAGAATGGCATGAACCTGGGAGGCAGAGCTTGCAGTGAGCCGTGATCATGCCACTGCACTCCAGCCTGGGCAACAGAGCGAGACTCCGTCTCAAAAAAAAAAAAAAAAGAAAGAAAAGAAAAAAAAGGCAGGAAGAGATTTTATAAACAAAGCGAAAACACAGAAATCATACAATGAGGTGGTGGGAATGAGACTAACTATGCCCATCATCTCCAACATAACACTAATTACTGCTAATTATAATGGATCTAAGTCTCTCATATTGGATAGAAAAGGAAATGCGGACTCTAATGGTTCAATGGCAGAAAAGGGTTAAATATTCAAAGCAGTGCACATTATTATTATTATTATTATTATTATTATTATTATTTGAGACAGAGTTTCACTCTTGCTGCCCAGGCTGGAGTGCAATGGTGTGATCTCAGCTCACCACAACCTCCGCCTCCCAGGTTCAAGCAATTCTCCTGCCTCAGCCTCCCTAGTAGCTGGGATTACAGGCATGTGCGACCATACCCAGCTAATTTTGTATTTTTAGTAGAAAAGGGGTTTCTCCATGTTGGTCAGGCTGGTCTCGAACTCCTGACCTCAGGTGATCCGCCCACCTCGGCCTCCCAAAGTGCTGGGATTACAGGCATGAGCCACTGCACCCAGCCTATTATTATTATTATTATTATTATTATCATTATTTTGAGACAGAGTCTCGCTCTGTCACCAGGCTAGGGTGCAGTGGCCAGATCTCGGCTCACTGCAACCTCTACCTCCCAGGTTCAAGGGATTCTTCTGCCTCAGCCTCCCGAGTAGCTGGGACTATAGGCACGTGCCACCATGCCCAGCTAATTTTTGTATTTTTAGTAGAGATGGGGTTTCACCATATTGGCCAGGCTGGTCTCGAACTCCTGACCTCGTGATCCACCCACCTCGACCTCCCAAAGTGCTGAGATTACAGATGTGAACCACCACACCGGGTCAAAAGCAGTGCACATTATCTTTAGCAAGCTAACACAGAAACAGAAAACCAAACACCGTGTGTTCTCACTTATAACTGGGAGCTGAATGCGAGAACACATGGATAAATGGGGTTAGGGGGCAAGGACAACAGACACTGGAGCCTGTTGGAGGGTGGGGGTTGGGAGGAGGGAGAGCATCAGGAAGAGTAGCTAATGGATGCTGGGCTTAGTACCTGGGTGATGGGATGATCTGTGCATCAAACCACCATGACACAGGTTTACCTATGAGACAAACCTGCACATCCTGCACATGTACCCCTGAACTTAAAATAAAAGTTGGAAATAAAAAATGTAAAAAGGAAAGAAAATAAACAACAACAACAAAAAGGACGGTGCAAATCTATACCACGCTCATTAGAAACAAAAGAATGAGGGTGAAAACATGAATATCCGACAAAAGTAAACAGCAAAAGAACGCTTTATGTTAACTAGAGGAGTAATATCCTAGCATCTACCTAGAATCAAATGGAACTGTTTTTCCCTGAACTGGCCTCCTTGGGTGGCCGACCAGGGCCAGGTGAAGAGAAGAATTCTGGGAGTGAAACGTCCATTTATTCCCTCTTGTTTTGGTCTCTGTAAGGCATAAGAAGTTAAAAGCAAGATCTGATCCCTGGCGTTTTCCAGGAACTCAAAAGAGGTGTAGGAGGAGAGAAGCTCAATTATCACCCTGGTCTCCTGGAGTATCCCAGGCACAGTCCCAGGAGTTCAGCTTTTCATACTCGAGTTCCTGGGTCCTGAAGGCCTTTTTGGGGAAAGTACTGATGTTCGTGTCAAGGTTGGGAAGAAAGGGTTTGGGAGGAACCAAGCAACAGGGAGGCAAAGAGAAGACATCAACAAGCGAGGCAAGAACTTTCCACAGGCTCACACTGGATACAGGACCAGAGACAAGAAGCTGGGTGAGTTTCTGATATTTTCCTACAGAGGTTTGTTATGCAGTTGCTTCAGAGCCTACTCAGAATAAGGCTTTTTCAAGTCAGCTCTTTTAATGTGAAGCCATAACTTTGTGGTATTGCCTGATGGCAATTCTCCACTGCGAGCCATTGCTCTAGGTGTCTTTTTTGTTTGTCACATCTTGCAAAGAGAACACGGTGAAAATCTTGACTCCTGTTCCCAAGTCTGTGTCTTAACTCTTTCCAAGGCTGCACAGCTCGGGGTCAGGAGGCGTTGGCAGTTCAGTGGTACAATTCTCGCCTCCCACCCGGGAGACCTGGATTCCATTTCCGGCAAATGCAGCGTCCTGTCTTTGTGCCCTGTGGTTTTTACATTTACTTACTGTGCCGCGCTAATAAAGAAAAAAAAGGAGGGGAAGGGGGGAACTACTGTATAGTCCTTGGGTTCTTTCCGTAGCGGAATTTATTTTTCTTTTATTTATTTTTGTTTGTTCGTTTGAGACAGAGTCTCTGTCTGTCCCCCAGATTGGAGTGCAGTTGCACGATCCTGGCTCACTGCAACCTCCACCTTCCAGGCTCAAGAGATTCTCATGCCTCAGCCTCCCAAGTAGCTGCGATTACAGGCACGTGTCACCATTTCCTGCTAATTTTTGTATTTTCAGTAGAGACGGGGTTTCACCATGTTGGCTAGGCTGATCTTGAACTACTGACCTCACATGATCCACCAGCTTCGGCCTCCCAAAGTGGTGGGATTACAGGCGTGAGCCCGGGCCCCGGAGAGGAATTTATCTAAGCCGAGACTTTGCAGAGACTGTCTTTGAAGCAGCCAGTGGGTCTGCTTGGTCTCTGCGTTTCTACGTATTTGGCCCTAAAACCGGCGCGACTTTATCGTCTCTGCTGTCGGATCCCTGCAATACAAAGAGGTACCTGGTCACTGATTCTCTACTTGGACCTTGGATAGACCATTAGACCACATCTCGCGATGGAGTGCGGCTCAAGAAATGACATTCCCGGCCGGGCGCGGTGGCTCACGCCTGTAATCCCAGCACTTTGGGAGGCTGAGGCGGGCGGAGCACGAGGTCAGGAGATCGAGACCATCCTGGCTAACATGGTGAAAACCCGTCTCTACTAAAAATACAAAAAATTAGCCGGGGGTGGTGGCGGGCGCCTGTAATCCCAGCTACTCAGGAGGCCGAGGAGGGAGAATGGCGTGAACCCGGGAGGCGGAGCTTGCAGTGAGCCGAGATCACGCCACTGCACTCCAGCCTGGGTGACAGAGCGAGACTCCCCGAAAGGAGAGAAGCTGTGGGGTGGGGCGGACACAAGCAGTGGTGGGGAACTGGGGCCCAGGGAAAGGGGAGGCATGTGAGGAGGAACCCGAGTGCAGATGAGGGGAGCTGCGGAGAGGGGCCTCTGACCTTCCTGTCGAGGAAGGCCCAGTCTTTGGTGGTCTCGGCAAAATGAAGAATGGGCCCCAAGTGGAGAGCAGCACGTCCCCAAAACTCATTTCTATCAGCCCTGTTTGTTTTACACTCCACCAGGCAAATCTTCCGTCCACAGGATTCTTTTTAATACTTCTCTTTAAGCAGTGTGGTGGGGAGGCCATGGCAATCATTAGCTCTGGAGGCCTGAGGAGGACACTCTGAAGAGGAAAGCCCCGCGATCATCCGGTTTCACCCCTGTTTTCATCTACTCTTTTCCTCAGCGAAGCCTATATGGGTTCCCGATGTCACATCGCAGCTACCGCATTGGAGGGTTAAGAGCCGCTGACAAATCTCTTTCGGGAAGGGGTAAGAAGCGCAGCTGGCCCAGAGCCATGGAGAGAGACGCAAGAGCAGAACCGAAAATACTTTTCTCCATCTTGTTTTCTCTCTGCTGTCGGTGAACATTAACCTTCCACACACACCGGGTCAATACTGCCTTGGTCTCTACAGGAGGTTTACCATTTTTTTTTTTTTTTTTTTTTTTTTTTGAGAGGGAGTCTCGCTCTGTCGCCCAGGCTGGAGTGCAGTGGCGGGATCTCGGCTCACTGCAAGCTCCGCCTCCCGGGTTCACGCCATTCTCCTGCCTCAGCCTCCCAAGTAGCTGGGACTACAGGCGCCTGCCACTACGCCCGGCTAATTTTTTGTATTTTTAGTAGAGACGGGGTTTCACCGTTTTAGCCGGGATGGTCTCGATCTCCTGACCTCGTGATCCGCCCGCCTCGGCCTCCCAAAGTGCTGGGATTACAGGCGTGAGCCACCGCGCCCGGCCGGTTTACCATTTTTTACAGTTCCCGTAAGCCATGTTTTCTTCTCGCTTCTACAGTTCTTCCAGGATTGAGTTTCAGGAGCTGGTCAGCAGTCCAGGCTAGTTCAACATCCTGGTTCAAAATCGTTTGTCTGGTTTTGCTACTAGGGTGAAGCTTGCCTCCTAGACCAGAGTTAAGACGTGTTCCCTCGGCTTCTGTTTTCTAGAGAGAATTGATATAGTTTCTTCCTTAAGTGTTTGGTTGTGAAACCATCTAGACCTGGCGCTTTGTTCTGGAAGGTTATTAATTGTTGCTTCAATTTCGTCAATAGATAGAGACCTATTTAGTGTATCTATTTCTCCTTGTAGAGTTTTGGTCAACTTTATCTTTCAAGTAGTTGATCCAATTCATCGAAGTTATCAAATTTGTGAGCAGAGAATTGTGCATAATAGTCCTCTACTATGCTTTTAATGTCCACGAGATCAGAAGTGAGGGTCATTGTTTTCTTTCTCATATTAGTAATTTGTATCTTCTCATTGTTTCTTGGTTCACCAGCTAAAGGTTTATCAATTTTATCGGTCCTTTCAAAGAACACTCTTCAGGTTTTTTTGACTTTTTTCTATTGATTTCTGGTTTTCAATTTCCTTGATTTCTGCTCTAGTGTTTATTGTTTCTTGTCTTCCACTCACTTTGGACTTAATTTGCTCTTGTTTTCTTTGAGTTTCCTAAAGTGTAAGTTTGGATTATTGATTTTAGATCTTTATTTGTAATATTTAATTTTTAAAATCCATGATTATTTTACTTTCTGTGCAATAATTTTTTTAGTGTACTATAATTTTTGTTCTTGTTAAAATCTCAGTTTTTTGTTGTGTACCAAGGGTACAAGTGTAGCATTGTTACATGGGTATATTGGGTCCAGATAGTTTGCATAGTACCCAATAGCTAGTTTTTCAACCCACTCTCCCTCCCTCCCTACCTACCTCATGGTAGTCCACAGTGTCTATAGTTCTCAAGTTTATGTCCATGTGAGCTCAATATTTAGGTCCCATTCCTAAGTGAGAACATTCAGTATTTCATTTTCTGTTTCCGCATTAGTTTCTTCCAGATTATGGCCTCCTGTTCTATCCATGTTATTGCAAAAGACATGATTTCATTCTTTTTTATGGGTGTGCAGTATTCCATGTTGTGTATGTACCACATTTTCTTTATTTAATCCACCATTGATGGGCACCTAGTTTGACTCCATGTCTTTGCTATTGTGAATAGCCTGGTGGTGATCATAGGAGCGCATGTGTCTTTTTGTTTTAATGATTTACATTCCTTTGGGTATATACCCAGTAATGAGATTACTGGTTGAAAAACAGCTCTGTTGTAGGTTCTTTGAGAAATCTCCAAATTGCTTTCCACAGAGACTGAACTAATTTACATTCACTCCAAGTGTTTATATGCTTTCTCTCCACAGCCTTATCAGCATCTGTTGGTTTTTGACTTTTTAATAATGGCCATTCTGAGTGGTGTGAGATGGTATCTCATTGTAGCTTTGACTTGCATTTCTCTGATTATTAGTGATGATGAGCATTTATTCCTGTGTTTGCTGGCTGCTTGTATGTCTTCTTTTAAGAAGTGCCTGTTCATGTCACCTTGCCCACTTTGTAATGGGATTATTTTTTTTCTTGCTGATTTTTTAAAGTTCCTAATAGGTTTTGGACATTAGACCTTTGTCAGATTCACAGTTTGTGAACATTTTCTCCCATTCTGTAGGTGGTCTGTTGACCCTGTTGATGGTTTCTTTTACTGTGCAGAAGCTCTCTCATTGAATTAGGTCCTACTTGTGAATTTTTGTTTTTGCTACAATTGCTTTTGTGGACTTGGCCATAAATTCTTTGCCACGGCTGATGTTGAGAATGATATTTCCTAGGTTTTCTTCTACACTTTTTCTGCTTTGAGGTCCCAGTATATATTGTGTCATTGCAAATGACAACCAACCACAGACTAATCATTACAAGCCAAGAAAGGGAACTTATTGGTGACCAGGAAAAATGTCCAACAAATGAAAATTAGTAAAAGACATTCCTGGGTGTCTTTTTCTGTAAAGTGTGGGGCATTGTTGTCTATAGAGTTCAGCAAACTTTTTCTGTAAAGGGCCAGGGAGATAGGAAATATTCTAGGCTTGTGAGCCAAGAGGCAAAATTAAGGATATTATGTAGGTGCACATATAACCAGGAAGAAGGCAAATTTCTATACCATTTTCATTGATGAGATTCTAAACTAACAATAGTAACTGAGTAGAACTTCTCAGGTGGTAAATGTTCTTTGCATTGAGAGCCTAGGCTCAACTTTCCTAGGCTCCCTGGTACAGCCCTCCCTTTCCACCCCTCAGGCTGTTTCCCTCCCTGTTTTCCTCAGAAGAAGAGTTCCAAACAAAAGATCTACTACCCTGAGAAGCGGTGAAGTGCTCCTGGGGCCCACCAAGGCCACACAAGTCAAGGAGTGGATGGCCTTGCCCCAGCTATGGCTCAGATCACCTTTGCAGGATGACATCTTGTTGGGAGATGGTCATCAGAGACAGGGCCATGGAAGACGCTGTCAGGAGGAGGTGAGAGGACTGGTGCCCAGGGGGAGAAGTGGCCAAGCACCTCTGCATTCAGCCTCACAAAAATCTCAAGGGGATGTAGAAATGGGGACAGGGTGAATGGAAAACTCTAGCAAGGTTTTGGGGCCCTGAGCTGATCTCTGTTTTTCTTCCTACAACCTGCAGCACATGCTATTTTCTCACCTCTGTGGATGGAAACACCACCCTTCCATATGCTCAGTCTAAAAATCTTTGAGTTTTCTTTGACTGCTGATCTTTCCTTCACATCCTATAGCTGTTTAGTCAAGAATTCACATTATGCTGGGCAATCAGGTGTTGTCCTTAATCGACACCATCCTTTTCACCCCGCCCCCCCCAGTTAATAAAACTTGTAAAGTCATTCTCCTGATAATAGGATTTCCATGAAATTGCACAATTTTAATCCTTCCTGGATGCATGACTCACGTAAGAGCACTGCTTTTGTTTACTACCATTTTCCCCTATTTTTATTTCATACCTGTTTGACCCGCACTCTTTCCCATAAGCCAGGCACTTCGGCTCAGGTGTGCTTTCCTAATTGTAGAATGAGCAATAATAGCAGCCTTGCTAACTTCTTCCTGGCCCCACCACCAGGCAAATGTCATAGGATTTAATAGGTAAAGAATCATAGGATTGCCAGGCGCAGTGGCTCACACCTGTAATCCCAGCACTTTGGGAGGCCGAGGCAGGAGTATCGTTTGAACCCGGGAGGCAGAGGTTGCAGTGAGCCTAGATCATGCCACTGCACTCCAGCCTGGGCAACAAGAACTAAACTCTGTCTCAAAAAAAAAAAAAAAAAAAAAAAAGGAATCTTAGGCTCGTCCCTATTGCTTGGTGTTATAAAATGAATTGTTTTCCCCTGAATTTATATGTTGAAAGCTTAACCCCCAACTTGACTGTATTTAGATATAGAGTCTTTAAGGAGGTAATTAAGGTTAATTAGACCATACAAGTGGGGCCCTAATCTGGTCAGAATGGTGTCCATATAAGAAGAGGAAGGGCATCAAAGAATCTCTCTCTTTCTCCACACAGGCACAGAGGAAAGGCTATGGGAGCACAAAGCAAGAAAGTGGCCTTCTGCAAGCCAGGAAGAGAGGCCTCCCCAGAAACCAACTCTACCAGCACATCGATCTTGGACTTTTGGCCTCTAGAACATTGAGAAAATAAAAGTCTGCTGTTAAACCACCCAACCTTTGGTATCTTTCTATGGCAGCCTGAGCTGACTAACACCCTTGGTAGGTGGGCAGCATTCACCTTATTGGGCTACATGATGAGAAGTTAAAGTAACTTTAGCAATAGGCACCATTTGATTTCATTGTATAGATATTGTGTCTTTTGCACTGATTTTGCCTTTTTTAGTTGTGTGTATATTGATGCCTGGGCCTAGCATTACAAGACTAGTCGAAATGGGAAGAAAGAAAAGAAAGTGGGAAAGATACCAAGTTCCATAATTGCATCCTCTACCCACATCCAGTTCTTAGAATCTTTTCCAATGGAGACTGCACCTTGTGTACACTCAAATTCAATCTGAGCGCACAATCATTTAGACAACCAAGGCAACTTTTCCAATTTTCAGCATCACACGCTTGGGAAAACAAGTATTTCAATCACTAATTTAAATATTCATTGAGGTAATTATTCTGAGGTTGATGAAAAATATGGTGTATCCATGTACTGTTGCCTTCTCCTGGGTCAAGAATGTTGTCTTTACTCTGCTGGCTCACATTTGACCAGAAATTGGAGTCCCAGCAAATCTTACTAGCCACTCAGGAAGCCTATTTTAAGATAGTCCCAATCTCAAACTTGTTCTAAGACTTGTATGCTGACTGAGGAGAAAGAGCCTCATGACAAAAATTCAACTAGAGCTGTGGGTGACAGTTGTGTGTCTCACTACTGGTCTGGGCCCAGGTTTCCCGTGAGCACCTAATGAATAGACTCATTTGCAGGGATCGTCAAGATGCTCACTATGTCTACCTCATAGCCTCAAAAGAAGTGATCAGCTAACAGAATTTGTGTAGTATCCTGAAGGGAAATTAATCCAGATATAGAGGAAAAGATAAGGATTTTTTAAAACAGACATGTGATTCAACAGTTGTTTAAGATGCAGAAAGCTGTAAGAGACAGTTGTTCCCACTCTAATGACAAGAAAAAGCTGTATGGTCTGCAAAATCATACGTGCTTTGATCCCACCAGAGAGCTGAAGTTGCAAGGCCCCTGAGTCAGCTGAAGTCCAAAGCGTGAGAAAACCCCCTATAGAAGGACAAACACATGAAGCAGTTCATCTTTGACAGATAATGGAAGGAAAAGATGGCAGCCATAAATGTTCATTGGAGAAAATCACTGAAGATTTCATCATTTCTTAAAGGCCAAGTGTGAACTATTGTGACAGATTAGAAACTCTGAGAGTCCCAGATACATAGCATGGTTTTGCCCATTTGCTGGGTCCTTCCTCCCACATCCTTAGTGCTGACAAGACACATGTAACAGGGAAAGAGGATTTCTCAAGCTTGCCACAGTGGCGTAGGCATAAAAGTCATGATCACATGATCGACCACCACCAGAGTACAGGCACAAAACCTGGTTGCTTCTCACATAAAACAAAAGGCATCTACCACTGATGTTGGAGCTAGGAACTCGTCCAACCCTTGGCCCCAGGGATAGGGCAACTGCTGAGGTAGGGTTAGACAGAAAAACTGTCTGTATTGGACAAGGGGAGGAGACTTGCTCTTGCCCAAGACTTCCCATCATTGAAAGGTAGTGTTCCGCTACCCCAAGGGGATGTCACAGGAACACTAGGACCCAGGTATCCATGGCCTGAGGCTTGATACACATTCAGTGCAATCAGTAATGTGAGTTGGTTTCGACCAATCATTTGAGTTGGTTGCAGACCCTTTCCTCTAATGAGGAAAAACTGTGATGTGGGTACAAAGTTTCCACGTTCAGAAAGATTGGCCTTGTCCTTTTTTTTTTTTTTTTTTTTTTTGCGTGAAAGTTCCTTCTTAAATACTGACAGCAAGTTTAGAGCCCATCTCAGATCCCTGGCTGTGCTCCATCAGCCCAACAGCCACAGACCCAAAATTCAAAGTAGCCATGCGCCCCGAGAGCCCAACCTGCCTGGCCACGCACAGGCCAGCCATGGTCCCAGGAGTGGGCGTGTGCCCCCGACACCACACAGCTGTGTCCCTCCCTTCCATCCCCCACCCACAGGCAGAGCTGGAAAGATCAGCACCACGGAGAGAGACGAGCATGGCCAGTCCCAGGTCCCCAGGCCGCCCTGCCTACCTGCCCCATCCCTCCCGCACTGTCCCCTCAGAGCTGGGTCCTGGGCTGAGACTCCCCAAACTGTGACCTTCAAGGCTTCTCACACAGCTCACCCCAGCCTCACGGCCTCCAGCTCTGCCGCTCACTGTCCCCACCACACTCTCCCTGGACCCCCACCCCTCCAGCTGCTGGGGCAGGAAATCAAGCCTCCGACTGACCCTCCTGGTGGGACCCCTGAAGAGAAAGGCGTGTAAGGGGGACTCTGTGCACACCTGCGTAAGAGGGACTCTGCACACCTGCAGAACCGCCCATCCCTGGAGCCCGGCCTGCAGTCACCGTCGAGAGGAGAGGCCTGGAGCACAGAGTGGATCCTGGGGCATGGGGACTTTGCCGTTGGCAGAACACGCACCCTGGGGGGAAGGGCCCTGGCTCCATCGTGCCCAGCAAGTACCTGGCCCATATCAGGGACATATGAGTGAAGAACAGACCACCTGGTCCAGTCCCCACTTGCCTGAGGACAGCAGCCCAGACCCCCATGAATGATGAAAGTCCTTCTCTGGGTTGAGCTGAAACCTCCCTTCCTTATCTCCCACCCATGTCCCCCGTCCCCCTGGGAAAGTCTGCGGTATCCAAGGGCAGCCCTGGGCTCCTTCAGCTCTCCAGTCCCCATGGTGAAAGATCCGCAGAGAGGCCAACCCTCCCTTGGGTCGGCTATGCCAGGCGGGCATATGAGAGGCCCCAGGCGTCTGCAACGCTGGCCCGATGCCCATCCAGTGAGCCAGCCCCATGCTGCTTCTATCCAGGGAGTCTCTGGATTTGGGCTCCTCAGGCAGCAGAGCACACATGGAGACGCGGAGACCCCAGAGAAGACCCCACAGGACTGGAGCCCAAGGCCAGGGTCAGCCTCCCAAGCACAGCACAGCCAAGCCCCAGGTCTCACGCCCGGGCAGTGTGGACCCTCACCCCGCACAGAATCAGGGGACCCTGGGGGCTCTCAGTGGGCCCAGTTCTGCCCCCCAGTCCAGGAGAGTGTTAAGAACCCTGAAATGCAGGAAGGAGGCAGAGAGGGAGGGGGGAGACACAGAGAAAGAGAGCGGGGGCATGGGCCAGGCCCTCCATAAGGACCCAGCCAGGGGCGTGTGCTGAAGAGGGGGCCAGGATCCCACCCTATCAGAGCAGCACCTCCTCAGGCTGTTACATCCCCAGCATGGCTGCCAGGCCTGTCCCCACGGACATGGAGGCCCGATGGGAGGCCACTGTCAGGAAGGGGCACCAGAGCTTGGTCACAGGGTCCTAGATCAGCAGCCACCCGCCACCGCCCCACCTGGTCCTCACAGCCACACCACATGGACTGCACGTGGGCCAGGGCCCTGCATTGTGGGGTGGAGTTGGTGGGTTCTCACTGACACGAGGGGGGCTGTGGAGCCCCCAGTCAGGCAATGCCTGGAGTGATCCCAGCCCCAGCCCCAGAACACGGGGGCTCTCCCTGCTTTCCAGGGACTTGTCAGAACTCAGCCCCCGCTCCACCGGTTCCAGCCACACTAGGGGTGAGGGAGGGAGGGTCAGGGCCTACAAAGGCCATTTCCAGCCTCTGGTAGGGAAAGGGAGAGAATGTCTGGCAAACCCCAGCCCGACCCGGCACTGGAGGTCGGGGTGCTGCACCTCCCGCAGGGCTGCAGTCCAAGGACCCCAGGCTGAAGCAGAGCCTGTGGCAGAAGAGTCCCGTCACAGCATGGACACACCCAGCTCGGTCCATGCTCCAACGTGTCCTGGCCCCTCGGGCACAGTGTCTCTTGTCACCTGTGTTCAGACACAGCGTCAGGTCGCCTTGTGGGAAGGCAGCGTCTCTGGGCTGTCACCTGTTTTCAGACACAGCGTCAGGTCGCCTTGCGGGAAGGCAGCGTCTCTGGGCTGTCACCTGTGTTCAGACACAGCGTCAGGTCGCCTTGCGGGAAGGCAGCGTCTCTGGGCTGTCACCTGTGTTCAGACACAGCGTCAGGTCGCCTTGCGGGAAGGCAGCGTCTCTGGGCTGTCACCTGTTTTCAGACACAGCGTCAGGTCGCCTTGCGGGAAGGCAGCGTCTCTGGGCTGTCACCTGTGTTCAGACACAGCGTCAGGTCGCCTTGCGGGAAGGCAGCGTCTCTGGGCTGTCACCTGTGTTCAGACACAGCGTCAGGTCGCCTTGCGGGAAGGCAGCGTCTCTGGGCTGTCACCTGTGTTCAGACACAGCGTCAGGTCGCCTTGCGGGAAGGCAGCGTCTCTGGGCTGTCACCTGTGTTCAGACACAGCGTCAGGTCGCCTTGCGGGAAGGCAGCGTCTCTGGGCTGTCACCTGTTTTCAGACACAGCGTCAGGTCGCCTTGCGGGAAGGCAGCGTCTCTGGGCTGTCACCTGTGTTCAGACACAGCGTCAGGTCGCCTTGTGGGAAGGCAGCGTCTCTGGGCTGTCACCTGTGTTCAGACACAGCATCAGGTCATCCCTGAGCCGCACACTTGCACATGGGCTGCTGCTCCCCTGGGTGGACCCTCCTTGCCCATGGGGACCCTCTGTGGGGCCCTGAGCTGGGCCTGGCTTCTCCCTGAGAAGTGCCTGCCACCATCTGAATTGGCCTGCGTCCACAAAGCCCAAAAGAACAGGAGGCCACAGTGGTTGCCCAGGAAGCTCAGGGTCAGCAGTGCCTCGGCCCCTGAGCTCCGCTGACCAGACTGCCTCCTGGTGCAGCGGCCACACACCCACACACCCTCTCTTCAACCCACAGGAGGCCGGGTCCAGGGAGAAAGCTGGGCTCTAATTACATGTCCTGGAAAGAAATCCCAGTTTAATTTAGACTAAAACAAGAAGCCGTGGTTGGAAAGCTCCCCCGGAGAGCCACCTGCCTGAGCCAGGATGTGTTTCTCTGATGTCCCCAAGGGCCATGGAGGGTAGCACCAGACTGGAGCCACAACAGGGGTGGGGACGCCCAGGGCTTTGGGGTTCTGGGGGCCCTGACTTGTCACCCTGCCCATGTCCCTGACCCCCAGGTGCAACCAGCCCCACAGGGCCAGAGGCTTGACAGGGGCTTCCTGAGGGGCCCGGGAGGGCAGAGGCAGTGACGTGGGGACAGGACTGGGAGCATGGACGCACGTGAGACTGGCTGGGGCACGGAAGGGGAAAGGCACCTGCGCCGATGGGTGACAGACTCCGGAGGCACCACGGGGCTTCCCGTGGGCTCTACCTTTTCTGGGTGTCAGAGCCCACCTGCCACGTTCTCCAGCGCCACTCCCTGGTACAAACCCTCACCACTCCCACCTGGATCACTGCTTCCGGCTCCCACTCTCCTTCCCTACCGTCTACACTGTGCCCCCAGCACCCATCACGAGTCAATTGGGCCACACCTGTGCTCAGAGCCCTCCAACGCCCGAGCCAAGGCCCCCCTGCCCCCACCACCCTCCCAGCCTCTCCCCTGCTGGAGCTGCTCCCCAGGGGCCACCCCACCCCAGTGGAAGGACACACTACACCCCGACTGCCCTGCAACACTCACTGCCTGCCTCGCCCAGGAGGACGCAGCCTCTGAGAGGGCAGGAACGGCCTGTGTTGTGCACTACTGTGTCCCCAGCAACTGGAACAGGGACGAGGAGGTAGTAGCTGCGCTCGACGAGCCCCTTCCTAAGGAATGAGTGAATGGATGACAAGGGGACAAAGAAGGGGTGGATGGAGGGTGGGGCAGGGGGAGTGAGAGGCTGGGGCAGCGGATGGAGGGGCTTCTAGTCCACGCACTCACTCACTCGCTCCCTCTCCCTCTGTCTCACTTCGCACCCCACCTTGGCTGATGGACGTGCTTCCAAATTCAGTGGAAACTTGGACACAGTTAGAGGACTTCCACGCCACCCTTCCTGCATCTGCTGGTCTATGCAGATGCACAGGCCCGCACTCCCGGAGGTCCTGGACTCTGCTTCCCTCACGGCTCCAGGGCTGTCCCCTTTCTGTCCACACTGTCCACTTGTCCTTCCCTCCTGGACTATGCACGTGGCATGGACGGGCTGTAAACCCCCAACTTCATAAAACTCTCCTGGCCTCCATCTCCCTCCTGCCCCTGCCCCTGTCACTCTGCCTCACTTTGCTGCAAAACTCTCTAAAAGACAAGCATTGCCTACAGGTGCCCACCACAACCCCTCTCCTCCCATTCCCAGCAAGCCCTCACCCCCACCACATGGCTGGACCAGCTCCTGCCTCAGACCCACGGGGCGCAGTGCACAGCCTTGGGTCCTCTCGTGGCCTCTGCAGAGGCCTCTGCATGCTCTTCCTTCCCAGAACACCGTCTACGCCAGGCACACCTCCGCTGCTCCGCCAACCTCACCGCCAGCTGCCACTTGTAAGTCCAGGTGCCCTGGTCTCCATCACAGGGCAGCTCTTCCTCCACACTTCCCATTCCCTGGGGATCCTGGGTGGTCTCAAGCTCTGAAGATGACTGGGACACCCATGTCCCTCGAATCACCACCTCCAGCCATACCTCTTCCCAGGCTGCTAGATGGCTCACCCCTCACGCTCTCCAGTCCTTCCTCTGAAGACCCTATGCAAAGTGGCACCTCCAGGCCTGCAACCTGCATGCTTTATCTCATTTCACATGTGGGGAAAAAAAGCCCGCAACTCATCACCATCCACTCATCCGTCCACCCGCCGACTGCTCTCTGGGGCACGCCCATGCCGCAACTCATCACCATCCACTCATCCGTCCACCCGCCGACTGCTCTCTGGTCATCCGTCCACCCGCCGACTGCTCTCTGGGGCACGCCTATGCCGCTGTGCACCACACCAGGCTGCAAAGAGACCAGGCCCGGGAGGTGTCTTGTCCCCAGAACATGGGCCACCGGGCAGAGGTTCAGCTGTCTTCCTTCACTCCTGAGTCCTCAGCACCTGGCAGAGGCTCCATGAACACTGAATGAATGAATGATGAACAGGTGGAGGGAGGGCTGGCAGCAGGGCTGCCCACCTGGCTGGACAGACACAGGGCCAGAGAGCTGAGCAGAGGGCAGGATGGTGGATGGGGCATGGACGGGAAGGCAGACGGAGGCAGGGAAGTGGCGGCCTTCCCGCCTCCTCCCACCTCCTCCCCGTGGCCTGAGGTCCTTAAGAGCTGCGCCCTAGCACTCAGTGGGGCTCTTGCTGGAGTGAACTGCTGGAGGCCCCCATGTCAGACACAACCGGACCCCTGTCCTCACCCCAGGCCCACTCTGTGTGGGGAGCCGGCTCAGCCCCGACCCCACCCTGGTAGCACGGTGTTATTGGAAGCGGGGAAGGGAAGCCTCACTCCTGGGCCCAGAATCTCTCTTGGCAAATGATCCACTCAGACGACCACAGGAGACGGCCAGGCGCCAGGAGCCCTCCTGGAAAGGAGGCAGAGTCCTGTGGCAGGGACCCAGCCACTGTGACCTCACCCCGGCCCAAGCGAGTCAGAGGAGCTCCAGGTGGCCACACATGGGCTGACCCAGTCAAGAGCATGGCTGGGAACTGAGGGCCTGGAGGCCCTGGGCACACACAAGAGCAGGAAGCTGCCAGCAGCCCTCACAGGCCTAGGGTTTCTCAGAAGCACACTCTGATGATCCTCACAGTACCCCAGCCCAGGCCCCACAGCTGCTCCCCAGGGCAGCAGGAGCTCGGCAGCATTACAGCCGACTACAGCCCCCCCACAGCCCAGACGCACTCACGCAGGCTAACAAAGGGTGCCCCAAAGTCCTGGGAGAGAAGCAAAGCGGAGACAAGGGGACAGAGCGCCCGCCTTCCCTCCCAGGTGAGAACACGGAGGCTCAGAGCCTCTCCAGGCAGCAGGAGGCATGGACCCAGGGCCTCCTCCATAGCTCCACACCAGCCTCAGGAGCAGAGCGGCCCCAGCTGGCCTCTGAGGGTGCTCAAGGCTTTGCCAAGCAACAGGCCAGGGTGTCTGCCTCTCCCTCCAACCCTCTGAGCACCAATTAAATCAACTCTAATTAAAAACAACAAACTAATGAGAAATACCGCCCACTACCCACAGGCCCTTGGCTCACAAGGGTGAGGTGAGGGTTCCTCCCTGGGCTCCCCATGGACCAGCACTCGCCCCACAGCAGACCCAGCCCCCTCCACACACAGATACGCACACAGGGGTTCACGTGTCCCCAGGTGCCCCACACGAGAGCAGCAAAGCGGCTCCCTCCTGTGACTTGGAGCCAGCATGTGGCCCCGTGGGACACAGATCACCTCCAACCCGGGGTTCCCTGCACAACCCAGGCTGCCTGGAGGGAAGACGTGTGGAGGCAGAGGAACCTGGGAGCCACCCCAGCAACGCCCAGGCCCTGCTGCAGACACAGGCGAGCAGAGACGTGCCCAAGCCAAGGGAAAGAGGGGCAGAAGAAAAGAGGGAGAGGCAGAGAGACACCAAGACACCAAGAGGGCCAGAGACAGAGAGCGTGGAGAGGAGACAAAGGGCTAGACAGGCAAAGTGGGAGGAGGAGGGAGGGGGAGGGGGAAAGATGGGAGAGGAGGGAGAGGGAGAGAGATGAAGAGAAACAGAAGAGGGAGGCGGGAAGAGGAGGGGGAGGGGGAAGAAGGGGAGGGGAAGGAGGAGCAGCCCTGGACCCAGTCTATGTGTGCTGGGAGATCCAGGGGTCCTGCCCAGGGCTTGGTACAACTCCTCCTGCCTCCTCTCCTGGCCCTCAAGGGCCGACACACTCAGCACCATGGACAGCGCCCCATGAGGCCGGGTCCTGCCGCCTCTACCCAGCTGCCCGCTGGCCCGCACCCCCCAGCACTGCTTACACCCCAACAATTCATTACTTCAGCAGAGGCACACTGCCCCTCCTGGGTGCCCACTCCAAGTGAGGCTCTAGGGACCTCCTGAAAAAAATAAGGCACCGTTGTCCTCAGGGACTTGGGTCCACAGGGAGAGAGAGGGGTAAACAGCTACCATGACTCCTGGGCTGCTTCTGGGAGTGCCCACTGGATGTGGGAGCGCCCAGTCCTCTGAGAGGCCACACTCTCCACCAGCCACCTCCCACCCCAGCCCCCAACGGGCATTGCTAGCGGAACCACAGACCCCCACAGGGCCTTCCATAAATTCTACCCCAGGGCCGTGGAGCCACAGACCCCCACAGGGCCTTCCATAAATTCTACCCCAGGGCCGTGCTGCAGAAAGGCACAGAATCCACCTCAATGCTGCTGTGCCCAGCACATCACAGACAGCTCTGGGGGCTGAGCCTTCCGTGTGACACTCCCAAGCCCAGACAGCTCTGGGGGCTGAGCCTTCCATGCGACACCCCCAAGCCCAGTTCTGTACATGCTGCTCTCATCCAGCAGGGGCCAGCCCCAGGCTCAGGAGCAGGCAGAGCAGATGGGGGCAGCACCCCGGGATCCAGGCAGGCAATGCGAGGCTCCCTCTGAGGGCCTCACCCAAGAGACCAGAGGCCATGTAGCCGACTGCTTCTTCCTCACACACACAGAACCTTGAAGGCATGAGCCCCAGACTCGAGGACTCCACAGCCATCTCCTTCCTCCTCTGCCACCAGCCCAAACACCCCTCCATATACCCTCCTGTGCACCAGGCATCTTGGGGCAGTCACTGGGTGAGGATGGGGCTCTGGAAGGAGAGCTCTCGCCTGCTGTGGGGCCTGCTCCCTCCTCTTCCATCTGGGCTCTGAGCCTCGGAACCATAAGGCTCAGAAAAGAGCAGACAGTGGTCTCTGGCCCAGCACAGGGCCTCTGACACTGAAGCGCTAACAGGCTCTGTGGGGGCAACTCCCCAAGCACTCACTCCCCAGCCACCACTCTCCACACCAGAGCCACAGCAGCCCAGCCCAGCCTTCCGCCTGCCAGTCAGGGAAGCAGGAAAGGGGACCTCACAGTGCCCACTGCACAGGTTGGGGAGTTAACACCCTGGAGGGTGGGGTGCAGAGCACTGGACCTGAGCTCCCATCCAGGCCCCTTGGGTCCATCTTCTAGATGTGCTGGTTACTTTGGCAATCACAAGCTGTTGTTAGGGTAAGTGGTTGAGGAGAAACTGCCGAAGCACCTTCCTGGCACAGGAACTGTGAAAGCACTCGACACACACAGCCTCATCCCAGGCAGCACAAGGGCTCTGAGCGAGGTGGACACCACAGGTGAGCGTCTCAGGCAGGCACAGAATTCAAACCGCCAAGTGCCCCTCCCAGACCACAGGCTTGGGTGAGGCCAGAAGTCCAGCCCTCCTCCTCGCTAGGAAGCCCCTCACCTGGGCAGCAAAGCCACCTCCAACAGGCACCATGCTGGCTCAGGCCAGCCATGGAAGCTGGTGGCCCCTGGCCTGTGCGCTCTGCAAGCCAGCGCCTCCTGGGGACAGGTCACTGTGATCCTTCCGTCAGCGAGAAATACAGCACTGGCACCTCTGGGAGAAGCACCCCCATAGCACACAGGGTGGCAAACAGACTGTCTCACATTCGTTCATCTCCAGCAGGGCTGTGAGGGGACCCCAGTGAAGGGACTGCAGCTGCCCCAGCTCCACGGCGCAACTGAGCTTCAGAGAGCACACGCCCGGGCCGCACACGCTGGGCCTCCTGGCCTCAGCTTGCCTACCCTGTGAGGACGACCACGAAGTCCATGACCTTCCAGCCGTTCCGCAGGTAAGAGCCCTTGTGGAAGACAAAGCCCAGAGCGATGATTTTGATCCCTGCCTCGAAGCAAAAGATCCCGATGAAATAGGGCTCCGTGTCGTCCAGCCGCTCGGACATGGGCGTTTTGTCCCCATCAGGGAGGTGCTGCTCCAGGGCCAGCACGATGCAGTTGGCGATGATGGTGGCCAGGATCATATACTCGAATGGAGGCCACTCGGTGATGCGCTTCGCGTATTTGCGGACGACGTTGTCCTCGCTGAAGACGAAGAGCGAGCGGTTGACGGTGAAGCAGTTCTGCTTGACCGGGATGGGGTTGTACAGCGCCATGGTCCGCGCGCGCTGCGCGATCGATTGCTTGTAGAGGACCCGCTGGCCGGGCTGCAGCCCCCCGGGACCCGGGACCCCCGCCCCGCCGGCCCCGCCGCCCCGGGCCCGCTCTCCGCCGCCGGGGCCCCCATAGCGGCCGCCCAGCTCGTCCCCGAAGCGGACCATGGCTCCCGGGCCCCGCGTGCATCCCCGGCCCAGCGGCCCCGGCAGGGAGGGCGCGGGGCGCGCCAGACGCTCAGAGCGGAGCAGCCACGGAGCCGCCGGGACCGCAGCAGACCTCGCCCGGCCCCACCGCCGCAGCCGCCGCCGCCTCACCCGACTCGGCCTTGTCCTTACAGATATTATATTGATTGGATTTCTCTCAACCTCCTTAAGTTGTGTTTACCATTATTAAAATTAAGTGACATTCACTTGGAAGAAGTGGTAATACAAACAGGTTGTGAGAATTTCTAGTGATTTTTGATCCCAAGCCTTGTATCACTGTTGGGTCTTCATGTGTGTACTTGAAAACAAAACATGTACAATTGTTGCACTGGTTTGAAGATTTTAATGGTGGAAGTGACCTAATCAGTAATCAGTACTGTATCTAGAAACGAATCTTGGAAATATGTGATTATGCTCTTTTAAAATAGCTGAAAAGAAGGCTGGGTGTTGTGGCTCATTCCTATAATTCCACACTTTGAGAGGCCGAGGTGGGCAGATCACTGAAGGCCAGGAGTTCAACATGGTGAGACCCTGTCTTTACTAAAAACACAAAAATCAGCTGGGCATGGTGGTGCCCACCTGTAATTCCAGCTACTCGGGAGGCTGAGCAAGAGAATCCATTGAACCTTGGACTCGAAGGTGGAGGCTGCAGTGAGCTGAGATCCTGCCACTGTACCCCAACCTGGGTGACAGAGGGAGATTCTGTCTCAAAATAAATAAATAAAATAGCTGAAAAGAAATGACAGTGTGTTTACTCTCACTTTGTTCTTGTTTTGTTGTATAGTATTTAAATAAAAGGAGATTATTTATCCTCATACTGAATTTCTAAAAGTGATATTTGCATTTAGCATTTTGTTAAATGATGGAGAGAAAATTTAATTGTCTTACTTTGAAAAGTTTGGCATAGGTTCTGTCACATTTTTGATGCTTTCGATCACAGTTCTGTCATTAGAATGCTGGCAACTAGTTACATGCAAGGAATATCCTAACCACTTTAATACAATGGTTTGAAGTGCTGCAGGCAGTAACTACTGGACAGCAGATCACAGTGACATGAGAGAGAGAAATAGAACTTTCTGCAGTACAAATGTCCTGTGAACTAATCCTTGTGCTATTAGCTTACAGGGCTTAGACTCCTGGGTCTGAAAAAGGCACATACTTCTGCTAAATCTTGAATACTGATGCCAATGAATGCCTCGTCTTCAGACCCTGGGGAAGATGACAATCAAAATGAACTGCTTCCATGAGACACAGAACCAGAAATTGAAACCATTCCATCCCTCTAGGCCCAACAATCCCACATGCACCCTTTTCCACCTCATGCCCCCTCTTCCTCTGGACAGAAGAGGTGGGCACATGAGAATTTTAAGGCTGGAGTCTGAGAGATAAGTTTAGTTCAGAGACTTTCTTTTCTTTCCCTCTTCTCTTTTCTTTTCTTTTCCTTCCTTCCTTCCTCTCTTTCTCTTTTTTTTTTTTTTTTTTTTTTTTTGGTAGACACAATGTTTCACCATATTGCCCAGGCTAGACTCAAACTCCTAAGTTCAAGTGATCCACCCACCCTGGCCTCTCAAATTCAGAGATTTTTCTATAAATTAGACTTTACACTCAGAAACACACTGATGCAAGGCCAGCAACTGGGCCCGTGTGTCAGAATAACAGGGTTTTCTTGAGCATTCATCTGCTTTTTCATAGAAAAGTATAAAAGGTCATGAAAGGTTTTTGAAACTCTTACCTTATGGTTGAACTGATTATAATTAAATTTGTGTATAAGGTTTCATTAAAATTAGCTTTAACATTTTAATACATCACACAAAGGCAAAATTTGGTTTTCTCTTGATCAAAATGTTTGTGTAATATTAATAAAAATTATTAATTATTTTGAAAAATTTTTTAAAAATTTATTTTAAATTTTATTTTAAAAAATAAAAATTATTAATATTAATAAAATAAAATATTTTTGTTTACCTTTTGCCTAAATGATTGACTATTTTAAGGTGACCTGTGATTCTATTTTGTGATATCAAGTCTCTCAAAACTTTGGCTAACTTTCTAAGAGTAAAATTTTCATATTGAGCCTTTTGGGCCTCAAATTAACTTTTTGGATATTAGGTTCTTGAAGTCCAAGAGAGATATATTAGGCTTCTTAGGCTTATTTGTTATGTAGAATTCTGCAAGAAGCATTGTCAAATCTGAGGTGGTGTTTCACTTCCTTTGGGTTCTATTGACACAGATGTGTTGTTAATGTGTGTTCCAGGATAGTATGAGATTCCTAGAGTTCTGCTATGCTGTCAGTAATAATTATGATTATTATGTTAAATTGTGTGTGCCACAGAAGCAACAGAATTCCCTTGTCAACTGTGTCTATAACCATGGCTGTCTTAAGGCTTTTGTTATCCACAATTGTTGTTTTGCTTTGATTCTTCTCAAAAAGTGACTTATAATCAGTTACAGTCCAGGCCTTGCTTCTTTGGGGAAGTCCACGAAAAGGACTCTTGGATGCAGGTTTCTGATAACTTTGGAGATTGTGCCATTGAAGTAAAAAGAAAATTTCACCCAGGGCACTAATAGAAAGGCTGATATGTTCATAAAGATTGCTAGCCCACTATGAAGCAGAGCAGGAGCTGATTGTATGGACTGAACTAATGGAGGACTGAAGTAAGTTTTTATGGTCTTTGTTTGTTTGTTTAAAACATTGTTTATTCTTCAAAGCCTGGAGAACTTTTGTCATTTTGAGCTATTTATAGCCTGCAACAATTGAGTAGAATAGTCTTCTAAACAGAATTTGAGGCATATTTTTCTCTCTCTGCCGAATTTCTCCAGAATTTGTAAACTGAATATTCTTAACTCATGATGATGTGTTTGTTTGCATAAGTTCAATAAGATTCTGTTTTCTTTTATAACAGGACACAGGTGGAGGAACTGGTAATCTTCTCAGGGCTTTGCCTGAAATGGTGTTGTGAAATGTTCCAGCAAAGCCCATTTAGGAGAGCCTATATGGACAAGGATTCTTGCTGCACTTTGTGTGGGTAATCAGGCCAAGTATATGGGACTGAAGCTTCTTTTGCAGGTAGGTTGGTCCTGCTGTGTTTTGTCTTTAGTGGAAATGGGGAACTGGACAGAGGAAGATTGTGTTTCAGGAGAAACTACAGTATTAGATGAATGTTTGATTCCTGGGTGGCCATGCGGTCACCCATGGTGTGGAGCTGCTCAGGATGCCCCTTCTCCTCATGACAAAGCCAGAAAGATGCATGACCAGATTCCCCATGATTGAGGAACTGACAAATAGAAAGTGGGGACTGAAATCGACCCAATAGTCCCACATACAGTGTTTTTGGATAGACTTAAAAATGGACCCTTCTGGTCTTAAAGCTTGAAACTTACATTTGTTTTATCTGAGTTCCTTCCTCAGGAAAGGACCCTCAGCCTCTCAAAAAGCATCATAGACCTGAAACTCAGCAGATCACAGCATCCAGACAATGACTTGCCAGTCCCTTCACTCATCATGAGTGCTTCCTCACCCTTCCCTAGTTCCTCTTTTCCCACACACAGTTACGTTTCTTCCCTGCTGTATAAACCCCTCGTTTTAGTTGATCAGGGAGATTGATTTGAGACTGATCTCCCATCTCCTCAGCTGCAGCACCCAATTAAAGCCTTCTTCCTCGGCAATACTCAATGTCTCAATGATTGGCTTTCTGTGAGCTGAGCAGCAGGGCCTAGACGGAACTCCTGGGCTTTCAGTAACGATGCATGTACACTTTTAAACACTGCAATTAATGGGTCATGAGATATTGAGAAATTGGAATGGCATCAACTTGGCCAATTCTGAGAAAACACACTGTGCTTAAATGTCAGGGCCCTGCCTCCTGACCTCGACAGTATATGGTTGATTTTGAGTCATAGCAGGTGAGTATGGCCTGGTTTCAGTGTTTTATAGAAATATAAAATATGGCTGATCGCATTTATTTTAAATCCAACATATCTCCATTTCTGGTGAGAAAATTTTTTTAAAACCAACCAAACAAACAAACATAGAAGAATATGAATAAAAAAATAAGGGATTCCCTGCTTCCCAATCTCACTTGATTGCTGTCTTCTGTTATATACTAAGGGAGGAAGGGGGCAAGGTGCCCAGGAAGTCCCACGTCCTGTTTTGATAATCATCTGGCCTCCTTGGGCAAACAGAAAACAGGGAAAGCATAAAGAAAATAACAGAAATTTTGCAGAAATTTCATCTCCGGTCTGGGCGCAGTGGCTCACGCCTGTAATCCCAGCACTTTGGGAGCCCAAGGTGGGCAAATCACTGAAAGTCAAGAGTTCAAGACCAGCCTGGCCAACCTGGCAAAACCTCATCTCCACTAAATATACAAAATTTAACCAGGCATGGTGGCCCACGCTTGTAATCCCAGCTACTGCGGATTACAATCACTTGAACCCAGCAGACAGAGGTTGCAGTGAGGGGAGATCGCCCACTGCCACTGCACTGCACTCCAGCCTGAGCAACAGAAGGAGACTCTGTCTCAATGAAAGAAAGAGAGAGAAAGAAAGAAAGAAAGAAAGAAAGAAAAGAAAGAAAGAAAGAAAGTGAGGGAGGAAGGGAGGGAGGAAGGGAGGGAGAGAGAGGAAGGAAGGAAGGAAAGAAGGAAGGAGGGAAGAAGGGAAGGAGGGAGGGAGGGAGGAAGAAAATGAAAGAAAGAAAGAGAAAGGGAAAGAAAGAAAGGAAAGAAAGAGAAAGAAAAAAGAAGGAAAGAAAGACAAGAAAGAAAGAAAGAAAAAGAAAGAAACAAGAGAGACAAAGAAAGAGAGAGAGAAAGAAAGGAAGAAAGAAATTTCACTGTGGCACAGGAAACTCTATGACCGAGGCTTCAAGGGCTCTTCTCTGGCCCTAAACTCACAGTGGATTTTGCCTCATTTTCCGAGGTGCAAATGAAATGATGGAAGTCGATCAAAGGAGAGGGCAGAGAGAAAGTAAGAAGGATGGCTCCTTCCTGCAGGTCCACCTTCCTCGAGTGTTGCTTGTGGGATAATAGAAATGCCTTGACATGGTTGAGTGGGAACTATTGCTACTTATTGGGAATTCAGACGCTTCCGGCAAACTTGCACGATGAGGTTCCATGGTGTAATGGTGAGCACTCTGGACTCTGAATCCAGCGATCCGAGTTCGAGTCTCGGTGGAACCTTTCTGTTTAATTAGGACGGCAATGTTGTGTTTTACTCCCTAAATGGAATGGGGATTCCGCTGACGTTCAGAAACTCTGCGCTGTGGGCCTCCGTGTCCCTTCTGCTCCCGCTGTCTGAGCCTCGCGATGTACCCCGCGCTCCTCGTCCCCTCTTCGTCTCCCTCTTCGGTGTTCGGGGTCCCAGAAACCGGGTTCTCGCAGTGGCCCGGACCACAGGGAAATTGCCGAGTCATCCAGTCGGGATCAGCGAGCCTGCAGGGTCCCCTTCCTGGGCGAGCCTCCTGGCACCCAGCAATCGGAGGCCCGGACACCCCCGCCAGGGACCCAGCGACCCAGGAAGTCCCCACCCCCTCTCAGAGCGACCCTGGGCCTCGGGCTGACAGGTCTCCTCCACTAAAAAGGCTGCTGCCCCTCTATCCTACACCCCGAGATTCCTTTCACTCGGGAATCTCCTAATGGCACCCATTGTCTTTTTGGTAAGTAAACGGTGGCGTGAGAAATTCTGATGGGGTTAGCTCAGTCATTGGAGAGTGTGTCTCAGTTTAGGATCGATGGTTCCAGACCTAACTTGGCAGTAGCACTGCTTTATTCAGATGGCCCATCCTATTCCGAATGTTAATTTGCTCTGTTCTTCATATTCAGATTTTTATGCCGAATTTCTAGCTCCTGCGTCTCTATTGCGGGCCCTAAAAGTCGCTGTTTCACTAAGCTTTGGAACCTGACTCCGGGAAATCTCATTCTTTCGTCCCAAGATCTCAGCCAGAAAGAGAGTTCCGCGCGGCGGCGTCTTCAAGCGCGCGGGCTGGGAGCGCGGGTTCTGATCCTGGGTCGCCCCGGCCGAGCTCCCTCAGGGCCACGGGGAAGAGGAACCTGAGCAGCTCTGAGGGGCGAGTCTCTGAAGATGGGGCTCCCCCTTCTCCCGTCAGGACCCTGCCCCAAGGAGAAGACGCCTTAGTTAAAAATGTTTTCTCCTGCTCTTCAGAGCACTTGGGATGAGGTTCCTGATGGGTCTTGGGAGCGAACTAAGATGTCACTCCAGGCGCTCAGGACCATCGCTCTCATTTTCATATTTTGGGGCTGAGAGCGGTTACAAAGGACTGAAAAATACCGCAGTCTTTGAGGGGCTCAGTTTGGAGGACGAGCCGGGGTTGAGGGGGGTTGACGCCTTCTTGGCTCCTTGGAGTGGACTGGCAGGTAAGGAAACACAAACTCCGTTTCCCCTTGCAGGCAGAACTGCAGGACCTGGGATGGAAAATTGGACAGTCAAAGAGTAACAATATTTATGTAGAGGTGGGTTGCGTGCATTAAAAATTGTTATCCCTACAGATAAGTGTAGGAAGGGACCAGGGCACTGCTGTTCACCACCAGCTTTGCAGCATATGTAACTTTGATAACAGTGTATAGTGCATAAAAATTCATTCCTGTTCACAAATATTTGATCACAACCAGTTACAGGTTTCTTTGTTCCTTCTCCACTTCCACTGCTTCACTTGACTAGCCCTATAGGAAAAAAGAATCATTCTTAAATATGATATTGTTTCAGTTGATCGCCAGCCCGCCCGTTCCCCACCCCCTGAAAGTAGCTGGGACAACAGGTGTGCACCACGTGCTGGGCTCATTTTTGTATTTTTAGTAGAGATGGGGTTTCGCCATATTGGCCAGGCAGCTCTCGAACTCCAGAACTCAAGTGATCCGCCTGCCTGGGCCTCCCTACACCTCCCTGCTGGGATTACAGGCATGAGCCACCCCACTTGGCCATCATTTGTATTTTGAATTTAAATATTTTGTAGTCATCACTCTTCAAAGATTCTGGGTTTTGCTGCATGTGCATGATGGGATTCAGGACATGCTACTCCAAAGTATAACATCTTGGGGTATTGAATATTTTATGCTAAAGGAATATGAGTAAACCACAGAAGCAGGAAGGTCACTGTCACCCTCCCCCTGCCCTTCCTCCCTGAAGTCCAGTATAAGACTCTTATGTGAGAGGTGCCCTCTCTGTACCCAGAGGAAAGGTGCATCCTTGATTCTGAAGACACAGGGACACAGAGAAGAGCCTGAACGCAGAGGCCTGGCTACCTTTCCCCCACTTTGTTACTGTTAGATCATACTTTTATTGACTTATCATACTTCTCCATGACTATTCATTCTTGAATAAACCTACTGTTAAAAAAACAAAAACAAAAACTGAGGTTTAGCTGTTTCCATGGGCCTTCATTTCCTTTGGAAGGCGTTCCTGTCATGTAAAATTTACATTAAATAAATCTGTATGCTCTTCTCTTGTTAGTCTGTGTTTTGCTGTGAGGGTCTCAGCAGCGAACCTAGGCTGGGTGAGAAAAAGTCATATTTCCTCCCCGACATGTACAAATGTCTTCCACTGTAAAGCTATATGTTTTTTTTTTTTTTTGACAGGGTCTCACTCTGTTGTCCAGGCTGGAGTGCAATGGCACGATATCAGCTCACTGCAACCTCCGCCTCCCGGGTTCAAGCCATTTTCCGGCCTCAGCCTCCCAAGTAGCTGGGATTACAGGTGCCTGCCACCACGTCCGGCTACTTTTTGTATTTTTAGTAGAGATGGGGTTTCACCTTGTTGGCCGGGCTGGTCTCGAACTCCTGACCTCAGGTGATCCGCCCGCCTCGGCCTCCCAAAGTGCTGGGATTACAGGCATGAGCCACTGCACCTGGGCAAAACTATAAGAATTTTACTGGGGCAGATTTGAAGCAAGAAATTGAATCATTATTCCCCTTTGGATGAGCTGAACACATGAGCTAATAAACTCCCAGTTCCTCCCAGATAGAAATACTTCTCTAGTTCATTCCCCGAAGCTCCTTGAGGGTCAAACCTGCTGGAGATTGAGGGGCCTTCCTGGGATCTCCCAGCCCAGGAGGTTACTGCTGGTGAGAAGATTGCTGCAGTCTCCCTGGGAGGGTGCACGGCCACTGGAAAGTATCACTGCTGTAACTTCAATACAACTGGTTTTCGTCACATCTGCTCTTTGTGCAGTGTTGCAGGCAAAATACAAGAGCTAACATGCACATGAGTAACACATGCACATCATCAGCTGTGTCTGCAACACAAAGTGCCACATGTCAGGCACAGTTGATTATGTGCATGTGTTTACTCATTCAGTCCTTACCTCAGGCCGAGGTCACACTATCACCTTCATCTTCCATGTGAGATGCACAAAGACGTTAAGTGACCTGTCCAGGGTCACTCAGCCAGCAAAGGAGGATTTGAAAGCAGGAATTTGAAGTGAAGGCAGCCTGTCTCCAGAAGACATTCTCAGAACCACTGCATTTATACTGCTCCTAACAAAACCACCGTTGCAAAAATTATGACAGTGAGAAAAACCTGACATAGGAAAACTATGACTGTGAAAGAAATCTGACCTAACTGACTGCATCTTACTTCTAACCTCTGAGCTGCCTTTGTCCACTCCTGGGCATAGGCCAGGCTAACTATGAGAGAAGTTTAGTTCCAAGTCTAAGTCTGAAACAAAGATGTCTTCCTGAGACAAACTCCTTCCTATCTTGGGGATCAGACCTCCTTAGCAAAGCTAACAAATTAGGTGCGAGATTGGAAATTATTGCTCAGGAGCCATGCAGCCAGAAGCCACATGATTCCTAAGCTCCCCAACTGTGCCTGTATATAAGATTATTGGTGTCAAACCTAAGATTGGTGTTCAAGGTATTTTTCAGACCCTGCCTTATGATGGACTAGCTGGCACACCCAGACCGGTAAACTGGCTCATCTGGTCCTGTGGCCCCCACTCAGGGACTGACTCAGTGCAGTGAACAAGCTCTGACACTGTGATTTCATCCCCAACCCAACCAATCAGCTTTGCACATTCCCTAGCCCCTTGCCTGCCAAACTATCCAAAAAAAAAAGAAAAAGAAAAAAGAAAAAAAAAACCCTAGTCTTTGAATTTTGGGGGAGGCAGATTTGAGTAATAATAAACCCCTGTCGTGGTCCCTCAGCTGCTTCTGCATTTATTAAATTCTTTCTCTATTTTAGAAAGCCTGCTGTTCTCAGCTCCATTGGCTTACCTGGGCAATGGGCAAGATAAACCTACCAGGCAGTTACATTAATAAAAGAGAAACACAAATGGTAAGCATGCTTGAAAAGAAATATAAGTCTGTGTATTTCTTTGGAAGAAACACAAAAGGAGGAGGAATGATAAGACAGGCAATAAATACACTGTCCTAAATATTTTCATGATTCTCCTGCCTCCTTCGTATCCTTCTTATCCCAACAACTTCTCCCCAGAAACCTTCAACTTAAACATGGTCCTGCCAGAACTGGGTTTGTCCTTCCCTTTACATTTTCCTCTCACCTACCCTACACCCCTTCCATATCTAATCTGTTCTTTAACTTCCAGGTCATTGAGAATTTTCCATTTAAAAATATAAAAAATTCATAAAGCGGAAGATAACCAGTCATCCATATTCCCACCTCCTGGAATTAACTACTGTTAACATACCTACATATTTTTCTTCCAAATCATTGTTAAACTACACATGCTAAGCATAGACCATACTAACAGTAGAGAAGATGTAAACATATGTAAAATTTTTGAAAACCTTACGTTCAAAAATAACTTCTCATAACATTTGGGCAACCCTGGAGTTACAGTCTTGTGGTACATCTACAGGGAGAAGAATGTATATTTTAGCTAGACTGTCCCTAAAAGAAAAAGGAAGAAAAAATAATAAAGAAGGATATATATACCTGAAAAAATAATAAAATAATAAAGACGCATATATGTATGCCTTTATAAAATTTAGCTGAGACTCTATTTTTATTTTACAAACATTCCATTTAATAGTGCATGAACTTAACTGCAGACAAAGAGACAGAAACAGAAACGAAGGAATTCCTCAACTCCCGATTACAGTTAGAGAGATATTTTTCTAAAGGAATCTTCTAAGGATAAACGTACACTAAATTAAGTAGAAGACATTAAGATTTGGAGTGGTTTTCTTATTCCTTTTTACAATCAGGTTGATTAAGGTGTGAGTTGACTTTGGTACAATGCATCCATTTCAAGTTTGATGACGTGTCTATTACTCTAAAAGGTCCTCTTGTGCCCTTTGCAGTCAGTTCCGCCCTCCCCCTGAGGCCAGCAGTCAATGATGTAGTTTCTGTCACTATACAGGTTAGTTTTAACTGTTGTAGAAATTCACCTTGATGCCGCCACACAGGGTGCACTCTTTTCATCACTCGGCATAATGTTTTTGAGATGATCCACGCTATTTCATGTTTCCGTAATGTGTCCTATTTTATTGCTGGGTAGTTCGGGTAGTTGGGGTAGATCGCAGCACATTCTGGCGACAGGTGAGACTGCGGTTCTGACCTGCAGGCCTCGGTGAACATGAGCAAGGGCACCTGGGCGCCGGGAGAGACCTCCCTTCCCCTACAGAAAGCAAGCGTGTTATGTTAACAACCGAACGGGGACCCTGCTTTCATCCCAAAGAACAGCACCCGACTGCGTAGTTTCTTCCCTGGCTCTAGGAGGTGAGAACACATTCCCCGCTAGCACAGACATCCTACAAACTCCTGCGGAGGCTGCGGTTAGAAGCAGAGGCTGTGTGAAGGGTGACTCTGGGGGCTATGAAAAAACACGAAGGTTTTCACAGAGCATGAGAACCCAAAAGACTGGAGACTATGAAGCGATCTGCAAAAAGCAGCCCCAAGTGGAAAGGAAAGAGAAGAGCCCTGCGGCCACTTAGCTAGTGTTAAAAGAGCTCACGGCGGCGGAGAGGATAACACGTTACTTTCTGTTTCCCATCGTTGCGACTGTAAGGAGAACACTTAACATGCCACCCAAGCTACAAAACTGCAGTTTTAAGAATAACCCTTGCCGTCTATTTTTTCATTACAAAAATTCAGGGGAAAGCGCGAACGCAGTCCCCCACTACCACAAATTATGCAGTCAAGTTTCCCACATTTGGGGAAATCGCAGGGGTCAGCACATCCGGAGTGCAATGGATAAGCCTCGCCCAGGGAAAACCACCTTCGTGATCATGGTATCTCCCCTGCCAGGTAAGTATGACTTCACACACTTCTGCCCTGTCACAGCCCCATATACCTCACCCTTTACACACATGGTCACTTGCCCCGCGCACCCCCGAGCCTTCCTAGCCCTGACACACAGCTGGGACCCTCAGGTCCGACCAGCGGTCCTGAACCCGCTCCCACGGCACGGGAGCTCCTTCGTGGTGAAACAGCCAGTGGCGAAGCAGCAGCCCCTGCGCTGCCTCATCTACATAGAAGTCGCCCTATCCGTGATGTCACCGACAGCGCCTTCCTCGTCCCGGTCTGCTTTTCTGCCCCACCCTCCGCCACTCAGCCGACCAACATGGTGCCAGAGCCTGCGGGGGCAGTGATGTCTGCCTCTGCCTCCTTTCCCTCTCTTCCCCGCCCATGGTCTTCCCCAAAGAAGCGGGTGTTTCTGTTGTAGTTTTTTGTTTGTTTTTTGTTTTGCGCCGTCTCGCTCTGTCGCCCAGGCTGGAGTGCAGTCGCATGATCTCGGCTCCCTGCAACCTCCGCCTCTCGGGTTGAAGCGATTCTCCTGCCTCAGGCTTCCACATAGCTGGGATTACAGGCACACGCCACCAAGCCCGGCTAATTTTTGTGTTTTTAGTAGAGACGGGGTTTCACCATGTTGGCCAGGCTGATCTCGAACTCCTGACCTCAGGTAATCCGCCGACCTCGGCCTCCCAAAGTGCTGAGATTACAGGCGTGAGCCATCACGACTGCCCAGAAGCCAGTTCTTAGCCTGTGTTGCCGAGGACCTCTTTGGCAGAAATCTGGAGCCTGTCCACCCTTCTTCAAATAATGGCTTGTAATGCGCAGACTAAAACATGGAGGATTACACAAGAAACTGGTTCACTTCACATCATTATCCTTGTGATGTAGCATTCTACTTGAAATTGGAAGCCGTTCGATATCAGAGAAACCATATCTATGAAACTAGAGAGGCTGCTCAGATGACTGCAAACCAGCCATCCTTACTTGTTTTACCACTAGTAGTGTTATAAGGACGGTGGTCCAATTTCAGGAATCTTGTAGGGTTCTTTCAAATACAGCAATGTACAAATATGCTGCCCCAGCAGAGCACACTGGACACTCAGGCATGATGCTGGAGTTTGTCATCTCTTCCACGGCCTTCTCCAGACCTTAGCACTTACCTCATGTTAGCACTTTATGTTCTGCAAAGACAGAAACAAAGTGGTCCAAATTTGGAAAAAATATATATATATTTGGGGGAAACTTTATTTGAGGTGCTTAACAGATTACTTTTAATCTGTAGAATACAACACCAAACTCTGACAATACTCCACAGACTCCAAATCTATCAGGCAAGTTTTTCCTGTCCTTTGCTTTCATATAAACTGAATCATAAAGTGTATAGTGGGTTTTGGGGGAATATAACTGCCCAATGGGTTCATGTTGCCTGCTGCCTAGACAGAACCAATTTATCAAGACAGGGGAATTGCAATAAAGAAAGTTATTTACCCAGAGCCAGCTGTGTGAGAGACCAGTTTTATTATTACCCAAATCAGTCTTCCTGAGTATTCTGGGACCCGAATTTTTAAGGATAATTTGGTGGCTGGGGGCCAGTGAGTTGGGAGTTCTGATTGGTCAGGTCGGAGATGAACTCAAAGGGAGCTAAAGCATCCTCTTGAGCTGGGTCAGTTCCTGGGTGGGGGCCACAAGATCAGATGAGCTGGTTTATCCATCTGGGTGGTGCCAGCTGATGCATCAAGTGCAGGGCTACAAAATACCTCACGCACTGGTCTTAGGTTTTACAATAGTGATGTGATCCCCAGGCACAATTCAGGGAGGTTTAGAATCTCATAAGTTGGAGGCTGCATGATCCTAAACCATCATTTCTAATCTTGTGGCTAATTTGTTAGTCCTGAAAAGGCAGTCTACTCCCCAGGCAGGAAGGGGATTTGTTTTGGGAAAGGGCTGTTATCATCTTTGTTTCACAGCTAAACCATAAACTAAGTTCCTCTCAAAGTTATTTTGGCCTGTGCCCAGGAATGAACAAGGACAGCTTGGATGCTGGAAGCAAGACAGAAGCAGTTAGGTCAGATCTCTTTCGCTGTGATAATTCTCCCAGTTATAATTTTTGCAAAGTCGGTCTCAGGAGCAGAGGCATAGGTTTGACTTCTTTCACTCAGTCTTACATCTATGAATTTTTCATGTTATTCATGTGGTTATTTGTTTCTGTGTGTATTCCTTTGTATGAATATAGGCCAATTTATTTATTTATTCTACTGTTGCTGAACATGTTGACCTAAAAGAAAGAGGCTGAAGCACAAAATAGAATCTAGAGTTTACTTGAGCCAACATGAAGACAGCTGCCTGGAAGACTCACACCAAAAGAACCTTGGATCTGAGCTCCCTTTGGCCTTTGTCACAAGCAGGTTTTTAAAGGTCAAAAGGGGGGATGCACAATGGGCTGACAGAAAGGTGCCTGTCAGGAATTCTCATTGGTTTTCAGAAATAGCATTGATGAGAGCTTGGCTATCCCTTGTTATAGGGTGTGGGATACAGTGTTTGGTGTGGCATTATTAGATTAATTTACAGCTACCTGGGGTGATAGCAAGCAGTTTCAACAGATGAATACATAGCTCAAAAGGAAGGAAGCAGAAAGTGGTTGCTGTCTTGATTTAATGTCTCTCTGATCATGTGAAGTGGCTCACATTCCTCAGATAAAAATTCTTTTAAAAATCTTTCTTCTTTAAAGCATTGATGATCAAAAGCTCAGCCAAGGTGTCCCTCTTTGCCAGGAACACTCATTCCCGGATAGTCTTTCCCACGGTGAGGGCAGGGGAGGAAAGGAGCTGCCTCACTGAGGAATTTTTAAGAGCGCCCCAAAGCCCAATTGAAAGTACGTCACAGAGTAGAAAAAAAAAAAGAAGAAAAGAAAAGAAGAGAGAGAGACTTCAGTTAAATCTACAGCTGTCACTTGTTTAATCATCTCTCGTCTTCAGATACCATAAAATCAGTTTTCTCAGAAGTAAAACAGGAAATATATAACATTAATAATTTGAATAGCACAGATATAATTCACACAAGAATGAGAATCACAAAGAGAATCCGTATGCCAGAACAGTAAGGGAACCTATTCCATTAGGGAGCCAACGAAAAAACATCAGGGAAAACATGACATCCCAGTTCTTCTTTCATGATTTCTTGTAGCCAAATGACTTCTAATTTTTTCTAGATGAGGTTCTATGTCATGGGAGTATTTATTTTTGTATATGCAACAAGAGGTTGTAAACACCACACATCCACCTCCCTGCTCAGCTAAATCTATCATCTAAAGCGGGCTGCGGAGGCTGCTGTTGCTGGGGCTCTCCCCTTGGTGTTCTGGGCTGCGTTGTACTAAGTGGAGAAGGTGGTTGTGGGCAAGCGTTATGCAGAGATCACAACCAGGTGGGCAGGGGGCTGCTCTCTCCACACTATCACTTGACAATGTACAATTCCTTTTATGAACTCTTGTAAGTGCTGCTGTATCTACCCATTGTTTTTGTTTTGTTTTGTTTTTTGAGACAGACTCTCTGTCTCCCAGGCTGGAGTGCAGTGGCACAATCTCGGCTCTCTGCAACCTCTGCCTCCTGGGTTCAAGTGATTCTCCTGCCACAGCCTCCCAAGTTGCTGGGACTACAGGCACACGCCACTGTGTGCAGCTAATTTTTGTATTTTTAGTAGAGATGGGGATTCACCATGTTGGCCAGGCTGATCTCGAACTCCTGAACTCAGGTGACCCACCTGCCTCGGCCTCCCAAAGTGCTGGGATTACAGGCATGAGCCACCGTGCCCAGGTTCTAACCATTTTTAAATAAGAATAATATTGTCTTTGAAAATATATATCATCTAAAGTAATGCAATTATCTAGTACAATCTTAGCCAGTGAATAAATAGCTTTTTGTTGAGCTGTGAAAGAGGCTACAGTTTCATCAGCAATATTTCTTTCTTTCTTTCTTTCTTTCTTTTGTCTTTCTTCTTTTTTTTTTTTTTAAGACACAGTCTTGCTGTGTTGCCCAGGCTAGAGTGCAGTGGTGCAGTCTCAGCTCACTGCAGCCTCAACCTCCCTCGCTCAAGCAATCCTCCCACCTCAGCCTCCCGAGTAGCTGGGACTACAGACATGCACCACTATGCCTGGCTAATTTTGTTTTTGTTTGTTTGATTGTTTTGTTTGTTTGTTGAAAGACAGGGTCTCGCTATCTTGCTCAGAATGGTCACAAATTCCTGAGCTCAAGCAATCCTCCCAGCTGAGCCTCTCAAAGTGCTGGAATTACAAGCATAGGCCCCCAAGCCTGGACTCTTTATTTTTCTTTCAGAGAGAAGGAGTGGCTCTGTCGCCCAGGCTGGAGTGCACTGTCGCCATCATAGGTCACTGCAGCCTGGAACTCCTGGGTTTAAGTGATCCTTCCACCTCAGCCTCTGAGTCACTGGGATTATAGGCCAGAGCTCCCATGCCCGGTTTTTATCAGCAATGTTACCTAAGGTTAAAGAAGGATTTCGAACCACGGGAAACAACATCCCATCAAAGCAAAAGCGTGCTCCCCCAAAAATGTATGGAGCTACTTTCTTAATGGTCAGGCAGGTAATTAGCAAGTTTTCTCCCAATAGGATCTCCATCTATTAATAAAATAGAGTGGTGGGCATGCCTAGTGAAAAGTTTGAGGACGCTCATCCAATTCTTTTTTTTTTTTTTTGAGATGGAGTCTCGCTCTGTCTCCTAGGCTGAAGTGCAGTGGCATGATCTTGGCTCACTGCAACCTCTGCCTCGCAGGTTCAAGTGATTCTCCTACCTCAGCCTCCTGAGTAGCTGGGAATACATGTGAACACCACCATACCCAGCTAATTTTTGTATTTTTAGTAGAGACGGGGTTTCACAGTGTTGGCCAGGCTGGTCTTGCACCCCTGACCTCAGGTGATCCACCCGCCTCGGCCTCCCCACTCATCCAATGTTGGGTTTCTTCAGAGCTATATATATATATATAGGCATGACCAAATATCCTAAAAGACATTGCACTTCATCATTCCATGTCTTTAGACATTTAAGGGCCATGGATGGTGATCTCCTCCACAGACCAAATAAATGCTGGTGCACAACAGGTAAGTGTAGTATAATTTGGGTACATCAGCTTTCGGCATTTAAACCATGCATGGGTCAGACATGTTAGAGCAAGAGGGCAGGTTGGATCCTGATAGCAGGAGGGAGTGTTTTTCTCTTAACTTTCCAATAGCATCATGGTGTTTACCACTGTCATTTCAGAGTGAGACAACAATTTTTTGTTGGTTTTCTTTCTGATCTTTGGTTTTTTTTGCAACCGGGGTCTCACTGTTGCCCAGGCTGGAATGCTGTGGCAACATGACAGCCCAGTACAGTCTTGACCTCTTGACCTTCAGGGCTCAATGAATCATCCTACCTCAGCTTCCCAAGTGCTGGAGTTAGGCACACACCACCACGCCCAGCTTATTTATTTACTTTCTGAGACAGGGTCTCACTCTTTTGCCCAGTCTGGAGTGCAGTGGTGTCATCTGGATTCACTGCAGGCTCGAACTCCTGGGCTCAAGTCATCCTCTCAACTCATACTCCTGAGTAGCTGGGACTACAGTTGGGTGCCACCATGCACCCAACTGTATATTTTTGTATATTTTGTAGAAATTGTTTCACCATTTTGCCCAGGAAGATAGTCTCAAACTCCAGGGCTCAAGTGATCCTCCTGCCTCGATATCCCAAAGTGCTGGGATTACAGGCAGTTATTTTGACAGTACAATTATGATGGGTTAAACTGAGACGTACGGCAGGAAGGTTAGGATGAGTCAGACAGGTTCGATAAACAGGTTTTGCTTGATGTAACCCCGAGTTGCATCGTGAGTTCAATCAGGAGGAATACAGGTGAAATTTGGCACAGGATGTACCAATGGGTCATTATGGTCAAAAGTGGTTGGTGGTTTAAGGTGGCAAACCCAGCACCTTGTCACATTTCCCACAGTGGCAATGGTTTGTGAGATTCTGATCAGAGAATTATCCCTCCCTGATGTAATCAAATTAATTAAGGACAGTAAAACAGAAATCTGATCATAGGCATTTTGCTATGTATGTATGTATATGTATATACATGTACGTGCAATAGGACTAGTGTGTCATATCTTTAGAGAATATACATATAGGGTGATTTTACCAAAACCAATAGGATACGACCCCTACAACTTAAAGGAGCCCTGATGGTGTATGTATTCCAGTCAAGAGAAAAAGAGACTAACTCTTCCAGGTGCAGTGAGCACTGGAATTGTGAACAGCTGGTTATACAGGCCAGTATCTTGGGTGGAAGTGGGCTACAACAGATGTCAGCTACTTGCCATCTTCGTCAGGAAGATGGCAGGTCACCTTTAAGTGAAAACCTCCACTGACAGATGTCCACTCTGGTAGGGTTGCCTTTTAGATATGAGAAACATGAATCTGTGTGTCAATGCCCTTATATTTACTGCCACAGAGATGAGGCAATAATACCTGATGTGAGCCAGGTGCAGTGGCCCACACCTCTGGTCCCAGCTATTTGGGAGACTGAGGCAGGAAGATGGCTTGACCCCAGGAGATAAAGGCTACATTGAGTCATAATTACGCCACTGCATTCCGGCCTGGGCAACAGAGTGAGACCCCATCTCAAAAAAATAAATTAATATTAATAATACCTACGTGGTGCCCTCCAGTGGACTTGGAGGGAGTATTTTATTTGATGTTGTTTCCAGTAAGCGACATCTCCAGTTTATAGGCATAGTTTTTGATATTTTCATCTCCCATCAGCTCATTATGAAAGGCATCCTTTATTAATTTGGAGCTCTTCATAAGAAGTTTTGTGAGACCTTAGAAATAATGGAGAATGTTACCTTTAAGAAGTGCAGTGCAGGTTCATAAGCCCCTTCATCTAACCACTGCATGGGTCTTCCTGTTCTAATTTCAAAGGGAGGGAGTGAAAGTTTTCCAGAAACAGTGGGGGATCTTTGGCCAGAGAAGGTTAAAAACTTCTGTTAGCTTTGCCAATTGAGTTTTTATCTTATCATTATTAAGTTGCACTAGTCCAGAGGATTAGGGGTGATAGGCACAATGGAAATGTTGGGACATAGGTCAAACGTTACAAATGGATCCAACTATCTGACTGATAAGGTGTGTTCCTCAGTTGCTATGGAGATCAGATGGCACTCCCCATGAGGAATGATTTTCTCTAATCACAGTCTACCAGCTGCTTGGGCTGTGGCTCATTGGCACAGAAATGTTTCACTCCAGCGACAGCACATATAAATTAGCACCAGAAAGTATCTGTGACCCTGAGATGGAGACAGCTGGATAAAGTCTAACTGCCATGTCTCAAAAGGTCCTAAAGATGCAATGTCCCTGTGACACATGAAGGGGTTTTCCAGGATTATGTTTGGGACAGAACAGAAAGTACAGCAAGAATAAACCTTTTGCACAATGGTAGGCGATGATTTTCAATACACTGCTTTCCCCATGCTATCATTTTGTCTGAATTCCAACGAGTCAGCTTATGAACTACTTTAAAATGGGTAATTGAAGCCTAAGGGGTGGATCAGGGTATCACTGGGCCCATACCATATGTGTGTTTCTGGAAAAAACTTGTTCCCTTTATCTTTCCAGAGAAAATAAAATATTGACTCAAAATAAATTAATTAAATTTTAAAAAGAAACAGGGCCAACCATGGTGGCTCATGCCTGTAATCTCAGCACAGCTCTTTGGGAGGCTGAAGCAGGAGGATCACTTGAGCTCAGCAGTTGGAGACCAGCCTGGGCAATTTAGTGAGACCACATCTCTACAGAATTATTATTTTTCTTAATAGCCAAGTATGATGGTGCATACCTGCAGTCCCAGCTACTTGGAAGGCTAAGGTGGGAGGATCACTGGAGCCCAGGAGGTTCAGGCTACAGTGAACTATGATTGTGCCACTGCACTGCAGCCTGGGCAACAGAGAAAGACCTTGTCTCAAAAAATAAAATAAAATAAAATGTCTTAGAAGTTTAGCTGTCCATCCTATGCAGCAGAATATCTATGTGTCATGTCCACCATGTCCTTCTGTTGTATCATCCCCTTAGTTAAGCCAGGAAGGCACCTGTCCCCTTATTAGAATATCATGGGCTCATGGCTAGCACAGTGGCTCACGCCTGAAATCCCAGCACTGTGGGAGGCTGAGGCACATAGATCTCTTGAGCCCAGGAGTTGGAGACCAACCTGGGCAACATAGCAAGGCCCTATCTCTACAAAAAAAAAAAAAAAAAATAGCTGAATGCGGTGGTGCATGTCTGCAGATCCAGCTACTCTGGAGGCTGAGGTGGGAGGATAACTAGAGCCCAGGGGGTGGAGGCTGCAGTGAGCTGAGATCACGCCACTGCCTTCCATCCTGGGTGACAGAGTGAGACCTAGTCTAAAAAAAGCAGGGGAAGGGGGAGAAAGTTTGTTGTGCCAGCAAGTAAATGAAGAAAGGGACAGTATTAGAGTTGAGAAATAAATTGGAATATGATTTGATACCTCTCCCGCAGAAGATAAATTTGCTAAAAGTGCTGAAGTTAGAGGCATTACATAAGACCCATTGCAGTTGCTCATGCCTGTAAATCCTGGCACTTTGCAAGGCCGCGGAGCTGCTTGAGCCCAGGAGTTTGGAGACCAGCCTGTGCAACATGGTGAAACCCCTTCTCTACAAAACAAATAAAAATTAGCAGGGCATGATGGCCCACTCCTGCAGTCTCAGCTACTTGGAAGGCTGAGAGATGGGAGGATCGCTTGAGCCTGAGAAGTTGAGGCTACAGTGAGACGCAATCAGGCCACTGCACTCCAGCCTTAGAGACAGAATGAGACCCTGTCACAAAAACTAAAAATTAAAATTAAAAAGCCTGTAATATAGCAGTGGCACATCCAGTTCTCTACGCTACTATAGAACTATCAGTGGCCAAAGATATGTGTACAAGAATGACGATTTCAGGATTCTCTGAAATCCTAAAACCATGAAGCCAACCTTATTTCAAACACATTTTGAAAACGGTTAAATAAATCATGCACAAACTGACTGATAAAAAAATGCTGTTTTCAAAAATGATGAAGAGGATCATTATGATGATGAATGATTCCACTTTCTATCCATATTATTGATAGAGCAACCAGTAAATCCAGGCCCATCCTGGGGATAGGATATCTCTCTAGGCCTCCTATTAACAATGAAAAAATTAAGGTTGGCATATAACCCATCCAAGCCTATAAGGGGCAGCATGAGGATTTTGTCGGCACCAGAAGTGACTCATTTGGTCTCTGTTTCTTGTACACAGGCACAAGACAGCATGACATTTCAGGAGATTCTCTGTCTGAATCGGATCTGTGAGGCGAGGGTGTGGGGAGTGTGGGGAATGGCCCTTGACAGGGATCTCTGTTAACTGTGCCTAGAATCCTGAGAAGATAAAACCTTCCCTGCAGTAAGCATCCCTGGCTGGCCTGGAACCTATAGGACTTAGGACTATGGGAAGAAAAAGGGAAGATTCTCTAGTGATCGATAATACACGAACGGGGGAGATTCTCTAGTGATTGATAATACACGAACGCTTTAAAAGCTAGAGCAAGCGTCCCCGGGTGGGCTCGAACCACCAACCTTTCAGTTAACAGCCGAACGCGCTAACCGATTGCGCCACAGAGACAAGAACTACTGCTTTTACTGTGCGCTATGGGAAGGGCGCCTTCAACAAATTTCCCCTGTGCCTTCCAGCTTCAGGGCTCGTCCGGCAGGATGACTGAGCAAGGCCTTGGAAAACCGGAGCGATTAGAGCGGTGAATCGCGCTGGTCACGTTGGACACCTGCGCGTTAGGAGATTCTGGAGCCAGAAGGACAGCCGAATGGCCTTCGCCCGCCCTGCCCCTCGCCTGCTTCAGAAGCCCCTGGAAACGCCCCGGTCTGCGACCCGGGTTCGAGCAGCCAGGGGGCTCAAGGGAAGCTGAACGCCTGGTGGGCTCCCGGGATGGCTCTTCCCGTTCTTTGCACAGCCTTCACCCAGTGAGGGAGCCTGTGCCCTCCCTGCTCAGTCGCATTCGGGGCGCTGCGGAGCTTCCGCTGCCTTCTTCGGATCCTGCGTTCGGCACCGGGGCTCCACCAGGGCAGGGATCGTGGTGAGGGTCGCTCGTGGATCCCCTCGCGGGGAGCAGGGTCTGGCACTCACCAGGGCGCACGACTAGGACTTGTTGAATGAATCCGTCGTCGCCTTTATCTTTTAGTCCTTTGAAGAGCCTTGAGAATGGAAATCATGAGAGATTTTTCCATGGGGGAAGTTCTTTTTACGAAACGTTTATTCAGATTGATTTCTCGGCACCCCGCGGGGAGGGCAACGGGCAGGGCTTCCAGTGCACCTTCTGCGCAGTGGAGCCGCGGGGGCTCAGCTGGACAGTGGTCGGGTCGTGGGGCTGGAGGGCGGGAGCGGGGGAAGGGAAAAGCAAAAGCGGGGAAAGAAGCCGGAGAGCGGTGGACCAGACATCTAGACCTGAAAGGCTCGTGCGGAGGCAGAGGCGGGATCTTCCGGAGGTGAGAATTGTTTTTTTATTGTAGCAGAATGGGGAGGAATTGAGGGGAAAACGGAGATAGAACCTGAAAGAGCCCCAAACGTGAGAATCTGTAACTCCCCAAGAATAAGATCTTCCAGAAAAATTAGACCGAAAACTAGGCGTCTGGGAACCCTGACATCCTTGGAGGAGTAGCATCATCATGACCCTCTGTGTTCCTTTTGGCATAAGGACTTGCTTCCATTGTTTGTTTGTTAAATTGTTGTGTTTGTTTAATAAATAAAACCTTTTCATGTATCTTTGAAATTACGTTGGTTTGGCCGAGCGCGGTGGCTCACGCCTGTAATCCCAGCACTCTGGGAGGCCGAGGCGGGCGGATCACGAGGTCAGGAGATCGAGACTATCCTGGCTAACACAGTGAAACCCCGTCTCTACTGAAAAATACAAAAAATTAGCCGGGCGTAGTGGCGGGCGCCCGTAGTCCGAGCTACTCGGGAGGCTGAGGCAGGAGAATGGCGTGAACCTGGGAGGCAGAGCTTGCAGTGAGCCGAGATCGCGCCACTGCACTCCAGCCTGGGCGACAAAGGGAGACTCTGTCTCAAAAAAAAAAAAAAAAAAAAAAAAAAAAAGAAAGAAAGAAAGAAAGAAAGAAAGAAATTACGTTGGTTCTATTACTTTATGATTACAAACAATGCTGCAGTCATCATTCTTGTACACTTCTCATTGGCCACTGGTGTATTTCTATAGGATAGAGGCCTGGAGAGCAGCTGCTCCAGCATAGTGATTACATGTTTTTTTATATCATTCCATTTTCTTTCCTTTTTTGGCTTATTAGCTATAATTCTTTCTTTTGTTATGTCAGTGATAGCTTTAAGGTTTCTAGAATATATCTTTATCAGTCTGCCCTCAAGTGACATTATACCTTCCCTTCTGGCCTTTATGCTAGTGTTGCCATGTCATTTGATTTTAGACATGTTATAAACCCCAACATCTAAGTACATACATAGCGATTTCCAGTCGTCTCCATTTATTTGTGTAGGTTCAGATTTCTGTCTGGTATCCTTATCCTTAGGCCTGGAGGACTCCTTCAACATTTCTTGTAGTGTGGGTCGGTGAATGCTTTCATTTATTTGTATGTCTTTATTTTTATTTGTATTTTTTTAAGATGGAGTCTCACTCTGTCACCCAGGCTGGAGTACAGTGGCATGATCTGGGCTCACTGCAACCTCCACCTCCTGGGTAAAAGTGATTCTCATGCCTCAGCCTCCTGAGTAGCTGGGATTACAGGCATGTGCCACCTCACCTGGCTAATTTTTGTATTTTTAGTAGAGACGAAGTTTTGCCATGTTGGCCAGGCTGGTCTCCAACTCCCCGACCTCAAGTGATCCGCCCGCCTCGGCTTCCCAAAGTGCTGGGATACATGTGTGAGCCACTGCGCATGTGTATGTCTTTAAATGTCCTTATTTCAGTCACATTTTTTAGAGATTTTTCATTGTGGCATAGAATTCCAAAATAACTTTTTTTCTCTCTCTCACTACTTTATGTTGCCACTTTGATGCCTTGTCATTGATATATCATCTTTTCTGTTTTTGTAAAACTGGCATAAAGGAGGCTTCCTGTACTTGTTATATAATTTTTGGAATGTGTACTTAAATTTAAAAAAAATTGTTATACTTTAAGTCCTGAGATACATGTGCAGAACGTCCAGGTTTGTTACATAGGTACACATGTGCCATGGTGGTTTGCTGCACCCATCAACCCACCATCTACATTAGGTATTCCTCCTAATGCTATCCCTCCCTTTGCCCCCCACCCCCCTATAGGCCCCAGTGTGTGATGTTCCCCTCCATGTGTCCATGTGTTCTCATTTTTCAACTTCCACTTATGAGTGAGAACATGCGGTGTTTGGTTTTCTGTTCCTGTGTTAGTTTGCTGAGAATGATGGTTTCCAGCTTCATCTATGTCCCTGTGAAGGACATGAACTCCTTCTTTTTTATGGCTGCAGAGTATTCCATGCTGTATATGTGCCACATTTTCTTTATCCAGTCTATCATTGATGGGCATTTGGGTTGGTTCCACGTCTTTGCTACTGTGAATAGTGCTGCAATAAACATACGTGTGCATGTGTCTCTATAGTACAATGATTTATAATCTTTTGGGTATATACCCAGTGATGGGATTGCTGGGTCAAATGGTGTTTCTGATTCTAGATCCTTGAGAAATCGCCACAGTGTCTTGCACAATGGTTGAACTAAATTAAAAATATGAAAATGGGCTGGATGAGGTGGCTCACGCCTGTAATCTGAGCACTTTGAGAGGGGGAGGCGGGATGATCGATTGAGGCCCAGAGTTGGAGACCAGCCTGGATTAGATAGTAAGACTCTCTCTCTCTCTCTCTCTCTCTCTGTGTGTGTATATATATATATGTGTGTGTATATATATATATATTAAAAAATATATATATACACATTCTCTCTGTGTATATATATTATATATATATAATATATACACACACTCTCTCTCTATAGATATATGTATACACACAGAGAGAAATATGTCCATCGTGAGAGTCCTAGATTCATCTTAAGTTTCACCGAAAGTGCACTTAGAGTAAAATGTGCCCACTCTGAGGGTCAAACCTACCTACTGACGTGTAAGTTGTGTTTGTGAGACATTCTCAACAGCATTTGCTTTCCCTAGCATAGTGGTTTTCATGTTTTCCTCACACCTGAATGTCCTCAGTGCAAAACCTGTCAGAATTCATTTCCTTTGCTGTTCTTCTTTGAGAAACCTCCAGGGTTTTATTTATTTATTACACACCTTTTAAAAGCATAGAGACAAAGACTGGCAAGTGGTATATATTACTACATTAGTCTGAGTTCTCCAGAAAAAGAAAACGAGCAGGATACACACAGACATACACACACACATACACACACACACACACACAGAGATTTACATTGGCTAATGTGATTATGGAAGCAGAGAAGTCCAAGGTCTACACTGAGTAAGCTCTAGACCCAGGAGAGTGGAATATAGTTCTCTACCAAGTCCAAGGCCCAAGGCAGAAGACTGATGTCCCAGCTCAAAGACAGTGGAGCAGAGACTTCTTTCTTAGCCTTTCATTCTATTCAAGCCTTCTGTGGGTTGGATGAGGCCCACTCACACTGGGGAGGGCAATCTGCTTTACTCAGTTTACCGATTCAAATGTCAATCTCATCCAGAAACACTCTCAGAGACACAGTGAGAAATAATGTTTAACCAAATATCTGGGCACCCCATGGCCCGTTCAAACTGACAGAAAAATTCATCTTCACAAATACTCTCAATAAAAGTGACTAACAAATGTAGCATCATGTCCTGCCTGTTTATCCCATGACAATTAATGTATTCCAGCCCAACATTGTCTTCCTTTCTCTTACAGAAGCAACATGTAACAGTTTCATTGAAAGTAAGGTTGCCCGGGCACAGTGGCTCACCCCTGTAATCCTAGCACTTTCGGAGGCTGAGGCGGGCAGATCATCTGAGCTCAGGAGTTTGAGACCAGCCTGGCTAACATGGTGAAACCCCATTTCTACTAAAAATACAAAAAATTAGTCGGGCATGGTTGCGCATGCCTGTAATCCCAGCTACTCGGGAGGCTGAGGCAGGAGAATCATGTGAACCCGGGAGGTGGAGATTGCAGTGAGCCAAGATCCCGCCATTGCACTCCAGCCTGGGCAACAAGAGTGAAACTCCATTTCAAAAAAATTAAAAATAAAAATAAATAAATAGAGTGAGGTTAATTTTGACCTTATGGAGTCTCTCCCCAACCCCTACATACCTTTGCACTTGTGGATTGTCATTTTGTCATGGCTTTGATATAAAAATATATCAATAAGCTATATGCAGTGCTAATGTAAGTTTGAATTTCATCCTGACTCCATAAGCCACTTTCCATTTTGATAAAGCCTAGAAATATTCATGTCCATCTCCTTGAATATGGGTAATGGATACCTATTGTGGGGCCCACTCTCAATCTCATGGGGTTTTTTAATTTTTTTAAATTTTCATTCAGGTCTCAATAGATATGCCTGGGCTGCCTGAAAGCCACTGAAAATGGCCCGTGGCCTTGTACATCTGACAGAGTGGACTAAAATCTAAGCCATGGAATGGGGGGATGGAAAGTGAGAAACACCAAACTCAGCACACAATGACTCAGTTTAAATCTCTGGGCTAAGAGATCTATCATGGCTTCTGGGACATAAGGCTTTGTCCGGAGGGTGACTGTAGGCTCCCATGACAATGCCTACCCCAGAAAGCTCAAGGCTGCCAGAGGAACTTACTTTAGTTCCAGCCAATACCTGCTGATGATGGTAGGTTCAGGATCTCCCTTTTGTATAGCACTTACTAAGAAGGGAATCCTTCCTCCATCCCTTTGAGATGTGTTTGTATCTCCTAGGGACTCCAGTGTGTCTTTCCCTAGGATCTGAAAGCCATTCCTTTGAGCTGTAGTTCTCAGGAAGGACTGAGCCTCTGTCTTCCAGTCTCTGTGGGAGGTTAGAATCCTATCTTCTAATATTGTCAGCTAGCAGACACAGCTGGCCTGATGAGGCAGACATTCACAATGTTTCACTTGTGCCCTGCCCCCTGCCCTCTCCCCTACCTCCCTCTCCCCCTATAATGCCATCACCTCTGTACAAATGGGAACACAGCTCAGCCCCGTTCTCTACTATCAGTAGTTACTGAATAAAATCTGTTTTCTCTGCTTTAACTAATGTCTGGCTTTATCTTCGACAAAATAAGTGGAGCGATGATTTTTAGGGACAAGGCAGCTGCAAAGAGAGGCACAGACATGGGAGGAGAGGGAGGGATCACCTGACCCTTTTCATTTCGTAGGTATCTATTCCTGCCTGATGTTTATAAGCCTGACACTTGGCTGGGCTTCCCTGGGGTATATCTCCATGGCTCTGTGGCAAGACTTGAATAGGCTGGTGATGACACTTGATGTCCCCATAGCCACCTTCAAAAATGTCATTAAAGGCTTGCGAGAAAATGGAAGGAAACACAGAAAACCTGATTTTGAAAGTTGCCGCCTCTCCTTCTTCCTCATTCAGAGCGTGTACGATATTGCTGTGCGGTGTTTGTTGGACTGCAATTTAGCACAACACCTTTTCTAATATTTGGCAGTTTCTTGCAGAGTTAAGCCTACCCTATAAGGAAGCAAATTTACTTTCATTCATTACCCATGAAAAATGAACATATACATCCAATAAGGCTTCTACAAAAAATGCTCATAGCAACCTTATTTTTATACTAAGGAAAAACTGGGTACAACACAGTCTTCATCAACAGAAGAATTTAATACCTACTGTTATATAGTCATAAAATGACCTCATGCACAGCAAACAAAAACAAGCAAAAAAAAAAAAGTAGGAAAAGTATGAAAAAACACAGTAACATGGGTAAAACCCTCCAAACACTATACTTAGCAAAAGTTTCCTATAAAAGTATCCTTTGAACATCTAAAACAAATTTATCTTAATGTACCTGTCTGATACTCCTGTGTAATTCCATTTATATGAAGCATCAGGACTCAACAGTGGCTCCCTCTTTGAGGTACTTTGATGGAAAACTTCCTGGGTTGATGGAAATGTTCTATGTGGCTTGGTCTAGTTGATACTTACAAGGGTCTATACATTTATTAAGCTTCATGGTACACTTTTTACATTTACATTTTTAATATAAAAATAATGTTAATTATTTTTAAACTGCCGAAATCCCAAAATGAATACTTGTTTTAGTATTGGTTTAACCCTGAGATATATTTTTTACTTATATACATACGTAAAATCTGTATAATAAAGTTTGGAGTAAATTAGACCTTTTTACTCTTCCTACACAATGCTAGAAGTCTGGAACATCTTAATTCCATTTACCCTCCTTGTGATTCTCAAGTTACTCTCATTAATTTTAAGGCACCATATATTTTAAGTCACATGGACATCATTATGATCATTGGATTAGTAAAACGTACTATTTGACTGAGCCACACATTAAACCTACACATCGCCCTGCGTTCCTTCGTTCCCTTTCCACATTCCCCGGGGATATTTCACATTTTTGCATTTCCCTTAGTTAGCATGTGCTGCTTCTCCAGAAAGGTCTGCACTTCACCTTCACTTGAAAGATCTGTAGTCTTGGGTTAGGAGCCAGCAGTCAGTTGAAAATGGTAGTATTTTAGAACTCTATGATGTCTTACTTTTTCACTGCTGTGAATTTAGCACCTGACCTTTGGACACAATAGGAATTTCCCCCTCTGGGGGCTGCTCTGGTTTTCCCATGTGCCTTGGGCGTTCAGCAGTGTCCTGATGACATGCTTAGGTGTCGTTTGTTTGTCCTTATGCTGCTTGGAGTTCATAGCTCTTCTTGCACATGTGGCTTGATGCCTCGTTGGGTTTGTTTCTCTTAATTGTCCATAGGTAACAACTATTTCTTTTCAGTATTGCTTCTGTCCCATTTTCTGTCTCCTCCAGCTTCCAGGACATTAGTGACAATTTATTTTAAGCATTTATGACATAACTTATATATATATATATATATATATACACACACACTTGTTTCTTAGTTTTCCTTCCTGCTAGCTCTCTCTCCGCTTGTCTGGAAAGTCTCCGCTTACTTATCTTCAGGCTAGTAATCCATCTTCACATGGATCCAAACTGCCATTACACCAATCTATTGACTTTTTAAAATAATAACTATTGCATTTTATTTCTAACTTTAATAGATTTTCTTTCCAATTATAAGTATTTATTACATCTCTATGTTATTTCTACCATTACCGTATTTTATTTGTATAATTTCCATTTTATTTCAAAATAGGTTATTATTTTCTGGTGAAAATTTTTACCGTCTCTTCCATTCTTCTGAACATCTAAATCATATCATTTGAATGGTACTGTCTTATAACCTCGATGTCTCCATCATCTGTGAAAAACCTACTGTTTCCTGTTTTGAGTTTGTTTTCTCTTGCCTCTGCTTCTTTATATGCCTAGAATACTATGACTGAATGGTGGGTCTCTGTGAAAAATTATGAAAGGACTGAGTCGTGTTCTCTGTCTCTGAAGATGAATTCCCCTCTGCCCCTGGCAGGCACCAGAGGCACAGATCACCTCAACCCCATCTCTGTCTCGGCTGACCTGCAGCTTGTTTTTCCTCTTGGGAAACTCAGCAGCAGGATTTTTCCCTCAGAGAAACATCACATTTAAAGCATACATAGAAAAAGGTGGGGTTTTTTTCATAAAAAGTCTTAGTTTTCTTATTGTAAATTTAAACACATGGTTATTACTGTTCTTAAGCTAATTGGGCTAGCCTGGGCAACACAGTGAGACCCCGTAACTATGAAAAATAAAAACACTAGGCAGGCATGGTGGCATGTGCCTGCAGTCCCAGCTACTCAGGAGGCTGGGGCAGGAGGAGCACTTGAGTCCAGGGGTTCAAGGCAGCAGTGAGCTAGATCATGCCACTGCACTCCAGCCTGGGTGAGGAATAGAGACCCCGTCTCTGAAAATTAATAATAATCATATAGTAATAATAAGACAATTGGGGCAGTACCTCCTTTATATTGATCAGATACTCGATTTGTCTATACCCTCCAGAGGAAGACAAAGTATTCTACTTTGTTTCCTGAGAAAATACTGTGTATTTATATATGAAAAAAATCCATTAAAATACTGGGCATTCTAAAGCATCTAAATGTCATAAGTAATATCATTTAAAGTGGAAACAGAGGCAGTGGTGTCTATCAAGGATGCTTATCAGTGAGGGAAACAAAAGGAATCATTAAGCACCCTTGGATACCTGAAGGGCCCCTCTGCCAAAAATCTCAGTAATTCTGTGATACACTTTTGAGTCTAGCAGGTTATTCTCTTTTCCAGAGTACGAAGTTGCCAACCTAAAAGAACAACCAAGAGAGAGTGGTTCTCCAAAGAAGTGAATGTTTGGGGATAAACAGAGGATTTCAATCCAGGATATGCGCACTATCGTATGAGGACCCAAAGGCACAACCAGGCAGGCTGAGAAGGGGAACCTTTAACAGCGAAAATGAGGAAGGTTACATAGTTGTTTTGAAACAATTATCCTTGGCCACAAGGAATAATCACAAGGGTGGCATCAGTCCAAGGATGAATAGGCAGTTGCTGGGCAGATGTCATTGCAGAGAGATTCTTTGGGTAAGGTTGTGGTGGCCTTTGTGCAAAGTTATGGTTTTCAGAGAGTTCTTGTAATAGTTTTTATCACAGGCATGTGTGTGTGAGCACCCCTCCTTTATGATCTCCTGATTGAATTTTGTTAGGATTTGGCATACGTGACTCCATTTTTCATTCTGACAACTTTTACAGGTCATTGCTTTTCATCCATTTTTACTAAGGGCTGGACTTGCTTAAATTCCAGGAAATTATGAGGTCTTGATTCGTATAATTATCACAAGTGCTCATGTTGCTGACTCAGTTGCCTATTTGGGATGTTATAATTGTCTTTTTTCTCCTTCCTGTGCTGTAATTTACACAATCCTTAGAGGAGATTAATTTGATACTTTTCAGCTGTGAAAAACTTGAATATGCCAATCAAAGAAAGGTTCCCCTCACATGCTAGGAATTTAGTTTCTTTCCTGTGCTAAGATCCATTTAGGTATAGCACTTTCCTGGAGCCAAGAGTTCCTATGAAATGGGGTGTGGCATAGTGTGTATTAAGATCATCCTTATTACAGAGATGCCATTCTTGCAGATATTGACAGCTAATGTGTCCCTAAGACTTTTACCAAACATCAGATAGACAAGATATGAAAACCTTCTCATTGCTGCAGTCTCAAATGTCAGGAAAGACCAGAATCTTTAGGATAATGGACAATCAAGAAAGACTCACAGACTAGATTAGCTGTCATGTACTGCCAATCAGGGAATGGATCCTTGTCAACCACCACCTAACAGAGATTGTCCCCAGAAGTTCACTCCATAACATCAAAACCAGAAACCCACATTGGTGCCACTGATGACAGAAAATAATAATGCAAAAATGAGAAAGAAACAGTGAGAGAGAGAGAGAGAGAGAGAAGACATAGAGGGAGACAGAGACATGTACTACAGCCATACTTAGTGATTAAAAGCCAAAGAGCTCAATTTCTATTCATGATATTCATTAAAAGAAGCAAGGAAACAGGAGCTAATAGCTCTGAGGGTTCAGGTCTACACAAGATGCCCGTTGGGTGGAGGGTTCTGTTGGCTCCAGTGATGTTTCTCAGATGTGCTAATTGTTATGGACATAGCCCCTGAAAAAATCTATCAAATAATAATACAGGGACAGCTATCTGCATGGTAATTTACCATTGTATAGGAGGGAGAAAGGGCATTAGATTGGTTTTGGCAAATAAAAGAAAAACCAAGATTTATGAAGAAAAGAGGAAAGGGGAGAAGAAAAAAATTGCCTGGGACCTTTGTGATTTTGCTCCCCTTGTGTAAGGGACTTGACAGAAAGCTTTCCAAGAGGTCGCTGTGGCCCATCTTCTCTGGACCAGTGTGACTTAGTCATCACAGAAAACAATCACAGATGTTGGAGGACTTTAAAATATCTTAGAAGTTTAGCAGTTCATCCTATGTCACAGAGTTTCTGTGTGCAATGTCCACCATGTCCTTCTGTTGTACAACCCCTCAGTTAAGCCAGGAGGGTGCCTCTCCCCTCACGACCAGCCTGGGCAACACGGCGAAATCCCGTCTCTACAAAAAATACAAAAATTAGCCCATAGTATGGCGCACGCCTGTAGTCCCAGCTCCTTGGGGTGCTGAGGCAAGAAAATCGCTCGGCCCCAGGAGGTCGAGGCTGCAGTGAGCCATGTTTGCACTACTGCATGCCAACCTGGGTGACCAAGGCTGGAATATCATACATCCATGTGTAGAAAGTTTGTTGTGCCGGCAAGTAAATGACAAAGGGGACATTAACAGAACTGAGAAACAAATTGGAATACGATTTGGTACCGCTCCCACGAAAGATAAATTTGCAGAATGTACTCAAATTGGAAACATTAAATAAATTCTATAATGTAAAATTAGCACATCCTGTTGTCCACACTATAGAAATATCTGCACAAGTGACCGAAGATATGTGTACAAGAATGATGGTGATTGCAGCATCATTTGTAATCCTAAAACTATGAAACGCACCTCACTTCAAAAACATTTTGAAAAGGGTTAAATAAATCATGCACAAACTCAAGAAGAAATGCTGTTCTCACAAACACTGGCGATGATCACCATGAGGATGACTGATTCCACTGGTCACATTATTGATAGAGCAATCAGTAAACCCAGGCACATCCTGGGGATAGGATACTACTGTAATAGGCCTCCTATTATTAAACATGAAAAACTTGAAGCACAAAATGTCCACCTAACTGACCCAAGTCATGGGAGCAAGGAAGATTTTTATCACACCACAGGTGAGATCCTTTCTAAGGTCTATGGGATTCCTGAGTTTGATAGGTATAACGCGCGGTGGCCCTTGCCAAGCCTCAGACTTAAGGTGGATAGGAAGTGGGGACATGTGTGTCTTGTGATCAATCAGGAGTTGGTTGTCCCATCAACAGAAACAGGTTAAAATAAAGCCCCAGGGCCCCGGCTGGAACTACCAACCTTTCTATTAACAGCAGAATGCTCTAACGAATTGCGCTGCAGGTACACGTTCCGTGCCTTCTTCTGGGCGCTATAGGAAGGGTGCACTCAGCAAACTCCCCATCCCCTCAATCTTCAGGGGCCCTCCTGGCAGGACGACTGTGCAAGTTCCAGGTCCTTGGAAAACCGGAGAGATTAGAGCGGTGAATTGTAGTGTTGGACACCTGCGCGTTGGGATATTCTAGAGCACGAAGGACAGCCGAATGGCCTTCGCCCGCCCTGCCCCTCGCCTGCTTCAGAAGCCCGAGGAAACGCCCTCGTCCGCGACCCGAGCCGCCGCCTCGAGGCTCAGGGGAAGCTGAACGCTCGGTGGGCTCCTGGGATGCATCTTCGCGTTCTTTGCGCCGCCTTCACCCACTGAGGGAGCCTGTGCCCACCCTGCCCAGTCGCTTTCGGGGCCGCTGCGGAGCTTCCGCTGCCATCTTCGGATCCTGTGTCCCGCACGGGGGCTCCACCAGGGCAGTGATGATGGTGAGGGTCGCTCGTGGGTCCCCTCGCGGGAAACAGGGTATGGCACTCACCAGAGCGCACGACTAGGACTTGAATTAATCCATCGTCGCATTCAGTTTTTAGTCTTTTGAAGAGCTCTGAAAATAGAAATCATGAACTGTTTTTCCATGGGGAAGTTTTGTTTTGTTCTGTTTGTGAGACAGGGTCTCACTTGGTAGCCCAGGCTGGAGTGCAGTGATGCAAACACGGCTCACTGCAGCCTCGACCTCCTGGGGCCGAGCGATTTTCTTGCCTCAGCGCCCCAAGGAGCTGGGACTACAGGCGTGCGCCACACGATGGGCTAATTTTTGTATTTTTTGTAGAGACGGGATTTCACCGTGTTGCCCAGGCTGGTCGCGAAGGGAAAGTAAGTTTTTTTTTTGTTTTGTTTTGTTTTTTTTGTTTTTTTTTTTGATACAGGGTCTCGCTCTGTCGCCCAGGCTGGAGTGCAGTGGCGCGAACTCGGCTCACTGCAAGCTCCGCCTCCGGGGTTCACGCCATTTCCTGGCTCAGCCTCCCCAGTAGCTGGGACTACAGGCGCCCGCCACAACTCCCGGCTAATTTTTTTTCTCTTTCTTTCTTTCTTTCTTTCTTTCTTTCTTTCTTTCTTTTTAGTAGATACGGGGTTTCACCGTGTTGGCCAGGATGGTCTCGATCTCCTGACCTCGTGATCCGCCTGCCTCGGCCTCCCAAAGTGCTGGGATTACAGGCGTGAGCCACCGCGCCCGGCGGTAAATTCTTTTTAAAAAGCGTTTATTCCGATGGATTTCCTGGCATCCCGTGGGGCAGACAACGGGCTGAGGCCTCCAGTAAACCTTCTGCGCGATGGAGCTGCGGGGGCTCAGCTGCGCTGTTTTTGGGTGGGTGCCTGGGGCACTAGGGCGGGAGCGGGGCACTGGGTGGGTCCAACGGGTAACTGCAAGGAGGAGAGCAAGGAAGTCGGCAGAGGCGGCGACCCTGGCGAGGAAACTTCCCAGTAGCTTTGTTCAGCGGTAAGGACCGGATCCCTGAGAGACAAAAATCATCTTTTCTACTGTAGCAGAGTGGGGAGAACGCCAGGAAAAATGGAGAGACACCAAGAAAGAAGGAAAATCATGGGGACCCTTAGGCCGAAGCAGCCCTATATTAAGTTTAAAGAAGAAAGCAGGCGGCTTCCTGTGATGGTATATTGGTTAGTACTCTGCATCGCGGCCAAGGGTGGAATCCCAGTCATGGCAGTGTCCCTCCTGGGGCGTGGCACTCCTCCTTTCCTTTAGACTCCAACCTCTGCCTAGGCTGCGCTTTTACCTGCGACTAGAGAGGTTACAACTTACCAGTGCCTTCGGAGCTCTGTGCAGTGGTGAGAATAGAAGGAACCCCTACCTTGCATGCTGGGGTCCAGTCATCTTGAAAGGCTGGGCTTTTGCCCCCTCTCTGAGCAAGTGCAGCACCCAAAAGGTGAGGTGCTCCCTCTCAGTCAGCCTTATTGGAATCCTCCACTATTACCACGATGTGGCCATAACCGTTTTTCTGGTTCAGATATTTCAAACATCCGTGGGGCCTTTTAAGGCCGAATCAGAAACAAGCGAGAGGACATGAGGCTAGTTTGCACTCCAACTGGGAATTTTAAGTAAAGCCTAAAGAATACAATAAAATCTAAACTTAATGTCATTCCCCAACACCCAAATGTTATTTGTTTTTATTTATTTATTTGTTTATGTATTTTTGCTATCAGTAAATGACTGAAGTATAATCCACACAGACCAAAGTGTTCCAATCTGAAGTGCACAGCCCAGTGCATTTTGACGTAAGAAACCATCACCCAGATCAAGTTACGGGACATTTTCACCAGCCCAAAAAGTCATCAGAGCCCCTTTCCAGTCAGTCCTCACCCCATCCCCACTTAGGCAATCAACATTCTGATTTCTATCTCCATGGGTTACTTTTGCTTCTTCTTGAAATTCACGTAAAGGAATATACTGATTCTGTTTCTTTTTTGAATGCAACAATGGTTTTGAGATACATTCATTTTATGGCATGTATCTCAACTTTTTGATGTTATTGATGAATACAATACCATTGATGGAAGATTGGAATATTTCTACTTTTGGCTATTGTGAATAAGGTGTTTATGGGCCTTTTTATGGACCTGTGCCTTCATTTCTCTTGAGTATAAACCTGGTAATGGAATGGCCAGGTCATGGAGCAGGCATATTTTTAACTTTATTAGAAAGAAACTATCAGACACTCTTTTAGAATGGTTGCACTATCATATTCTCTTGCCAGCAACAAGGAATACATTTGCTCCGCACTCTTATAAGCTAGTGGTTTTCCCTGTCTCTTAAATGTTGCCCATTCTGATGGGCGTGTAATGGTGTATCACGGCATTTTAAATTTGTGTTTTCTGAATGAGTGACGATGCTGATAATTCTTTCTTTTGACATTTGGACATGAAGAAATCCTCTTTTGTGAACAAACACTGTTCAAGTGTTTTGTTCATTTTAAATTGGCTTGACTCTTTCCCCTCACCCATTTTTACATAAACTTTACTGTTAGAATAGAAAAATTGAGAAGCTAGTACACAGAATGGAGTAAAGAGGCTGGAATGGGTTTGGGGAACCAACTCACATTTTATGGTTAACACATTGTTCAAGAACAATGTATGTTTTCCAAAGACATCCCCTTATTGAAATACGCAGAGAAAGTGTGGGATAAAAGAGCATATACTAAACATCTCAGAACGAGTTTCTGGAAGTGGACAAGGGAATGGGAATGCGATAAACAGAGAAAAGGAGAGACAGTAAGGGCCTTGCTCAGAGCAGCCACCATACTGTGCCCTGTGCTAAGGACATGGAATTTTGAAAACAGAAAGTTCACCCAGACAGACCAGTCTAGATAAGAAAGGCAGGAAGAGACTTTAAAAAACAAAGCAAAAACAGAGAAATCATACAATGAGATGCTGGGAATGAGACTATGCCCATCATCTCCAACATAACACTAATTACTGCTAATTGTAATGAATCTAAATCTCTCAGATTGGATAGAAAAGGAAATGCTGGCTCTAACAGTTTAATGGACAGAAAAGGGTTAAATATTAAAAGCAGTGCTTATTATCCTTAGCAAACTAATGCAGGATCAGAAAACCAAATACCACATGTTCTCACTTATAAGCGGGAGCTGAATGATGAGAACATGTGGACAGATAGGATGGGGGTGGGGACAGCACACACTGGAGCCTGCCAGAAGGTGGGGCTGGGAAGAGGGAGAGCATCAGAAAGAGGAGCTAATGGATGGTGGGCTTAGTACCTGGGTGATGGGATGATCCGTGCAGCAAACCACCATGACACACATTTACCTATGGAACAAACCTGCACATCCTGCACATGTACCCCTAAATTTAAAGTAAAACTGGAAGTAAAACATTTAAAAAGAAAAGAAAACAAACAACAACAATAACAACAAAAAGAGTGGTGCAAATCTGTACCAGGCTTATTGGAAACAAAAGAATGAGAGTGAAAACATGGGTATCAGACAAAGGCAAACAGCAAAACAATGCTTTATATTAGCTAAAGGAGTAATATCCTAGCATCTAACTAAAGTCGAATGGAATCGAATGGAACTGTTTTTCCCTGAACTGGCCTCCTTGGGTGGCCAACCAGGGCATGGTGAAGGGAAAAAATCTTGGAGTGCAATGTCCATTTCTTTGCTCTTGTTTTGGTCTCTGTAAGGCATAAGAAGTTAAAAAGCAAGATCTGATCTTCGGAGTTTTCCAGGAATTCGAAATAGGTATATGAGGAAAGAAGCTCAATTATCACCCAGGTCTCCGGGAGTATCCCAGGTATAGTGCCAAGAGTCCAGCTTTCCGAACCGGGGTCCCTGGGTTCTGAAGGCCTTTTTGGGGAAAGTACTGATGTTTTTGTCAAGGTTGGGGGGAAAGGGTTTGGAAGGCCCCAACACCCACCACTGGTCACACACATACTGGCTGAATTCCAGACTATGCTGGCTGGTCTCAAACTCCCAACCTCAGGTGATCTGCCCGCTTCAGCCTCCCAAAGTGCTGAGATTATAGGCGTGTGCCACTGCACCCAGACCCAGCTAATTTTTTTTTTTTTTTTTTTTTGGAGACAAGACTTTCACTCTTGTTGCCCAGGCTGGAGTGCAGTAGTGCGATCTTGGCTCACTGCAATCTCCACCTTCCAGGTTCAAGCAATTCTTCTGCGTCAGCCTCCCGAGTAGCTGGGATTACAGGCATGCGCCACCATACCTGGCTAATTTTGTATTTTTAGTACAGACGGGGTTTCACCATGTTGATCAGGTTGGTCTTGAACTCCTGACCTCGAGTGATCTGCCTGCCTCGGCCTCCCAAAGTGCTGGGATTACAGGCATGAGCCACTGCACCCAGCCTGTTTTCAAGGTTTTTATGAACACTGGTACCTCCATCATTTTCAACAGGTACAAAAAGCAGAAAGTGGCAAGAAGAAAAAGCCTACAGTTAAGTTTCCTTCATTCAACAAATACTAATTGAGTATCTACTATGTACCAAGGCACTGTCCTAACACTTATGAAAAAGAAAACATCAATAATAAGAGTGGTGAGGAAATAAGAAATTTAAAGACATATAGGAATTGTCTAAAGGCCAAGTAAATCTTTGTCTTTTAGACTAAAAGGCTGTGCTAAAGTAGTGAATAATAAGCAAGAAAAAAAAAAGAAGAGTGAATGATAAAACAGAAAAATGTTTTCCTGTATGACTAGAGGTCATTCTTAATGAGGACAACACAATCATCTAGGGGATAGTTGGGACATCTATGGAAGTGCTTTGGTTGTCACAGCAGTTAAGAAGTGCTTCTCACTATTCACAATAGCAAAGACATGGAATAAACCCAAATGCCCATCAGTGAGAGACTAGATAAAGAAAATGTGGTACATATACACCATGGAATACCATTCAGCCATAAAAAGGACGAGTGATTACTTTGCAGGGATGTGGATGGAGCTGGAAGCCGTTATCCTCAGCAAACTAACATAGGAACAGAAAACCACACATCACACGTTCTCATTTGTAAGTAGGGGCTAAATGAGGAGGACACATGGTGGGGAACAACACACACTGGGGCCTGTTGAGGGAGCCTCAGGAAGAATATCTAATGGATGCTGGGCTTAATAGCTAGGTGATGAGTTGATCTGTGCAGCCAACCACCATGGCACAGGTTTGCCTACATAACAAAACCTGCACATCCTGCACATGTGCCCCGGGACTTAAAATAAAAGTTGCAGAAAAAAAAAAAAAGTGTTACTGACATTCAATTGGCAGAGGCCAGGAAAGCATAGGCAAGTCCAGCACAAAGAAAAAATGTCTTTATTCTCAAACTTCCTTATGAATAGTTAACTGGATTTTTAAAATCTGTATAATTACCAAAGCCTAGAACCTAATTACATTCTACGTATAAGCACCAAGTCCTTCTGCATAATTTTATTTATTTATTTATTTTTTTTTGAGACAGGGTCTCACTCTGTCACCCAGGCTGGAGTGCAGCGGTGTGATCACGGTTCACTACAGCCTTGACCTCTTGGGCTCAGGTAATCCTCCCACCTCAGCCTCCCAGGTAGCTGGGACTTCAGGCACGTGCCACCAAGCCCGGCTAATTTTTAAAAAAATTTTTTGTAGAGACAGGGTTTTACCATGTTGCCCAGGCTGGTCTCCAACTCCTGGGCTCAAGTGATCCAACCGCCTTGGTATCCCAAAGTGCTGGGATTACAGGCGTAAGCCACCGTGCCCAGTCCATAATTTTAATATGTACTAAATGTCCAGAAAAGCAACTGCTGAATAAAGTAAGAGAAAACTGTACTTTGGGGCAGATGCAGTGGCTCACGTTTGTAATCTCAGCACTTTGGGAGGCCAAGGAGGAGGACAGCTTGAGCCTAATTCAAAACCAGCCTGGGCAACTAAGTGAGACCCCATCACTACCAAAAAAAAAAAAAAAAAAAAAAAAAAAAAGAAGAAGAAGAAAGAAGTTGTACTTGAGTTTTATTTGTACATTTGCAAAGAATTGTTCACTGTACTGGTTTGCTTCTCCTGGTATTTAAGTTGCAAATACCCTTATAGCAGTCTACTCAGGTAGCTGTCATGTCAAGCTAATCTGTCAGAAATATTTTCTATTTATCCTTTATCTTACTGCAAGATAATTTTTTTAATTATATATGTAGGGCCGGGTGTGGTGGCTCACGCCTATAACCCCAGCACTTTGGGAGGCCGAGGTGGGCGCACTTGAGGCCAGGAGTTCGAGACCAGCCTGGCCAACATGGTGAAACCCTGTCTCTACAAAGAATAAATAATAATACAAAAAAATTAGCCAGGTGTGGTGATGCACGCTTGTAATCTCAGCTACTTGGAAGGCTGAGGCACGAGCATCGCTTGAAGCACCCAGGAGGCAGAGGATACAGTGAGCCAAGATCACGCCACTGCACTGCAGCCTGGTTGACAGAGATTCTGTCTCACAAAAAAAAAAAAAAAAAAACAAAAAAAAAACATATATATATATATATATATACACACACACACATATATGTAGAAAAGCTGTATTACCTGTGGATTTCATTTCACTAAAGAGAGTATTTCAAAATACTTATAAGAAGAGGGCACTGAATCTGAGAGGTCTGAGAATTAACGGGCTAGAAGATCAGCATCATTGTAGGATACCTGCAGGTCTCAGTTAATCCAGCAAAAGGTAAGAAAGAGCATGTAACTATAACTGTTTTTTCTTTTGAGAATGTAAATTCTAAGCATGGTGAAAGGTAAGCAAGATGAAACTTCTGGAAGATGGTACTATGGGTTAAAAGTCTATTCAAATCTGTACAACATCAAAGTGAGTGGCAAGGAGGTAGACATTACCTTGTCTACTAAGAAGTTTCCTGTGACACTTGTTCAAATTATCAAGGAGAGAGATTAATCTGTCCTAACAGATTTTCAAGGAAGACAAAACTAACTGGTCTGGCCAGGCGTGGTGGCTAACACCTGTAATCCCAGCACTTTGGAAGGCCGAGGCAGGCGCATCACTTGCAAGGTCAGGAGTTTGAGACCAGCCTGGCCAACATGGTGAAACCCCGCCTCTACTAAAAATACAAAAATTAGCCAGGTGTGGTGGCGCACACCCATAATCTCAGTTACTCGGGAGGCTGAGGCACAAGAATTGCTTGAACGTGGGAGGCGGAGGTTGCAGTGAGCCAAGATTGCACCACTGCACTCCAGCCTGGGCGACAGAGTGAGGCTTCAGGTCTCAAAAAAAAACAAAAAACAAAATCTAACTGGTCTGTTTTGGGAAAAGAGTCACCAACAGTCTACTTATCATACAAGAAAAGTATGCCTGGTTTAAAAATCACTGGCGCCAACTCACTTCTTTTTTAAATTTTTTTTTAAGAGATGGGGTTTCGCCATATCACCCAGGCTGGTCTCAAACTCCTGAGCTCAAGTTACCCACCCACCTCTGCCTCCCAAAGTGCTGGGATTACAGGTGTTAGCCACCATACCTGTCCTACTTCTAACTGATATACATGCATCTGGGGACCTCTGAGAAACTCTGAACAGCAAACAATTGAAAAAAGAAATTTCTAAAAAAGAATAATTTTTCAGCACCTAAACTTCTGTATGTGAAACTATAACAACAACCTAAAATGCTTCTAATACGGTAATGGCCCTATTTCTCTGCAAATAAGGATTGCTCACGATTCTTACACTGCCTTTCAATTAGGATTATACAGCTCCATTCCTCATTCAAGCTTCCAATACGTGCACCTAAGTATCATTTTACAATGGGATATACTTAGGTAAACTGAGACGGTCAGATGACTCAGCGAGAAGTCACCCGAAGAATTTTAGAACAAAGATTAATAACTCCAATATACCCTCTCAACCAAGAATTTGAAGAAACTAAAAGGTTAAACACAAAATTTCTGGAGCTTATGAAACTTCTGAGAGGTATAAGAGAAACACAGAAAGTAAAACTAAAAGTTAGGCTTGTTGTCTGCTTTTCATTTTGTTTTCAAACTGGGATTTCCAGCTGTCTTACTAAATTACATGCAGTGTTTCTATCTCAATTAATTCCCAACTGACAAAAAAATGTGGATAGTTTTCTTTTATAAGTTGCTCTTACAGTATGTAACTTGAGAGGGGTAATCCAATTCCTCTGGTCTCAGTAATTCCAAAGACAGAAAGTAACTCCAATAGATACTGCTATAATGGAATTGCAGCCACTAACTGAGCCCTAGTTCCTGTTCTAAACCCTCTCTCCCATCAGAGGTTTGCCTAAAATTATACGGTCTCAATTTTCTTACTGAAAATTCACTGGGATCCCAAAATTAAAAATCAAACCTACACCAAAACAAAACCTTAAACACAATTAGCACAAGATGACACTGACTATCCCTCTATCTATCCCAGGGTTTCTCAACCTCAGCCCTCTTACCTTTTTGGGCCCAATATAATTCTTTGTTTTGAGGGGTCTATCCTGTGCACTGCAGCATGTTCAGCAGCATCTCTGGCCTCCACCCACTGCATGACAGTAGCAACCCTCCTCTAGCCCCTAGTTACAAAAATCAAAAATGTCTACAGGCTGGGTGTGGTGGCTCACACCTACCATCCCAATACTTTGGGAGGCCGAAGCAGGACTGCTTGAGGCCAGGAGTTTGACACCAGCCTAGGCAACACAGTGAGACTCTGTCTCTACAAAAAATTAAAAAATTAGCCGGGTGTGGTGGTACAGCTAGTTGGGAGGCTGAGGTGGGAGGATTGCTTGAGCCCAGGAGGTGGAAGCCGCAGTGAGCCGTGATCACGCCACTGCACTCCAACCTGGGCAACAAAGTCAGACTCTGTCTCCAAAAAAAAGATAAAAAATTGTCTACAGACTTTGCCAAATGTTCCCTGGGAAACAAAACTACCTGAAATTGAAAACCACTGCTCTAGGCTATCTCATTTATTGCTCAGTAGGCTGTGAAGAGATCCAACCTGGCCAACATGGTGAAACCCTCGTCTCTACTAAAAATACAAAAATTAGCCAGGCATGGTGGCAGGCGCCTGTAATCCCAGCTACTCGGGAGGCTGAGGCAGGAGAATCACTTGAAACTGTAAGGCAGAGGATGCAGTGAGCCGAGATTGTGCTACTGCACTCCAGCCTGGGTGAAAGAGGGAAACTCCGTTTAAAAAAAAAAAAAAGAGGCAACTAAACATAAAGAAATACAAAGTGTTAGCACATCTAGTTGGTACTTCCCCCGAAAATACAAAAAAATTTCTTCTGCAGTGAGTTCAATTTTCAGATTTTTTTCTTCCTTATACTGAAAAAGTCCCACAAATTTCCCCAATATATACATTTATATTTATCAGTAGAATTACAAGGATAAACTAGCCTCTACCTATAAGAATACATATTTATTTCTAGATATTGCAGTGAATATATGTACTTCACTGTACGTTCAAATTTCACATGGTAGCACCTACATTTTGTACCACTGTAGCCTTTTAAAGGCGTCAAAACACTGAAGTCATCACTTTTTAAATATAATTACTGGGTGTTCAACTCATATAAATCATTCAATTAAAAAACATTTAATTAGCAACTGCTATATAGCACCAGATAGACATCTCTCTGGGACCTTTCTAAGAATCATGCAACTTAGAAAGGTCAGTTGAGCTTAAACGGTCACAAAGTCTTTAAGAAATCTGCTTTTTAGCTACTTTTATTATGGGTGGTTTGAACATTTTCCTGTATTAGAGTTATTGCAAGTACAATACAATGATGAATGCCTTCTCTAGCACCTAGATAACATTACTTATTGATAAGGAAAACATTTTATTAGATCAAAGAAGATGATAAAATAAGAAGATAGAGGGAGAGAAGCCTACTACATAGTTTCTTCAGGTGGAGCCTGAAAGCGAGCAGTCCTTAACCTGATCTCTTCATCTGGATTTAGGAAGATACCCTGATCTCCATAAAATACTTAAGAACCACCCTAGTCTCATCAATACCAAAAGTAGGTTACTCTGCATATGATTTATCTCACCTGTTTAATGATGACTCTACCAGATTTAATCACATAAGGTAACATTCCCTGACCTTGATTTAATGGGGAAAGACGGATGGTAGGGTGTAGGAATGGAATAACACCTTTACGCTCCATGACACAGCCCTCTGTGGTGTACTACCCAGTCATTCATCATCAATGTGGCATACTAACTCCATTAGTCTTGGCTTCACATTGTCTCTCAATAAGATAGGTAAGGTAGGAGTTTCTGCTATGGTTTTGAAAATAATAATCTGAAGTTACTTTAAGTATTTATTCTATAATCTGATGACCAAAAAATCTACAATGGCATTTTACCCAATCCTACAGAAACTTAAAATCCTGAGGCTCCAGACTATATAATCGAAATCTCTGATTTTAAAATCCAAGTTTAGTACTCACAAAATTTTACTAAAGTTATTTTCACTGTAAATAGGAAAACACTTTTAATAAGGAGAAAGAAATTCCTAAACCAATACTCACTTGGAATGGAGACTTTTTTGAAACCTAACAGAAAACAATGCCACTAAATATGTTTTCATTTTAAAATTCCCTTCATGATTTCTCCTTATTTCTTAATGTCCTCTTTCCAAATGAACCTTTTGTCCTCTTTTTGAATGGTTTTTTTTTTTTTTTTGAGATGGAGTCTCGCTCTTTTTGCGAGTGCAATGGCACGATCTCAGCTCACTGCAAGCTCCGCCTCCTGGGTTTTCAAGCGATTCTCCTGCCTCAGCCTCCCGAGCCCAGCTCAAATCACTAAATTGCTTAGATTAGAGGCGCCCACCACCACGCCAGGCTAATTTTTGTATTTTTAGTAGAGACAGGGGTTTCACCATGTTGGCCAGGCTGGTTTTGAAGTCCTGACCTCAGGTGATCCGCCCACCTTGGCCTCCCAAAGTGCTAGGATTACAGGCACTAGTCACCATGCCCGGCCCTCTTTTGTCCTCTTATCTGAGTGGATCCAACCCAAAGACACACAAAGCTAAAATTGATCAGGATTAGCAGTAAGGAGTGTTATTCTGTCAAATTAAATGAATTCAGCCTACATGTGGCTTTAAAAAAAAAGGTGAAATAATAAAGTAATTAAATTTTAAAAAGAAGAGAAGAGTTATTAAACCTTGCAACCTAGTCCCGTTGAACACAATTATGGCTCTGAAGCAGACCTTCCCATTGAATGGGTGAAGAAACCTAGTGAGAGCTCATTAAAAGCTGATGTAAACTCAATACCCAGCCTCTGGTGTTCAGTGAGGACAGCACTCATAGATGATGGGTTCTTTCTTTCTTTTTCTTTTCTTTTCTTTTTTCTCTCCTCTCTCCCCTCTCTCTTCTCTCTCATCCAGACTGGGTCTCTGTTGCCCAGGCTGGAGTACAGTGGCACAACCATAGCTCACTGTAACCTCAAATATCCTGGGCTCAAGTAATTCTTCCACCTCAGCCTCCCAAGTAGCTAGGACTACAAGCACATGCCACCATACCCAGCTAATTTTTATTTTTTTTGTTGAGACAGGGTCTTGCTATGTTATCCAGGCTGGGAGAACATTTTAAACAAAGGGAGACAGAGGTCTAAAAATAGATAATGCATAGGAGAATGGTGAGGTAAATGCTATGGCCAAGGCACAGGGCGTGTGGAGGAATGAGTTGGGTTTTTGAAGTTGATTAGATTAAATCATGGAGTCTTTTTCTTTTTTGAGATAAGCTCTTGCTCTGTCACCCAGACTGGAGTGTAATGGCACAATCACAGCTCACTGCAGCCTCGACCTCCCGGGCTTGAGCAATCTTCCCCGACTCAGCCTCCTGAGTAGCTAGGACCACAGACACACACCACCACCCCTGGCTAATTTTTTTAATTTTTGTAGAGATAGGGTCTCACTTTGTTGCCCAGGCTAGTGCCAAACTCCTGGGCTCAAGCAATCCTCTCCTGCCTTGGGTTCCCAAAGTGTTGGTATAACAGGTGTGAGCCACAGCATGCCCCAGTGAGGGATGGTTCTTGGTATCCAACTATCACAAGAGTCAGTACCCTCTTTGTTTACTTTGTTTTTATAAAATTTATCCATATCTGATTTTGACTGGGGTATTAAGCCTTTTTATATATTGACTATAAATGGTTTTTAGGTTTTAGGTCCTTCATTTTGCTCTTTGTTTTCTATACATATTTTTTTTGATTTTAGGTTTGGGGGCACATATGTACATTTGTTACATGGATAAACTGTGTCACTGGAATTTGGTGTACTGATTATTTCGTCACCCAGCAACTGACCATAGTACAAGATAGGCAGTTTTTTGACCCTCATCCTCCTCTTACCCTCACCACCTCAAGTAAGCCCTCGTGTCCATGTTTATGCCCATGTGTACTCAATGTTTAGCTCCCACTTTTAAGTGAGAACACGTGGTACTTGGCTTTCTGTTCCTGCTTTAATTCACTTAGGATAATGACCTCCAGCTGCATCCATGTTGCTGCAAAGGACATGATTTCGGTTTTGTTTTTTTTAAATAGCTGTATAGTATCCCATGATGTATATGTACCACATTTTCTTTATTAAGTCCACCACTGATGGGCATCTAGGTTGATTCCATGTCTTTGCTCTTGTGAATAGTGCCACAATAAACATACAAGTGCATGTGTCTTTTTGGTAAAACGATTTATATTCCTCTGGGTATATACCCAGTAATGGATTGCTGGGCAGAATGGTAGTTCCGTTTTAAGTTCTCTGGGAAATCAAACTGCCTTCCACAGTGGCTGAACTAATTTACATTCTCACCGGCAGTGTATAGGCATTCCCTTTTCTCCACAACCTTGCCAACAACTGTTATTCTTTGACTTTCTAATAATAGCTATTCTGACTGGTGTGAGATGGTATCTCGCTGTGGTTTTGGTTTGCATTTCTCTGACGATTAGTAATCCTGAGCATTTTTTCATATGCTTATTGGGCTGCATATATGTCTTCTTTTGAGAAGTGCGTAGGCAAAAAAACCAAAATCATACCAACCACACTCTCGGATTATAGTGCAATTAAAATAGAAATCAATACTAAAAAGGTCTCTCAAAACTATACAATTACATGGAAATGAGACAACTTGTTCCTGAATGACTTTTCAGTAAAAAATGAAATTAAGGGAGAAATCAGAAAGTTCTTTGAAACTAATGAAAACAAAGATACAGCATACCAGAATCACTAGGATACAGTTAAAGCAGTATTAAGAGGAAAGTTTATAGCACTAAACACTTCCATCAAAAAGCTAGAAAGATCTCAAATTAACAACCTAACATCACACCTAGAGAAACTAGAAAAACAAGAACAAACCAACCCCAAAGCCAGCAGAAGAAATAACCAAAATCAGTGCTGAACTGAATGAAATTGAGATGTGAAAATCCATACAAATAAATGATAAACGAAACCAAAAGTTGGTTCTTTCAAAAAATAAAATTGATAGACCACTAGCTAGATTAATAAAGAAAAAAAGAGAGACGATCTAAATAAACACCATCAGAAATGACAAAACTGACATTACCACCAATCCCACAGAAATACAAAGAACCCTCAGAGACTATTACAAACACCTTTATGCACACAAACTAGAAAACCTAAAATTCCAGATAAATTCCTGGAAACATACAACCTCACAAGACTGAACCAGGAAGAAACTGAAATTCTGAACAGACCAATGACGAGTTCCAAAATTGAATCAGTAATAAAAAACCTGGCCAGGGCCATGGCTCATGCCTACAATCCCAGCACTTTGGGAGGCAAAGGCAGGCGGATCGCTTGAGCCTAGGAGTTCAAGACCAGCCTGGGCAACATGACGAAACCTTATCTCTCAAAAAAAAAAAAAAAAAAAAAAAACAGCCAGGTGTGGTAGCACATACCCGTAGGTCCAGCTACTCAGGAGGCTAAGGTGGGAGGATCACCTGAGTCTGGGAAGTCGAGGCTGCAGTGAGCCGTGATCATGCCACTGAACTCCAGTATGGGTGACACAGTGAGACCCTGTCTCAAAAAATAATGAAAAATAAAAAACTTACCAATCAGAAAAGGCCCTGGACCAGATGGACTCACAGCCAAACCCCACCAGACACGAAGAAGAGCTAGTACCAATCCTACTGAAATTATTCCAAAAAATCGAAGAGGGACTCTTCCCTAACCCATTCCATGAGGCCAGCAGCATTCTGATACCAAAACCTGGCAAAGACACAATGAAAAAAGAAAACCCCGGGCCAATATCCCTAATGAACACAGACACAAAAATTCTAAATAAAATACTAACAAACTGAACCAGCAGCACATTAAAAAGCTAATGCAGGCCAGTGTGGTGGCTCACACCTGTAATCTCAGCACTTTGTGGGGCCAAGGCAGGCAGATCACTTGAGGTCAGGATTTCAAAGCCAACCCGGCCAACACGGGGAAACCCCATCTCTACCAAAAATACAAAAATTAGACAGGTCTAGTGGTGCAAACCTGTAATCCCAGGTATCTGGGAGGCTGAGGCACGAGAATCGCTTGAACCCAGGAGGCAGAGGTTGCAGTGAGCTGAGCTCGTTCCACTGCACTCCAGCCTGGGCTAAAGAGCAAGACTCCGTCTCAAAAAAATAAATAAATAAAAATTAAAAGCTAATCTACCACAATCAAGTAGTCTTTACTCCTGGGATGCAAGGTTAGTTCAACATAGGCAAATCAATAAATGTGATTCATCACATAAACAGAATTAAAAACAAATACCACATATCAGGCCAGCCGCAATAGCTCATGCCTGTAACCCCAGCACTTTGGGAGGCTGAGGCAGGCAGATTGCTTAAGCCCAGAAATTTGAGACCAGCCGGGGCAACATGGCAAAATCCCATCTCTACAAAAAAGAAAAAAAAAATTAGCCAGGCATGGTGGAACGCACCTATCTACTACTACTCAGGAGGATATAGTGGGAGGACACATTGAGCCCACAAATTCAAGAACAGCCTGGGCAACAAGACAGAATAAATTCTGTCTCTATTTAAAAAGAAAAAAAGAGGCCGGGTGTGGTGGCTCACACCTGTAATCCCACCACTTTGGGAGGCCAAGGTGGGCATATCACAAGGTCGAGATGGAGACCATCCTGGCCAACATGGTGAAACCCCGTCTCTACTAAAAATACAAAATTTAGCTGGGCATGGTGGGACGTGCCTGTAGTCCCCACTACTTGGGAGGCCGAGGCACGAGGATTGCTTGAACCCAGGAGGTGGAGGATGTAGTGAACCGAGATCGCACCACTGCACTCCAGCCTGGTGACAGAGCGAGACTCAGTCTCAAAAAAAAATAAAAGGGAATATACTGTATATTTGAAAATTGCTAAGACAGATTTTAAGTGTTCTCACCACGCAAAAATAAGTATGTGAGGTAATGCATGTTAAATAGCTTGATTTAACCATTCAGTGTATACATATATCAAATCATGCTGAACACTATAAAAAATATAGTATACAACTTTTAGTTGTGAAAAAAACATGATTTATTAAATATTTCTCCCTTCTTCATCAACTCCCTCTTCCTTTTGCTACCTCACAGTCTTTGGAATTCTCAATCTGAAATGTACCCATCCCTCAAAACTCAATTTAAATCCCACTGGCCACACCAATGCTATGAAATTCCCCTCTCTGAATCCTAAAGCACATATCCTCATTCCCTTTATGCTGTTACTTTTTCTATGTTTGCCTTGTCTTTCCCCAAAAGCTGTAAGATCCTTAAGGGCAGGAGCCACATATCACTCCCTATCACCTCCAGGACACTCAGCAGAGAACCTTGGATATATTTAGGAAGAATCCGGTTATACTCAATTGTGTTAGGCCTCAATTTACAAATCAGACATGACAAATAATATATCACACCAAAAAGATCAAGAAACTTCTCCAGGCATTAACTAAGGCTTAGAAAAACACCTATTCAGCCTTTCAAATTATCCCTTTGAAGTAAGGACTTAAAGGTGAGAAGAAAAGATATAATCAATTGGGGAAGTTTAGACTGTCTTCTCACTCTTTTTTTTTTTTTTTTTTTTTTTTTTTTTTTTGAGACAGGGTCTGGCTCTATTGCCCAGGCTGGAGTGCAATGGTGCGATCTCAGCTCACTGCAACCTCTGCTTCCTGGGGTCAGGCAATCCTCCTACCTCAGCCTCCTGAATAGCTGGGACTACAGGTGCATGCCACCACACACACGGCAAATTTTTTTATTTTTTGGTAGAGACGGGGTTTCTCCATGTTGCCCAGGCTAGTCTCGAACTCCTGAGCTCAAGCGATCTGCCTGCCTTGGACTCCCAAAGTATTGGGATTACAGGCCTGAGCCACCACGCCTGGCCAACTTCTCACTCTTAAAGGCAAAATAGTGAACAGCAACTTAAAGATCAAAAAAGCTAAGGATGGAATATTCAACAAGGCATCACATTCAACAACACACCACTGGTCACACACATACTGGCTGAATTCCAGACTCCCTCTCTATGGTAAAAGAGTTCTGCAGGCTCTGATGTTGGCTGGAAAAAAACTAGACACCTGCTCTTCCCAGCACTGAAATATGGCCAAAAAAAAAAAAAACATAAACACACAGCAAAATCAGCAAACAAAACTAAGTAGCATTTAGGCGGGGAGCAGTGGCTCACGCCTGTAATCCCAGCACTCTGGGAGCCCGAGTCGGGTGGATCACTTGAGGTCAAGAGTTTGAGACCAGCCTGGCCAACATGGTGAAACTGCATCTCTACTAAAAACACAAAAATTAGCCAGGGTGCGGTGGTCGTGCACCTATAGTCCCAGCTACCCGGAGGCCGAGGCAGGAGACTCTCTTGAACCCAGCAGGTGGAGGTTGCAGTCAGCCGAAATCATGCTCCTGGGTGATAGACAGAGGCTGTCTCAAAAAAAAAAAAAAGAAAAAAGAAAAACAGCTAAGTAGCATTTAGATGAAACTATGACTCTGAAGTAGGGGGTGCGGCAAGTAGAGAGGAAAGAATGTATCATAATGCCTTAAACAAAACTTTTGAGTGAGAGAAGACTATAAAACACCCTTTAAGCACTTATTCACTGGACTCCATTTGTGTTTCTAAGAAATAAGATATACAGACTCACTTCAGAAGGTTTTCTCCTACACTGTATCTGAGACACCATAAATAGAAACATACATTATGTTGCCACTCTATCACAAGACTGAACCTGGACACTTGTAAGGAAAGGAACAACCATAAAGACAGTTGGCCAAGGACAGGATTGACATTCACCCTGGGGGAGCTCCTCGTAGTAGCTACAAGCCAACCCAAAACAGCTTCTGGGTTTGTGATGCTGGTGCTGGCTAGTATGCTGCATAAATGTTGTTTGTTTTTGTAGAGAGGGGTCTCACTCTGTTGCCCAGGCTGGTCTCAAACTCCTGGCCTCAAGCAATCCTCCTGCCTCGTCCTCCCAAAGCACTGGGATTACAGACCTAAGCCACCGCGCCTGACCTACAAAAGTGTTTTCTTCCCAACCACAGCACTGCCTCTCAAGGGGCTAACACTCTGGCAGAAACTCGTGAAAACCAATTTCACGTCAGAGGAAGCATCCCCAACATTCTGTCCCGGCTCTTTTTCTTAGGTGAAGAAAGGGACAGGGCGGGGGGCGGAACAATGATATTAAAGACACTGGCAGCATGACAACCAAAATAAACGAAGTTGAAACAGTACGTCCTGCCTTCTTCCTAAAGCCATTTCCTTCAACAGCGATAGGAGTGCAGACCGTCTGCAAGTCATTAGTACGCTGCTGTCTTCACTGTCACAAGGACCCTGGAAACCACTGAAGAGCAAAATCCCCCTTTTCGCCCCACAGATACCTTCCAACCCCCTTTCTGTGCTTCCTTCCCTAGAAAAAACCGAAGAGTGACAATCCTCAGCAATCCGCTATTTCGCTTCACTGACAAGGGAGGTGGCGGGGGCGGTGGGGGGTGAAAAGTGGAAAAGAACACAGAGGAAGGTGAGAAGACACAGTGGAAGAAGTGTGGGGGGAGGTCATCGTAGGAAAAAGACCAGGTATAAAAGAATGCAAGAAAATTGAGGGGAGAGTTATCAGAGGGAAACTTGCTAAGAAAAAAAAAAAATTAAGGACACGGGAGGTGAAGAGGTGAGGTCAGGTGGAGCAGCCCAGGATGAATTAAGAGGTGGGCAGGAGGTACGGGGCCGAGGCCGTGATGCCCAGGGTTTAGGGCCGGCGGCTTAGAAGTGGGCAGCAGGTATTCGGCAGACCGATGTCCGGGGAGTCAATGATGTGCAGAAAGCTCCAGACCCAGTTCCGGGAAATCGGGGCCAGGAATCTATGAGGTTCCCAAGTATAGAGAACACAGCGCTCTTACCGGTAGTTTGGGGCTGACCTCGCCCTTGCAAAAGTGGCAGAAAAACCGGTGGGCGGCGCCGTGGAGCAGGGGGCGGCGCTCATCGGGGAGGCCCCGGCCGCACAGGAGCCCACGGAGGGGGCGGGAGGCTCAGGCATGGCGGGCTGCAGGTCCCGAGCCCCGCCCCGCGGGAAGGCAGCTAAGGCCCCGCGAGAAATCGAGCACAGCGCCGGTGGGCTGGCACTGCTGGGGGACCCAGTACACCCTCCTCAGCCGCTGGCCCGGGTGCTAAGCCCCTCATTGCCCTCACTGCTCCGAGTGCGGGGCCCGCCAAGCCCACGCCCACCCTGAACTCCGGCTGGTCTGCAAGCGCCGGGCGCAGCCCGGGTTCCCGCTCGCGCCTCTCCCTCCACACCTCCTTGCAAGCTGAGGGAGCCGGCTCCGGCCTTGGCCAGCCCAGAAAGGGGCTCCCACAGTGCAGCGGTGGGCTGAAGGGCTCCTCAAGTGCCGCCAAAGTGGGAGCCCAGGCAGAGGAGGCGCCGAGAGCGAGCGAGGGCTGTGAGGACTGCCAGAACGCTGTCACCTCTCAAAATGACGTAGAGTTTGCAGATAACCTACTCACATCCTCCCGTATGCTATGTAAATAGTTGTTATGTGGTATTGTTTAGGGAATAATGACAAAGAAAAAAGTCCATATATGTACAGTGCAAACACAATAATAAGTTTTCAAAAAATATTTTGGAGTCAGGCCTGGTTGAATCCATGGATGCAGAACCTACAGATATGGAGGATCAAATGTAATAAATCTCTCTCTCTTACTATATATATGTGTGTGTGTATAGTGTGTGTGTATTTATATATACTGTGTGTGTGTGTATATGTATGTATATGACTATTGATACAGTGGTAAGGAGTAGGGGAGGGAAGTGTTCCATAATCCTATGATTAGGTCTCAGTCTTGTGGTGGGCCTGTGCCCCTGGGCTGTGACCTTCAAAAGTGCTTCTCAAATTTTGTTCCCTCTTAGGTGAGACAGGATGGCTAGAGGTCACTGGAGTTGGGTATTTCCCTTTCCCTACATTGGTTAGACTCTGGAAACAGAATTTTCTTTTGAGGGCATGTGTTTGTTAAGTAGAACAGAATGCACCGGGCATATTTTTCAACAGTTACCTCTCCTTCCCCTCCAGAAGCACTCAAGGAGTTTTCTCTGATTCTCACCCTAAGTCTTCTGGAGACAAAACTCATGAAGGTATGGGAGGCTCCCACTAGTTAGGCCCCCAGGAGTTTTTACCTCTCAGGCTAGGCTGCTGTCAGCTCCAGCAATTAGCCAACTCCCTTTGAAGTATGTCTACCCAATGCTGGCTCCAGTGGTGGTTTCTGATCCAGGTAAGTTGTGATTCTCTGTATTTGCCCATGGCTCCAGGTTTCATAGGGTTGGCATGTCTTAGGACCTCCATTTTCTGTTGCATATAAGTAGTTATTGATGTTCGGTTTGTTCAGCTTTTTTCTGGTGAGAGTGGGAGTGATGGCTTTTAAGTGCTTTACAAGTCTGGTTGTCATTTCTGATAATCATGTGACAATTTTGATCTCTTTAAAAAGGTAATATGTTTAATTCAGGAATTGCGAAAAGCCTTGCAGCAGCTACAAGAATTGCAGAATAAGAGCCAACAGCTTCGTGCCTGGGAGGCTGAAAAATACAATGAGATTCGAACCCAGGAACAAAACGTCCAGCACCTAAACCATAGTCTGAGTCACAAGGAGCAGTTGCTTCAGGTGAGTTTACATGATTTCAATGAACACTGGGCTCATAGAACTCTGAAATTTGTTTATATAATTTTAAGATATTAATCCACCTGTGCTGAGTCCCTGCTATATGGAAAACATTGAGAGGTGGGAATCAGGAGGATTTAAAATAAATAGAAAATATAATTTGTGAATTAAGATGCTTACTAACAAGTGTAAGAAACAGTACATATAGCCCTGATTTATGCAGTCTTTTATGAAGTCTTTTATAAAGACTTAATATTCAGAAAATAGTTATTAAGCACCTCTGTGAGTCAAACACTTTTCTGGGTGTTGGGAAGACAAAAGATTTGGCTACTGATCTCAGTGTAATAGATGAAGACAAACTGTACAGAAACTTCCAAAGAGTAATTTTGATGATAGAATGAAAGTTTGAGGGGAAGATGGAGCATTAAGAAGAGACTGATCTGTTCTGCCACCTACTCTAAGCTTCAGTCACATTGAATCCACTACATTTCACTGAATGTACAATTTTTTCATTGTATGCATAGTGTGCATATTTTTTTTTCTCTAACATGTCCTCCTCTCCATTCTTCACTTAGGAAATCCTAGTCCTTTAATTAAGACTCACTGCAAATATTACCTCCTCTGTGAGGTCTTTACTGACACCTGCAGGCAGAGTTAGGCAGTGCATCCTGTGTTCCCCTGGTGGCTAGCGTATGTTGCACAACAGTTAATTCTATGTGTTGTGTCTGGTGTATGTTGCAGAATACTTTACAATTTATGTCTGTTATCTCTGCTAAACTTGTTACTTTTGAGGAGAGTGATCACATCTTGTTTTTTTATCCTGAATAACTAACAAATTACTTGGCAATTTAGTTAATATTGGATAAAAGAATAAAAGAAACGATGTTTTGGTCTCAGGAATTTCGGGAGCTCCTACAGTATCGAGATAACTCAGACAAAACCCTTGAAGCAAATGAAACGTTGCTTGAGAAACTTCGCCAGCGAATACATGATAAAGCTGTTGCTCTGGAGGTATGTATCATCATTTCGCCCACTATGCTATGGATTATTCTATCTACATAGGTATTATAGAAATTTGTGTTTACTTAAATTTGCTGGTTTTGGATTTGGTTTTCTATTCTGCCATCGTGTTAAATAACAGCGATCAGGATAGATTATTGAACAGATGGTATGTGAGCACTTGGAAAGTGGTGAGCATTAGAAACCAGAATTTCTCTAAGAGCAAGGTAGGACAGATTAAATAAGTGGAATGAAGGGTTTTGCAAAGACAGAGATGTACCATTCTCCAGGCTGCGGGGGATGTTGAGCCAGCATGCTCTTCCCACCAACATAGGGCCTTCCTTCCCTGCTCCTTAGCTCTGTTTGTCAGGGCGGATGTGCTTGGGGTCATCTTCCTGCTGAGCTCTGGCCCCATGAAAATAAATCAATCCTCCTGTGTTCCTCTCACCAGAGCACTCCCAGGAGATGGAAAGCCTGAGGGAGGCTCTGCTGTCCTCTCGATCCCACCTTCAAGAGCTGGAAGAGGAGCTGGAGCACCAGAAGGTGGAAAGGCAGCAGCTTTTGGAAGACTTGAGGGAGAAGCAGCAAGAGGTCTTGCATTTCAGGGAGGAACGCCTTTCCCTCCAGGAAAACGACTCCAGGTAAGAGGGGACCCATTGACAGAGAAGGTAGCATTCTTCATTCTTACATTCATTCTTACATTATAAGAAGGGATATTGGCAAGATAATTGGTGTCCTCTTTTGGAAACCTCAATGTTCCCTCTGCCATTCCTGATTTTTGTGTGTCAGTGGGGTGGGGGGAGGGGCGCTTTGAGCAGAAGAAAGGACTTCTCTGGGAATGCCTTGTCACTCCCAAGTTGAGAGAGTAAAACTCTGTTATAGAAGTCTTCAGTATATCAGAGACATGAAAAAGAAGGGTCCCCATGCTTCCAATTAGATATAGGACATTAGTCTCACCATCACCTAGGAAGCTTCTATACTGGCTGTGATGCTTGGTCCCAGCATAAGCCCTGTAACTGCTTGTCAGGATGCAAAGAGCACTGTAGGAGCAGTAAGGAGACTGTGCTGGTGTGTCTGTTCTGCTCTGAACTAATGTAGGTAATGGTGTGTTTTCAAGCAAAGTTACTTGACCTCCCTCAGCCACCATTTCCACATCTGTGAAATAAAAGTGATGATCTTCCTGACCCCCTGAGTTGACATCTGGGGCTCAGAGGTAACCCTAACCGTAACCCTTTATGACCCTCTGAGTTGACATCTGGCTCTCAGCCTGTTGCTCTGGTGTGGCTGAGTGGCTCTGCCATCTCAGTGGGCCTTGCCTCTCCCTGGTCAGACTGCAGCACAAGCTGGTTCTCCTGCAGCAACAGTGTGAAGAGAAACAGCAGCTCTTTGAGTCCCTCCAGTCAGAGTTACAAATCTATGAGGCACTTTATGGCAATTCCAAGAAGGGGCTGAAAGGTATGTGTTCTTCTCCCCTCACCCCATGAGCTTTTTGCCCTTGCATAGGATGCTAGTGAGGTCTTTCCTTTGGGAGTTGTGGAGATCATGGGAAGCTACAGAGTTCTGTCTCAGAAACTCCCACCCGAGCCTGGGGCTCCCAATAAGAACTCTCATACACAAAGCCCAAGGTGACAGGTTGGTGACACGAACAAGATCCAGCCTGATCATTCCTAATTATTTTAAGAAAATCTAGACATTCCTATCAATGTCTAAATTATAACATTTTTGAAAGCAAAAGAACTGTCCTAATGATATCATCATTTGAAAAGGCCTTTAATATTGTCGGTGATACATACTGACAACCCATTCAGCCCAATGCAGCAGGCAGTCCGCTCCCACCCTGACCCTTTCCCTAGTGACATCTGGCGCTCAGCTTATTGCCCTCTCATGTAATTTTCATAAATCCTGATTTAGTTTCCTGATTTTCTAAAGAGAAGGTGAACTGGAATTTGAAGAAATACAGGGGCTTACCAGGCTGAGCGAATAGCTTAAGTACAAAGTCATGGTGAGTGTTGAGTCAGTGGGGACCAGCCTGCCCACAGGAGAAAATTAAAAGACACGAAAACAAAAAACCCTTATAGAAATACCACTGATAGGACCTAAATTTCAATCCTGGATTTAAATATTAAGGACATTTATTGAAGACTTTGTTGCCTGCTGAAATAATAATCTAATATTTGAGAATTTGATATATTTCTTCATTCTTTAAATGGAGAAGGGTATTCAAAACATAATGTGAATAAGTCACAGCAGGCTGGGACAGAGGACTGACATCAATGTCATGAAATTTAGCAAAGATAAAAAGCAAAATCCTGAGCTCGATTAAAAATATCAGTGGTAGAAATATAGGATGAGGGTAGAAATATAGGACAGGCGGCCATTCGTGGACTTGAGAGTATGGGGTTTGGTAGAAACATGATCACACAAGTAAGTCACAGGCCAGAGGTTGCTAGAAATGCCAGCTCAAACTGACACTACAGTAGTGTAAGTGTGATGTTCGCCTGTGGAGACCATGGTCTAAAATATTGTTAGATTAAGGGGCACTATCTTTGAAAAGGGCATTGACACACTAGGGAACATAATGAAGACAGGGCGCACAATGGTGTGGACCAGAAATCTCCAACTGGTCAAAGAAACTAAAGAAATGTAGGCTTTCAAAAGATCTTGAGGACATGAGAACTGGCTTCGGATATTTGAAGAAGTGTCAGGTGAAAAAGAACTCATGTATTTTATGTCCCTCCAGGGGGCTAAACAATGCGTGAAGGGCAGTGGAATTTAGATTGGAATTATCATAAATCCTGATTTAGTTTCCTGATTTTCTAAAGAGAAGGTGAACTGGAACTTGAAGAAATAGAGGGGGCTCACCAGGCTGGGAGAATAGCTTAAGTACACAGTCATGGTGAGTGTTGGGTCAGTGGGACCAGCCTGACCACAGGAGAAGCTTGGGGTTGGGGGAGTGAGAAGTCAGGATGGTGGAGTAGAGCCACCAAACCGTGAAAGCTCACAGGTCAGGGTGAAAGTTGACATTCTGTAGAGTAGATAATGAAACTAAGTCTATTCTTTTTCAAAGAAGATAAGCATATGATGAAAACAGAACTTTAGGATGCTAAGTCTCAGGGGATGTCCTGGAATTGGGAGACATTAGAATCTGGGAAACCTATTGGATGGGTCTAGTGATATTCTGGCACATTAAGAGATGACAGTCTAATATAAGGTGCTGTTGGGAAGATGAAAGGGTATAGATAGATTTTAAAATGTCTCTTAAAAAAATAAGCAAAATTTAGTGAGAACTTGGATTGAGAAAGAGAGAGAGGAACTTCATAAAACTTCGGGCAAAATTCAAGAGTAGATTATTTACCAAAGTCTCTGAAACGACTTCATCCTGAGCTCCCTTTCCTTTCATGCTTTTCTCCCTGCCTTTTAGGACTCATTTCAAAGCTACAACCACTAAAGCTCCATAATCCCTTATCTGTAATTTCAAAATTCAATACGATCTCCAAACTAAATTTTTCAAATACTCATTTAGTGACAAAATCTAGATGATCTGACATGAGGATATTCATAAGTCTTTATTTATCTACTTAGGATATTCACATAGCTCATTGCGGAAATAGTTATATGTTTGATTAAGGATTGTGGTTCACCTGCAACTGGGTACATGTTATATATGATATATGCACCCTGTTGCCTTGCTAAAAACTAAAACAAATTTTACCTTTCGAAATACATTTGGCCTTAAGGTTTTCAGATAAGGGATTGTAGCCTTGTAGAATATTTCTTAGATCTCTTCATCCCCAGTACAAAGAAATAGACTACATGTGGTGAATGGAGGTAAATACATGTACATATATATATTTGTATATATATGTATGTGTATATATGTGTGTATATATGTACATGTATATATGTACATGTATACACCTATATATAGTATGTATATACACACACAACATATATATACACACTATATGTAGGTGTATATATATGTACACACACATACACACACACACACACACACATATATATATATATATAGAGAGAGAGAGAGAGAGAGAGAGAAATTGAAAAACTCAGTTATAATCCCTGGTCTAATGTGCCCAACTCGCATTCTCACATGCTACCAAAAGGCCTCCTCCTTCTCCTCTTTCATTTTTGAGAGTGAAGACTGTGAAATCTCTTTCTCCCTCATCCCCTACCCTTCTCTAGCTCAGTACTGACGTTCTACCTTGGAGGATCCTATACTTTAGCCTACAGGACTAAGGTTACTATGGAGATGAAATATGGACTTATCCTTATCTGCCAATCAAATGCTCTATAGGTGCATGTGTGTAACTTAAACCGCAAGGAAGTTTCAGACTGGATGTGTGCCAGCTCAGTGCCATCCCCCGGCCACACACAGAAATGGTGACATCTCCATCATAGATGGGTTGCATGAGACTCAGATGATAGTGGGGTCCTTGGCAGAAAAGAATGTCACAGAGGAGGGTTCTGACAAGTGCTTGGAAATACTTGGGTCAATGTTACCAGACTCCTCTTCTCTCTTAGCTTACAGCCTGGATGTCTGTCACCAAATCCCTTTGAGCAGTGACTTGAGCCACCTGGTGGCAGAGGTACGAGGTCTGAGAGGGCAGCTGGAGAACAGCATTCAGGGGAACAATTGTCTGTGACTGCAGCTGCAACAGCAGCTGGATAGCCTGCTGGCAAAGCCAGCCTCAGCCCCTCCTCTGTTAACCAGAACTTCCCAGCCAGCGCTGACCCTGGAAACAAGCAGCTGCTCCTCCAAGGTAGGAAGGAAAAGGGACTTAGAAAGCCCTTGGCCAGTGGGGAGATCACCAGGATGTCTGCCTGGTCCATGCTCCTTATGGTCAGGTTGAAATCAGAGATGCTCTAGTCTAGCAGCCTGAGTGAAAGCGTGGGATTTAGGTCAGACTGGGCTCCAGATTCTGAGTTTACCGCTTAGAGGTCGTTTGATTTGGGCAAGGTGTTTAAAGTCTCAGAGGTTTAAGCCTTAGTTTCCTCATATTTAAGATGAGGATAATAATAATATATACCTTATATGATTTTGACCATTAAATGAGATCATTTACAAGTGCTTGGCACACTAAGAATTGCTCAATAATTAGTAGCTGTATATGTTCATATCTTTTTCTTGGATTTGCTTGGTGCTTTAGTTTTAGCCAAGTGTTTTCACATATATAATTTCACCTGAAGTAAAGCAGGTTTTGCTATCTCTGTATTTCACATAAGAAAACTTAGGTCCTGAGATATTAACAGACAAGCGGGGGTTTAGAGAAGTTATAGACAAAGCCAGGATCAGAACCAGATGTTGTGATTTTCAGTCTGTGTTCCTTCCAGCTCATTGTGCCCTCTCTCAGTATTGCTGACCTTCCCAGATTCTCTAGTCCCCCTTTCCCTCACAGGTGGGGAACTCAGTGTGTGGTAAAATGTTCCTGCACCCAAGGAAACAGGGCTCTGGGGAAGTCCTGGATGGTGGGTGATTTATTTCGGGTGGCCATCATTCGCTTTCTCTACCCCACCCCTTGCCTGCCTTTTCAGATAGGCGTGTTTGACCAGGTCCCCCTTCTCTTCTCAATATCCCCCATCAATCTCACTTCTCCCAGTTTTCATTGAAATGTCAATGGTGTCCCCCTAGTCTCTTAAATCATTCAATTTCTACTTCCTCTGTCCTTTTCTCCTTTTGATACACCGTTTAGTACACCATCTCCACTCACCTCCATGGCCATACCTTCAATTTTATTCAAATCAGGAACCACTTCTGTTCAGTTTCTCTAAAGCTGAGCTTTCAAACTCTCCTGCCAGCTATTTCTGGGTCATGTTAATCTTTATTTTTCTCTGGTTCTTGTAGATGCTCATTTATCTGACAGTAACCTTATTTGTCAAATGAAGGTGACAATAACATGATTATGCTGTTTTCAGCTTACATTAGGTGGATGCCTTGCCCTTCTCTGGGCTGCCCTGATGGTTGTGGTGTTCAGTGATGTCTCCAACTCTTCCTTCTTTCTAACCAGGCCTTCCTCTCTCTCTGGCTTCCCACACAGCAGCCAAGACTCAGCCCCACTGGTGCAGTCCCTGCCCATCTTTCTCTAGCACCCCTGAGGCCTGAGCTGGAAAGCAGGCACTGGGCCACACTTGCCTGAGTAGGACCTTTTCTACCTTCTTTGTGATATTTTCCAATTCCTCCACCATAGGGTTGCTTTTTAGTCTCCAGCAAGATGTTAACCCACCAAGCCCTCTCTCTCCGTTCTTCTCATACAAGTCAATTTCTTTCAGTATTACCTCATCAGAATGATGACTAGAATGTTGAGTTTAGTCCCCCATGAATCCATTCATTCCTTGATTCTTTGATTCTAGATTTTAATATGTACTATGTATATTTATACATATTACATTTAGTTACGGGGCATCGTATTAGATACCACACACAAATTATACTCAAGACTTGGTTTATAAAAATACACCTAATAATTTTTCAAACTAGAAGTTACATTCTCCTGGAACACCCCTCCATTAAAGGAATATCTTTTTGTTCTGAAGAATGGAAACATTCTGAACTCAGTGACTCATGGGCTTTTGCTTTTGCTTGTGGGGTATGGATAATTCTGTAAGAGGAGAGTCCTGCCACCTTAGGTCTCAGTGGGGACGGCTAGGTGTGCATGTGCTTCATGTGCAGTGTGTTCCAGGGCTCCTGAAAACTGTGGTTGCCTTTACCCCCTAGATTCAGCTGTGTCCCCTCCAGTCCGGGATGTTGGTATGAATTCCCCAGCTCTGGTCCTCCCCAGCTCTGCTTCCTCTACTCCTGGCTCAGAAACGGCCATAATCAACAGAACACATGGTAAATATGGCAACTAAAGGGCCCAGGGACTGATGTTGGAAAGTGATTAATGCAAACAACCTTTTGTTGTCTCTAAACATATTATCTGTATTTAGAGAGTTTTCTCTGCATGCCCCAAGGCCTTTAGCCCTACTCCCTGCACCTTCTGTGGCTGCCTTTCTTGCCATTGTTCATCCTCCTGTAGTTTTCCTACTGCTGTTTTTGCTTCATTGTGCCATAATCTCTCTATTCTTGAAAATGCTCTCTGTATCCAGCTTGACTTCCTTGTCTGTGTCTTCTCTACCCAGAAACTTATTATTTATGATTCATCCTATTTCATTTGCCAATAAGGAAAAAATTGTCTCCTGGCAAATTTATCATTAAGAGATAATGTAAGAAAGGTTATAAAAATATAGAAGCCAGAAGATCTCTGTGGACTTTGCCCCACCCTTGTACATTCCCAGGCTTCCTTTCTTGTTCCCAGCCTCGTCCTTTTCTTGTTCCCTGCCTCTTTTTTAGTTGGAGCAAACTGAGGATATCGTTATGAATAACAGAAGATTCTGTTGTGTTGTCATTTTCTTTTTCAGGCTTGGGTTTGGATACTTCTCCAGTAATGAAGGCCCCTCCCAAGCTGGAGGGTGATGCTACTGATGGCTCCTTTGCCAATAAGCATGGCCGCCATGTCATTGGCCACATTGATGACTACAGTGCCCTAAGACAGCAGATTGCGGAGGGCAAGCTGCTGGTCAAAAAGATAGTGTCTCTTGTGAGATCAGCGTGCAGCTTCCCTGGCCTTGAAGCCCAAGGCACAGGGGTAATCACACCTGAAGCTTTAGGTGCACTCTTTCCTTGTGCCCTTTCTTCCTTTGATGTTAACTCCTTCTCCCACCATTTTTGTTTTTTTCATGCTTTGCATCTCTCAACAGCTGAGGCTTCCTCTTCCATGCATAGCAGCCAGGCCCTTTCTTCTCTATCTCCTATTTTCACTGTGAGTTCTGCTCTTTTCCAGATGTAGCTGACTGGATATTTCCCCTCAGCCCCACAGAAACACGTGGCATTGCCTAGCAGCCTTTGGTAGCTTATTATCTACCACAGTCATGCAGGCACATGACCATATGTGGGCAGAGTCAACTCAATGGGATGGACAGAAACTGAAGGATTTGCAGGTGTATGGCCCCCACATATGGAAGGGGTGAGAAGCCTGGCAGCCAAGGCATTTCCTTGTGCAGACTGCATAGGGGAGGGAAGGCAGTCAGCAAAGCTTCTGAGAGCACCTTGCCAGTGAGAGAGACCAGGAACCTGTGGCTATGCTGTCTGAACTGCTGGAGACCCATGGATGCATAGGGACAGCCCTGCCTCCATGGAGCCCCCACACTGGAATGCAAGACACACACCCAAGTAGATAGGCACAGTATGGGGCTACAGGCACAGTATGAGAAATCATCCTCTGTGCTGTGAGAGCACCAATGCAAATGTGGTCATTTATCTCAGGCAAGGAAGGTAACAGATTCATAGAGGACATAGCAAGGGGGGTGAGTTTTGAAAGCCTTGTGGGTTCTGCAGGTGGAGGAAGGCATTCCTGGTAAAAGGAGCAGCACCTTAGTTCTGAGAGCTGCAAATGGTTGTGCGAGGGCTTCACAGGTTCAAGCAGGCCCATGTTCTGCGCCTCACTCACAAAGGAAGCTTGAGCCCACGCAGGGGGAAGAAAGTAATCTCTCCGCTCCTGTGGTGTTACCTTTCCCCAGGTGCTAGGCAGCAAAGGCATTCATGAGCTTCGGAGCAGCACCAGTGCCCTGCACCATGCCCTAGAGGAGTCGGCTTCCCTCCTCACCATGTTCTGGAGAGTGGCCCTGCCAAGCACCCACATCCCTGTGCTGCCTGGCAAAGTGGTAAGATGCCAGTGTCCTTTCTTGGTTCAAACCCAGTTCTCCTGCCCTCCAATACTGTTCTGTCTCCTCAGTGTCACAGCTTTTCCAGAAAATCAGGAGCCACATAGTGAATTGGGATAGACAGGAACTTAGAGGAGTGTCCCTGGAGGGACATCTCTGACCCTTGGTGGCTGCTTTCATTGCAGCTCTAAATACATCCCATTCCCCACCAGCCCCCTGACCCCTGGATAAGAAATCAAAGAAGAAGAGGAAGGAGTGTGGAGAAGGCGGAGACATCATAACCCTGGCAATCCATAAATGTTCAGTTTCTTTACCTCTCTGAAGTTTGGATGAGCTGAAATTCAGTTAAAGCTTTAGCACCCATCTCCCACCCCACAGGTCCCGTGGTCAAATGATCACAGAATGCCCCATGAGACTGAGCCTTTTTAGCCACTGCCTGGAATCCCAACATACAACTTAAGCTGGCATCGCTGGACCAGGCCTGGGGAAAGTCAGCCTCCCCTCAGGATCTGCTCAGAGCTCAGGCTAACTCTGATTGGCAGACCCTCATGTAGGCAGGTTTCAGGATCCCCTCCCCAGGGATTCTACTTCCAGGTCAATGGCACCAATACCTTTTGGATCCAACTATGCTAATTCCAGGGAGAGGGTGTTGTGCCATCTTCATGTTGGCACAAATATTTACAAACTTGCAAACTTTCCTGAGTCCAGATCTCTCTCCCCAGCATAACATTTCTGAACTCTCAATCTTACCTGTGAAGGGAGAGTGACAGAACTGATATCAGGACTAAAGCAAGGTCCTCTTCAGAGTTGGGAGTTTGATACCAGCCTGAGGCGAGGTTCTCTTAAGCTACAGGTGTGTAGGCCTGTGCTAGTCTGCATGGGGAATTCCAGAGTCTCATTATTCCTGCCTAATGGCCTCATCCTAAACTGTCCTCAGCTGGAGGTATTCGAGGCTGTGAAGGAGGAAATCCAGTTCAGGAGGGTTGAGAAGATTGTAGAATCCTTCTTTGAACTGGAAAGAGCCACAAAGCACAGGGTGCTTTAGGCCTTCTGCCTGGTCAGTAAGAGTCTGTTCCTCTTATCCAGGGAGAATCAACAGAAAGGGAACTTCTGGAACTGAGAACCAAAGTATCCAAACAGGAGCGGCTACTTCAGAGCACAGCTGAGCATCTGAAGAACGCCAACCAGCAGAAGGAGAGCATGGAGCAGTTCATCGTCAGCCAGCGTAGGTTCCCTGAGAGGGAATGGGGGAAGAAACAGGCAGTCTTCCCGATGCCCCACTTGTGCTGCAGATGAGAAGTGATCAGGGGGGCTTGGGGATGTTGGGAGTTGAGACTGATTTGATGTCCCCAAACCTCCTGTGCCATGAGCAATTGTGGCTGCAGAGGGAGGGGAGGACAGGGGGTGGATAGAAGGAGACTCCAAGCTGAATAGCCAGAAAGAAATAAATGCTTTAGAATTCTCACGCTAAGCAAGTAGGGTTAATTTCTGCTGGTGATTTCTACTCTGTGGTGCTCTTTTGTTGTTTCAGTAACCAGAACACATGATGTTTTAAAGAAGGCGAGGACTAACTTAGAGGTAAGGAAACTACTGCACCAGTCAGAGGCACCAAGCCTGTCCCCCACCCATCACCATCCGTTAGCAGATATTGTAGGCAACCCTTGGCCTGCTTTGGCCTTCCAGGAGAAGATTTCCAGTCCACTTGCAAGATCACAGGTCCTCAGTGAGCTTCCTGATAGTTTCTGTTCCCATCACCCTCCCACCCCATCAGCTCCTGCCCCTGTATCTTGGTTCACTCTCACATTGTGATCATCTCTCCTTTTTACTCCAATTTTTCTTCTTTGATGCCAAGTTCGGAGACTGGAGAAATGCAATTCAGCTCACCCTTGAAGTTGTTAGACATTCAGGAGTCTGCCTCTGAATGAGCTTTTGGTAGAGGGATCTTGAGGCCAGTTATGTGTTCTACTGTTCATGAAAAAGTAAAAGCAATTTGCAACCTAATAAACTGATTTCACTGCATACCCCTGGGTTAAGAACAGCAATTTGATTTTGATGTATCTTTAAGTAACATGACAAAAGAGATCTGTTGTGTCTCATTGGTCTAAAAGAGAATTTGTTAATAAATAACAACTGAACCTTAGGGGGTGGGGGCGGAATGTTACATATGTACCAGACATTATCGACATAAAACACTAAGTGTTAATCATTCCCTAGGAAGTGCTTTGAAGAAAAACTTGAGGTATATGAAATGGTTTAAAAATCAGAAACTAAACCTTTTAACGTGGACTTCAAAGCTTTGCCATAAGCAATTCAGCATATTCCTAGAAATGTTTCTAAACCATAACCTGAGAGAATGTTGATCTCCATAGTGTAAAAATGACTTGGGCCAGTTTAACTTGCTCTTTTTTTTTTATTTTTTCACTAATTCCCTTTTATTTTTCTCTGATAATTCTTCTCTTTCCTGAGCCTCTTTAGAGCAGCACTTACAGGATTGCCTGTGTAAAGCCTTATTCCTGTCCCAGAAAAGGTAACCGAAAAAGTCTCTAGTATCCTCTAAAAGGTAACCCAAAAGTCTCTATTATCCACTGGCTTTCTCCAGTGTGGAAGCTTTCCCCTCCACCTCCCATAGATCACTGGGAAGGACCTGAGGCCTCGGTTCTAATCCCAGGCTTATCATTAACTGCTGTGTGGCTTTGGCTTGTCCCTTAGTCTCTGTCAGACTGCTGCACCCTCATCTGTCAAAGATGGAACTGGACTTAGTTGAGCTCTGAGGTCCCTGTGGACTTGGCCCCTCCACACCCTCATTATGGCAACTGGACATAAACTTAACAGAGGACTTCCCAGCAAAATGTCCTCTTCTTCCTACAACAGGCTGTTTCTGTATGTGCATGTTTCACGCTAAGCACTTCTTTCTTGAGTGGAGATGACAAAGGCCTCTTTCTGCTGAGACAGTGATTTGGAGAGTCACCTGGCCCCTGAAGAGGGAGTGGTAGGATCCAGCCACCCAGTGTGCAGTGAATTGGAGCAGGGATCTCAGCACACAGGGAGGTGGGGAGGCTCCCCCTAACCTCGGGCACCTGTTGCTCCTCCAGACTGCAGCACATGCTCAGCTCATCCTCTTAACTGGCTCTCACTGTGCTCCTGGCTTTGGTCACCACGTAGCTCTCACTCCAGTTTCAGGTAGCCATCAGTAGGGCCTGGCAGTATAGGGCACTGATTTGATTTATTTTTGTCTGCAGGTGAAATCCCTAAGGGCTCTGCTGTGTACTCCAGCCTTGTGACCCTTGCTTTCCAGGAACCATGCAAGAAGCGCAGCCACCAGAAGTCCTTATATAGGTATACATAGTCCTTTGGTAACAAGTCCTTTGTTATATAGGTATACATGTGCCATGTTGGTTTGCTGCACCCATCAACTCTCCTAACGCTATCCCTCCCCCAGCCCCCTACCCCACAACAGGCCCCAGTGTGTGATGTTCCCCTCCCTGTGTCCATGTGTTCTCATTGGTCAACTCCCAGTTAAGAGTGAGAACATGCGGAGTTTGGTTTTGTGTCCTTGTGATATTTTGCTGAGAATCATGATTTCTAGCTTCATCCATGTCCCTGCAAAGGACATGAACTCATCCTTTTTTATGGCTGCATAGTATTCTTTGGTGTATATGTGCCACATTTTATCTAGTCTATTATTGATGGACATTTGGGTTAGTTCCAAGTCTTTGCTATTGTGAATAGTGCCTCAATAAACATAGGTGTGCACGTGTCTTTATAGTAGCATGATTTATAATCCTTTGGGTATATACCCAGTAATGAGATTCCTGGGTCAAATGGTATTTCTAGTTCTAGATCCTTGAGGAATTGCCACACTGTCTTCCACAATGGTTGAACTAATTTATACTCCCACCAACAGTGTAAAAGCGTTCCTATTTCTCCACATCCTCTACAGCATCAGTTGTTTCCTGACTTTTTAATGATCGTCATTCTAACTGGCATGAGTGGTATCTCATTGTGGTTTTGATTTGCATTTCTCTGATGACCAGTGATGATGAGCATTTTTTCATATGTCTGTTGGCTGCATAAATGTCTTCTTTTGAGAAGTGTCTCTTCATATCCTTTGCCCACTTTTTGATGGTTTTTTTTTTTCTTGTAGATTTGTTGAAGTTCTTTGTAGATTCTGGATATTAGCCCTTTGTCAGATGAGTAGATTGCAAAAATTTTCTCCCATTCTGTAGGTTGCCTGTTCACTCTGATGGTAGTTTGTTTTGCTGTGCAGAAGCTCTTTAGTTTAATTAGATCCCATTTGTCAATTTTGGCTTTTGTTGCCATTGCTTTTGGTGTTTTAATCATGAAGTCTTTGCCCATGCCTATGTCCTGAATGGTACTACCTAGGTTTTCTTCTAGGGTTTTCATGGTGTTATGACTTACATTTAAGTCTTTAATCCATCTTGAGTTAATTTTTGTGTAAGGTGTAAGGAATGGATCCAGTTTCAGCTTTCTACATATGGCTAGCCCGTTTTCCCAGCACCATTTATTAAATAGGGAATCCTTTCCCTATTGCTTGTTTTTGTCAGGTTTGTCAAAGATCAGATGGTTGTAGATGTGTGGTGTTATTTCTGAGGCCTCTGTTCTGTTCCATTGGTCTATATCTCTGTTTTGGTACCAGTACCATGCTGTTTTGTTTACTGTAGCCTTGTAGTATAGTTTGAAGTCAGGTAGCGTGATGCCTCCAGCTTTGTTCTTTTTGCTTGAGATTGTGTTGGCTATGAGGGCCCTTTTTTGGTTCCATATGAAGTTTAAAGTAGTTTTTTTCCAGTTCTATGAAGAAAGTCAGTGGTAGCTTGATGGGGATGGCATTGAATCTATAAATTACCTTGGGCAGTATGGCCATTTTCATGATATTGATTCTTCCTATCCATGAGCATGGAATGTTCTTCCATTTGTTTGTGTCCTCTTTTATTTCATTGAGCAGTGGTTTGTAGTTCTCCTTGAAGAGGTCCTTCACGTCCCTTGTAAGTTGGATTCCTAGATATTTTATTCTCTTTGTAGTAATTGTGAATGGGAGTTCACTCATGATTTGGCTCTCTGTTTGTCTGTTCTTGGTGTATAGGAATGCTTCTAATTTTTGCACATTGATTTTGTATCCTGAGATTTTGCTGAAGTTGCTTATCAGCTTAAGGAGATTTGGGGCTGAGACGATGGGGTTTTCTAAATATACAATCATGTCATCTGCAAACAGGGACAATCTGACTTCCTCTTTTCCTAATGGAATACCCTTTATTTCTTTCTCTTGCCTGATTGCCCTGGCCAGAACTTCCAATACTATGTTGAATAGGAGTGGTGAGAGAGGGCATCGCTGTCTTGTGCCAGTTTTCAAAGGGAATGCTTCCAGTTTTTGCCCATTCAGTATGATATTTCATAGTTATAAAATTGATTTCATTTTCAAGGATATGGTATAATACCTACTTTATAAGCTTTTTGGAGAAATAAGTAAAATTATATATGTAAAGCACTGGTCACATAGTGGGCTCAATAAAGTTATTATTTTTATAGAAAGAGAGTTGAATTAAGTTTGACAGGCAATGGAGAACTATTGAAGGATTTCAAAAAGAAGAAAGGCAAATCAAACTGGGTCATTAAAATCACCTGCCAGTAATATAAAGAATTGATCGAGGGATGGAACCTATCTGGGACACTACTACAATAGTCTGGAAAAGAGTTAATGAGGGGTAATTGAGGGGGAGAACTTATGAAAGTGAATGGCCCAGCTTTCCCTTAGGGGTGCTGTTGACAGGGCCTGCCAGCTGATACGGTACAGAAAAGGGAGAAGTGGATATGATTGAGAGAACTGTGCTATTAACCGAAGTCAAAGGTACGGGAAAAGAAACAATTGTGGAAGGAAATGGATATGTTTGATCTGGGAAACACTGAATCCAACTCCAGATGGAGATTATCCAGGAGGCATTTAGAAATCTGTAACTTTGGCAAGGCGCGGTGGCTCCCACCTGTAATCCACTTTGGGAGGCCGAGAAAGGCGGATCACCTGAGCTCAGGAGTTTGAGGCCAGCCTGGCCAACATGGTGAGACCCCATCTCTACTAAAAATACAGAAATTAGCTGAGTATGGTGGCGGGAGCCTGTCATCCCAGCTACGTGGGAGGCTGAGGCAGGAGAATCGTTTGAACCCTGGAGGTGGAGGTTGCAGTGAGCCAAGACTGTGCCGTTGCACTCCAGCCTGGGTGACAAGAGCAAAACTCTGTTTAAAAAAAAGAAAAGAAAAGAAAAGAAAGAAACAGAAATCTGTAACTTCATTCTAAGAAAGAGATGGAACTAAACATGTAATATTAGAGTCATTTTCATTTAGATGGTAATTGAAGCCTTGGCTGCAGATAAGATTTTTAAAGGAAGGGAATAGTTGGGGAAAAGACAAGAGGTTGAAGAATGGAAACTCTAGAGGAAAACAACATGCTGTAGATAACTCATTGAAAAGAAGTAGGGGGACCAGAAAAAGAAGGATTTGAACGTTTGGAACGTTTCTCCAAAGAGAAAAGAAAAGCTGGCCAACAGTGCAGAGTATAATTGATCCCGCAGGCACACATTTGTGAGCATAAACACAAATTGGTAGGAACAGAAACCTCTTTCTTTACACACCTGAGTTGCCCTTGAATCTCTCTTGGCATTTGACTGCCATCTTTTTGCTGCTTTCACTTCTTTCCTTTCTCAGCAATTTCAGAGCCTTTTCATTTTGACCTGCATTTCTGCGGTTGCTTTAGTAGCTTTGAGTTGTTCTTTTTTTTTTTTCCCTCTCTTGCCTGTGAACTTGTGGGAAAATGCACAGCACAGGCGATCTGAGGAAGCCCCTTAGGGTAATCCAGCACTGATGCTTGAGAATGTCAGAGAAAGAAATGAAACTGAGCCCACCTGGGCAAATCATTGAGGTAGGCACCTGGGTGTTCCCCTTTTAGGGCAATCCAACACTAATAATAATGATACCATATGGTTTAGGATCCGAATACAGACAGCCTGATTCACCTTGAAGTTTCTTGGAAAAGGTGCTGCCACCTCTCACATAGAACTTTCCCACTTCTCAGCTTTTGGTACTATCCTGATGTTTCTCTTTTCATGTTGTTTTATGCAGTAATTATTTCTTTCCATACCATACCATTCAGGGTCCTTGAATGAGCTCATGTCCACTAAAACCAGCTTAAATTTTGAGAAAGTTCCTGCATAACTTATGTTGAATGCATTATATACTTGCAGACAGTGGTAGTCTTGTATTTGTCGTAATCACATTTTCATGTGATAATGTATTATACATCAATAGCCTGTTGGCAGTGCATTTAGTTCTAGTGTGGGAAACTTGTAGGAACAGATCAGGTATGGTTTTTATTTTCCTGCTGATGAGGATTGTGATGTCTACATTCAGTACACCCTGAATGCCTGACTGTTAATGTGTCGGTTTTAAGTGTAAAAGCAGAATTGGCTTTACCAAGGACAAAGAGAACACTTATCTGCTTAGTGGGTTTTTTTGTTTTTTGGTTTTTTGTTTCTGTTTTTATAATGATTTTAATAACTTTTAAAGTGCACTTATTAACTAAATAGAATTAATACTTGTAAATGAGAACAATTAAAATATGCCAGGGTCCTAAAGATTATAATTTACTGAGTCTGGGTCAAAACTTGGGCATCTTATTTTTAAGAAGCTTCCCTAATTCTCTAATGTACTTTAAAGTTTAATGATTACTGTTTGTTTGAAATTAGTTAGAAAACTTAGTATAAGTAGGGAACTTATTGCTATTACTAGTAACTATTGCACATAGTTATTCCTACCCTGCAATAGAACACCAGAACTTATTCTTCCTGTCTAATTGTAATTTTGTGACTGTTGACCAATCTCCCCTCCCCAGTGTCTGATAACCACTGTTCTACTCTCTGCTTCTGTGATAGCAACCTTTTTTTTTTTTCAGATTCCACATGTGAGTGAGATCACACAGTATTTGTTTTTCTGTGTCTGGCTTATTTCACTTAATATGATGTCCTTCAGGTTCATTCATGTTGTTGCATATTACAGGATTTATTATTATTATTATTATTATTTTTGAGACAGGTCCTCACTCTGTCACCTAGGCTGGAGTGCAGTGGTGCAATCTAAGCTCACTGCAACCTCCACCTCACAGGCTCAAGTGATCCTCCGACCTCAACCTCCTGAGTAACTGGGACTACACGTGCATGTCACCATGCCCAGTTAATTTTTTGTATTTTTTTATAGAGATGAGGTTTTGCCAGGTTGGTCACGAACTCCTGAGCTCAAGCAATATGCCCACCTCAGCCTCCCAAATTGTTGAGATTACAGGCATGAGCCACTGCACTCGGCTATTCTTGCTTGTGACTGAATAGTATTCCACTGTGTGTATATATATATATATATACATACACATTGTGTGTATGTATATATATATATATACATACACATTGTGTGTATGTATATATACATACACATTGTGTGTATGTATATATACATACACATTGTGTGTATGTATATATACATACACATTGTGTGTATGTATATTTATATACACACTATGTGTATGTATATATACATACACATTGTGTGTATATATATTTATATACACATTGTGTGTATGTATATATACATACACATTGTGTGTGTATATATACATACACATTGTGTGTGTATATATACATACACATTGTGTGTGTATATATACATATATATATATATATATATATATATACCACATTTTCTTTATCTATTCATCTGTTGTTTGACATAGGTTGATTTCATAACTTGACTATTGTAAATAGTGTTGCCATAAACACGGGAGTACAGATATCTCTTCATCATAACTGATTTCATTTCCTTTGAATAATACCCAGTAGTGGGATTTCTGGATCGTATGGTAATGTTATTTTTAATTTTCAGAGGAACTTCCATATTGTTTTCCTATAATGACTGTACTAGTTTAGGATCCCACCAAGTGTGTAAATGTTCCCTTTTCTCCACATCCTCACCAACACTGTTTTCTTTTGTCTTTCTGGTAATAGCCATTTTAACTGGAATGAGTAGTATCTCATTGTGTGTGTGTTTTTTTGTTCATTTGTTTGTTTGTTTTGCTTTGTTTGTTTGTTTTGAGAAGGAGTCTTGCTCTGTTGCCAGGCTGGAGTGCAGTGGCGTGATCTCGGCTCACTGCAACCTTCCCCTCCCGGGTTCAAGCGATTCTCCTGTCTCAGCCTCCCAAGTAGCTGGGATTACAGGCATGTGCCCCCACACCTAGCTAATTTTTGTATATTTAGTAGAGACGGGGTTTCACCATGTTGGCCAGGATGGTCTCGATCTCCTGACCTCGTGATCCACCCACCTCCGCCTCCCAAAGTGCTGGGATTACAGGTGTGAGCCACCGCACCCAGCAGGCTTTTTAATTTTTATTATTTTTTTATTTTTATTTGAGACAGAGTTTCACTTTGTCACCCAGTCTGAAGTACAGTGATGCAATCTCCGTTCACTGCAACCTCTGCCTCCTGGGTTCAAGCAATTCTCATCCCTCAGCCTTCCAAGTAGCTGGGATTACAGGCACGTGCCACCATGCCTAGCTAAGGTTTCGCCATGTTGCCCAGGCTGGTCTCAAACTCCTGAGCTCAGGTGATCCGCCCAACTTAGCCTCCCAAAGTGATGGGATTACAAGCACAAGCCACCGCACCCGGCCTCGTGGTTTTGATTTGGACTTCCCTGATGATTACTGATGCTGAGCATTTCTTCATTCACCTGTTGTCCGTTTGTATGTCTTCTTTTGAGAAATGTTTATTAATGCCTTTTGCCCATCTTAAAAATTGGGTTATTTGGACTTTTTTGCTGTTGAGCTAAGTTCTTACGTATCTGAATATTAACATCTTGCCAGATGTGGAGTTTGCAAACGTTTTCTTCCCTTCTATAGGTAGTGTCTTTACTTTGTTAATAATTTCCTTTGCTGTGCTTTGCTTTTTAGTTTGATGTAATCCCATTTTCTACTTTTGCTTTTGTTGCCTGGAGAAATGCTTTAAAAGATGGGCAGATTTCTCTGAAAATTTGCAGAAGAATGGAGAACTTTCAGAAAACTGAAAAAGAGCCAATATCATATCTATATATTTTTGAAGGAATAGAAGAGATCCAGGCAACTGTGGGCTATGTGTTTAATTTCCATTGCTGAAACATATATACAACACTGGGGATAGTCTCATAACGTTGGTTTGGTAAGTGAGCAACTGTTCTCCAATCATACTTAGGCAGAGCAAAGGGAAATGGGCTGAAACTAGAACGTGCGGGATTTAGGTTAGAATGTAAGAGTTTTATGACTGGGAGGAATATTGGAACAACTTCCTAAGAAGCATTGTGCAACTTCTTTCTCTAGAGATCTTTAAAAATACGATAGATTTTCATGTCTGGTTTAAATCTGGTGCTGCCCAAAGGTGAAAGAAAGCCAAAGTGTTTTATTTTATGCCCCACATATATTTTGAAGAATTTTAACATCAATTTTCTCATTTCAAATGTTGTAAACCAAGGATTTGAAGTATGTAATGGTATCACTAATTTTTAAAATATCCTTTCACCTTAAGTGAATTTTGCTTTACAAAGCAGTGTATATTTGTTTGCCTTAAGACTTTCATCTCATTTCCACGGGAAAAAAAAAAGAATTGCTAAGCACATCCACTCCCACGCCACCTCCTTTTCTTTTTCTTTGGTACACTGTGTTTTTGGTCACATGTATACACAACAAAGTTCAAATAAGTAGTCACAGGAATCTTTACTGGGAGGCTTTGGCAAATCAAATATATGCTATATAATATATAATAATTATACGTGGAGAAAAGAGGCAGAGGGCCCAGAAGCTCTTGGCAGCTGTGCTGTCTGGTTAGAAAAGGAAGCAAGTTACAGAGTTTGGACATTCAGTTCTGAGATGTTATTCCTGAGTCAACAGGATTTTAATTATGTATGTGGCCTAGAAGAGACATTTATGCAAGAGGAACATATTGTTGTTGAACATGTTTGTGATTTTACTCATGATTCAGAATTGGAAAGAAGCTGAAAGTAATTTCTGAAGGTACATAACTGAATTGAAGGAACATAGAATAATGATACCTCTCCTAGTGGCAGAAAAATAACTAATATCTTGGCTTCTCATTTCAGCTTCCTCACTCAACACACTCTCTTTTCTTTTATAGTTATATTTTTCAAAAAAGTATGTGTGTGTATATATATATATACATTTTTTTTCACACAACACTCAGACATTTCAAATCACACTATTTAGGCAGAAATAAGGGATGTGTTAAATATTACTTCATCTTTAAACATCTTTTTCTCCTATCCTCATGTTGAGGTCACTTCAAGTTAGAGTTCTTGTTTATAAGTTCATGGTGTCTTTGTGTATATTTTAGGGTAGTTTTTGCAAGAAGTTACAAATTTACTGCACTGACGTGAGACGCTACATGAGACATGGAAAGGCTATTCTGAATTGTGGCAGATAACTTCCGTCTTATGGATAGATTAGGGGAGATTACGGAGCCTGTAAAATGCAAAGAATTGAGCTTTTCTAAGAGTAAGTTTTTCTTCCTGTGACTCCTTTCATTGATTCATTCACTGATTGATTGATTGACTGATTCATTCACTCATTCAATATTTACTAAGCACCTACAATGTGTCAGTTCTAGTATTAATGCCTCAGCAGACCTATCATTGCCCACGTTTTGTTTTAACTTACCTTTGTTTAATTTACCTTCTCCACCGCCATCCAGATATGCAGCCATAATGACATTTTCTGCTTTTAATAGCTAACAGTTATTGAACACTTACCAGACATTGTCCTAAGGGCTTTTTGCACATTGTCTTATTTAATTTTCACAGCAAGCAACCTTATGAGGTAGGTCTTATTAGCAAGCTCATTTAAATAGGAAGGAGCCAAGTAGGGCAGAATAGGTATCTTGCACTAGGTCACATATCTAATTAGTGAGCCCATGCTGTGGGACTCTAAGGCTTTGTTCTTGTACAGCCTCCCAGGATTATTTATTCTGTTTTTTTTTAAGCTTTTCTTTAGGTGCAAATTCTCAAGTTCACCTCTTTGCCTCATTAAATTATCATTTTTACCTTCTGTTTTCATCTCTTTTACCTCCTTGAAAATCCATCTGTACTTGTATTTCTAAGAAAACAGTAAACTAATTGAAGCTCCAGTTACTTTAGATTTTACAATACTTTCTTGGCTGGCTGTGGTGGCTCATGCTTGTAATCACACTTTAGGAGGCCAGGGTGGGAGGATAGTTTGAGGCCACCCTGGACAATATAGTGAGACCCCATCTCAATTGAAAAAAGAAAAGAAGAGAAAAAAAATACTTTCTTAATGCAATTTTGATTTTCTCTTAAAGCCTTTTAATATAACCAAATCAATGTAGCAATTTGTAAAGGTTAATGTAAAATAAATTATTTTAGTATATAAAGAGATTTTCCCTCTAATGTCTACACGCTGAAAATTAATACTTGGTGTCTTGAGTAACTTAAAAATATTTAAGACCCTATGAGGTTCTTTGGTGAAGGGACAAAAAGTGCAGAATGTACCTAAGTGAGTTTTCTCCAGTTTAGTAAAAGATTTTAAAACCAAGTCTTCAGCAAACCTAGAAATGACAACTATGATTTTATAAGTATGAGAACAAGAATCATGTTTCTTTAATGCTAGTTATACCTTCCAAAAAAACTTCCTTTTAAGTTGAGCCAGATCTGCCAAACCAGCGTATCATCTTGGAGCAATTAAAGGTTTCAGGGTTTCCCCTCTAGAATCTTATTTCCAGTTGACAGATTTTGAAGCTTCCCCAAGGATGCCCATTTGGTAGATGTCATACACTTTCTAATGAAGGGTTGCAAAAAGCAAGTGATCACTTTGTTAAAACCTGGGGGCTCATTTTGGCTTTGCTCTGTGAACCCCAGAGTTAGCATCTAAAGTGGCAGAAGACACTTAAAAGAGGGATTCTCCCCTTCATATGCTGCTCCACCATTTGCTAGATAGCTGTGTGGTCTTGGGCAAGTTACTTAAAATCCTAGTGCCTTCTATAAGATGGGAGTAACAACAGCATCCAACTCATAAGTTGTTGTGAAATAAGATAATCTAGGTAAAGCACATGGCAGAGTGCCTGGTCCATAATAAACATGCAATAAATGTTAGATTTTATTCATCGCAAACGTGGTGAAACTGAAGGTGACTTGTCTTGAACTCAATTCTTTTAGAAAACCTTCATAGAATTTGATACTCACATTGTAATTCATAGCTTTGTAATACTAGAGACTTCTAGGTTTTTTAGTTACTGAAAGCACAAAAGATTGTTTTTCTTTATAGGGATGTTAGAGGAAAAATTCACTTTATATTCTGAAATAATTTACATTAACCTTTACAAATGTGTTATATTGATTTGGTCACATTATAAGGCACTTAGAGAGAATCAAGAGTGCAGATGGACAGGTCTTGACACATAGCCTCTGCAACCAGGAGACAGGCAGAAAACAGACTATGGGGTCTCTAAGACAGCAGGTAGAATAAAAAGGCATGAACTCTGGATTGGGAGCTGGAGGTGCCTGGATCAACGGGAGGAAGTTGGTTTGGTGATTCCCAAATTGCATTCTCCAAAATTGTTAGCTGTGGTAATAGGCATGCCCTACAAATAATGATTACCTAGTCAAATAGGCTTGGAAAGTCCTGGTTTAAATATGGTTAACTGCCTTAATTTATTGTAGAACCACTCACTATTCAGTAGTAGTCTAAATTCCAGCCCTGCCTTTTTCTAGCTGTGTGTGACTTTAAGCAGATTGGTTAACTTCTTCAGCCTCTGTTTCCCCAGTTGAAAATGGGAATACTAATAGTACCTACATTGTTTTATTATGAGCCAAATGAGTTAGAATTTGGTGCCTGGTTCACAGTAAGCATTATACACGTATCGGCCTTTATTAATGTGGTGGAAGAAGCATAGGAACTGGTATCATTTAATCCCTCTATGGACTTTGGGTCACAAACTTGACATCTTAGGGGCACTAATAATTGTCTGTACAATAGGGAAAAAAATACCCACTTCCCTGGCTCATTGTGAGGAATGTAATACACATGAGAGATATTCGAAATGTTAAGACACAGTGCAGTGTGAAAAGCACATGGTAAATGTATAATAAACGGTAGGTCTTGTTATTCCCCAAATTATCCCCGCTATTATTCACTAAAATACATGAACACTGGGCTGATAGCAGTGTGAGATATGCACAAACTGAATACTGTATCTATAGAATGCAACCTGTGTATTGATTGACACGTGGAGTAGCCTGAGATTCTACCCTTTTTACATTATGAGGAAACAGCAAGAAAGAGTAGAAATGGACCTCTGTCAAGGGCCTCTATGTCTCAGATGGGGTTAAATGTGTAGTATGTTTAGGCCTAAGAAGTCAGGATTGAGAGGGGTAGAGGCACTTGGATCATGGGGCAGACGTAGGTCCTGGTAGTCCCAAACTGTTAACTGTGAGAGTAGGCATTATGTTCAAATAAGGTTTCACTAGTCAAATAAATTTAGAATGCCCTGGATTAAATATCATTAAATGACTTTCTTTATTGTATATACACTCAGATTCTTTGATACGCTAATGTATACTTCAATTTCAATTCACTTTTTTTTTTTTTTTTTTTTTTTTTTTTTTTTGAGACAGAGTCTCACTCTATCACCCAGGCTGGACTGCAAAGGCACGATCTCGGCTCACTGCAACCTCCGCCTCCCAGGTTCAAGTGATTCTCCTGGCTCAGCCTCCCAAGTAGCTGGGATTACAGACATGTGCCACCATGCCCAGCTAATTTTTTGTTTCTTTTTTTAGTAGAGACAGGGTTTCACCATGCTGGCCAGGCTGGCTTTGAACTCCTGACCTCAGGTGATCCGACCGCCTCAGCCTCCCAATGTGCTGGGATTACAGGTGTGAGCCACCATGCCCAGCCTTTAATTCACATTTTGAAACTCTAGGAAAAAGATGTGGTTTGCAGCATTTCCCAAATGAGTCCTTTTCTTTTTTCCTCATAAAATGGCTTAGAATGCACTTTACAAAGAACTGACCAAGGGCAATTGTGTATCCTTCATGTTTGCTTTGGTCCTTTGTTCTCCCAAAAGGCTGCTAATGTCCTGCTTTACGATTTGGACTTTTTATTATCAGCAGGATTCAGCCTTGACTTGTTTCTAGTGATGAGGCAGCACATTTCAACCTGTAACATTTTGAACTGTATGAAATTGCTGATATTTGAACATTTTTGACCTACTAAATGACAATTTCATGTGGTTCAAACTAATACTTAAGACAGTGACGGCAAGTGCCATTTGCATCCACCTGGTTCAGGTACTTCTTCCAAATACTTGAAGGAGGATGATTAGTATGTGGGGACTGGATTCTCCCAGTTTGTACCTCCACTGAGCAAATATTTATGGAACGTTTACTATATACTTTGGACCATGCTGTCCATAGCAATTTACCTGTAAAATATTACCTCCCTCCCTCACATTTTATCAGTGAAATACTTGTTGCAAAAGGTTTGGAGAAAGATAAGCCAAAAAATGACATCTGAATATTTTTTTCAGACCCTGGGTACCACCAGCTCTGCTATTTCTGGGTTTTCCAAATGCGTGGGTCAGCAGTTTCCAACCCCTCCGAGATGCCCAGGGTCCTTCCCACAGAGCTGTAGCTGTCATCAGACACTGGTGGGAGGGCCCGGGAAGTAAGCTCCCTGAAGAGTACTTGGCACCTGCTTCACACTGGGCAAGGTGTAAGGAGAAAGCTGACTCTGGGATGGGTCTACTAGTTAAAGTGGTGATTAATTTAACATTCATTTACTTATCTATTCCTTCCCTCAACACATTGTTATGGAGTGACCAGAAAATGTGCCCAGTAACTGTGCTAGGGTAGGGACGCAACATCGAACAGGATAGCACCCTGCCTGGCCTCTGCCACCCACAATCTACCACAGGAGGCAGAAGTCAGCAGGCACTTACAACTGAGTATGGTGGGCAATTCAGGCGAGGCAATATGAAGAAAGCCAGGTGGGAATGGGGGTGGAACGGCATATTGAGAATCGTGTACTCAGAATTCCCTGCTCTTGGTTGGGGAGAAGTTTGTGCAGTGCTTCTACCCCACCTGCCACTGAGGAAGGGGCCAGTCCAAAAAGGAGATTCTCAAAGGGTCATTCTTATTAGAACAGTCTGTTTTGCTGTCCAGGGAATCTATATTGTCATGTGTGGAGTTTTGAAATATATATTTCTCAGTCTCAATTTGTAAACTCTGCAGGCAGCATCAAGAAAAGGTATGGATAGGCCCCTATTTTAATCCAGCTCAATATGCAAAAATTTTTACTTATAAACCATACGTGTTAAGTTGGAATACATGGGATCTACTGGGTTCTGACCAGTCCATCAGTTTTAATTAATGAGTGAAGGACCTCTGAATTAGAGTCAGGATTCACATTACAGAATGATTCTTCATTTTCACAGATGTAATCACCACAAAGTTTCTTTAAATAATTACCCTTTTTTTGGTAATTAATATCCGACCCTATCTTAAATGTTAAATTTACACATCCATTTTAAGGAACCATCAAGTGTCCAGAGCCTGAATCTGCATTCATCCTCCTGCTGCATATGGCCTTCTTAGAATAGTCTCAAGTGAGCTTGTTCTAAAACCAGACTTTTAATTCTGTGCTCTGTTGCCCAGGCTGGAGTCCAGTGGTGCAATCTCGGCTCACTGCAACCTCCCTCTCCGGGGTTCAAGCGATTCTCCTGCCTCGGCCTCTTGAGTAGCTGGAATTACAGGCGTGTGCCACCATGCCCAGCTAATTTTTGTATTTTTAGTAGAGACAGGGTTTCACCATATTGGTCAGGCTAGTCTCAAACTCCTGACCTTGTGATCTGCCCGTCTCAGCCTCCAAAAGTGCTGAGATTACAGGCATGAGCCTCATTATCTTTTCTTTAAAAAAAATTGGATGGGGTATAGGAAGCTTAAAGGAAGGAAGTAGCCTAATTTTTAAGTTTGAAAAGTTGCAAAAAATGTTCTTTAAAAAGCAAAGAAGGGATTGCATGTCTGTCTTCCTCTTTAAAAAGTTAATATTCTTCAGAATATGATAATATAACAACAGTTATCATAACTAATGTAAGTAAAATATAGAGTCCTTTTATTAGCACCCTTTTATTTCCTTGAATCATTTAAAATCATACCCATATTATTGCCCTATAATATTTTATTTACTTTCATACAATTATGAAATTTTGCAAAGGACTTGGTAAAGCAGTATTTTCCAAACTCCAGGTCATGACCCATTGGTGAGTCTGGAAATTAATATAAATTTTATACAAATGAGGTAATAGAATGGAATAGAAATACCAGAATGCATCACACTTGGTAAGGGTAGATTTTGTTTTGTGAAATTTTGTTTTATATACATTTACACACATATACATGCATATACACATATATATTCACACATATTTATATGTGTATACAAATAACATATAAACATATACATGTGAGTGTACTAACTCACTGTGGAATGCAGACAAAAAATTTAAGAAATCCTAAAATGAAGAGTTCAAAATAAAGGTAAAATGTAAATAACCATATTACACAATAAATATGATTTTAAACACTAAATAACATTTGTTAAAACAATGCCTTCAGCTTTAACAAATTTACAAACTTGTTTAATAAACAAAAGAGGCATGGAGGCAAAATGTACTCCCATATGTGTATATGTACATGCATACAGACATCTACCCATAAATAGAATTTTTAAAACCTTCAAATATATTTAAAACCTTTAAAATGTAATTCAAAATAGAACTTCCGATTCCATGAATAGCATTTGTTAATAATATAAAGTAAAAGATGCAATTATGCTGATATTTTCACAGTGTTCATTCATTCATCTACTCTAAGCTAAAGACCAATATGAAAAAAAAATTGCAGGGAGTTGCTCTTTTATTTTAAAGTTTATAACCTACTTATATAGTACCTACCCTCTCATTAGCCTGGGATGAGAGTAGACAGTCTGTGTGATGCACAGAATCCAGAAGGAAATTCTGAAACTGCATCTAATAGTTGCAAAGAGACAATCCTATCCTTCATTTTAATGATTTCTTCCTCCATCTCTCTCTGGTCTCAACCAGTCTTGCCTAACATTATAATACTGCTTTTCCCATTCTTCATCATGAACCATAAAGGCTTCTTGCAAACTCTCAAGGCTAAACACATTCCAGACATTCCTTTACACAACGTTCCTGAAAAGGTTAGTTTCTTAGGATCCTGCAGCAACACTGCCTGCATGGTTCACAGAGACCAGACTGCTGCACAAGCCTTTCACTGGCAGACAGCCAATGGTGCTGCCTCTCCTCTCCTCTGAAAGACTTGCTTTACTCACCCAGAGTCCATCAAACTCGCTTTTCAAGGGGTAGATGAGGACAGCAGGATCCTCAGTAAAGAAGAATCACCTAGTGAGGCAGTTTCCAGCAGCATAGTGAAGCTACACATAGGTCGTATATCTTGGTATGATGTGTATTTGCTTTGGAAAGAGGCATTTAAACAAAGTTATCCTTAGCAAAGTCTTGCCTCCACCGCCACCAATCCAGGAGTCTCAAAATTACTTTTAATGAATTCAAGAAATAGAAATTCTACCCTGGAACACTTATTAGCTGCCTTTCTTATATAAGTAATTACAGGACACACCATTTTCTTCCTTTTTCCTATTAACATTTCCGATTCTGCCTCTCTTTTCTCCCTCCCTCCTTCTCTTCTCACTTTGTGTCACATACACTTCATTTGAAATTCTCTAATTCTCTTTTTAGACCAGGGAAAATCGATATCAAACATTCCAGGGCCAGAGGTTTTCAAGAAAGACAAGACAAAAACCACAGAACTTCTTTCACATATGACTGAATCCCTTCACACTCTTTCTGGCCTATGGGATACTCGTTGCTGAGAGGTTTAATTTGCCTAGAATTCTCTTTACCCCCTTCTTCCCAACTCAGCCCCTTCTCTTGGTATCCACATTCCTTGATAAATACAGCCAAACCCAGCATCTTTCTCAGAATCACAAAACCCTAGTGCAAGGTCTCACAATTCTCACTCCATGAAATATGAGTTCCTGGTCAAGAGTTAAAGGCTGTGATCACACACCTAGATCCGGGTGCTCTGACCAGTGGAGTTTGTCATAAGGCCCTATTCTTTCTCAGTGATCCATGAGACACTGAACAAATTAGAGGTGCTCTATATTCAGCATGTGACTGACTGCCAATGAAATGAAACTCAGAACCCAGGGGTACATCACAGAATGAGGAGATGATTCAGAAGCTGAGGGATCATTTGTCACTGCAAACGTATAGTATTAGAAGGAAAGCTATTAGCTTTAGGAATAAGCCTTTTTCTCTCCTCGTCTCTCTTTCCATGAGCTGGGGCTCACTGAAAGTGTTGCTGAAATGAGGGAAAGATGGGCAGCACTTTTTCCTGTAGCACATACAGGACACTTAGATTTCCATGTCTCCTTTGTCACCATATCTGTTAGTAATTTTTCTGGATCCATTTAACCAGACAGCCTTCTGACTTCAAAATCTGTGGCAGAATTTTCACATGGCCATTCTGAAACAGAGGAGCTCACCTAAACAAATCCTGTAAGACACAGTCACCTAAAAATAACCCTAGCAAATTATTGGCAGTAGGAAATGAAGCAGAGATAGCAAGTTCCTACTGACTTTTTAAAGAATCACTATGAAGTGTTTACAAGGATACCGCAGAGGACTAAAATTAGTTTATTCTGCACAGCATTATCCACTGCTGACTCAAGATGGTGATACAAGCAGTGTTAAGCTGTGAGCTCACCTGGAAGCTCATTCTCTAAAATTACTCTCTTGCAGGGATAGACCCCTAGTTCACATTGGTGAATGGAAGATGGGGTATAAATAGCAACTTGTTACGCCATCACTCAGAAGCTATGTGTCCTGCTAGTCTCCAGTTTTGTTTCTTCCAGATGTAAGAGCCTCCTGATCAGTCTATTGTCTCTCAGTGTTCAAGGGTATGGAGTGTGTGTGTGTGTGAATATCATTCTTTCAATTGTACAATACAATAATTAGAAAACTTAGAAGTTAAGTGATGTGGTAAAGATCATACAGCAATTCCCTGACACTTAAAACTGAGTTTTTGTTCCTATAATCTTCAAAGACTTAAATGTACTGAACCTTTGCTGTTTCTCCTATGAGCCAGAGGACATGTCCTATCAACTGAGTTAAGTGTCAACAGTCAACTTGCTAGAAACATGTTCAGATATGTGTAGGGAGAGAAGAATATGTAGATACATATGCTGTACGAGTGGATTCTTATGAAAGAAAGGTTTTCTTTATATTTAAGGGCAAGTTTATTAGAATTAAGCTGCACATCCACACTCTACTCCAAGTTATTATTTTGGTTGCTTCACTCAAATAGTCAATTCAATAAAGAAAAAAAAGTCAGCATCTCCAGCATTTCTACGTCAGCCCATAGCCTGTGATGTTCTCTCTTGGTGGCCGATTTTGCATTTGTTTTCATACCTACTATATTTTCTATATTTCATACCTACTATATTTTCTATAGCATTCATTTCAAGACACAAACAGATATTCTTTAATGTGTGCCAGTCAGTCATTTTGGTTCTAAATAATTCTGTTTCTCCATAGGTGCCCATTCTTTGCCGCTGACAACTTTCCCCCATCTGCTTAATCCATTTTCTGGCTTATTAAGTACTGGGATGATTTCTTCAGTGACAGAAGAAACTATGCATCACTGATTTCCTATTTTTGAAGCCCTGGCATTTTTCTTGTTGGGACACTGCATGCTTCATTTCTAATTAGGCTTTTCTTCTTACTCATATTTGGCTTTGCTTTATCAATACATTACGCAACCAGTAACTGGAAACAGGATCCCAGAGAGTGCCGCAAGCAAGCTTCCCAGTGACCTAGGGGAAAGAAGGAGTATTAAGGGGTGAGATGGAATTGGAGTTGCAGGCAAGATGATTATCAAGCTTGATGATGTAATGGGAAGTTGTTAATTTTAAAGCAACAGCTGGATTCTTTCTCAGGTTGATAGTAGTTCTGTTTTGTAGCCAGATGAGTCTTCAGTGGAAACAATCCCATTTTATCAGATACAGTATTTCCTTTAAGATAGGCTTATACCAAACATCTTTAGAGAAAGCCATTGGGCCTATTCTGTTGTACAACCAGGGTTAAGCAAAATGCTCCAGAAGTAGTGTTTTTTTTAAGGTCCTATTCAAACGCCTCCACTTCCATGAAGTTTTTCCAGATCAGCCCAGCTGAGAGCCATCTCTCCATCCTCTCAACTCCCACAGCACCCTGGGATAATCCAAGTAAGGCACTTAGCATGGAGCCTGTGTAAAGAAGTGTTCATTATTATTGTCCCTACCTCTTTGTAGTATGTATCATCTTCCTCCTTGTGTCTCCATTGTGTACACACCACTTATCTCCCCCCATTAACCTGTAAGCTACTGAAGGGTCTGATGCATCGGTTTTTTTTTTTTTTCCCAGCAGTGACTTGCTGGGGAAAAAAAAAGTACTTGGTAAATGTGTGTCGAATGAATAATAGATGGTTGGCCTTCTCAGGTATCTTTGCATCCTCATGCCTGACATCAGTAGATACTCAATAAGTGTGAGGATAATGAATGTTCAATGAATGGATATAGGCAAAAAATTCGATTGCTAACTCTTTTGAAAGGCTGCCAGAGTTCAGCCTTTGTGTTCATAGAGTTAACTTTCCTAATATCCTTAATGTTAATGCCAAAGACAACCAACAATAGCAGCTTTACTCCTGAACCCAGTTCCCATAAATGACATGCTTGTTATTTAAATAACTAGACAACTAGTTTCACCGACACTTCCCACATGAGGAGTAAAATTATTATGGCTGATACTTTTTGGGCATTTGCTTTATGCCAGGCTCTGTTCTGTGCTCTTTCACACACTCACTCACTTAATTCTTGCTGCAATCTATTTTAAAGATGAGGCTCTGAAGTACAAGAAGGTTAAATCCCTTGCTCCAGGCCAGGCTCTTGCTGAATACCACATTGTAGCCAGAGCTGGGCTGGAGTTGCAGACAAGTTATGGTTTGATGGCACCATTTCTCCATGTTTCATACAAAATGCTAAAATAAGCAAATACCAGAATTGGTCCAGCCAAGATGCTAATGCATAGAGACTTTAATGTCTGTCTCAAATATACTTGAGCTCTCAACTGTTCTCTGTATTGTAGGTGCCCCAGGTAGAGAAGGGGAGGAGGGCTGCAGGAGCTGTTACTTGGTTGTGAGCACAGAAAACAGTCACCTAGAGACTCAGACTTACTTCTATTTGTAAATATCTGCTCTGCTGCATCAGTAGGCGCCACCTTCCCTCATCTACTTCCACTTTCCGTTTCATACTCTGATCTCTTCCAGGTATTCCCTCAGCTTTGCATTTTACACTTTCCTACCCTCCTTCAACTGCGTGAGCCCTACAGGCCATTCAAGAAGCAACTTAAATGGCCTCTGACCATCTCAGACAGGTGTTGGTATCCCTGCAACTCCTCGTGCATCCCACCCCCAACAGCTGTTAGTGTTTTATTTTGTAATTGTTGGTTTAATTGTCTCTACTGCTAGATTACAGTCTCATCAAGGATAGGGACCCTCTCTTATTCATGGGTATCCTGAGAGCCCAGCACAATTCTGGGCACATAGAAAGTGTCTCATAATGTTTGCTGAATGAATAAATGACAGTGTTGTTTGCATGTCCATACCACTCTGAAAGTATTACATAAACCAACTTCAGGGACTGTGCACCTCCACATTTAGATGCCCAAGATTTGGCATCTAAAGGACACAGCCAAGAATAACTGATTAGAGATGTCGTTTCTCTGTCCCTATATAACAGAGAGAAAATATCCCACTGTTATCCAATATAAGACCATAAAAATGAATAGTCTTTGATGAGGAAAAAAAAAGTAAGCCTGAAAAATGTGTGGCTGGAAAAAAAATGTTTCAAACAGCATTTTATTTTTCCCCTCTGTGGACTTGTATAAATTATGTGTAAGGCAAATATGTGATAGAGAGATGCAGTGGTAATTACTTGTTCTCAAATGTTTGGTTAACTATGCCTCTTAATCCCACATACAGTAGCTTAGCACAGAATTAAATTCTGCCCCTTAGGCAGAATTAGCATTTGGAATTTCTTATTTCTGTAGTTTAAATGTTTTTATCCCAATATTTGTACTTTTCCATTTAGAATAAATAAATGTACTGAGTGTGTGTGGAGAAATATAAATAGCATGGAATTTTTATGATTCAACTCATTGTTCTTATTGGTTTGTGGTCAATTTTTATGGGTACCAATTTTTTAAAAATTACTCACCCATAATTAGTTACAGGAACATAGAAAGAATCGCTAGACCACTCTTTCTTCCAATGAATGTAGTATCATCTTATTGCCAATAATTAAAGTCTTTAATTTTATGAGGGAAAAAATAACTTCCTTCAGGCTTTGCTCTCAAAATGCAGATATTTCATGATACAGTGTTATATGAAATAATTAGGAAGAAAGGTTTTTCTTTGCTGCCACTTATAGTAGGAATGGGAAAAAATTGTTGCTCTGATTAACTGGGGAGTCTACTCCACGTGAGCGGTAGTACTAATTTACTAATTCATCCATTAACATCTGCTGTGTGCCTAAAATGTGCCACAAACTGCTATTTACTGGAGATGTAAGAAGAGCTAAGACTTGGCCTCTGTCCTTAAGGAGCTTACAAAGAAATGGGAGACGTTTGTATAAACAATTGCAATGAAACAAGACAATTCTTAAATGGAAGTCTATACAAAGCACAGCAAGCCTGTAGGAGAAGGACGTGAGCCGGATGGGGTAGGAGTGGGCACTGAGGATTATGGATTCACAGAGAGAGCATCTGAGCCGAGACCTGCGGGAGGAGAAGGAATTTGCCAGGCAGCACAGCTGGTGACTCAGCGACGGGGGAAGGCATCTAGATACAGGAGTGAGTCTATGGAGTCTTTGGGGTTTTATTATTAGTAGCAAATGGCCTGTGACCCACCTCACAAGTCACAGAAACACATCAGTGAGGCAATCCGTGGTAAGGCTCTCTTATGAAGGTTTTCAGCATAGCAGGGATCTTTCAGATTGGCCATTAAAGACAGCATGAGTTCACTCTGGCGGCTGTATGGTGGAGACAGCATCTAGAAGCTGCCACAGTGTTGCGGCAAAATGGGATGAGCCCAGATCTGAAACAACACTGGTAAGAATCAGGGTGTGGAGGGCAATAATGAGGCCAAAGCAGTGGGACCCGGTGATGAACCAGGCAGGTCACAGGTGCCTTGGGCTGTAAGCCACGAGATCTGGACGGACTCAAGTTTCCAATCAGTGGTTGTGGCTGTCTGCATCACCCAAAATAGAACATAGGTTGAGTCTTGCACTCAAACTAACTTGAAGGCAGAATGATGAATAGCCGGACATTAAAGTACTGTGATGACATGAAGTGGGACATTTTCAAAATAGATGATCCTTTCTGGGGGAGGATATTTGTCTCTGTCGATCTATTAAATAACTGTATCTGGCCCTGGAGAGGTAACTTAACACTTTCAGCAGGGAAGGAGCTGAGGCTGACTCACAGCTCTCCATCGGCATTTCCCATTTTTCTTTCAAAGCAGTTCATAAATACCTTCTTTATGCTTTACATTTTTACTGTGGAGCCAGCGAATGTATAAGGAAGAAGTTGATTAGTGTGGTTAATCTACCTCTTCTATTTAATTGCATATTGACATATTCCTGTGTTTATGCCCATAAAATTCCTGTATCTGCTTTCACAGCTCTTCAGAACTTCAGAAGGAAATCTGTTCCAATCACATTGAACTCCTGTTGTCCCCTGCGTTCAGTAATGAGGTCCCTTCTTTGTGCCTCGGCACAGTCCATTTTCCTATCTGAATTGTTCTCTCTTAGAAATCCATGAACTTCTTCATATTCTAGCTCAAAATTAAACTTCTCTGAGACATTTAGTCACTATTCCAATTGCTGCTTTGTTTTTTGACATTTCTGAACTGTATTAACTTTGCATATAAGTGTCTACTTAAGTCTTCTTAAACATTTCATGTACATATTTTGGGCATTTTCAAACAGTAACATCCTTAACCTAGTGCAACTGTTCAATAGATGACAACCTTAACCAATGGACAAGTAGTAGAAATACATTTCCCTGTCTGCCCTAGTTCCATGTCTACCTTTAAACATTTAGAACTTTTTCTAGAACCCAAAATATACGTGCCATTAGGTCAGCATCTCTATTTCTGACTTCTAAGTACAGTTCTTTGAACAAATATTCAAAATATTTTATATGCACAGAAAAGTACAGGATGTAACACAGCAGAATTTAAAAAGGTAAATATCTTGTACCATGTTTCAGATATTTTACTTTTATGAAAAAGATTAGGAGCTAAGCTATGAGGATGCAAAGGCATAAGAATGATACAGTGGACTTTGGGGATTCAGGGAAAAGCGTGGGAGGGGAGTGAAGGATATAAGACTACACATTGGGTACTGCTTGGGTGATGGGTGCACGAAAACTTCCAAAATCACCACTAAAGAACTTATTCATGTCCAATAAATAAATAAATAAATAAATAAAGGGAAAAAAAAGAATGAAACATTACAAATATAGTTGATATCCTTTTTGTAGTCCTCCCCCCATGCCGTTTACCTCCTTTTATTCCTAGAGGCAACCACAAGCCTGAAATTGATGCATTTATTTCCTTTCTCTGTTCCTATAATTTTACTAAATATATATCTTTCTGTGATCAATATATTAATTGTGTTTTAAAATTTTACCCAAGTAATATCTTTACACATATGGATTTTGTTATTTTCTCCAACTTCAGAATCTCTGTATTTTGATAAGCAGATGTGATCTTTTATATTTATTGTGATTATTGATAAGTTTAAGATTGTTTTTAGCATTTTTCTTAGAATTTTTTATTTATTGAAATTTTTCATGCTTTTCTTCTTCTTTTTTGTCCATGTAAGTAATCATTTTAAAATTCCTTTTTGTTTCCACACTGGTTTGGAAAATAAACATTCTATTTGTCTTTTTAGTGGGGCTGCCACTTTAAATATGAAAATAAAACTTATGCATTATTTTTAAAACTCCAAGTCTGTATTTATCTTCTCAGTCTCAATCTGTTGATATTCATCCATTTTTTCCCTAAGCCAATACAATGATCCTTGGCCGGGCACGGTGGCTCACGCCACGGTGGGCGGATCACGAGGTCAGGAGATCGAGACCATCCTGGCTAACACGGTGAAACCCCATCTCTACTAAAAATACAAAAAAAAATTACCCCGGCCTGGTGGCGGGCGCCTGTAGTCCCAGCTACTGGGGAGGCTGAGGCAGGAGAATGGCATGAACCCTGGAGGTGGAGCTTGCAGTGAGCCAAGATCATGCCACTGCACTCCAGCCTGGGCGACAGAGCAAGACTCCGTCTCAAAAAAAAAAAAAAAAAAAAAAGATCCATCTTTCCTCGTTTCTTCTTGTTTTATAGAAAAATGGTTATACTATATGCACTCTTCCATAGCTTACTTTGCAGTTATAACTTTTGAATATCCTTCTATGTCAGTAACACAGTTCTATCTCATTCTTTCTAATGGCTACATAGCAATGATGATGATAGCTAACATTTTCTGAGTAATTGCTATGTGCTAAGAACTTTGTCTCATCTAAAAATCACAACAATTATATGTCAAAAGAAGCCCCATTTTAGAGATGAGGAGCCTGAGGCTTAGAGAGGAGTGGCAGATAGAATAATGGTCCCCCAAGATGTCTGTGTCCAAATCCCTGGAACCTGTCAGTTTGTTATCTTACATGGCAAAAGGGATTTTGCAGATGTGATTAATAGTAAGAACCTAAAAATGGAGAGATCACGCTGGCCTATCTAGGTGGACCCAATCTAATCACTTGAGTCCTTAAAGGTGGAGCCTTTTCCAGCTGGGTTAGGGAGAGATGTGATGGTAGAAGCAGGGTGAGAGAGACAGCAGCCTGAGAAGGATTCACCACCCTGTCGCTGTTTTTGAGAGGTCGACATTTATGTGCAGGGACAAGCAAGAGGCCTCTAGGAGCTAAGGGCAGCCCTCAGCTAATAGTCAGCAAGGAAAGAGAGATCTCAGTCTTTCAACCACATGGAACTGAATTCTGCCAACACCTGAACGAGCAGGGAAAGGGATTTTCTCTTAGACTGTACAGGAAGGAGTGCAACCCTGCCCACCCACTGATTTTAGTTCATACCAGACTTCTGACCTGCTGAACTGTAAAATAATAAGTCTGTGTTGTTTAATGCCCATAAAATTGTGGTGATTTGTTAAGGCAGCAATGGAAATGAATACAAGCAGCCACAACTAATAAGTTGTAGTGAAATGGGAGCTCAGGTAGTCTGATTCCAAGGGGCATGTATATAGCTAAATCAGAGTTTATTTAGCCAGTCCATTACTGGTGGGCATTAGGTGGCTTTCAATTTATAGTATTTCAGACAATGGGACAGATTTCCTCATAGCTCTCTCTTTATACACTTTAGAATTTAGAATTTCTATAGAGAAATTCCTAAAAATGAAATTATTAGGTCAAAGGATATGCACTTTAGGCATTTTTTAAATAAATACTGTCAAATCGCCTTACAAAGGGTTCCCAATGCAGTTCATAGACAAGAACTGAAATCAGTAGAAATAAAATTAGCAAAGAGTATTAATGGCTCTGACTCATTGGTGACCATTTCAGAAAAGCAAAGAACTGAAATGACCACAAAACTGAAAGTCCCTTTCTCCTTCAATTTAGATGGAAAGCCTACAGATGTCTGTTCTGAAAGAATCCCTCTGGCTCTGTCTTCTTTATGTGCTGTGTAAATTCATTACTTTGTGCTTTTACTTCTGGGTCTTGCTCTTTGGCCCTTGAAGCAATAAAGACTGACAAAATTAATAGTTTTTAAGTATCACTTGTGCCACACATCTGTTCTAAAAATGCTATATTTCTTCAACGGAGGCTAGAGTTTCCCATTAGATACTTTATGAATAGCATCTCATTAATTTTGAACGATAGGCTGTCCAACAGGGCCCTGGAACCCAACTGTTGAAAGAAATCACTGATTTTAAAAAATTAATGTAGCAGCCAGCTCAAACATGAGGGCCCAGTGAGTAGCCAGCATTTTATGGGAGTCACCGATGAAGGGTCTCATCAGGATGTAATGGCAAATTCCTCATGTGACCCTACCTCAGAAGAAACCTCTTCATGTTAGCAAAGCCCAGGCTCTGAAAGACAAGTAGTGTTTCTTGTTGGAAATAATTTTATTTTCTTTGGGCATCTTACCTTCATTTTTTAGATATAGAAATTGGTTTCTTTCTTTTCTTTTTTTTTTTTTGTGGTGATAAAAATGTGTATTTAGAATTAGCCAGCTAGGCTCAGTTTAGATGATCTCAATTTTATTGGCAACATCCAAAGCATCATAGTTTGGAACCTGTTGAGCATATGTTGCCTTCCCTCCATCAGGCCTGCTCAGAGTGTTGACGTTGGTCATGTCAACATCAAAGCTTCTTCATAGCCTGTTTGACCTGGTGCTTGTTGGCTTTGCCATCCACAGTGAACACAATGGGTTGTTGTTGTCCATCTTCATGGCCGACTCAGTAGTCGGGGGAACTTGATTGTGGCATACAGCTAAAGCTTGTTTCTCCGAGGGCACTATTCTGTCTTTGTTTCTCCTGGGGGCTTGGGCTGCCTTGGGAGCCTTAGTGTCTTGGGACTCTAGAAGGTGGGTGATGTGTAGATATTTATTTGTGATGCTGTGATGCCTTTCAGCACTGTCTACTTGGCCTTCAAAACCTTTGCTTTAGCTTCTGCTTTGGAAGGGGAAAGGACTTCCTTTGCTTTAGGGACTATCTTGAGGAAAAAGCTAGAAAGTGGCTTTTTTTACTCCTGGCTTGCACCAATATTTTGGTGAGCTTGCAGATCTGGTAGCATCCTTTCTTTTTTCCCATGCTCTTTCCTTTGTTTCAGAACTTCCTTTTATTCTACTGCCTTGGAAATTTTTGTTTTCTCCTTCAGCTGTGATGTTAAATAATTAGAGGTGTGAAACCCTTTGACTCAATTATTAGGCTTGTTTTTTGTCCTTGCGCTCAACTGCTTGATCCTAGCACGTTGCAGTAAACATCCTCTTGGTTGTGAATTGGAAAGATGTCAAGTTAAAGAGGTTTGTCTGTTGTTACTTTATTTTTGCTTCATTTTACCTAAGAAACAAGAATGGAAATTTGAATTCTGATAAATTTTAGAGTGTTATGATGAATAATAACACCTCCTATTTATTGAACACTTACTATGTACCTAACACTATTAATTTTTCAGAATGCTTTCAATTATTTAAGTCCTCAGGGCTGTTCTGTGGTAGGTGCTCTGTTATCCCGATTTCACTGTTGAGGAATATGAAGTTTTAAGAAATTAGACAACCTGCTCAAGGCTATATAGTAGTAGAATGATAAAGCTGAGATGCAAACACAGGCTTGTTTGGCCAGTCTGCACTCTTAACCACTGTACTATAATGTTCCTTGGCATTTCAAGTTATTTGTAAGCAATGCTTCCAGGAACATTTTTTAACCAAAAAAAACTAAACACAGAACTACTTAGTTGTGTAGAAGCAGAAAGAACACTGGGATAAGAGTCAGGAGATGGAGCCCTAGCTGTGTGCCTAACTAGCCAAGCAAGTCCCTGAACCAATCACTTCACTAGCCCCAGCCCTGTGCTTTTCTCATCTGTAAAAGTGCCAAACTTCTAGCATCCTGAACAAAACTTGATTTCCTCTTCTTTAGTTTTTCCTGTACTAAGGTAGATGAAACCCACCATTCCCATATCATTTATGACAACTAAGGCTGGTATCAGATGAGGCCATTGGCATAGGGCTACTTGTCCAGAAAAAAGAGGGAAAATGCAATGATTAAATGCCACCCACCCCGGGCAGAAAGCAAACTAAGCGTAATGACTCAAATCCAAAGCCTAGAAAATCTTGGTGGAAACAGGGTGGATATATTCTTCTATCTTCAATTTTCTCTGTGTGTATTTATTGTTGACCATAGAAATGTGGATAAACATGTGGCTCACCATTAACCATCATCTCCAACTTGCTAAAGCTATTGTGGAGTAATAATACCACCAAACTTTGTCCAGCTAGAAATGAGACCCAGCCATAGAGAAGACTTCCTGAGTTTCTCAAGTATGTATCTGTTGTATCACATAGCTTTTTTCTATCCCATGTGTTATGGGCTGAACTGTATTCTCCCTAGCAAATTCATATGTTGAAATTCTAACCCCCAGTACCTCAGAATGTGACTGTTTGGGTATAGGGCATTTAAGGAGGTAGTTAAGGTAGAATGAGGCCATACAGGTGGTCCCTAATTCACTATGACTGTTGCGCTTAGAAAAAAAGTGGATTAGGACACAAACAACACAAAAACAAAAGGGTGACCATATGAGGACACAGCACTAAGGTAGACATCCACAAGTCAAGAAGAAAGATCTCAGAAGAAAACCATCCTGTTGACATCAACTTGATCTTAGCCTTCTGTTCTCTAGAACTGTGAGAAAACACATTTCTGTTGTTTAAACTACCCAGCCTGTGGTATTTTGTAATGGCAGCCCTAGCAAACTCATCCACTATGTTTTAAATCCAGGTTTTTTTTTTAAGTTTCTCTTTTTTTTTTTTCAGAAGTTTCTAACCTTAATTTTAAATTTGTTTTTCTTTCCTCCTTTGCTTGAGCTAGATTTCTACACCCTAAGAAGTCATACTCAGGTTTCTAACTTCATCCACATACTGGAGTACAAAGATTCCACAAATTTTAACAGTATTCGAAGAGTGCTCAGTCTTTGAGATGAGTCTTGACTGGTACTTTGGATATAACTTACATTTTATACCTCTGTAAATTCCTTTTCTTATTGCTCACCTGTGTCAGTTCTCAAATAGATTATTTAATTTTATAACAAACCAACAAATAAAACAAAGCACTGAACTATGTAAAACTGACTTCTCATCCCCTACCCCTGCCCTATGAATTTTTCTCTTTTTCTTACTCCTTACCTTGGGTAAAATGGCAGCAGCAACACCATGAACCCAAGTTCAGGTTCTCAAACTGGGAACTTAGGGACTCATTCTTCATTCTTTCTTTGTCCTTGCCTCTTACATTTAACTCATTATTCAAAGTCTGTTCATGCTTCTTTTAAAATGTCTAATAAAAACACTCGTAATTTTTTTTTTTTTAAGAGACAAGGTTTCACCATGTTGGCCAGGCTGGTCTTGAAGTCCTGACCTCAAGTAATCTGCCCGCCTTGGCCTCCCAAAGTGCTGGGATTACAGGTGTGAGCCACCGTGCCCAGCCAACACTTGTAATTTTAAACTATATTAAATTTGAATTGGCAATATCAATATGGACTCATGAATTAAAAACATATATATGTGTGTGTGTGTATTCTAGCTCTGTACACTGAAAGAACATAGAAGCAATGATATTCCTCTAGCAATGAGCAATACCTAGAACCCAGATCTTGGTTTCTACTCATCTTTGTTTATTGAAACACAGTAAACAATGTTCCTGTTTACAGGAGAAATAGCTGATTCTAGGTGTTGAGCATGGAAATTACAAGGTAAGTTTAGGACATTTTGATATACCAAGGAAGTGCTCAGCGATTTATGGGGGCATGATACAAGGACACAGGGGCTAGTGTGAAAGGGCTCCCACTAGCCAAAGTTTGGACAGTTTGAATATGGCTATATTGATTGCAAAACATTGAATACATAAAAATTCATTAGTCCATAGTAATACCCAAAAAAGTGAAAGAAAAGGAAAAAAAAACTAATTTGCCATCATTGGAAGTGATCATTCAATAAATCCTTACTCTGACATTGATAGTAAAAGGGAAAGAACTAAACATTTACCTTGCCTTTTTTTTTTTTTTTTAATGCTTTAAGTTCTAGGGTACATGTGCACAATGTGCAGGTTTGATACATAGGTATACATGTGCCATGTTGGTTTGCTGCACCCATCAACTCTCCTAACGCTATCCCTCCCCCAGCCCCCTACCCCACAACAGGCCCCGGTGTGTGATGTTCCCCTCCCTGTGTCCATGTGTTCTCATTGGTCAACTCCCACTTAAGAGTGAGAACATGCGGAGTTTGGTTTTGTGTCCTTGTGATATTTTGCTGAGAATCATGATTTCTAGCTTCATCCATGTCCCTGCAAAGGACATGAACTCATCCTTTTTTATGGCTGCATAGTATTCTTTGGTGTATATGTGCCACATTTTCTTTATCTAGTCTATTATTGATGGACATTTGGGTTAGTTCCAAGTCTTTGCTATTGTGAATAATGCCTCAATAAACATAGGTGTGCACGTGTCTTTATAGTAGCATGATTTATAATCCTTTGGGTATATACCCAGTAATGAGATTCCTGGGTCAAATGGTATTTCTAGTTCTAGATCCTTGAGGAATTGCCACACTGTCTTCCACAATGGTTGAACTAATGTATACTCCCACCAACAGTGTAAAAGCGTTCCTATTTCTCCACATCCTCTACAGCATCAGTTGTTTCCTGACTTTTTAATGATCGTCATTCTAACTGGCATGAGTGGTATCTCATTGTGGTTTTGATTTGCATTTCTCTGATGACCAGTGATGATGAGCATTTTTTCATATGTTTCTTGGCTGCATAAATGTCTTCTTTTGAGAAGTGTCTCTTCATATCCTTTGCCCACTTTTTGATGGTTTTTTTTTTTCTTGTAGATTTGTTGAAGTTCTTTGTAGATTCTGGATATTAGCCCTTTGTCAGATGAGTAGATTGCAAAAATTTTCTCCCATTCTGTAGGTTGCCTGTTCACTCTGATGGTAGTTTGTTTTGCTGTGCAGAAGCTCTTTAGTTTAATTAGATCCCATTTGTCAATTTTGGCTTTTGTTGCCATTGCTTTTGGTGTTTTAATCATGAAGTCTTTGCCCATGCCTATGTCCTGAATGGTACTACCTAGGTTTTCTTCTAGGGTTTTCATGGTGTTATGACTTACATTTAAGTCTTTAATCCATCTTGAGTTAATTTTTGTGTAAGGTGTAAGGAATGGATCCAGTTTCAGCTTTCTACATATGGCTAGCCCGTTTTCCCAGCACCATTTATTAAATAGGGAATCCTTTCCCTATTGCTTGTTTTTGTCAGGTTTGTCAAAGATCAGATGGTTGTAGATGTGTGGTGTTATTTCTGAGGCCTCTGTTCTGTTCCATTGGTCTATATCTCTGTTTTGGTACCAGTACCATGCTGTTTTGTTTACTGTAGCCTTGTAGTATAGTTTGAAGTCAGGTAGCGTGATGCCTCCAGCTTTGTTCTTTTTGCTTGAGATTGTGTTGGCTATGAGGGCCCTTTTTTGGTTCCATATGAAGTTTAAAGTAGTTTTTTTCCAGTTCTATGAAGAAAGTCAGTGGTAGCTTGATGGGGATGGCATTGAATCTATAAATTACCTTGGGCAGTATGGCCATTTTCATGATATTGATTCTTCCTATCCATGAGCATGGAATGTTCTTCCATTTGTTTGTGTCCTCTTTTATTTCATTGAGCAGTGGTTTGTAGTTCTCCTTGAAGAGGTCCTTCACGTCCCTTGTAAGTTGGATTCCTAGATATTTTATTCTCTTTGTAGTAATTGTGAATGGGAGTTCACTCATGATTTGGCTCTCTGTTTGTCTGTTCTTGGTGTATAGGAATGCTTCTAATTTTTGCACATTGATTTTGTATCCTGAGATTTTGCTGAAGTTGCTTATCAGCTTAAGGAGATTTGGGGCTGAGACGATGGGGTTTTCTAAATATACAATCATGTCATCTGCAAACAGGGACAATCTGACTTCCTCTTTTCCTAATGGAATACCCTTTATTTCTTTCTCTTGCCTGATTGCCCTGGCCAGAACTTCCAATACTATGTTGAATAGGAGTGGTGAGAGAGGGCATCGCTGTCTTGTGCCAGTTTTCAAAGGGAATGCTTCCAGTTTTTGCCCATTCAGTATGATATTGGCTGTGGGCTTGTCATAAATAGCTCTTATTATTTTGAGATATGTTCAATCAATATCTAGTTTATTGAGAGTTTTTAGCATGAAAGGCTGTTGAGTTTTGTCAAAGGCCTTTTATGCATCTATTGAGATAATCATGTGATTTTTGTCATTGGTTCTGTTTAAGTGATGGATTACATTTGTTGATTTGTGTATGTCGAACCAGCCTTGCATCCCAGGGATGAAGCCAACTTGATCATGGTGGATAAGCTGTTTGACGTGCTGCTGGATTCGGTTTGCCAGGACTTTATTGAGGATTTTCACATTGATGTTCATTAGGGATATTGGCCTAAAATTATCTTTTTTTGTTTTGTCTCTGCCAGGCTTTGGTATCAGGACGATGCTGGCCTCATAAAATGAGTTAGGGAGGTTTCCCTCTTTTTCTATTGATTGGAATAGTTTCAGAAGGAATGGTACCAGCTTCTCTTTTTACCTCTGGTAGAATTTGGCTGTGAATCTGTCTGGTCCTGGAATTTTTTTGCTTGGTAGGCTATTAATTATCGCCTCAATTTCAGAACCTGTTAATGGTCTATTCCAGGATTTGAGTTCTTTCTGGTTTAGTTTTGGGAGGCTGTATGTATCCAGGAATTTATCCATTTCTTCTAGATTTTCTAGGTTATTTGCATAGAGGTGTCATAGTATTCTCTGAGAGTAGTTTGTATTTCTGTGGGATCAGTAGTGATATCCCTTTTTTCATTTTTTATTGCATCTACTTGATTCTTCTCTCTTTTCTTCTTTATGAATCTTGCTAGCGGGTCTATCCATTTTGTTGATTTTTTTCAAAAAACCAGCTCCTGGATTCATTGATTTTTTTGAAGGGTTTTTTGTGTCTCTATCTCCTTCAGTTCTGCTCTGATCTTAGTTATATCTTGCTTTCTGCTAGCTTTTCAATGTGTTTGCTCTTGCTTCTCTGGTTCTTTTAATTGTGATGTTAGGGTGTCGATTTTAGGTCTTTCCTGCTTTCTCTTGTGGGCATTTACTGCTATAAATTTCCCTCTACACACTGCTTTAAATGTATCCCAGAGATTCTGGTACATTGTGTCTTTGTTCTCATTGGTTCCAAAGAACCTCTTTGTTTCTGCCTTCATTTCATTATTTACCCAGTAGTCATTCAGGAGCAGGTTAATTCCATGTAGTTGTGTGGTTTTGAGTGAGTTTCTTAATCCTGAGTTCTAATTTGATTGCACTGTGGTCTGAGAGACAGTTTGTTGTGATTTCTATTCTTTTACATTTGCTGAGGAGTGTTTTACTTCCAAATATGTGGTCAATTTTAGAATAAGTGTGATGTGGTGCTGAGAAGAATGTATATTCTGTTGATTTGGGGTGGAGAGTTCTATAGATGTCTATTAGGTCTGTTTGGTGTAGAGCTGAGTTCAAGTCCTGAATATCCTTGTTAATTTTCTGTCTCGTTGATCTGTCTAATATTGACAGTGGGGTATTAAAGTCTCCCATTATTATTGTGTGGGAGTCTAAGTCTCTTTTTAGGTCTCTAAGAACTTGCTTTATGAATCTGGGCACTCCTGTATTGGGTGCATATATATTTAGGATAGTTAGCTCTTCTTGTTGAATTGATCCTTTTACCATTATGTAATGGCCTTCTTTGTCTCTTTGATCTTTGTTGGTTTAAAGTCTATTTTATCAGAGACCAGGATTGCAACCCCTGCTTTTTTTTGCTTTCCATTTGCTTGGTAGATCTTCCTCCATCCCTTTATTTTGAGCCTATGTGTGTCTCTGCACGTGTGATGGGTCTCCTGAATACAGCACACCGATGGGTCTTGACTCTTTTTTTTGTTTTTCAATATATATATATATATATTTATTATACTGTAAGTTCTAGGGTACATGTGCACAACATGCAGCTTTGTTACATATGTATACATGTGCCATGTTGGTGAGCTGCACCCATTAACTTGTCATTTATATTAGGTATATCTCCTAATGCTATCCCTCCCCTGACCCCCCCACCCCACAACAGGCCCCAGTGTGTGATGTTCCCCTTCCTGTGTCCAAGTGTTCTCATTGTTCAATTCCCACCTGTGAGTGAGAACATGCGGTGTTTGGTTTTTTGTCCTTGCGATAGTTCGCTGAGAATGATGGTTTCCAGCTTCATCCATGTCCCTACAAATGGCATCAACTCATCCTCTTTTATGGCTGCATAGTATTCCATGGTGTATATGTGCCACATTTTCTTAATCCAATCTATCATTGATGAACATTTGGGTTAGTTCCAAGTCTTTGCTATTGTGAGTAGTGCCACAACAAACATACATGTGCATGTGTCTTTATAGCAGCATGATTTATATTCCTTTGGGTATATACCCAATAATGGGATGGCTGGGTCAAATGGTATGTCTAGTTCTAGATCCCTGAGGAATTGCCACACTGTCTTCCACAATGCTTGAACTAGTTTATGTCCCACCAACAGTGTAAAAGTGTTCCTGTTTCTCCACATCCTCTCCAGCACCTGTTGTTTCCTGACTTTTTAATGATCACCATTCTAACTGGTGTGAGATGATCTCATTGTGGTTTTGATTTGCATTTCTCTGATGGCCAGTGATGATGAGCATTTTGTCATGTGTCTGTTGGCTGCATAAATGTCTTCTTTTGAGAAGTGTCTGTTCATACTCTTTGCCCACTTTTTGATGGGGTTGTTTGTTTTTTTCTTGTAAATTTGTTTGAGTTCTTTGTAGATTCTGGATATTAGCCCTTTGTCAGATGAGTAGATTGCAAAAATTTTCTCCCATTCCGTAGGTTGCCTGTTCACTCTGATGGTAGTTTGTTTTGCTGTGCAGAAGCTCTTTAGTTTAATTAGATCCCATTTGTCAATTTTGGCTTTTGTTACCATTGCTTTTGGTGTTTTAGACATGAAGTCCTTGCCCATGCCTATGTCCTGAATGTTATTGCCTAGGTTTTCTTCTAGGGTTTTTATGGTTTTACATCTAATATTTAAGTCTTTAATCCACCTTAAATTAATTTTTGTATAAGGTGTAAGGAAGGGATCCAGTTTCAGCTTTCTGCGTATGGCTAGCCAGTTTTCCCAGCACCATTTGTTAAATAGGGAATCTTTTCCCTATTGCTTATTTTTGTCAGGTTTGTCAAAGATCAGATAGCTGTAGATGTGTGCTGTTATTTCTGAGGCCTCTGTTCTGTTCCATTGGTCTATATCTCTGTTTTGGTACCAGTACCACGCTGTTTTGTTTACTGTAGCCTTGTAGTATAGTTTGAAGTCAGGTAGCGTGATGCCTCCAGCTTTGTTCTTTTGGCTTAGGATTGACTTGCCAATGCGGGCTCTTTTTTGGTTCCATATGAACTTTAAAGTAGTTTTTTCTAATTCTGTGAAGAAAGTCATTGGTAGCTTGATGGGGATGGCATTGAAACTATAAATTTCCTTGGGCTATATGGCCATTTTCACAATATTGATTATTCCTATCCATGAGCATGGAATGTTCTTCCATTTGTTTGTGTCCTCTTTTATTTCATTGAGCAGTGGTTTGTTGTTCTTCTTGAAGAGGTCCTTCACATCGCTTGTAAGTTGGATTCCCAGGTATTTTATTCTCTTTGAAGCAATTGTGAATGGGCGTTCACTCATGATTTGGCTCTCTGTTTGTCTGCTATTGGTGTATAATAATGCTTGTGATTTTTGCACATTGATTTTGTATCCTGAGACTTTGCTGAAGTTGCTTATCAGCTTAAGGAGATTTTGGGCTGAGGTGATGGGGGGTTCTAGATATATAATCATGTCATCTGCAAACAGGGACAATTTGACTTCCTCTTTTCCTAATTGAATACCCTTTATTTCTTTCTCCTACCTGATTGCCCTGGCCAGAACTTCCAACACTATGTTGAATAGGAGTGGTGGGATAGGGCATCCCTGTCTTGTGCCAGTTTTCAAAGGGAATGCTTCCAGTTTTTGCCTATTCAGTATGATATTGGCTGTGGGTTTGTCATAAATAGCTCTCATTATTTTTAGATACGTCCCATCAATACCTAATTTATTGAGAGTTTTTAGCATGAAGGGCTGTTGAATTTTGTCGAAGGCCTTTTCAGCATCCATTGAAATAATCATGTGGTTTTTGTCATTGGTTCTGTTTATATGCTGGATTACGTTTATTGATTTGTGTATGTTGAACCAGCCTTGCATCCCAGGGATGAAGCCCACTTGATCATGGTGGATAAGCTTTTCGATATGTTGCTGGATTAAGTTTGCCAGTGTTTTATTGAGGATTTTTGCATCGATGTTCATCAGGGATATTGGTCTAAAATTCTCCTTTTTTGTTGTGTCTCTGCCAGGCTTTGGTATCAGGATGATGCTGGCCTCATAAAATGAGTTAGGGAGGATTCCCTCTTTTTCCATTGATTGGAATAGTTTCAGAAGGAATGATATCAGCTCCTCCTTGTACCTCTGATAGAATTCGGCTGTGAATCCATCTGATCCTGGACTTTTTTTGGTTGGTAAGCTATTAATTATTGCCTGAATTTCAGAGCCTGTTATTCGTCTATTCAGAGATTCAACTTCTTCCTGGTTTAGTCTTGCGAGGGTGTATGTGTCAAGGAATTTATCCATTTCTTCTAGATTTTCTTGTTTATTTGCATAGAGGTGTTTATAGTATTCTCTGAAGGTAGTTTGTATTTCTGTAGGATAGGTGGTGATATCCCCTTTATCATTTTTTATTGCGTCTATTTGATTCTTCTCTCTTTTCTTCTTTATTAGTCTTGCTAGTGATCTATCCATTTTGTTGATCTTTTCAGAAAACCAGCTCCTGGATTCATTGATTTTTTTGAAGGGATTTTTATGTCTCTGTATCCTTCAGCTCTGCTCTGATCTTAGTTATTTCTTGCTTCCTGCTAGCTTTTGAATGTGTTTGCTCTTGCTTCTCTGGTTCTTTAATTGTGATGTTAGGGTGTCGATTTTAGATCTTTCATGCTTTCTCTTGTGGGCATTTAGTGCTATAAATTTCCCTCTACACACTACTTTAAATGCATCCCAGAGGTTCTGGTTTGTTGTGTCTTTGTTCCCGTGGGTTCCAAAGAACCTCTTTATTTCTGCCTTCATTTCATTATTTACCCAGTAGTCATTCAGGAGCAGGTTGTTCAGTATCCATGTAATTGAGTGGTTTTGAGTGAGTTTCTTAATCCTGAGTTCTAATTTGATTGCACTGTGGTCTGAGAGACAGTTTGTTATAATTTCTGTTCTTTTACATTTTCTGAGGAGTGCTTTTCTTCCAACTATGTGGTCAATTTTGGAATAGGTGCAGTGTGGTGCTGAGAAGAATGTATATTGTGTTGATTTGGGGTGGAGAGTTCTGTAGATGTCTATTAGGTCCACTTGATGCAGAGCTGAATTCAATTCCTGGATATCCTTGTTAACTTTCTGTCTTGTTGATCTGTCTAATGTTGACAGTGGGGTGTTAAAGTCTCCCATAATTATTGTGTGCGAGTCTAAGCCTCTTTGTAGGTCTCTAAGGACTTGCATTATGAATCTGGGTGCTCCTGTATTGGGTGCATATATATTTAGGATAGTTAGCTCTTCTTGTTGAATTGATCCCTTTACCATTATGTAGTGGCCTTCTTTGTCTCTTTTGATCTTTGTTGGTTTAAAGTCTGTTTTTTCAGAGACTAGGATTGCAACCCCTGCCTTTTTTTGTTTTCCATTTGCTTGGTAGATCTTCCTCCATCCCTTTATTTTGAGTCTATGTGTGTCTCTGCACGTGAGATGGGTTTCCTGAATACAGCACACTGATGGGTCTTGACTCTTTATCCATTTGCCAGTCTGTGTCTTTTAATTGGAGCATTTAGCCCATTTACATTTAAGGTTAATATTGTTATGTGTGAATTTGATCCTGTCATTATGATGTTAGCTGGCTATTTTGTTCATTAGTTGATGCAGTTTCTTCCTAGCATCGATGGTGTTTACAATTGGGCATGTTTTTGCAGTGGCTGGTACTAGTTGTTCCTTTCCATATTTAGTGCTTCCTTCAGGAGCTCTTTTAGGGCAGGCCTGGTGGTGACAGAATTTCTCAGCATTTACTTGTCTGTAAAGTATTTTATTTCTCCTTCACTTATGAAGCTTCATTTGGCTGGATATGAAATTCTGGGTTGAAAATTCTTTTCTTTAAGAATGTTGAATATTAGCCCCCACTCCCTTCTGGCTTGTAGAGTTTCTGCCGAGAGATCATCTTTTAGTCTGATGGGCTTCCCTTTGTGGGTAACCCGACCTTTCTCTCTGGCTGCCCTTAACATTTTTTCCTTCATTTCAACTTTGGTGAATCTGAGAATTATGTGTCTTGGAGTTGCTCTTCTCGAGGAGTATCTTTGTGGCATTCTCTGTATTTCCTGAATTTGAATGTTGCCTGCCTTGCTAGATTGAGGAAGTTCTCCTGGATAATATCCTGCAGAGCGTTTTCCAACTTGGTTCCATTCTCCCCGTCACTTTCAGGTACACCAATTAGACGTAGATTTGGTCTTTTCACATAGTCCCATATTTCTTGGAGGCTTTGTTCATTTCTTTTTATTCTTTTTTCTCTAAACTTCTCTTCTCGCTTCATTTCATTCATTTGATCTTGAATCACTGATACCCTTTCTTCCAGTTGATCGAATTGGCCACTGAAGCTTGTGCATTCATCATGTAGCTCTCATGCCATGGTTTTCAGCTCCATCAGGTCCTTTAAGGACTTCTCTGCATTGGTTATTCTAGTTAGCAATTCATCTAATCTTTTTTCAAGGTTTTTAACTTCTTTGCGATGGGTTCAAACTTCCTCCTTTAGTTCGGAGTAGTTTGATCTTCTGAAGCCTTCTTCTCTCAACTCATCAAAGTCATTCTCTGTCCAGCTTTGTTCCATTGCTGGTGAGGAGCTGCATTCCTTTGGAGGAGGAGAGGCACTCTGATTTTTAGAATTTTCAGTTTTTCTGTTCTGTTTTTTCCCCATATTTGTGGTTTTATCTACCTGTGGTCTTTGATGATAGTGACATACAGTTGGGGTTTTGGTGTGGATGTCCTTTCTGTCTGTTAGTTTTCCTTTTAACAGTCAGGACCCTCAGCTGCAGGTCTGTTGGAGTTTGCTGGAGGTCCACTCCAGACCCTGTTTGCCTGGGTATCAGCAGTGGAGGCTGCAGAACAGCAAATATTGCTGTCTGATCATTCCTCTGGAGGTTTTGTCTCAGAGGGGTGCCTGGCCGTGTGAGGTGTCAGTCTGCCCCTACTGGGGGGTGCCTCCCAGATAGGCTACTCGGGATTCAGGGACCCACTTCAGGAGGCAGTCTGTCTGTTCTCAGATCTCAAACTCCATGCTGGGAGAGCCACTACTCTCTTCAAAGCTGTCAGACAGGGACATTTAAGTCTGCAGAGGTTTCTGCTGCCTTTTGTTTGGCTATGCCCTGCCCCCAGAGGTGGAGTCTACAGAGGCAGGCAGGCCTCCTTGAGCTGCAGTGGGCTCCACCCAGTTCAAGCTTCCCTGCAGCTTTGTTTTTCTATTCAAGCCTCAGCAATGGTGGGCACCCCTCCCCAAGCCTCGCTGCCACCTTGCAGTTCGATCTTAGACTGCTGTGCTAGCAAGGAGCGAGGCTCCATGGGTGTGTGACCCTCTGAGCCAGGCACGGGATATAATCTCCTAGCGTGCCATTTGCTAAGAACATTGGAAAAGTGCTGTATTAGCATGGGAGTGACCCAATTTTCCAGGTGCCATCTGTCACAGCTTTTCTTGGCTATGAAAGGGAATTCCCTGACCCCTTGCGCTTCCTGGGTGAGGCGATGCCTTGCCCTGCTTCAGCTCATGCTCGGTGCGCTGCACCCACTGTCCTGCACCCACTGTCTGACAAGCCCCAGTGAGAAGAACCCAGTACCTCAATTGGAAATGCAGAAATCACCCATCTTCTGCGTCACTCATGCTGGGAGCTGTAGACTGGAGCTGTTCCTGTTCAGCCATCTTGGAACCGCCCCTGGGTCTTGACTCTTTATCCAATTTGCCAGTCTGTGTTTTTCAATTGGGGAATTTATCCCATTTACGTTTCAGGTTAATATTGTTATGTGTGAATTAGATCTTGTCATTGTGATACTAGCTGGTTATTTCACCTTTTTTTTTTTTTTTTTCTTTTTTGAGATGGAGTCTCGCTCTGTCACCCAGGCTGGAGTGCAGTGGTGTGATCTCGGCTCACTGCAAGCTCCACCTTCCAGGTTCACACCATTCTCCTGCCTCAGCCTCTCGAATAGCTGGGACTACAGGCACCCGCCACCATGCCTGGCTAGTTCTGTTTTTGTATTTTTAGTAGAGATGGGGTTTCACAGTGTTAGCCAGGATGGTCTCAATCTCCTGACCTTGTGATCCGCCCACCTCAGCCTCCCAAAGTGCTAGGATTACAGGTGTGAGCCACTGTGCCCAGCCTTATTTCACCTATTAATTGATGCAGTTTCTTCATAGCATAGATGGTCTTTACAATTTGGCATGTTTTTGCAGTGGCTGGTACTGGTTGTTCCTTTCCATGTTTAGTGCTTCCTTCAGGAGCTCTTGTAAGGCAGGTCTGGTGGTGACAAAGTCTCTCAGCATTTGCTTGTCTGTAATGGAGTTTGTTTCTCCTTCACTTATGTAGCTTCATTTGGCTGGATATGAAATTCTGGATTGAAAATTCTTTTCTTTAAGAATGTTGAATATTGGTCCCCACTCTCTTCTGGCTTATAGTGTTTCTGCCGAGAGGTCCGCTGTCAGTCTGATGGGCTTCCCTTTGTGGGTAACCTGACCTTTCTCTCTGGCTGCCCTTAATATTTTTTCCTTCATTTCAACCTTGGTGAATCTGACAATTATGTGTCTTGGGGTTGCTCTTCTCAATGAGCATCTTTGTGGTTTCTCTGTATTTCCTGAATTTGAATGTTGGCCTGCCTTGCTAGGTTGGGGAAGTTCTCCTGGATAATATCATGAAGAGTGTTTTCTAATTTGGTTCCATTCTCTCTGTCACTTTCAGGTACAGCTATCAAATGTAGATTTGGTCTTTTTACATAGTCCCATATTTATTGGAGTCTTTGTTCATTTCTTTTTACTCTTTTTTCTCTAATCTTGTCTTCTCGCTTTATTTCATTAATTTGATCTTCAATCACTGATATCCTTTATTCTGCTTGATTGAATTGGCTATTGAATCTTGTTTATGCTTCACGAGGTTCTCATACTGTGGTTTTCAGCTCCTTCAGGTCACTTAAGCTCTTCTCTACACTGTTTATTCTAGTTAGCCATTCAGCTAACCTTTTTTCAAGGTTTTCAGCTTCCTTTTGATGGGTTAGAACATGCTCCTTTAGCCCGGAGAAGTTTGTTATTACCGACCTTCTGAAGCCTGCTTCTGTCATCTCATCAAACTAATTCTCCATCCAGTTTTGTTCCCTTGCTGGTGAGGAGTTGTGTTCCTTTGGAGGAGAAGAGGTGTTCTGGTTTTTGGAATTTTCAGCCTTTCTGCTCTGGTTTCTCCCCATCTTTGTGGTTTTATGTACTACTTTGGTCTTTGATGTTGGTGACCTACAGATGGGGTTTTAGTGTGGATGTCCTTTTTGTTGATGTTGATGCTATTCCTTTCTGTTTGTTAATCCTTCTAACCAGGCAGGTCCCTCAGCTGCAGGTCTGTTGGAGTTTGCTGGAGGTCCACTCCAGACCCTGTTTGCCTGGGTATCACCAGCAGAGACTGCAGAATAGCAAATATTGCTGCCTGATCCTTCCTCTGGAAGCTTTGTCCCAGAGGGGCACCCACCTGTATGAGGTGTCTGTCGGCCCCTACTGGGAGGTGTCTCCCAGTTAGGCTACACGGTGGTCAGAGACCCACTTGAGGAGGCTGTCTGTCCATTATCAGAGCTCAAATGCCATGCTGGGAGAACTACTGCTGTCTTTAGGGCTGTCAGGCAGGGACGTTTAAGTCTGCAGAAGGTGTCTGCTGCCTTTTATTCAGATATGCCTTGCCCCCAGAGGTGGAATCTAGAGGCAGTAGGCCTTGCTGAGCTGCAGTGGGATCTACCCAGTTCGAGCTTCCCTACCACTTTATTTACACTGTGACCATAGAACCACATACTCAAGCCTCAGCAGTGGCAGAACCCCCTCCCCCTACCAAGCTCCAGTGTCCCAGGTTGATCTCAGACTGCTGTGCTAGCAGCAGGCAAGGCTCCATGGGCATGGGACCTGCCGAGCCAGGCACAAGAGGGAATCTCCTGGTCTGTCAGTTGCAAAGACAGTGGAAAAAAGCACAGTATTTGGGCAGGGGTGTACTGCTTCTCGAGGTACAGTCACTCACAGCTTCCCTTGGCTAGGAAAAAGAAATCCCCCAACCCCTTGCACTTCCCGGGTGAGGCAACACCCCACCCTGCTTTGGCTCATCCTCCGTGGGCTGCATCCACTGTCCAACGAGTCCCAGTGAGATGAACCAGGTACCTCAGTTGGAAATGCAGAAATCACCTGTCTTCTGCATCTATCTCACTTGAAGCTGTAGACCGGAGCTGTTCCTATTCAGCCATCTTGGAAGCAACCCTCTTTTTCTTTTTGTATTTTGGTAGAGACAGGGTTTCACCATATTGCCCAGGCTGGTTTCAAACTCCTGAGGTCAAGCCATTCTATAAAACAAACTTACATTTGTTTTCTCTGAGTTCCTTCCTCAGGAAAGGACTCTCAGGCCTCTCAAAAAACATCAGAGACCTGAAACTCAGCCAATCACAGCATCCAGACAATGAGATGCCAGTCCCCTCACTCATCACGAGTGCTTCCTCACCCCTCCCTAGTTCCTCTTTTCCCACACACAGTTAACTTTTCTTCTGCACTATATAAACCCCTAACTTTAGTCAATCAGGGAGACAGATTTGAGACTCATCTCCTGTCTACTCAGCTGCAGCACCTGATTAAAGCCTTCTTCCTCAGCAATACTCAATGTCTCAATGATTGTCTTTCTGTGTGCTGAGAACACTGAAGCCCTGGGGTTTTGGTAAAAATACATGTACACTTTTAAAAACCGCAATTAATGGGTTGTGGTATATTGAGAAATTGGAGTGGCGTCAACCTGGCCAATTCTGAGGAAACACACTGTGCTTAAGTGTCAGGGCCCTGCCTCCTGACCTCGACAGTTTATGGTTGATTTTGAGGCACAGCAGGGGAGTATGGCCTGGTTTGAGTGTTTTATAGAAATGTAAAACATGGCTGATTACTTTTTATTTTAAATCCAACAAATCTCCATTTCTGGTGAGAAAATCTTGCCAAAACCAACGAAACAAATGCATAGAAGTATATGAAGAAGAAAATGAAAGATTCCCTGCCTCCCAATCCCACTTGCTTGGTATCAGCCATTATTTATCACATGGAGGAAGGGGGCAAGACACCCAGGAAGTCCCAAGTCCTGTTCTCACAATCATCTGGCCTCCCTGGGCAAAGGGAAAAGAGGGAAGGCAAAAAGAATATAACACTACTGTTTGCGGAAATTTCCCCTTGGTACAGGAAACTCTGGTAAACTGAGAGAGTATGTTTTCCAGAGGGAGGCCTCAAGGGCTCTTCTCTGGCCCTAAGCCCAAACTGGATTTTGCCTCATTTTCTGAGGTGCAAATGAAACGATAAAAGTTGATCAAAGGAGAGGGCAGAGAGAAAGAAAGAAAGAGGATGACTCCTCTCTTGCAGGTCCACCTTCTTTGGTGTTGCTTGAGGGATCAGAAGAAATGCCTTAACATAGGTGTGTGGGAACTATGGCTGCTAAGTATGAACTCAGTTACCTCCAGTTATAAGCTAGTGTGAGGTTCCATGGTGTAATGGTGAGCACTTTGGACTCTGAATACAGTGATCAGAGTTCAAGTCTCACTGGAACCTTTCTGTATAATTCCAGTGAGGTTCCTCTCTTGCTCCATAAGCAGAATGGGGGAAATTGCCCAATCGTGGTCACAGACCCTCCATGCCACTGGCTGTGTGCAATTGGAGTCGCGGACCCAGCAACCAGCAAGACCCCTCCCCTCTCAGGGTGACCCTGGGCCTCCAGGTCACAGGTCTCCACTAAAAAGGCTGCCTCCCCTCAATCCTAGACCCCGAGTTTTCTTTTGTTCACGTCATTGGGCCATTGCCCTATGTCTCTTTGGAAGAAATGACCTATATGAAAAACTTTACTTCCAGGATTCCCTAATTCCTTCATCCCTTAGGACAGTGCAGTTTTTCATCTCCTGATCTTGGGTCCAGTACTAATGGCGCGTTTCATCTTGTTTTCATGGGATCCCCTCCAACCGGCTACCAGTGGATTCCTGTCCTTGGGGTCTCTGTGGATGACAACTAGATGCTGCTCTTGTCCCAAATCCTGACACCTCCCTCCAGGGAATTGCCTCCCTTAGCCTCCTAAATCAGCCAATATTTAGATTTGAGCCTGGAATCCCAGCATCTGTGGAGAATAGAGGTTCCTGATCCCTGGCCAGCCTCCCGCAGTGAAGGGGAGAGGAGCAGAGCAGCTGGGAGGGGCAAGTCCAGGGCCCTGGGCAACCCCCTTCTTCCTGCCCAGACTCTGCTCCAAGGAGAAGTTGCCTTAGGACCAGATCAGATGGAAACTCTTGTTCTCTTCTCATCAGCAGAAAAATTTAGGCAAGAGCTCTGAAGGACCTTCCTAGCTCATAAAAATGCTGTGGTCAAGTCTCTCCAGTTTTGGAAATATCCAAGGTTACCAAGTGTTTTGAGGGCTCACTTTGGAGCCTCTGAAAAGGAGGGGTCAGGGCCCATGGAAGGTACCTGAGGGATTCAGGAGAGAGAGGGGAAAGAGCAGACAGGAGGGAGGAGAGAAGGAGGGAGGGGGAGAAAGGGTGTGTGAGGGCCAGGAGCCAGGATTCACCCTGACAGTTCAGTGACTGCTCCCTGGCCCCAAAGTTCCCACTGTGGCACCTTCCAGCAGGTGGTTTCCATCTCTTATTGATGTCCTGAGAACTTGGCTCTACAGAATGGTCCCACCCTATTTGTCTGGCATGAGTCCTGCAAAGTTTCTTTTCATCATTTGGGGGATGAGATGGGGGTATATAGGTTTGCAAGTGACTAGGAGCTAAGTCAGGACCTTGTGGAGCTGCTCAGAGTTAACTGTCAAGTAGCCTCCTTTCCCCCTTCCCTAGCAGGATGATTGCCTGCAAGACAGGGCCTGGAGGAGGCCAGGGCACCCAAGGCCACAGAAATGCCCAGGGATGAGTCCTGGCTGGAGATGCCTTGGCCGAGCTGACTGTGCACTTCCAGGGCTCACAGGGGTCTGGCCAGGAGACTGAGCAAGGGGACCAGGGAGGTTATGCAGAGGCTTCTGCACAGCAAGGCAGACATTCTTCTTGGAGCCCCCAACCCAAATCAGGTCTTCCACCTCCTCTTCCTAAAGACCCTTTACTGCTGTCGTTCTTTTACTGAACTACAAGTTTAGAGGACATGGATTTCAGTGCCCTCATCTGGCCAACCATCTTCAGCTGCCAATGAGCAAGGTAACCTCCCTCCCTGCCAAGACCTGACTCAGGACCTTTCCTTAAGGAGATGTCCTGTTCTTTCTTTCCCACCAGAACTGCCCTGGCCCAGACCCCATTTCTGTCTGGTGACCAGGACAGTCCCCTCACCAGTCTCCCAGGTTGGGGAGGGCAGATCCTCCTCAGCTCCCTGCCCTGAGAGACCCCAACCGTCTTGTGTGGCTCCGGCCCACAGAGTGATATCCATGGCCCATATCTCTCAAAACTCTCCCCTCCCACTCTGAATCCACCCTCTACTGCATGCTCCCCTCACAGAACAGACTAATTTTTGTGTGTGTGTCCTTGTTTTGCCTACCTGTACCCCAGACAGACTTTTCTGTCTAAGAACTACCTGTCCCTCTTTGGACAGTGTCTTCCTGGTACTGCACATGAAGATGTCCCGCTCTCCCCTGCTCAAGGAGAGAGTGCCTGACCTGAGCTGGGCCCATCAGATCCAGTACTTACCTGGAATAGGAAAAAGATGGGGAGAGTGACCAAAGACTACAAAAATCTCTGAAGCTTATCTACTTGAGAGAGAGTCCCTGAAGATACTGGCCTCTCATTCCTGCTATGTATATCCAATGTGACTGAACTCTGAATAAAATATACAAGTTATAACAATGTAGCAATTGACCCAGCAAACGAGGACACAAACGTGTTGGAGGGTAAGGTGGTGAGAGGCGTGTTTGGGGGTGGTGGTGATGAGCAAGTATGTGAAGGAGAGGTAGTGCCTAAACTTGAAAATCAAAAAGTAATAATATCTATTTAGACATAAGGAGATAAATAATGAAATAATTGCTTCTATGTGATGAAACTCTGGGAGTACACAAGGGGAATGCTATTTTACTAAACAAATTTTCAAGTATATATAACTTTGATAAAGTATCCAAATAATTCCTTTCCCATATAAGTATGTGTATATATGTATTCATTGTATTTTGAAGATAAATTTTTACACAGTCATGTTAATCGCTTTCATTTAAGGATTTGAGTTTGATGTCTTGCATACAATGTGATCCCACTGTATGACTACACAAATGTTGGCAAAAGTGAGTTCAGAGGAAATGGTAGGCAAGTACTTCCCAGTTTTGGCCAGAAGATGGAGAAAAAAATAATTCTCAAAAAATGTTAAAGGTATGACCTGTTATATTTTCTTTTCACAGTAATTTAGACAGAAATTAGCAAAATCAAAAATGTATAAATACTTTGGTCTGACAATTCCATCTCCAGGTGTCTACAGAGAAATAGACAAGCGATGCACGACAGATACATGTGTCAGTCTGGTCCCTGCAGTTGTATTTGTAATAATACACATTGGAGCAATTTCATGGCCATCAGTTAGAGAATGTTTGAGGAATGATCCATTCATATCAAGAAGGACATTTCAAAGATCAAAGCGTGATGGAAATGCTGGAGACCATGGCACTGATAGGAGCTCATGCGTGTTGACCAATTACTACGTGACAGGCATTGGCTCCATGCTTTTCCTGCACGGCTCATTTAAACACTGGACAACCTAAGTGTTCTGATTTAGCCCATTGGACAGATAGAAATGGAGGCACAGAAGATTAATGTGTTTAACTTCAAACCCTGGCAGATTAGGTTTTTCATCCAGAGCCTGTGGCTTCACCATAGCTGTGATTCACGTTCTGTCATTCTCCACTTTAGGAATTTCCAGTATTCCAAATATGAGAAGCTGAGAAAACAAACAACAAACTCAAAACCCTAAAAACCAGGATACGTAAGGGTAGATGTTTGTTGGGTGTGGATTAAAAATGGACTTTTTTTGCCCCAAGCAACAAAGAGGCATCTTAGAAAATAGACAAGAGACAAGAAGAAGAGAAGCTTTAAGAGATATTTGGTCCAAGGAAGAGACTATTCAGATGGAAGGTCACATCAGCTAGAAACATTAATATGACTGGATGGGCTCAAACCACTGACTTTTCAGTCAACATCCGACAGCACTAACCCAGTGTTCCAGAGACACTGCTTGTTAAACAGTGAAAGCTGTTGCTCAATTGTGTCATCCGTAATTGTCAAATATTGCCATTTAGTAGCACAAGGAAGTATTCTCCGTTGCCAAGCTAGAGTACCCATAACTCTTCTGTTTTGTTGAACATTCTTCCCCACCACAAACCCTCTTTAGAAGACTGGGGGCTCCTAAAGCATTGAGGCCGAGAGTCCCGTCCTTGTGCATGTTTGGGCATTGACCCACGGCCAAGTCAGTGGGAGACTCCTCCACGCCTACGCCAGGTCCCCAGGTGACAACTGCAGTCTCTGGATCTGAAGTCATCCACTTTCCCATTCCTAGCTCACCTCACCCATCGTGAAGCCTGGTTAGTATTGCCAGAGACCCGAGTGGGCAGATGCCCACACCAAAGACAGAACCTGCTGTGTGCCCACCTTGCTGATCCCTCCATCCTTCTAGACAAAGGCTTCATAAGCCAGGGACCTTGGGTTTGCTCACAAGGCAGCCCCTCACCTAGTAGGCATTAGTTCATTATGTATATGTATATGTAGTCCTCAGGTTGTATTCCTTAAATATATATAATTTAAGGATATGTATTATATATATAAATATATATGTAATTCCTTAAATATATAATTTTAATACAACTTTTTTTTTTTTTGAGATGGAGTCTCACTCTGTCTCCCAGGCTGGAGTGCAGTGGCACCATCTTGGCTCACTGCAAGCTCCACCTCCCAGGTTCACACCATTCTCCTGCCTCAGCCTCCCAAGTATCTGGGACTACAGGCGCCCGCCACCACGCCAGGCTAATGTTTTTTTTGTATTTTTAGTGGAGATGGGGTTTCACCATGTTAGCCAGGATGGTCTCGATCTTCTGACCTTATGATCCACCCAACTCGGCCTCCCAAAGTGCTAGGATTACAGGCGTGGACCACCGCGCCTGGCCAAAACAAAGTTTTTAAAAATTCCTTTAATAAACATTTACAATAACATCAAGAAATATAAACGACATAGCAAATATGTGAAAGCCAGCCAGACTCTCAATGGCATCCAGAAATATAAACTACATAGAAAAGATGTGAAAGCCAGCCAGGCTTGGCTTCAAATCCCAGCACTTTGGAAGGCTGTGGCAAGAGGGTTGCTTGATCTCAGAAGCTTGAAACTAGCCTAGGCAACATAGTGAGCCCTCATCTCACTGAAAATCAGAAAAATTATCCGGGTTTGGTGGTGTGAGCCTGTAGTCCCAGGAATCAGTGGATGAGGCCCTAGGATGTCATAGGCCTGAGAATTCCATGCTGCAGTGAGCTGTGATTGTGCCACTGTACTCCAGCCTGGGTGAAAGAGTGAGATCCTGTGCAGAAACAAAAGAAGAAAAAAAAAGATGTGAAAGCCTATATATTGAAGACTACCAAGTACTGCTTAGAGCAGTTAAAGACCTTTGGAATAGAAAATGTTTCTTCTTGCATTTCAAGATTGCTTTTGTTTTGGGGGGACACACTATTTTTTAGGAATATGAAGTTCTTGTTAGGCATTCCTGTAAAAAAGGCCACTTTTTGATAGGATTGTATTGAATCTGTGGGTTGCTTTGAGTTGTATTTTTATCTTAACCATGTTACAACTTCCAACCCATGGACACAAGATGTCTGTCCATTGATTTAGGTCTTCCTGAATCTCCTCGAGCAATGTTCTGTAGTTGTCTGTGTACAAGTACGGCACCTTCTTGAACAAATTTATTCCCAGGCATATTATTCTTACAAGTGCTATTATAAATGAAATCATTGTGTCAATTTTCTTCTCAGATTGTTCATTGCTAACACAACTGATTGTCTGCTGAAAGTTTGCTGAATTCGCTTATTAACTCTAGTAGTGTGTGTATGTGAGTGTGTGTGTGTGTGTGTGTGTGTGTGTCTGGCCTCTGTGTGCATGTATGTGTGTTTGCATCTGTAGGTATTATTTGGGATTTTCTATGCATAGGATCACACCATCTGCAAATTGAGATCATTTTGTTTTCTGTTCAAAAATACTTTTTCTCATGTTTATTTTTAAAAGATAATTTGGCCAGGTGTAGAATTGTAGGTGACAGTTTTTCTTTTTTTAAGTTCTTTATTGCAAACTTCTTGTTTGTATGAGAAATCTTATGCCATCCTTATATTTAGTGCTCTGTATGTAACATGTTCTTTCCCTTTTTATTCCTTTTAGGATTTCCTTTTTATCACTGGTTGTGATGGATTTGATTAAGGCGTTCCTTGGTGAAGTTTTCTTCATGTTTCTTGTTCTTAGAATAATCATATTTCTGTAATATTTGAAGTTTATGGTTTCCATGGAGCTTCTAAATCTTTCATCCAGTATGTTTTAAATATCTTTGTCTCTCTTCTCCACTACACGCCCTTCAGGGATTCCATTTAGCCCTATACTTGGGGGTTTAAAGTTTTGACGCCGATGGTCTTTTTATGTTTTCAAGTCATTTGTTACTGTGTGTTTCATTTATGTTAGTTTCAACTTCTATTCCTTCTAGTTCAATAATCTTCTCTTCTGCAATGTTTAATCCACTGCCTTCTTCCATTTCAGACTGTAAATCATACTTTTTATTTACAGAATTTGATATTTAAAAAATCTTCAACCTCCCCATTTAATTAAAATACAATTATTCTAACTGCTCTAATGTCCTTTCCTTCTATTTCCAACATGTCTGTCAATTTCAACTAGATTATTAGATTCTTCATTATGTGTCATGTTTTCCTGCTTCTTTGGCTGCTTCATATTCTTTTATTTTTATTTATTTTTTTTGCGGGGGGATAGAGTTTTGCTCTCGTTGCCCAGGCTGGAGTGCAATGGTGTGATCTCAGCTCACTGCAACCTCCACCTCCCAGGTACACAAGCGATTCTCCTGTCTCAGCCTCCCAAGTAGCTCAGATTACAGGCATGCACCATCATGCCTGGCTAATTTTTTTGTATTTAGTAGAGATGGGGTTTCACCATGTTAGTCAGGCTGGTCGTGAGCTCCTGACCTCAGGTGATCCATCTGGCTGCTTGATATTCTAAGATTTGATGCTGGAACTTTGGTGTCAATGCTCAAAATGCCCAAAGACACCACTCAACCTCAGTGTCTATGCACACCCAAGCTTTTGCAGCAGGACAGGTAGAGCAGAGATGAGTGTGCTACAACATGCTGGTAGAGGGTACCCCCAATTGTGCTTGGGGATTTCCTATTCCTCATGGAAAAATGTGTCTTCCTTAATTTTTCCCATAAGAACCACCCTACTTCATGCCCTGTCTCTCTGTCCAAACACCAGGACAGTCCTCTCACCAGTCTCAACCACCCAATGGAATGACAAAGGTGCAAATATGATTCAGTGGAGAAGGCATTCTCTTGTCAACAAATTGTGTAGAAACAACTTTTTTTTACACAATTTGGTTTTTTTTTTTTTTATCCCCAAAGGAAAAAAATTCACCTGAACCTCAATACTAACTCAAAAACTAACTCAAAATGGATTATGCAACTAAATATAAACTATAAAACTAGAAAAAGTATAGCAGAAAATATAAGACAAAATCTTCATGACACAGAGTTAGGCAAAGTGTTCTTTATTATCAATAAACACAAACCATTAAAGAAAACATTGATAAATTCGACTTTATAAAAATTAAAAGTTTTTGCTCAACAGTATTAAGAGGACAAATATAAGCTGCAGTTTGGGAGAAAAACAGTGGAAATCACCAATATGACAAAGGGCATGTGTGATAGTTACTTGTAGTTGTCACTGTGACCGAGCACCAGGGTGCCAGGACATTTGGCCAAACATGATTCTGGTTGTGTTCCAGAGAGTCTTTCAGATATGATTAACATTGGGATGGGCAGACTAAGTGAAGCAGATTGCCCTCCTTAATAGGGGTGGGCCTCATGCAATCCATCAAGGGCCAGGAGAGAATTAAGAGGCCTAATGGGAAACAAATGCTTTCCTGGGTATCCAGCTTTCCTTCCATCTTGGGAATTTCAGCCTCCATAATCTCAGAAGCAAATTCATGTATATATATACACACACATATACATTTCATAGGTATGTGGCTAAGATTGTATTTTTATAAGTTCAGCCATGAGATGATTGGTGAAGCCAGCCAATGAATAAGGGTGTGTTCTATTATATGATTCAGTCTTCTTTTGTAAACGATTGAAGTTCTGCATTTGAAGTAGGAGGATAGGAGGGAGCAAGTCCACCTAGGATGATAACAGCTGAATTTCTCAACATACACTTCAGAGCCGTAGGAGTCAACTTAGAGACTCAAAAATCTCACCCATAATCCTGCCCCTAAACACCAGGGCTAGGGAACACTGTGGCCCTCAGGTGATTTTCTTTAGCCAGGACTGGGAGCCACACGACGGCAGAGGGAGCAGGAAACACTATGCAAATAGAGGCCAGGACAGCAGGGAGGGCCTGTTCATGATAGAACCCAGGCAAAACTCTCCTCAGAAAGCGAGTGTGGAGAAACATAGATCATGCCTGAGACCTGGAGGATTAGAGCACTGGCTACTGGGGAATTGAAAGGAAGGGGCTTCACCGTGCAGAGGACCAGAGGTGCCAATCTTGGAAACGCAGAATTGCTGGGAGATGGGGAGGCGTGGACCATGGAAGTATCCTCTGGAGACTCATGGTGAAGAGAACAAATGAATGAAGTAACTGGCAGAAATTAGAGGTCCTGGTAGAACAAAATAGAATCCCACAATGAGAACATACACCATGTATGTCCCCCAAGGATGACAATATCTCCTAAAAACTCCAGAAAAATCATTTTGGACAAGCACCTTATATCTAGTAATGCGATTCATGTATCAAGACCGTGAAAAAAGATTATTAAACATGCTAAACTCAGCGAGACCTGATTCCCTCATGAGGACTCTGTTAAGGATGAGTACCACTCAGCAAGTGACGACTGTGACATTCACTTTTGAATAGCTCATGAGCGTTAATATATTTCATTGTGGATCTAAACCAAAAACCAAGGTAGGGGCAAGATGATAATCACAGAATGTCACCGGTATATGTTTAGGTTCAAATACTATTATGAGAAGTGGCAGGTAAAGGAGGTAGGAAAAAGAAAACACATCATGTAATTGACTGTTGTATGGAAATATTTGATGCTGAAAGTTATAATTTAAAACTATAAACCAAATATTAGAAGTGTGTCTAGTTCAAAGGGAGGAAAACCATCAAAAACATTTTTAGTGCAATATTTAACATGAGCTATACAACCGTTCCTAAATGCCAAAGGCACACACAGACACACACACAGACACACACACACAGACACACACACACACACACACACGAAGAATACAAATGACTAGAACCAAGAAATGTAAATACATTCTGCTACGTATGGTAAACATAGCCTACAATGTGGAAGAGATTAGAAAATAAACATGGAAATGAAATGTTTTTATTAATTCGCATCAGTACCCACCAAAACCAATCAGCATAATCAAATATTATAACACTGAATGTAAAAAACAATCCAAAAATCCAGAGTGATAGGCAAAAGGTTTGAATTGTATAGATTAAAATTAACTTCGGACAAAAATTAAAACTCAGGCAGAGAATGTTTTCTTCTTTTTGCAACAACAGACACTAGTAAAAACAAAGGCACAGTAAAAATTGAGACGCAAAATTTCCAGCGTAGAGATATGAATATAATAATAGACACAGGCAGGGAGGATTAATAAATGATAAAATGTTTAGAGGATGATCATTAGAATACAGGATATTTATACTCTTGAAAACCGCTTTCCCAAGTACTTCATTATAAGTAAGGTGTCTCTAAAAGGGACAGATCTCCTAGACCCCTCCTTAACCAAGTAACCAGTCCTGATATCATAATGGTGATGGACAAACTAGACCTTCTCTGCCCGCAGATGGGCTGAGGTTGGAAACTCACAGCATTGTCTCTGCAGTGTTCCCGGCAAAATGTTTAGGCTGAATTTAATCATGAAGACATTTTCAGACAACTTCAGAATGTAGATCATTGAGCCAGACAGCTGATCTGTCCTCTATAAAAAAGTCCATGTCACCACCATCAATGACAACAAAAAGATGAGGAAATATTTGGGGTTCAAAATAACTAAAGAAATGCAGCTATATTATCTTTTTACTTTTTTTGAACCCAAAATATCTCTTCTCCTTTTTTGTTGTGTGATTTGTGGTGATATGGACTATGTGAAGGAGACAGGTCAGTTGTCCTGCTCAGTGTTCTACATTCTGCAGTTGTCTGGTGATTACCTCCTATGAAACTCAGGCTAAGCGTTTTCTGCAAGAACATGGCATTGTTCATATTCTGCACCGGCAGAGTCCTGGGTGACATGCTGTCTCCTGCCAGCGGCTCCTGACTCCTGTTCTCTACAGGATGGAATTGAGAGGAGCAGGGCTAAGGCCTCCCAATGCTGTTTGTCCATCTAGCTGTGGTCTTCCTAAGTACTGACACCAATTGGAGGCTGAAGGACTGTGGCTTCTCTAACCAAAGGAGCCTAGCGGGTTAACAATTGTCAAGAGCAGTTGGTGGTTCTGAAATACAATCCTCAGCCAAGGATCCCTCCTGTGTTACAGATGGATCAGCTAAAACAAGCCAACACTGAAGACACAAAGAATGAGGTTAGGTTCATTGAAACCAGGGTAACACCTTTGGATGAGCTAAACACAAAGATGACACTGACCTTGAGCAGGTATAGAAGCTCAGAGACATGCCTGCAAAATGAAATCCCTGAGGAACTTTGTAGCTACCCAGAGATACGTGGTTCAAATTAAAATGTCTGACTGATCACTCCCGGCATGTGCTGCACAGTTATGTGAACGTGTCACACCTAACGTGGGTCCATTGTCTTCAGACTGAGCACAGGTTGACACTGACATGCTCTGAGAATAGGAATAGAGCCATGCCCACTGACCCATCCTATGTCTGGGCTTCCAAATGGAACTATAGTTTCATTCAAATCTTCACGTGCCTATAGGTCCTGCCTGCAGGAATGACACCTCTCGGCTTAGTAAGGGCTGCTTATTGTGGGAATATGACTCCCATCTGGAACACCAGGTGGAGACTTGTCACCGTCAAAGTAAAAAACCTATTGTCCACGTAAAGGGCGAAGCTGATGTGCTGTTCCTCAAATGAGTAAAACACACTTCTGTAGTGCTGGAATGAGTCAGGTAGTTCAAAGTACATTAACGGAGTCGAATAACATCTATCCAGTGAGTCCTGTAAGACTTCAGGCTCTTCCACTTCCATCAGCACGCCGTTGAGCCTGCAAAATGAGACAAAACTAAAGAAGCAGCCAGGGAAAATCAAACACCACAGAGCTCCACTAGATTTCAGAAGTAACATAAGGAAGTGGTTAGAAAAGAAAAAGGATAGATCCATTAATGAAGTAAAAAAAAAAAATTATTGCCTTTATGTTGGGATAGAACGGGGCCAGGTAGAAAACAATGAAAGAGAAAGAGAGAGAGAGAGAGACAGAGACAGAGACAGAGAGAAAGTGACCTAGTGAGTTGGCCAGGTGACATACTGGTAAGGGAGTCAAAGGACACTCTGAGTTAGTGCCCTCATGACACACAGCAAACTGTGATCATGAAAAGAGTGAGCTCAATAGTTTTCCATAAAATATGCTCAAAATTCGATGCAGCGGCCATGAGAGTACAGCTTTTGAAGTATGGTCAACCTATGGTACGTTAGTAAATGATAAGGGGAGGAAGAAATGGAAACCTAAACATCTACTGCAATGAAAACCAACAGCAATGACAGTAGGAGTAATTCAGCCTTCGTTGAAAACATGAAATCAAACACACTCTGGTTTCCCTGAATCTGTTGCCTCCAGGTGTTAACACAGAATTAAGCATCCACAATTGCTGAAAGTCACCTGGGGCATGGTGGGTTTTGATCTTCTTCCCCTTCTTTTCTTCCCCTTCTCCTTCTTTTCTTCTTTGATCTTCTTCCCCTTCTTTTCTTCCCCTTCCCCTTCTTTTCAATTTCTACAATAAATTCAGGCATGGACAGACACATTAAGCTGATTCCCCTACACACATAACAATCCACTGTCTAATCCTCACACAGGGACCTCAGGCTCCTCAGCATAAGCATAGGACACTGTGAGAGATATATTTCAGGAGGCCCAAAGGCTGGTCGTGATAGAAATTACTCGGTTTTTCTCCCAGAAACTGTGGGTAAAATGTCCCTATTCTAGTAGATCGTTATCCCAATATCATTTGTCCCAAGTTTGTGCAAACAGTTATGCCATATTTTTCCAATCAGTTTAAAGCAAATAACCTCAAATGATTTCTAGGAGAAAAACTGCAACATTTAGCCCTGTCTCATCAAATACTCAGATTGTTCATGGTTGTGAGGACTTCAGACACTGAAATTAGAGTGAAAAAGGAAATCTACAAACCCTTGAGTCAAAATCATAGTTCTCTGAATTTGTCACATCTGCCCAGGTCCAATGTCATGAGAGTAGAATCAGAGTGCCACAGGCATGGCCTGAGACTAGGAAGAGAGCCATGCTCACTGACCCATCCCATGTCTGGGCTTCCAGGTAGAACTAGAGTTTCATTCAACCTACATGTGCCTATAGGTCCTCACTGCAGCAATGACATCTCTCAGCTCAGTAATGGCCACTTGCAGCAGGAATATGATCTTTATATGGAAGACTCAGTGGATCCTTATCACCTTCATAGAAACGTACTCACCTCCCACGTCAAGAGAAAAGCCAACATGTTTTTCCTCCAATGCATAAAAGGAACTTCCATAGGGCTGGCAGGAGTCAGGCTGTTCAAGACAACTGGAAGGAGTTGAATAACATCTATCCAGTGAGTCCTGCAAGACTTCAGGCTCTACTACCTCCAGCAGCTCCCTGCTGAGCCTGGAAAAGGAGGAAAAAGTAAAGAATAAGCCATGGGAAATCAGACACGACAGAGCCCCAACTAGGTTTCATGGGTAGCATAAGGAAGTGGTTAAAAAACTAAAAGGATAGATCCATTAATGAGGTAACAAATTATTGCCTTCATGTTGGGACAGAACAGGGCCAAATGGAAAAGAATGAAAGAGAAAGACAGACACACACACACACAAACACACACACACACACTGAGAGAGAGAGAGAGAGAGAGAGAGAACGAGCTCAGTGAATTGTCCAGGTGACACACTGATGAGGGAGTAACAGGACACTCTGAGTTAGTGCCCTCAGGACACACAGCATACAGTGATCATGAAAAGACTGTGCTCAATAATTTTCCATAAAATGTGCTCAAGTTTCCATGCAGTCGCCATGAGAATACAGTTTTTGAAGACTGGTCCACCTACAGTAGGTTAGTAAATGATAAGGGGAGGAAGAAATGGAAAGCTAAATATCTACTGCAATGAAAACCAACAGCAATGTTAGTAGGAATAATTCAGGCTTGGTTGAAAAGATGTAATCGATAATGTCAGCCCGCTCTGTTTTCCCTGAACCAGGAGTCTCCAGATGTCAACACAGAAGTAGCTGTTCACAATTGTTCAGTTACCTGGGGCATGGTGGGCCTTGGTCTTCTTCCTCTTCTTGGTCCTTTTTAATTCCTGCAATACATTCAGACAGGGACAGACAAAATATGCCAATTCACCTACACCCATAACAGTCCACTGTCTAATCCCCACACAGGGATCTCAGGCTCCTCAGCATGAGAACAGGACAATGTGAGAGATATACTTCAGGAGGCCTGAAAGCTGGTCATGATATTCTTTGGTTTGCATCTCAGAACCAAGGGTGAAATATCCCTATTCTGCTAGATCGTTATCCCAAAATCATTTATCCCAAGTTTGTGCAAACAGTTATGCCTTATTGTTCCCATCAGTTCAAAGAAAATGCCCCAGATGATTTCTAGGAGGAAAACTGCAGTATTCAGCCCTGTCTCATCAAATGCCCAGCTCGTTCACGGATGCAAGAATTTTAGACACTGAAATTAGAATGAAGGAGGAAATCTACAAACCCTTGAGTCCAAATCATAGTTCTGTGATTTTTTTACATCTCCCTGGGTCCAATGTGCTGAGAGCGGGCTCAGGTTGCCACAGGCATGGCTGGAGACTAGGAATAGAGCCTTGCTCACTGACCCATTTCATGTCTAGGCTTCCAGCTGAGACTACAGTTTCATTACAACCTATATGCGCCCATAGGTCCTGCCTGCGGCAATGACATCTCTCGGGTCAGTAAGGGCCACTTGGAACAGGAATATCACCCCTATCTGGAAGACCAGGTGGAGGCTTATCACCTTCATAGTAAGGTACTCACTGTCCATGTCAAGAGCCAAGCCAAGGTACTGTTCCTCCAATGAGTAAACAGCACTGCTGTAGGGCTGGCCTAAGTCAGGCAGTTCAAGATAACCTGAAGGAGTCGAATGACATCTATCCAGTGAGTCCTGCAAGACTTCAGGCTCTTTCTCATCCAGCAGCTCCCTGCTGAGCCTGGAAAAGTAGGAAAAAGTAAAGAATAAGCCAGGGGGAAACAGAAACCAACCAGCCCCAGCTAGATTTCATGGCTAACATAAGGAACTGTTTAAAAAGAAAAAGGACAGATCCATTAATGAGGTAATGAATTATTGCCTTTATGTTGGGATAGACCAGGGCCAGGTAGAAAAGAATGAAAGAGAAAGACACGGAGAGGGAGAGAGAGAGAGAGAGAGAGAGAGAGAGAGAGAGAGGAGAAAGTGAGCTCAGCGAGTTGGCCGGGTGACACACTGATGAAGGGGTCAAAGGACACTCTGAGTTAGTGCCCTCGGGACACACAGCGAACAGTGATCATGAAAACAGTGGGCTCAATAATTTTCCATAAACTTGCTCAAGATTCCATGCAGTTGCCATACAGCCTTTGAGGTATGGTCAACCTATAGTAAGTTAGTAAATGATAAGGGGAGGAAGAAATGGAAACCTAAACATCTACTGCAATGAAAACCAACAGCAATGTCAGTAGGAGTAATTCAACCTTCGTTGAAAACATGAAATTGAACACACTCTTGTTTTCCCTGGACCTGGCATCTCCAGGTGTCAACACAGAATTAAGCATCCGTAATTGCTCAAAGTTACCTGGGGCATGATGGGTCTTGGTCTTCTTCCACTTCTTGGTACTTTTCAATTTCTGCAATAAGTTCAGACATGGACAGACATATTAAGCTGGTTCTCCTACACACATAACAATCCACTGTCTAATCCTCACACAGGGACTTCAGGCTCCTCAGCATGAGAATAGGACACTGTGAGAGATATTCTTCAGGAGGCCTGAAGGCTGATCACCATAGAGATTCCTTGGTTTTTGTCCCAGAAACTGTGGGTAAAATTCCCTATTCTGGTAGATCGTTATCCCAATATCATTTGTCCCAAGTTTGTGCAAATGGCTATGCCATATTTTTCCAATTGATTTAAAGCAAATGCCCCCAAATAGTTGCTAGGAGAAAAACTGCACTATTCAGCCCTGTCTCATCAAATACTCAGATTGTTCATGGTAGCGAGGATTTTAGACGCTGAAATTAGAGTGAAGGATGAAATCTACAGGATCTACAAAATTGAGACGAAATCAGAGTTGTGTGAATTTGTCACATCTGCCCAGATTCAACATCTTGAGAGTAGGATTAGGGCGCCACAGGCATGGCCTGAGACTAGGAAGAGAGCCCTGCTCACTGACCCATCCCTTGTCTGGGCTTCCAAGTGGAACTAGAGTTTCATTCAACCTACATGTGCCTATAGGTCCTCCCTGTGACAATGACATCTCTCAGCTCAGTAAGGGCCACTTGCAGTAGGAATATGACCCTAACCAGAAGACTCAGTGGATCCTTATCACCTTCATAGAAAGGTACTCACCATCCATGTCAACAGCCAAGCCAACACGCTGTTGCTCCAATACGTAAAAGGCACTTCTGTAGGGCTGGCATGAGTCAGTCAGTTCAAGACAACCTGAAGGAGTTGAATAACATCTATCCAGTGAGTCCTGCAAGACTTCAGGCTCTTTCTCATCCAGCAGCTCCCTGCTGAGCCTGGAAAAGTGGGAAAAAGTAAAGAATAAGCCAGGGGGAATCAGAAACCACACAGCCCCAGCTAGATTACATGGCTAACATAAGGAAGAGTTTGAAAAGAAAAAGGACAGATCCATTAATGAGGTAACAAATTATTGCCTTTATGTTGGGATAGACTAGGGCCAGGTAGAAAAGGATGAAAGAGAAAGACACACACACATACACACATACACACACACACACACACACACACACACACACACACACAGAGTGGGCTCAGTGAATTGGCCAGGTGACACACTGATCAGGGATTCAAAGGACACTCTGTATTTGTGCTCTCAGGACACACAGTGAACAGTGATCATGAAAAGCATGGCCTCAATAATTTTGCATAAAATTTGCTCAAGTTTCCCTGCAGTCACCATGAGAATACAGCTTTTGAGGTATGGTCAACCTTCACTAGGTTAGTAAATGATAAGGGTAGGAAGAAATGGAAACCTAAACATGTACTCTAATGAGAACCAAAAAGCAATGTTAGTAGGCATAATTCAGACTTGTCTGTCAAGATGAAATTATTATTTTCAGCATGTACTGTTTTCCCTGGACTTGGCATCTCCAGGTGTCAACATCAAATTAACTGTCCACAATTTCTCAGACTCGCCTCGGACCTGTTGCCTCTTGGTCCTCCTTTTTCACTTGATCCCACCGATATCCTGCAAATAAATTCAGATGGGGCCTCTTACATTAAGCAGTTCTTCCTTGCACACGGAAACATTCCTCTGTCCAATCCTAACACAGGGACATCAGTCTTGTCAGTGTGAGAACAGGAGACTTTGAGAGAAATATTCCAGTAGGCCTGAGGTCAAGTCTTGAGAAAACTGGCTTGAGTTCTTTCATGAGCCTTGGGCAAAATTACCCTGTTTTGGAATGTTATCTTCCCTATGTGCTCTGTCCTAGGTTTGTGTACACAAATGAGCAATTTCTTCCCCAATAAATTGTAGGCAAATAGTTCTAACACCTCATAGGAGAGATACTTCAATATTAAGCTTTCTCTCATCAAATACCCAGAATTTGATAGTTTATGAGATTGTGGACACAGAGATTTGATGAAGGGGTGCAATGTACCAGCTCTTGAGTCAAAATGAAACTTGGTTCTACACAGAAGCATCAGCTATTATGGCTTTTGTGGGTGAAAAGTCAGCCATTTATCTAGAAAACATACCAGGAACATGACGGACAGATGAGCTAAAACAAGCGAACTTAGAAGACACAGAAAATGGGGATAAATTCAGTGAAACCTGGATCACATCTTTCACTGAGAGGTAGACAAGGGTGACACTGGCCTTGGGCAGGTAAAGAACCACACAGACATGCTTTGGGAACAAAACTCATAAGGAATTTTGTAGCTGGCAAGAGACATTTAATTCAGATGAGCTGAGCTGACAGACAACTCCTGGGCATGTGCTGCATAGTTTGGTGTGAGTTTGCCACACCTGCCTTGAGTTCAATGTCGTGACAGTCAGTCCAGGTTGGCACAGGCATGGCCTGAGACTAGGAAGAGAGCAAAGCTCACTGACCCACCCCATGCCTGTGCTTCAGACTCGACTCTAGAGTGATTGAAATCTACATTGATATATAGGTTCAGCCCACAGTGATGGCAACTCTCAGCCCAACCAGGGGCACAAGGCACAAAGATTATGGGGTCTACCTGGGCCATGAACTGGAGCTTTATCACCTTCACAATGGAGTACTCACTGCCTATGTCAACAGCCATGCAGACTTGCTGTTCCTCTAATGAGTGAAATGTGCTGCTGTAAGACTTGTACGAGGCCAACATTTCAGGAGGAATTGAGAGAGTCGAATAACCTTCATCCCAGGACTCTTGGGGGACTTCCTCCTCTTCAGACTCCTGCAGATTCCTGATGAGCCAGGCAGGACAGGGATGATAGAAGATTTAACCAACAGAGATTAGACAACAAAACCTCCCAGATGATCTGATGGGAGACAGAATGGAGTGGTCACAGAAACCAAAGGCATTTTTCCTTCAAGAGAAATAAAACTATCCTTCTAAATGCAGGGTGGAGGGTGACTGCTCTGGGGACACAGCAAAAATGGGCAGCATGTGCTCAGTACTTTTGCCACAGATGAGCCAACTCAGGGCACCCAGACTCTCCCTGTAAACTACCATCAAGACTTGCAGCACAGAGAACTGACACAGGGCTTCAACTACTTTGCATAAATTGGGTTGAATTTTACATGCAGCATTCAAGTGAAGAGAGTTCTTGACGCAGTGCAGACACAGATCTTGTGTATTAAGGGCCCCATTTTCCCAATATTTTGATATAATATATTTACTTTTTCAATTTCTTTTCTTGCAAAAATACTAGCCAACATTCTACCAACAAATGGGAAGAAAGCATATATACATCTCTCCCTGGATTTAAACACATGGGAGAGAATAGGCGACACCAAGAAATCACTGTTTGAGGGTCTGGAGTGGACTTCCAGCAAACTCCAACAGACCTGAAGCTGAGGGACCTGACTGTTAGAAGGAAAACTAACACACAGAAAGGAATAGCATCAACATCAACAAAAAAGACATCCACCCCAAAACCCCATCTGTAGGTCACCATCATCAAAGACCAAGGGTAGATAAAACCACAAAGGTGGGGAGAAACCAGAGCACAAAAGCTGAAAATTCCAAAAACCTGACATCCCTTCTCCTCCAAAGGATCGCAGCTCCTCGCCAGCAATGGAACAAAGCAGGATGGAGAATGACTTTGATGAGCTGACAGAAGTAGGCTTCAGAAAGTCGGTAATAACAAACTTCTCTGAGCTAAAGGAGGATGTGCGAACTCATCGCAAGGAAGCTAAAAACCTTGAAAAAAGATTAGACGAATGGCTAACCAGAATGAACAGTGTAGAGAAGACCTTAAATGACCTGATGGAGCTGAAAACCATGGCACGAGAACTACGTGATGCATGCACAAGCTTCAGTAGCCAATTCGATCAAGTGCAAGAAACGGTATCAGTGATTCAAGATCAAATTAGTGAAATGAAGCGAGAAGAGAAGTTTAGAGAAAAAAGAGTAAAAAGAAATGAACAAGCCTCCAATAAATATGGGACTATGTGGAAAGACCAAATCTACGTTTGATTGGTGTACTGAAAGTGACGGGGAGAATGGAACCAAGCTGGGAAACATTCTTCAGGATATTATCCAGGAGGACTTCCCCAACCTAGCAAGGAAGGCCAACATTCAAATTCAGGAAACACAGAGAACACCATAAAGATACTCCTCGAGAAGAGCAACCCCAGGACACATAATTATCAGATTCACCAAGGTTGAAATGACGGAAAAAATGCTAAGGGCAGCCAGAGAGAAAGGTCGGATTACCCACAAAGGGAAGCCCATCAGACTAGCAGCAGATCTCTTGGCACAAACCCTACAAGCCAGAAGAGAGTGGGAGCAATATTCAACATTCTTTTTTTTTCCATATGTATAGTTTTCCTTTATTATTTTCTGTGTGTATGTATATATATATATATATGTATTTTTAATACTTTAAGTCTTAGGGTACATGTGCACAACGTGCAGGTTAGTTACATATGTATACATGTCCACATTGGTGTGCTTCACCCATTAACTCATCATTTAACATTAGGTATATCTCCTAATGCTACCCCTCCTCCCTCCCCCCACCCTACAACAGGCCCCAGTGTGTGATGTTCCCCTTCCTGTGTCCATGTGTTCTCATTGTTCAATTCCCACCTGTGAATAAGAACATGCGGTATTTGGTTTTTTGTCCTTGCAATAGTTTGCTGAGAATGATAGTTTCCAGCTTCATCCATGTCCCTACAAAGGACATGAACTCATCATTTTTTATAGCTGCATAGTATTCCATGGTGTATATGTGCCACATTTTCTTTATCCAGTCTATCATTGCTGGATATTTGGCTTGGTTCCAAGTCTTTGCTATTGTGAATAGTGCCACAATAAACATATGTGTGCATGTGTCTTTACAGCAGCATGATTTATAATCCTTTGGGTATACACCCAGTAGTGGGATGGCTGGGTCAAATGGTATTTCTAGTTCTAGATCCCTGAGGAATTGCCACACTGCCTTCTACAATCGTTGAACTAGTTTACAGTCCCACCAATGGTGTAAAAGTGTTCCTATTTCTCCACATCCTCTCCAGCACCTTCAACATTCTTAAAGAAAAGAATTTTCAACCCAGAATTTCATATCCAGCCAAACAAAGCTTCATAAGTGAAGGAGAAATAAATCCTTTACAGAGAAGCAAATGCTGAGAGATTTTGTCACCACCAGGCCTGCCCAAAAAGAGCTCCTAAAGGAAGCACTAAACATGGAAAGGAACAACCGGTACCAGCCACTGCAAAAACATGCCAAACTGTAAAGACCATTGACGCTAGGAAGAAACTGCATCAACTAACGGGCGAAATAACCAGCTAACATCATAACGACAGGATCAAATTCACACATAACCATATTAACCTTAAATGTAAAGGGGCTAAGTGCCCCAGTTAAAAAACCCAGAATGGCAAATTGGATAAAGAGTCAAGACCCATCAGTGTGCTGTACTCAGAAAACCCATCTCACATGCAGAGACACACATAGGCTCAAAATAAAGGGATGGAGGAAGATCTACCAAGCAAATGGAAAGCAAAAAAATGCAGCGGTTGCAATCCTAGTCTCTGATAAAACAGACTTTAAACCAACATATATCAAAAGAGACAAAGAAGGCCACTACATAATGGTAAAGGGATCAATTCAACAAGAAGAGTTAACTATCCTAAATATATATGCACCCTATACAGGAGCACCCAGATTCATAAAGCAAGTCCTGAGAGACCTACAAAGAGATTTAGACTCCACACAATCATAATGGGAGACTTTAACACCCCACTGTCAATATTAGACAGATCAATGAGACAGAAGCTTAACAAGGATATCCAGGACTTGAACTCAGCTCTCCACCAAGCAGACCTAAAAGACATCTACAGAACTCTCCACCCCAAATCAACAGAATATACATTCTTCTCAGCATCACATCACACTTATTCCAAAATTGACCACATAGTTGGAGGTAAAGCACTCGTCAGCAAATGTAAAAGAATGGAAATCACAACAAACTGTCAGACCACAGTGCAATCAAATTAGAACTCAGGATTAAGAAACTCACTCAAAACCGCACAACTACATGGAAACTCAACAACCTGCTCCTGAATGACTACTGGGAAAATAACAAAATGAAGGCAGAAATAAAGATGTTCTTTGAAACCAATGAGAACAAAGAAACATACCAGAATCTCTGGGACACATTTAAAGCAATGTGTAGAGAGAAAATTATAGCACTAAATGCCCACAAGAGAAAGCAGAAAAGATCTAAAATTTACATCCTAACATCACAATTAAAACAACTAGAGAAGCAAAGCAAACAAATTCAAAAGCTAGCAGAAGACAAGAAGTAACTAAGATCAGAGCAGAACTAAAGGAGATAGAGACACAAAAAACCCTTCAAAAAATCAATGAATCCAGGGCTGGTTTTTTGAAAAGATCAACAAGAAAACCCTGTTTGGCTAGCTCACCTGGCTCATCTGATGGCAAGTTCCTATCTTGAGAGGACTATGAAATTAAAACCAATACAAGTGCCACAAATAACATACAACATTGTAAATCAGCACAATTTGTAGCTGGGTGAATGGAAGAAATAGTTCTATTCATCACTTCCTCATTTTCCCTAAATCTACAATCTCCAGATGTCACTACTGAATTAACAGCCAACAATTCCACAACATTACCTGGGAGACACTGGCCCTTTTTCTTCCTCTTCCTCATCATCACTTTCATTTTCTGTAAATAAATTCAGAGAAGCAGGTCACATTAAGCAATTCATACTTCACATATGAACAAATCACTGTCCAGTCATAGCACAAGGACATAACTATTCTCAGTGCAAGAATAAGGATTCTGACAGGAATATTCTAGGGTGCCCTAGATTAACTTTGGTGAGAATTAGATGACCCTGCTTTCCAGACCCACAGGCCAAAATCTCCCTCTACGTGTAGACCATAATGCCATATTCCCTGCCTGAGTCAAAGTTAAACAAAATTTTTTCCCCAAAAAAATCTCCAAAAATTGGTCAAACAATTTTCTAAGAGTGTTGCTGCAATACGGACTTATATCACCAGGTAACATGGACATTAAATGTTTAGAGGCTCTATACATGGAACACGACTGATAGATAAATTTGAACAACTCTTGCTTTAAAAAGAATCTGTGATTTGGGAGGCCAAGACAGGTGAATCATTTGAGGTCATGAGTTCAGGACTACCCTGGCCAATATGGGGAAACCCTGTCTCTACTAAAAATACAAAAATTAGCCAGATGTGATGTTGTGCACCTGTGGTCCCAGCAACTCAGGAGGCTGAGGCAGGAGAATCACTTGAATCTGGGAGGCAGAGGTTGCACCAAGCCAAGATGGTGCCACTGCACTCCAGCCTAGGTGACAGAGCAGGACTCCATCGCAAAAAAAAAAAAAAAAAAATCTACGATGCTACAAAGAAACATTGGATCAGCCATTGCATTGACAGGGTGGAGAACCAGGGTCCAGCCTTGCTTTATGGAAATATATCAGCAAAGTAAAGAAGAAAAGTTTCCGTCCTGATTTCAGGGTGACTGTGCAGCTAAGCAAGCTGACTTGAAGGAGATCCAGATGAAAGCTGAGAGCAGTGAAGCCTGGGGAACAATATTTCCAAATACAAAGGCAAGGCTGCCAGCTTCCTTAAACAGGCATAGAAACTCCATGGACATTGTTCAGGGACAGATGACTTAATCACAGATGACAAGAGATACTGAATCGAAGCTAGGAGCCCTGAGAGATACTGCCTGTGCACCTCCTGCACTCAGGTGACTATGAGATTGTCACACTTGCCTGGGGTCGAGTAACTTGATACTGGGGACTGGCAGACAAAGGCATGACATTAGCTGAGAAGGACAAACAAACTCCCTGATATCTGTTTAGAAACCCATCACAGTTTTTTATTCAAATGAATTTGTGTTTATAGAGCCTGTCTTCAGAGTTTATCTTCCTCAGCCTAGAGAGAGGTATGAGACACAAGGAAAACAGAGGCTACCTGGGATAATGTGTACAGCATCCTCCCATTCAACATGAGGGGATGAGCCAATGAGAGTTGAGTCGACTTTGTCTTCCTCAAATGTGATTTTGGTTTTCCTATGTGGCTGGTTGGAGTCATAAGGGCCATGGCTATTTGAACAAGTGATGGCACATTCCTCCAGTGAGTCCTCAGGGACTTCCTTTTCTTCAGCCTTCTGCATCTCCCTGATGAGCCAGGTGGGACAGAGATGACAGAAGATTAAACACAGAGGGATTGGACCCCAGGGAGTCCTAGCTGGCTTTGACAGGCGGCATTAAGAGAGTGGTCCCAGAAAGCAAAATGGAGGTTCCCATTAAGAGGGAACATGCAATCCTGTTCTCTCTGCAACAGAGCATGGCTGCCATGGGAACCAGAGAGGAAGAGAGCAGCTGCTGTTCATTGCACTGGACAGATAGGAGCTGAGGAGGATGAAGACTCAGCTATCCCTGTACGGTGCAGACATGACACTCGGCACACATAGAGAAACATGACAGCTGCTGCACCCTGTGTCTAAGCTGGGTTATATTTCACATACTGTGGCCAAGCGAATGCGGGTTTTTGGCCCATCATACATGCCAGAGAGGGTGTGCCTCCTAGATATTCTTCATATGTTACCATCCATTAATTGTTCCTGAGTATTCAGTGTTACCTGGGGGCAGACGATTTCTGCACTTTCTCAGCCACCTCAACTTGAACATCTTCATCGTCATCGTTATCATTTTCTGTAAATACAGAAGTGTTCATTCAGATATTTCCCACTTCACAGTCTGCAAGCACAGTCAGCCCAATGTGCAACAGAGACATGAACACCTAGGCATGGGTCACCGTTCAACTGAAAACTCTCATGTTTTATCTTTAACAGAATGCCCTGGCATGGTTTCCTGGTCCATCGGGCAATGCGTTTCTGATCTGGAAGGCCACCATCAAGATGTGGCCAAATATTGAAAAGACCTTTTGCTTCCCATATCACTGGAGGCTTGTGCAGCCTCTCTCTGGACTTTGGCAGCTGTCTCCCCAATCCTGCCACAGATCTGATTCCCAGGAACAGGCTTGGTGTCCTGTCACAGTTCGCATTTCAAACCTCATTCTTTCTCTTAGGAGAGGACAAACTTGTCCCACAGTCCTCTATGCGTCATGAGACTGCACAGGCCCTCCATGTGGCTTCTGCTGTGTTATTCAGGGACATTCTATCCATGGGGAGTGCTCCAGTCTGAAGCACTTCCTACCACCAAATGACCCCACATCAAGTGCCTTCTCCAACACCACATGGAGAGGGGCTTCATCTCATTTTGAAAAGCATTCATAAGTGTTCCCATATTTGGATGCTTCAGACCCTTGCAAGAGACAATTTGTCTGCCTTTGCAGATGGAGAGAGAGAAACTCTGGAAAGATAAATCACTCACTCACCGACACTTACTAAGAACATTGCCAAAAAGACAGCCTGGGAACCTTCATTCTTAGCCCAGAGCTCTTTTCACTCCAACAAGCGCCCTCCCATCACAGCCTCCTTCCTGTCCTTTAAAACTAGATAGATGCTGCCTCTTGCTCCAAAGACCACCTTCCATCAAGGAAGGAGGGACACTTGCAATACTGTGATCTCCAAACCCATGGGTTTCCCATTTCTGTTCTTACCCAGGAAGTCCTGATCATGTCATGGCTACATATGTGTAGTAGAAAAAAACCCCACTGATACAACTGTCATTGTGAAAGTATGGAGGTCTGGAGCCTCTCATAAGCCTGGGGTTTTGGGTCATCAGGGCCTATGGCCACCTTACCTGGGCTGAGCTTTTGGACAAGGTGCTGTGCCAGTCTACACCCCTCAGCCAGCTGTTCTTGGAGGTCCTGCCCCTGGGACTTTTCTGGCTCATCCGGAGTGAGGAGGGCCTGGAGATGCTGATTCAATGAGCGGGAGGCATCTCTCCCTTCCCGTAACTTCTCCCTTAACTGGGTCAGCTCTCATTCCTGAGAGTGAACCAGGACTTTATATTGCCTAAGGTGAGACGGTAGAGAAAATTTAACAGTGAAAAGCGTTGAGTGATCCGTTCAAATATTGCAACAGAGATTTCTGAGACAACGTTCCCAAGGAGACCTTCAAGCAGAAGGTCAGCACATGTTGAAAGGAATGTCTGTGGCCAAGAGAAAGAACAGAAAATGGTCTACAGGCTTTCCCTGTATCAGAGAGGGCTCCTGCAAGATCCTCGATGATGTTCCATTCATCTTTCTCTTCTGTAAACAAAAGTAGGTGTCTTCCTAATTCTGTTTCAAAAAGACATCCTTTCAGTTCCTCACTCTGGCCATGGACATTTCCATGTGAAAATACACATAGTGCATCTTGCGGCCACTAGATACAAAGCCATGTACAGAAATGAGGCCAGATGCAGATGGGGCGAATTGAAAAGACGAAAGAAGAAAAGAATGACAGGGTCGAGAAGGCAACATTGATTGAGTGAAACAATGAGAAGCCTCAGTCAGTCAGGAGGTGATTCTCACTAAGGGTAAGTGGGGTGGTGATGGCACACCATTTTGAGTATACTGAATGCTGCTGTGTGGTTCACACTCCTTTGGTTAATTTTGTGTTATGTAAATTTCACATCAACAATTACTTGTTTGAAAAAGAGAAAACAAGGCTCTGAGAAACAACTGCAACCCATACATTTTTATTATCCTTCTTCTCTGTTTGATAAATATTTGTGTGTAGCAAACCTGCCATGGCAATTCCTGCCCTTCTCCTGACCCAGCTTAGCTCTTACGTCTCCCCACCGAGCTACTGTACTTCAGAGATTTACACACCTGCCCCCCTGCCTGCCCCCATGGGGTCCCCTCACCTAAGCTCCTCAGCTTGCTTGAGCTGCTCTGCAAGCATCTCCTCCTTGAACTGTCGCTCATTCCTCAGCATAGATTTTATGAGGTCTTTGCACTCTTCATATTCTGAGAAAAGACAGACACGCCTGCATCAGTGCAAGGCTGGACATGCTGCTGTGGTCATTCCCTACAGGACAGGAGCCAGGTCCATCCCAAGGACAAAACTCTCCCCAGTACCAGGGTCTAGACAGGGATTTCCACATCTTTACTCTTCAGTCTCCTGACTTTCTGGCATCTGATCCTCCAAAATTTAGAGATGAAGAAAGAGAACCTCAAGGGCACATCAAGGAAGTTGACAAGATGATTCAACCACAACGAAGTGGAGTCAGAATTCTCAGCCCCTGAGGTCTGACTCTGAATTCGGGGCCACTTTCCCAAGACTTGCAGCCTCTCCTCTAAAACACTGCACTGGGGCATGAAGTAGTGATTTCTTGTACAGTCGGGAAGGCCCCTAGGACTATGGGACTGATGGTTTCCCTTTTACTGGGAATTTCAAGGACAAGTATGTGAAAGATTTTAAAAATCTTTGATTTTTAAATCATATTTTCAGTTATGATTTTAAGAATCATATCTGAAGCATAAAGTGTGAGACATAAGACCATAAGGCCATGAAGGAAATATGCCCAAATTCTTTATTAGTATGAGAGGCAGCATTAAGATTTAGATTCGTTGTGTTAATTTAGAAACAGCATAAGATTAGTTTGTGTTAATTTAGAAACATCAGAATGAAGAACTAATAGATAGTGTTTACACTGTGCCAATTAATGTTCAAGGAGATTGACAGGAAATACCTCATGTAATTCATTGCAGCAATTTACAGAGGTAGGTATTATTGTAGTACCCTCTGAACAGATGAGGAAACTGAGGGACAGACAAGACAAGCAACTTGGATGGAGCCCAGGAGACAGGCTGAGGGTCCCTGCTTTGCACACTGCACTGCTGCTTCCACACATTCTCGGGTGTGATCTTTCTTCCTCTTTAGGAACAAGAGCCTGTGCACCAGGAAGCAGGACTTCACTCTCACCAAGGTACTCTCTGCTTTTTATTTTTATTTTTGTTTTATTTATCTTTTTGTTTGTTTGTTTTTTGATGAGTCTTGCCCTGTCACCCATGCTGGAGTGCAATAGTGCAATCTTGGCTCACTGCAACATCTGCCTGCTGGGTTCAAAGGATTCTTCTGCCTCAGCCTCCCGATTAGTGGTGATTACAGTTGCCCGCCATGACGCCCATCTACTTTTTGTATTTTTAGTGGAGATGGGGTTTCTCCATGTTGCCCAGGCTAGTCTCAAACTCCTGACCTCGTGCTCTGCCCGCCTCAGCCTCCCAAAGTGCTGAGATTACAGGAGTGAGCCACATTGCACGGCCCCTACTCCCTGCTCTTGATGCTGTCACTTATAGATAGCACAGGTTCTATTAGGAGCAGACTCCTCTTGAAGCCCCTCAGAGCAGGTACTGGGTACTATCACCAAGTTCCCCTCAGAGTCACTAGAACACAGCTTTGCCTGTTGGGCCTCAACAGAAACTTGAACTGAATAAAATTTCACTAGTCCTAGACATTTAGAACAACAGACTACATGTTATTTGTCTGCAGGATCTTATAAGGTACAGAGAGGATTCTTGAAAACATGATTGAGCCTCTTGGAGAAAATAGGTCATTCTGTGCCTGTGTCAGAAATCAATAAATGGCAGTTTACCTCTAGTCCCACCCCCATCTGATTGCAAACATGGAAAGTTGCTAAATACTTTGGTACCTCTGTCTTCCAACTTTAACAAAATGTTAAAATACCCATTTCTGTTTTCCTAGAAGTACAGGAAGGATGAAATTCTTTTTGATGGAGAGAGCATTTAGTGTCTCAGAGAGAAGACAGGACATCATTCATCACTTTCATGATGGTGAGCCTATAGATCTTACTGTATTTCTTCTGTCGGTTGGCCAGGAAGCCGGCCAGTTGAGTTACAAAACATTTCTCTTTGAGGTTTCTGAACTGCTGTTTGTTCTCTGCCAGCTGGGGGCGCAATTTCTCGTTGATTTCTAGAATGTTCATCTCTGCCTTCTCGCTGGACCAAGGGCCGGCTGATACCACCATGCTGATGTTTGTGGCAGAAGAGGTGGAGTCAGGGACTGGGGAGAAGAAACCCAAACATATGATGGGTTAAAAACTGGTGAAATCAAATCGGTTTAATCAGGACTGAGGGATGTCAGTAACTGAAATTCTTAACTTATTGTTGTGAAAAATGTGATCACTCCCCACAGCACTTTAGGATCCTTCACCACAAAAACAAGGTTCGAGGTGCCTCAACTCAGAGCTGAAAGCACTGCCAGTAGCTCAGACTCTGATAAGAGTGAGGTAGATTGTGGCCAGCGTGCCAGGTAACCGTCTGCAGTTGCAATAACAGAATTAGAAGGTGGGGGTGTCATGGAATCTTAGGAGCCCTGCATTCCAATTGCCCAGGCTTTGCTGAAACACAGGCACCCTAGTCTCACCTGAGGGTCACCACCAATGGGGATCATTCCTTCAGCATTCACTCTCAGTATTCGTGTACCCTTGTGACAATGCCACAGACCCGTGTCTTTCCCACTACATCTAAGCATATTCCTCACTGTTTATCTCTTGTCTGTACAACATCATCAAGGCAGAAACAGTTTCCCAACAGGTTATATTTTCTTAATGGTAGTCATGAAGTCACCCCACCTGCTCTCAGTTAAAACAGAGCTTAAGGCTTTTCCACAGGTGTAAGATATCAAACTTTTAGCCTGCCCTGATATCCTCTGGGTCTTCTGCAGTTTTTTCTGTATCCACTAGAAAGTGAATGAATAATTCATTTTTTTAAAATGTTTTCTTTCCTGTCTCAGTATTCTTGCTGCTGCATCCCATTGTTAGATTGATTTCTTCTTTCTTACTGGGGCACCTTCTTGGGTTTTCATTACATTCTAGACCAGTTTGACATCCCTACATCCAAAGCTCTTCCTCTATGTGGGTTGATTTGTTTTTTAATGTCACTGAGCACTACATTTTATACTTGTCACTTATAGATGTCATTCTAGTGCCACAAGACCTCTTTTCAAGGTATCAAGTGATCAAAGTCATTTATATAGAGGTCTCCTGAAAAAATGTGTGACCATCTATCTTGGGAAGTTTTGTAAACCTGATGCTATTTTGCTGTTTCTATTTTGTTTTCCCATATACTGAAAAGAACAGGGCCACGGGCAGTTCTTATGGAATATGGTTCGATATATATTTTGTTGAGATGACCTAACACCATTGATTTTGGGTTGCATTCCACTAACAGAACATGGCAAGATCAAGGTTATGGTCAGGGTTGGTTGGTGATCCTCAGTGTTGCTGTGCAGTAGAAGGTGAGTTTGAGGTGAGAGGAACAAGTAGGAAAGAGTGATCCCCTGAGCCACCTCTTTGCTTTCTCAGCTTTCATCCCCACCTAGGTTTTGTGAGCCTGGAACTTGAGAGACTGTTCTGTAGCCCAGGTCTCCTAAGATTGCCTGCTGGGCTTGCCTGAGTTGAGGGTGCAGTGGGTTGATGCTTTGAGATGTATCAAAAGCTTTAAGTCAATGTATTTTCTAGGGTCTGGAAGACCTGACATTCTGTGTCAGAATGAAAATCTGTCAAGTTTCTAAATGAAAAAACTGCAGGTTCACAAAGTGACATGGGTTACTTGAGGTCACAAAGGGATGAGTTTTCAGCACTGCCAATAAAAGCAATCACAATAATTATTCAGTAATTATTCATAGGATCCATAGAATCCAGTAAATATTCACATATTTAGTAATTATTCATCGACCAATTCATACAAGGCATTTTGCTCAAAACTGTGTTTATATTTGGACATTGTATCTTCATCATAATCCTTAAGGTAATGCTATTATCCGTAAGTAACAATTAAGAAACCTGAAGATGAGGGATAGCTAATCATGTATTTGGCCATATTTCCATTTTTTGGTTTTTGTGATGCTGGAAGAATGACCAGAATGAGTCACGTGAAGAGTATTCATTCCTGTATTATTTTCCAGGACAGAGGTGTGCCCTTCTAGAGTACTGGGACCAAAATTCAGAAGTGTCTGAAACCTTGCTTTAACAGTATGGGAAATAACCTCTATCACCTGGAATTTCCCTGGAACTTTGGAATATACAAGAGAAGTATGAGACGTGGGTCTTCCCTTGGCTGTGTTTAATTCACTCTTCTATGGAATACCAATGATTCTCACTAAGACTTTTGCCTTTTTATAACCACAATGTATGTCTTATGGAGAAGATTTTACACTTTGCTCTATTTAGAAAGAATAACTATGAGCAATGGTTTAGGTTTTATGCCCTGGACTTCATATTTTTCTGATTTCTGTTTTGAGATTAAATTCTCATGTAAATAGAAAAATACTTATTATTTCTCATCAGGCCAAGTTTGTTATCAGCTTGAGTTTTTGAAGATGAAGCACAAACTTTTGATTTTATCTTTGTCCCCATCAGCTCCACTCATTGTCTCTCAGTATGACCTGGACTTGCCCCTGCATTTACCCTCATCCTGCTGAGCCATCTCCATGCACTGTCCAATTCCATCAGTGATTCGGGGTCCTCCCAAGGCTCCCTGAAATGTGCACAGGGATCAGGATGTCAGACACATTCCAGACACAAAGGCAACCCATACTGTAGAGTGAGCAGCTGTGTTCCCACTTCCCTAATGTTCCAGTGATGTCCTCAAACTGAAGGGAACACTTTCCCTTTTTAAGGGTCTGTTCTTCATGTCTCAATGCCTCTGATCTAGTGAACACAACTGTCCTGAAAGTGAAAGAACCTGCTAAATTTCGGGTTTCTGGTTAGTTGGCTAGAATAAGTTTATAAGACTTCCTTACTTACCTATGACTGCTGACGTTTGAATTCTTAGCAGTATGATTCCTTTTCTTGTAAGCTGAGCAGCTTAGGAAAGATTGGCCATGTTGCTGTGCAAAAAGAGGTAAATTTAATTTCTACTCAAAGCATGCTTGAATTTGGAACTAGGGCTTCCACTCTTCCAAAGTTGGACTGTCACTACCTCAGGCATGTGTCCCAAAAGGCTCATGTCTCTGTTGTACTCAAAGTTCAAATGGAGCCCAGCAAGCCAGATCTCCTTTACTTCTAGGTTCCCTCAACAGTTTCTCCTCTGCTTTAGAGACTGCCTTGAAAATATTCTTGTCCTGCTGTTGTGTTTTGGCTTTGGAATGATGTGATGCAGCTCAATGGGTCCTACCCCCAAGTTGATCAGAGTAAGAAACAGCTGGGAAAGTCAGTGCAAATACAAGTTCATCGTCCTCCTTGCAGGGATTCTGATTCAGAGGGCTCAGGTGGGGCCTGGAATGTGTTTGTTAACATGACTCAGATGTGCAGTCAGTTTGGGGACCCGCTGATACCATCGACCTTATAGTTTTTGGGATGATTCTTTCTGTTTTGCTGATGAAGAAACTGAGGCATAGACAGTCTGTAACTTACCCAAGTTCCCCTTGCTGTAAGTCCTGGAGCCGGATCTCAGGTGGAGCAGCCTCTTCCCCATCCCCTTCCCACATTTTCCAATTCAGCTGGGTCAATTCTTTCCAAGTACGTGTTTCTCTCCCCTATAAGTCATTTCTGAAAAAAGGAGAACTGGACTTTAACTTCTTTCATCTAATACATTTCCTCACAACATGCTGCCAGCATCATATTCTGGCCTCTTACTATTAAAGTGAGATGCCTTTTTTTTGTTTTTTTTTTTTTTTTTTTTTTTTTTTTTGAGACAGGGTCTTGTTCTGTCACCCAGGCTGGAGTGCAGTGGTGATTATAGATCACTGCAACCTTGAACTCCTAGGCTCAAGCGATCCTCCTGCCTCAGCTTTCCAAGTAGTTGGAACTCTAGGCACACATCACCATTTCTGGCTAATTTTTTATTTCTCATGGAGACAAGGTCTTGCTATGTTGCTCAGGCTGGTTTTGAACTTCTGGCCTCAAGCGATCCTCCCACCTAGGCCTCCAAAAGTGCTGGGATTACAGGAGTAAACCACTGAGCCTGGCCCTGAAATGCTTTTTTTTTTTTTTTTAATGAAAATACAAGGCATGGAGATGGGGAAAGACACCTTGCTTTATTACTGTTATTATTTCTATAGTATAATTCATATATCACAAAAATCACCATTTTTAAGCATATATTTCAGTGTCTTTTACCATATTCCAAAAGTTCTGCAACCATCACCACTACCTAATTCCAGAATATTTTCATAATGCCAAAAAGCATGCCTGTACCTATGGGCAGTCACTCTCCAATTCCCCCCTTCTTGCAGTCTCTGACAACCACTAATCTACTTTCTCTATATAAAAATGTAATTGTTCTGGGCATTTCCTCTATATGGGATAACAAAGTGTGGCATTTTGCATCTGCTTCTCAGCATTTTTTTCTCAAGTTTCATCCTTTTTAGCCTGCATCAATACTTCAACTTTTTTATGGCCAAATGATATTCCACCATATGATTATACCACATTTTGTTTATTCATCAACTGATGGTGGTTTAAGATGTTTCCACTTTTTAACTATTATGAATAATGCTGCTATGAACAGCTTTGTACATGTTTTTGAGTGAACATCTGTTTTTCATTTTCTTGGTTATAAACCTAGGAGTGCAATTGCTGCATCATGTCACTTTATGTTTAACTTTCTTTTATGTTTAACTTTTTGAGGAACTTACACACTGTTTACCAACTTCAGTGGCTATGCCATTTTACATTCCCACTAGTAATATATGAGAATTCCATATTCTCCATAACTTTCCAAACATGTGTTGTCTTTATTTTTTCTTAAGTCATACTAGTGGGTGTGAAGTGGTATCTCATTTTGATTTAAATTTACATTTTCCTAATGATGAAAAACATCGAACATCTTTGCATGTGCTTCTTGGCCATTTGTGTGTTTGCTTTAGAGAAACCTCTACTCACAGATTTTTTCCCATTGTTAAATTTGGTTGTTTGTCGTTTATTGCTCAGTTATATGAATTCCTTATATACTCTAGGTACTAGACCCATGTCAAATATATAATTTGGAAATAGTTCTCCCATTATGTGGATTATCTCTTCTCTTCCTTGACATTATCCTTTGAAGCATGTAAGTTTTTTATTTTAGTGAAGTCCATTTATCTATTTATTTTTGGGTTGTTTGTGCCTACTTAAAAAATGTCTAATCCAAAGTCACAAAGATTTGTACCTATGTTTTCTTCAAGACATAGTTTTTTGAATGAGAACTTTCCTGGGTTTTACTGGAGGGCGGACATTGTTTATTTATGCCTCCTGTCCATTACCGATGTTTCTCCTGATTGTTATTCATATGCTCACCACCCCTCCATGGAGCATCCCATGGCCTGTGACAGAGCTCTGGGGACTGATATCCTTCCACTGACTTTGGCGCCGGTGAGAGCCCTGGTCATGTGATTCAGCTTGGCCTTAACCCGACCCAGTTGCACATATTCCTCAGGGCCTTTAGAGTTGAAGTCGAGAGCCTCTCTGAGAATGCTTGCCAGCCCATGCTGTTCTAAGGCTGGAGCAAACTTCCTCAGTCTATTCCAGAGAGAGGGGACTGCAGGGGTGGGACTCATTCAAGACATCTCTGGTGTTAGAAAGTAGACCTGTTTCAGGGTTTGGGGAAGATTGTTCAAAATGAACTAGGTTCTCTCTATTTTTACTGTATGTGTGACTTCTTTCCAGAAACAAAGGAAGAATATTTATGTTAGAACATTTTGTCTATTCTTTGTCAATTGTTGTTTGTCTACAATTTTAATGGATAAAGGAGAGCTCAGTGTAAATATATTCTTAAGAATTATGGTTCATGCCCACTGCCATGCAATCATATTTAAATCTATGAACTGGCCGGACGCGGTGGCTCACGCCTGTAATCCCAGCACTTTGGGAGGCCGAGGCGGGTGGATCATGAGGTCAGGAGATCGAGACCATCCTGGCTAACATGGTGAAACCCCATCTCTACTAAAAATACAAAAAATTAGCTGGGTGTGGTGGCAGGCGCCTGTAGTCCCAGCTACTCAGGAGGCTGAGGCAGGAGAATGGCATGAACCCAGGAGGCAGAGCTTGCAGTGAGCTGAGATTGAGCCACTGCACTCCAGCCTGGGTGACAGAGCGAGACTCCATCTCAAAAAAAAAAAAAATCTATGAACTATCCTGTTACTTAGGTATTATCCTGCTCCTGATGAGAAAACAAACTCAGAAAGATTGCAAAATTTCCCTAAGTCACAAAACTAGTGAGGAGAGGAATAAGAATTAGATATCAGTTCCTTTTGGCCTTCAAAGCTAACCGTGTACCATTAGATCAAACTGATTTACATACTTTTGCTGGAATTAGTCTCAGAGTTTGTGGTTCTCACTTGATTTTCCCAAGGGAACTGTGTGCCACTTTAATATCATTTCAAACTTTGAAATTTAAAACTTTTTTATTATACTTTTTTGTCTTTGTAGAATTGATCAAGCAGAAGAAAAAATTAGAAGCCGTCATCTGAGGATAATGTGTGGTCATGACCCCTTCGGCCAGGACAGTTTTTGTGTCCTCTTTTTTTCTTTTCCTCCAGTGTCTGTTTCTCTCTGACACTCAGCTTTCCTGAAAACTGTTTAGTGTTTCTAATTCAGCCAAATTTTCACGTTGTATTTTTCTTTCTCATCTGCTGCAGTTTTCATCTTTAAACTAGCCAGATCGGTAGATGGAAGAAACAATGAGGTACCTCCAAAATTGAGTTAGATCAATGTAACCAACAGAAAATGATGAGATTAGATAAACACAAGTGACCTGAGCCAGTGGAATATAACTTAACAATTAAAAAACTCAATGATATCTATAAGGCAGACATTATGACAGGGAATGTCGTTATGATATTACAATTGTTCATCTCTCTATGATCTCTCACATCAGAAGGTCAATTTTCTCCAGTTTTTTTTTTTTTTTTTTCATAATTGCTTCAGCCTAAGGCACTAAATTCTAGGACAACTCTATATTTTTCTTGAATTATAGATTACTTGTCTTCCTTTAAATATTTTTTAGAAATTTACTTATCCAATAGTCAAAGAGGATTCTTCTTTACATTTTTATTAATTCTGTTGACATAATTTTATTGTGTCTAGTCAGGTCCTATACATATCCTGGGATGGATGAGATTCTCAGTTTTATAGATAAGTAATAGATAGGGAAAATAACAACTAGACAGAGAATAACCTGGAGTCTCTGGAAGGTTTCAGAGACATGAGAAGAAAACAATTAAGACCAAAAGTAAAAGAATGGCATAATTTCAAAAAATCTTTACTTAAAAATAAAAATTATTTAAAATCTGTTTTGTACTCTCAAAAAAAAGGTTAAAGAAAACATGGACTCTATAAAACAATAGATGAAACACAAGATAATAAGGTACTAGATTGAATTGTAAAAGGAGCTGGCAGAGTTAAGAAACAGAGCCACAGCAGAATTTAAGAATAAAGAGCAGAATTAGCAATACATAATACCAAATCAATTTTGTAAAGAATCAATATCAGAAATTCTCCCAAATGCCAAAAGAAAGGACAAAGAGATGAAAATTATCCAAGAAGAAATAACAGATATGGAGGAAAGACAATAAAAATCCAACACATAGATATCAATGCTCCTGAAGAAAAGTCAGGACAAGTGAACCATAAGCTCTAAAGATACAATAGAAGGAAATTTTCTTGAGCTGATAAAAGACCTGACATTGCAAATTGGAAGGGACTCATCATGCACCAGAAAAATCTAGATAAATTTTGATTTGCAAGTATAAAGACATAATTCTATAATTTAGAAATGTAATGGAACAACCCCTGCGATGGTTTTTGTACCACTGTTTAACAACTATGTTTTCACATTCTTGTCTGCTTGTGAACAGAGAGTAGGATCATACCTCTCTCAATAGGAGGTGAGGCTTCCTTGAAGATAATAGATATTTCAAATGTCAACTGCTGAAAAGAGAAAGATTCTAAGATGAGAAAAGAGAATTTGGAAGGTGGGCCTTAAACAGGAACAAGAGGGAATTCCTTTCTCTGAGCCTCATTCTCTTGAGCCTGCAATCCAAAGAGTCATAATATGCTCACTAGTACTTCCAAAAAAGGAAGGGATAATGGCATCTGCCATATGGAGGCAAGCTAGGAACTAAGTTGGGGAGTTAATGAGTTAATACAAGTCAAGATCTTAAAACAGTACCTGGCACATAATAAGCACTCCACAAATATTAGCTATCATCACCTTCATAATTATTATTATATGTGATATGATTACCGTAATTTAGCATAGCCTTATTATTATTATTATTTTTGAGACAGTCTTGCTCTGTCACCCATGCTGGAGTCCAGTGACACAATCTCAGCTCACTGCAACCTCCACCTCCCGAGTTCAAGCAATTCTCCTGCCTCAGCCTCCAGAGTAGCTGATACTACAGGCGCATGCCACCACGCCTGGCTAATTTTTGTATTTTTAGCAGAGACGGGGTTTCACTATGTTGGCCAGGCTGGTCTCAGACTCCTGACCTCGTGATCCACCCACCTCAGCCTCCCAAAGTGTTGGGGTTACAGGCAGGAGCCACCACGCCCAGCCTAGTCTTATTGGAGGAAAGACAATAAAAATGCACTTTAGACTCAGCTTTGATAGAGATTTAAGAAAAGGGTTTATATGGTCTGGAGGGTAAAGGAGAGAGATTCCTCCTCTCCCTCAGAGGCCACTGTTGGTCATAGGGATGAATAATAGCTCAAAAGGAAAAGGGAAGCTGGAGTGAGCATAAGGAACCAAAAACTCTCAGTTTCAGCCAACCCTCTCAGTGTGGCGCTTGTCCTTCCAGTGCCAACTGTGGATGAAAAGAGTGTTTATCAAGTTACTTACAAAGGAAAAAAAAATCAGGCTGGCATCATACTTCTGCATAACACATTAAATTTCAGAAAAGATTATCCACAGAATATTGCAGATGAAAAACTTCAGCTGAAAACTCCACAACAAGCCAAATTTCATTCATGTGTGAAGCCAATTGAAAGGCACTCTCAATTATGCAAAAGCTCAAAATACCTGCAAACACTTTTTTAAAGAAAAATTTATTTCATAACCCACTCAAGCCAAGAGAGAAATATTTTTTGTTTTTTGTTGTTGTTGTTTTTTGTTTTGTTTTTTGTTTTTTGAGATGGACTTTCATTCTTGTTGCCCAGGCTAGAATGCAATGGTGCAATCTTGGCTCATTCAACCACCACCTCCCAGGTTCAACCAATTCTCATGCCTCAGCCTCACGAGTAGCTGGGATTAGAGGCGTGCGCCACCATGCCTGGCTAATTTTTGTATTATTAGTAGAGACAGGGTTTCACCATGTTGGCCAGGCTGGTCTCGAACTCCTGACCTCGGGTGAGACACCCACCTCAGCCTCCCAAACTGCTGGGATTACAGGTATTAGCCACCGCGTCCACCCAAGAGAAATATTTTTTAAAAGAATTCAAGGCCAGGCATAGTGGCTTATACCTGTAATCTCAACATTTTGAGAGGCAAAGGTGGGAAGATCACTTGAGCCCAGGAGTTTGAGACTAGCCTGGGCACATTGTGAGACCCTGTCCCTATGAAAATTTAAAAATTAGCCAGGCATGATGGCGCACGCCTATAGTCCCAGCTACTTGAGAAGCTGAGGTGGGAGGATCACTTGAGCCCAGGAACTATAGTGAGCTGTGATCATGCCACTGCACTCCAGCCTGAACAGCAAAGTGAGATGCTGTCTCAGGAAAAAAAAAAAAAAAAAAAGAAATCAAAAAGGCAAAGTATGAAAGAGGCTGATGATGAATACTGAAGACATTTAAGCATAAAATGAATTAAATGTAACTATTTTAAGTATAGTTACAACACAGAATACAAATATCATAAATAATCCTTAACAAAAATATATTTTTAAAGTAAGGTTTAAAATCCCAGATTACACCAACATAAACTTGGGTATTGTGTGGGGTGAAGGGAGTAACAAAGAAGGAGAAATGTGAGAAAGTAGAAGTGTCCTGGTATTCTCAACGTACAAAGATACTATTTTATTCTCTATGTTAGTAATAAAAAAATATAAAGTTGTGTGTGTTATTTTAAAACAAAATGCATGCCTTCCAGATTACTAGGAAACAAAACAAGAAACAAGGACTACAAAATCCATATAGCAAAAAGAAGAAAAAACAGAAAAAAGGCAAAAATAAAGACCAAACACAGAAAATACAAGAGCAGAATCATTAAACCAAACCAAAATATTGGTCTTTATTAATATAAAATATAATATGCAACAAAGACACACTACGAATCATTTTGCACTGAAAAATAAGGCACTGGACTGTATGAAGCTCTCAGAAAAAATGGAGATATGGACAGAAAAATAGTAGCAATAAAAGACTTCAGTCCTTGACGAATTGATAGAAGACAAAAATAGAGAGGACCTAAATGTAATTTACAAGTCTGATTTAATGGATATGTAATGAAATGTTAAACAAAATATTTCCTATGTCTTGGAGTTTCAGTAAGGCTACATAACCAAGGACAATAAATGCTCAATGTCTACACTTTCTAAAAAGTGGTACAAAGCACAATCTAGAATTCCTTAAAAAAAAAAAGTAGCCCCTAAATGGTCTTGCAACTCCTAGCTCACAATCCACCTCTGGGTTATTTAAGAGAAAGATAAGGGTTAACTGATAGGAGCAGTCTTTGAAGAGAGTTGTCAGACTAGAAGAAAGAGCTGTGGTGTTTCTCATCCCCTTCTCTCATTCCCCTCCAAGTGAGGGGCTCAAGGAAAACCTCTGAGACTTTCTGGGAAGCACTTGCTGGGAGGGAGGCCTGACCTCTTTCTCACTAGTCATTAGTGGCCTATTAGTCTGCAGAAGTTCACAGGCTCACCTCTGGCTGCCACAGTAGCCAAGCTTGCAGGAGCTTGATGTGTGTCTTCAGAATTTGCTGGGACATAGACACGGTGACCTTCCCTTGCCCAGGGAAAATTGTAGGCTTGAATAAGTGTTTCTTGTGGGCCAAATTCTTCACCATCATATTATTATAGTAAACACCACTAAAAAAAAAATCCAAAAGGTAGATTGGTTAAGTTACAAATGACATAACCATATGATGGAATGTTATTGAGTCAATAAAAATGTTATAAAGTATTTGGCACAAGAAAATATTCATAATATACATTTTTTTGAGACAGGGTCTCACTCTGTTGCCCAGGCTGGAATGCGGTGGTACAATCACAGATTCTTACAGCCTCAACCTCCTAGGCTCAAGCAATCCCCACACTTCAGCCTCCAGAGTAGCTGGGATTACAGGTGCGCACCACCATGCCTGGCTAATTTTTTTTTTTTTTTTGGTAGAGACAGGATCTCCCAATGTAACCCAGGTTGGTCTCAAACTCCTGGGCTCAAGTGATCCTCTCACCTCGGACTCCCAAAGTGCTGGGATTACAAGTTTTAGCCACCATGCCTGGCCTATAATACTATAATATATTTCTTTTTTTTTTTTTTTTTTTTGAGATGAAGTCTCACTCTGTCACCCAGGCTGGAGTGTGGTGGCACAATCTCAGCTCACTGCAACCTCCGCCTCCCAGGTTCAAGTGATTCTCCTGCCTCAGCTTCCTGAGTAGGTGGGATTACAGGCATGTGCCACCATGCCCAGCTAATTTTTGTATTTTTAGTAGAGACGGGGTTTCACCATGTTGGCCAGGCTGGTCTCAAACTCCTGACCTGAAGTGATCCGCCCATCTTGGCCTCCCAAAGTGCCGGGACTATAGGCGTGAGCCACCATGCCCAGCCCCATAAAATATTTCTAAAATGAAATATAATGAAAAATATATAACAACATAGTATACTCATTGTCTTAGTTCATGCTATTATAACAAGATACCCAACATTAGGTGGCTTAAACAACAAAGTTTTTAAAATTTTTTATTCTTAAGTTTTGTGGGTGCATAGTAGGTGTATATATTTAACAGCCATTTATTTCTCACAGTTCCAGATGCCAGAAGTCCAAGATCAGGGTGCCAGCATGGTCACTTCTTGGTGAGGGCCCTCCTTCTGGTTCACAGACAGCTGCCTTCTCACCATATACTCACCTGTCAGAAAGAGAGCGTGCTGGTTCCTTCATCTCCTTGGAAGGGCACAAATCCCATCATGGGGCTTCACTCTCATGACCTCGTCTAAATCTAATCAGCTCCCAAAGGCCCTCCTCCAAATACTATCACATCGGGAACCAGGGCTTCAACATATGCATTTTGCGGGTACACAAACAGGATCCATTTTTTCAATATTGGATCACTAGGAGTCCATAGCACTCCTCCAATTTTGGGAATCCAAAATTGTGATCCAATTTTGGGAAAATCAAAAGGTATATGTGCGTTCGTGTGGGTATGCATCACGTTAACCAAGAATAAGAATGAATATCCCAGACTTTGGAAATATGCCAGTGTTGTACTCCTTTGCAACTGTCTTAACATTACGGTGGCAAATCTCAATCCAGTGGTAAAGATGGGGACTTCTTTAAAATAAGCAAATGTCCCTGCTGGTAGTTATCCCAAGAAGAGGTCAGTCCTGGAGCAAGAAGTGGTGGGGCAGTAGGGAGAGCTTTCTGCTCTGCCTGAGCACAGACGGCAGGGGACCAGAAGTTTGGAACAGTTCATACAATAAGAATATGAACATCCTTTACTTTGAACTTCAACTAATATATTCCATTTTAAATTTAATCTCTACATATTCTTCCCCTTTGTTCACAAAATATATGGATCAAATTCATTCTGCATGATAATTATATCAACAGAGAATCCCAAAATTAGTTTTAATAAATGGAAAAAGTTGGTGTTATATATTTCAAATAATGCCACTGAATCTTTCCAAATTTGAGAGCTCTACGATCATCAGTCTTTTCAGTATAATTTGAATAATTGACAACCAAAACTTTTAAATATACATTTATAAATATTAATAAATAAATATACATTGAAACTAATGATGAAGGAAAACTGAATGTAAACTCATAATAATAATAATAATGGGTAAAAATTGTTGCATACTTACTATAAAGTGCTTATTTTCCTGAGGGCTTTATGTATATTACTTAATCTTCATAATAACCTTATGAGATAAGATACTATTACTATCTCTATTTTTTAGATGAGGAAACTGAAGTACAGAGAGTTTAGTAACTTGCATAAAACCACACAACTATTTAATCTTCTTTCCTCAGGAACACGACCTCAAGAACAACCAAGCACTTGATACAGAGCTGACTCTAACTCATATGAACCAGTCAAGGCCCTGGACAAGGCGGTGCATACCAAGTCAGCACCAAGGTCAATATATCCAAAATGAGATTGTATAAGAGGAAAGGACTGGAATGCACCTCCAAGAAGGTCTGGAAAAGTGAGAACCAACTAGGGAAGAGGTTCAAAGTAGACTCAAGGAAGATGAAGGGGAATTCTTGAGCCAAAGCGCAAGTGGTTGGAAAAGATCTTTAGGCTTCCTGAGGCTATAGAGTGAGCATATCTAGAGAAAGGGTGCGGGAGTGGAAAAAAGCAAAGAGCAAAGCTAGCACCACTCTGGCCCTCAGTCCCCTTTCTCTAGACAAATCGGAGCTGGCATTTTCCTAGTGTGAAGGTGCTAACTCACTCTAGGAAAGTTTTGAGATGGGGAGCAGAGTCTCACAACCAGTCCCCAGTCAGTATGCATAAGAATCTCCTGGGATGCCGTTACAAATGCAGATTCCTTCTTAAAAAAAAATTGAACTCACAAAAGCAGAGAGTAGAGTGGTGATTACCAGGGGCTGGTGGGGGATAGTCGGGTGGGGTTGGAGAGATGTTGGTCAAAGGATACAAAATTTCAGTTAGATAAGAGGAATAAGTTCAAGAGATCTATTGTACAATATGGTGACTGTAACTAATAAAAATGTATTGCATTTTTGAAAATCTCTGAGAGTAGATTTTAAGTATTCTCACCACAAAAATAAATATCTGAAGTAATATATATGCTAATTACCTTGCTTTAGCCATTCCACAATGTATACATATTTCAAGATATCATTTTATGCATGATAAATATATATAATTTTTATTTATTAATTAATTGACTCCTAGATTCCTCCTGGGAGTCACTTTCAGAAATCCCAAGTCCACTGGTCTACATTAGGACTTATGAATCTACATTTTAAATAAGCTCCCCAAGTCATGAGAGAACCACACTTTGAGAAAACTGCACTTATATATTTTCTAGGTATCAAGTATAGATACTGTCCATGGGACCATTGGGAAATAAACACTTTTCCTCTGAATACTTGGGGTTTCCTGTCCAGCTTACACTGGTGACTTAGTGGGGCACACAGGGGAGTTCAGAGACTCAGTGAACCTGGCACAGTGGGCAAAACTACAAGATAGGTTGTCTATCCATGAAGGGAGACAGCGGGAGTAGGATGCCACGGAATTGGTGATACCATATGTCTCAAACGATCCCAGACTTACAACTGCATGTGAATCTACAACTATGTCATAATAAGTAAAAAGTTTCAAAAGAAAATCCCTAACAGAGATCATCCAGCCACTGGCATGGGCAGGTGCTATGTAAGTGCACGGAGAAGAAGTACTAGGGTGTTTCCCAGGGATCTAATGTTAGTGTCAACTCCTGGGCCCAGTCCTTTGCATTAATTTGGAGGAAGGGGATGAAGTAGTTAGCTGTCAGTATGTGGATGGTGCTGGGAAGTGTGAGAGTACCGTAGGTATGAACACTGCAGTTGCTATGAAAAAGGACAGTAAAGTGGTGTGAGCAAACACTCATCCAAAGGACACAGACTGATCATCTTGTCAGTTGACTCTTTGTAGCACATCTATGGGACTGGCTGTCAATCTCTGGATGAGTGGCAAACAATGGCTACTAGTTATGAACATGACATATTTTGAAAAGCTCCCTTGGAAAAAGCACAAACTGGGGACTCAGAGCCCAGATGGTGTGACTGTCCATGGAGGCAGAACCAAAAGATCCCACTATTCTAAGAGGATGGCAGCAGCTAGAGTGGATCGGGAGAATATTACCAGCAGTAGAGATGGGAGGACAAGCCATTTTAGTGTCAGAGTCCACCACCAGCAGTACAGACTTGCTTTGAAAGGAGAGTCAATTGGATACTAAATGCAGTGCGAAGGTTTCTAAAGACATTCCTCAATCAAAATCAGGGGATAAAGCAGTCGCTTGAATCACCTAGGCCTGTCCTTTACCTGGACACAAGTGGTACAGTAGGGAGCATTCTGAATAGTGTCACCCAAAGCTTTGCATAGGCCTTAGGCCAGCAGGTATTGCACACCTTTCTCTGCTATTCCTCGTTACTGATATTCTGATCCCCACTGTGCACCCCAGTAAGCCACCAAGGTAAACTGCTTGCCTTGATAGTCTCTTTCAGCACTCTGCACTCTACACACTCTTGAATGTCAGTTAGGTGCTGTTATGTGGGAATCTACCTGCTTACCTAATAGATATAGCCTGGACACAAAGTTCTCTGGTTTATGACACTCCCATTGTACAGCTGCCTCCATAGCTCCTTGAAATTCTGGATCAGGGATTGGACATCTGACAGGTAGTTTTGACTGCTTGGTATCACAGAGTTCAATCCAACAAAAGGAAGACATGTTCCCTTGTGTATAATGAATCTGCAGATCACTTATTCAAACTATAGTAGTCTGAACTCAGATGCTGGATGTCAGGTCCCCTCAGGATTGTCTTCCTGCGTCTTGACTGCAGCCACTCCTACACAGGGTGATTTCCTGGGCTGGAGCCAGTTTGCAGGACTATGAGACTATATAGACTACAAAGCCTAGCTAGGCCCCAGGTCGGCGGCAGAGTAAGCCCCACAGCAATGCGTTAAGCCTTCATGAAATGAGTGTTGAATGAATGAGGTAGTGATTCAGTGTATATTTGATCCACTGCAATAGGTGGGAAGGGGGCAGAGGCAGCTACTTCCTAAAATAACCCTTCTTCAGACTCTTAAAGAACTGATCCTTGTTTTGAATTAAAATCTATCTTCATTTAACTTCCAGTCCTTTGCCCTACAGATAATTCGTAGCGCCACATCAGTTCTACCCATTCTTTCACATGAAGACAGATGTCATGTTCTGAGTCATCTTTCTTCGCCTCCTTCCAGCAGCCCTTATCTGGTGGCTCACATTTGAGCGAGCTCCAATATGTCTCTGTAGAATCTCTCTCTTCTTTTTTCTTTTCTTTTTTTTTTTTTTTGAGATGGAGTTTCGCTCTTGTTGCCCAGGCTGGAGTGCAATGGCGCGATCTCGGCTCACCGCAACCTCCCCTCCCGGGTTCAAGCGATTCTCCTGCCTCAGCCTCCCTAGTAGTTGGGATTACAGGCATGCACCACCACGCCCGGCTAATTTTGTATTTTTAGTAGAGACAGGGTTTCTCCATGCTTGTCAGGCTGGTTTTGAACTTGCGACCTCAGGTGATCCGCCCGCCTTGGTCTCCCCAGGTGCTGGGATTACAGGCGTGAGCCGGCCCGGCCTGTAAAATCTCTTCAAAGTGTGGTACATGGAGTGCAGTACTCCACCTGTGGCCTGACTGATATGCAGTACAATATTATCACTAAATTGCTACAGACAGTGTGCTTTTCATTGTTGTCACAGAAATGTATTTGGTTAGTTATATTTGTTCATATCTCATCTGACTTTCCAGTCTTCCCTCACTTTGTACAGTCATATTTGCCGAGTCAAGTAAAAGTTATAACATTTAGGACACAATGCCCGACTTACTATAATTACCATTATTATCTTAGGATCATTACAAAACAGAATTACCACTTAGCTCTCAGGCCCTACCTCCTTCAGCCTCAGAAACGTTAACGCTACCTTGCATTGCTGCTTTTAGCACCGCCCCTAATAAGCCCCGCCCCTGGGGCCTCCGCGGCGGGAGCCTAGCGTCCGCCCCACCCACCCCGAGCCCGAGGCGGGGCTGTGGATGTAGACGCTGATTGGCTGACTGGGGCGCAGCTTGATGGCGTCGGGCTGGAGAGCCGCAGTCCCGGCTGCAGCACCTGGGAGAAGGCAGACCGTGTGAGGGGGCCTGTGGCCCCAGCGTGCTGTGGCCTCGGGGAGTGGGAAGTGGAGGCAGGAGCCTTCCTTACACTTCGCCATGAGTTTCCTCATCGACTCCAGCATCATGATTACCTCCCAGGTGAGTCACCGCCTCCCGCCCCGACACCCGTCCGCCTCCCTTTACCGAATCGCCCTCTCCGGTCCTCCGCGGTGCGGGCTGGTCCGGGGTCTCGCTCCTCTCTTACGCGTCCTGCGCTAGTCACTCTGGCACCCAGAGAGGGTGTGCGATTTGCTGCGGCCGGTTCCCTCAGCCCCGGCTGTCAGGAGACTGGCCTGCGGCCGTCCGCGTCCCCACCCGGCATCCATCCCCGGAATTTCGGTCCACTTTTGGAAGCGGTCCGCCGACCTCCAGGCTAAGAGCCGGCGCCGCCAGCTAAGGCGGCGGTTCTAGGAGCTCCTCGAAGCTTCCGGGCTGCGCCAACTGATCCTGGACTGGGGAAGCCTGTGTGGTTCTGGGCGCGCGGTGTGCGACGCGCCAATACTGGATACTGAGGACACGTCAGTGCAGGCTTTGCTGTTAGATGTCAAATCCTGAATCCGGGTGTGGAGAAATTTGCTGCTTCAAAGTATCAGTATAAGGTAATACCTGTGCTTGAAAGTATAAGGTTTCGTTTTTGCACTGACACCTCGTCCTTTATCCTCTGCTTAGTTACCCACCTTTTCCGGATGTTTTTCTGACCCTCATTTCTTCTCCATTGGCCACCTTCATTTGTTTGTACAGTCAACAAACATTTATCGACCATTATATAAAGCTCTGAGCGTAAAAACATGTAAGACACTGTCTCTGCTCAATAGAAGTTTCGTCTAGTTAGCCTCTTGCTTTTACCATGTAATCTATTGTTAATTATTGTTTCTTCCTAGCATTCATCATAGCACTGGCATCATTTATGTCTGTGTTTCTGATTTTGTTTTTTGAGATCCTGCCTTGTTCATAGCTGTATCCCCACTTCCAAGTGCAGGCATTCAATAAATAATTGTTGGCCAATATTTGTGAAGCTCAGACTGCCTGTTGACCTTCTTCCCCCCATCTTTCCAATAAAGATTTTGTGTGTGTGTGGTTGTTTTTACTTGTTCTTTCTCTCAAACGGCAAATAACAGAAGCAGTTACCTTTGGGGGCTTAAAGTGAACTAAATTTGTGTTCTTTGATTCCGTTTTTGTATTGCTTCATCCTAATACTCGTCTCCGTAGAGCGGAGCATTGTCCTTTTCTCTTCAAAAACTTGTTTACAATATTTAAGAAAATAAGAAAGAAGGAAAAGCCATCCATAATCCTACCACTCTAATGCAATAGTTTTTTCATTTTTAAAATTTACCACCTTTTCTATAGTTTTCATAAGTATTGTTTTTATTGGCTGCATAATATTCAAATGTATTAATGTAAAAAAACCTAGACATGTAACTCTTCTGCTTAAAACCTTTCTAAGACTACCCAGTGCCCTTGGTGACAACTCAGGGTTATTTTTAGCCTTAGTACCAATTTAAGAAAAATAACAATATTTAATTAGCTTTTCTTTTCATTTAGAATAAAGATAAGAATGTCAGTAGAAAATTGGCTTTGCATTGCAGCCTCTACGATTTTTAGCATGGATATAATTGATACGTTGAACCGAGGAAGTGGCTTTCTAATTTTGTATGCCTTATAATCATAGACTTTCACTTCACACATGCATCCACATGCAGTAATTAATTGTTAAACCTGGTTTTTACAAATGTGGAAGAAAGACCCAAAGATTCCTTTGCATGGAATGTTCTCTGTTCAGATATTTATGTGGCTACTTTATCATCCTTTCGGTATTAATAAAAATGTCGCTTTAGGAAGGTCTTACCTGACACCCTGCCCACAACCAAAGTAGCTTTCCATTTCGGCTGCCTTCTTCCTCATTTCCATGTTTTATTTTCTTCTTGGCATTTATTACTATGGTTCATTTGTATATTCATGTGTTTGTTATCTGTCCATGAGGTCCAAGATACTGTCTGTCTTGTTCTCTCCTGTATTCACCAGCATCTAGATCAGTTGCGGGCACATAGTAGAGTTGTAGTGAATATTTGTTTAATAAAAAGCACCTCTCTAGAGAGGTGTGGTTACCTTGGAAACACCACCATTGCCCCCTGCGCCCCTCCCTGCTCATTTTTTCTGTTTTGTATTAACTGAAAGGTTTATTTGAAATGAAATCTGAAATCAGAGGTCACGTATTCAATCTTGCTCACCACGGCACAGGATGAAGTTCAAACTCCTTTACATGGCTTTTCAGGTCCCTTATTGATGGGACCCTGGCTCTTCTCTCTTCAGCTGTGGCTCCAATTTATTCTTTAGACTTCCTGAACTTCTTTTAGTTCCCTAACCTGGCGATGCTATGGTGCCTCCAGATTTCCACACAGTGTGTTTTCTCTTTCTGGGCCTTTTCCTCATATCCCTCCCCTTCTTTAAGCCTTCAGATCTCAAGTTGAACATCCAAGAAGCTTCCCCTAGACTGGACTAGATGTCCCTATACCTACTGCCATAGTACCCTTCACCTACTTCCCCTGTAACAACACTACCACATTGTTTGGTAATTACTTGTTTATCTCCTCCATAGATTATAAACTCCTTGAGAGTAGCATTCATGCTCTCATTTGCCATTCTATCCCTTGGACCTGGCACATATTAGGCACTAATAAATATTTGTTAAATGATTAAAAGGGTGAATAAATGATCCAAGAAAGGTGTCTTTTATAGTTAATTCTTTAATAACTGTCCTGCTGATGGCCATCTTTTTTTTTTAACAGTAGCTAATTTTCAACCCAGAAGTCACTTTTTTAAAAGCAACTGTTAACTAACTCATGTTTTGAGCCCTCTATACCGTCATAAGACTTATCAGTTCCAGAGTACACTCTTAAGTCCTAAGGTCAAGACTCTGTACAATTCTGAAAGTATCAAGTCTCATTTTTAATAAGAAGCTATACGCCTTCCATTTTATTTGCAAAGCTATTTGAAATTGCATTTTGCTTCTGCTTTCTTTTTGGATCCTCTATAATCTTGCCAGAATTTGTGTTTACTTGGATGTAAATGAATTCTCCAGCTACTTGTGTGTGTGTGTGTGTGTGTAGTTTAAGTCTTTTTTTTTTTTTCAACTTTTATTTTATTTTAGATTTGGTACTTGTGCCGGGTATATTGTGGGAGCTCAGGTTTGGGGTACAAATGATCCGGTCACCCAGGTACTGAGCATAGTACTCAATAATTAGTTTTTCAACCCTTCCCCCTTCTCCCCTCCCCTGCCCCCAAGTAGTCTCCAGTTTCTGTTTTTGCCATCTTTATGTTGGTGAGTACCCAATATTTAGCTCCCACTTAGAAGTGAGAACATGTGGTATTTGGTTTTCTGTTCTTGCATTAATTTGCTTAGGATGATGGCCTCTAGCTGCATCTATGTTGCTGCAAAGGACATAATTTTGTTCTGAAAGTCTTTTTAAGCTTTTCTTTTTCAATGTGAAAGGAGGCCACAATGAAATATTAAAGGTATATATCTGTTTCTCTTTTCTTCCATTCCCCTCCCCACCATATAAACTTAAAATTTTTGCTTGTTTTCTCTTCCATTTCATAGCAATCTTGGTGATTTTTTTTTTAATCATCCATTTCCACTATACATACCACCCTCAGTCCTAACTGCCCAACTTCTCTGTCTTCAGTCGTGGCTTCATAAGTCATATAAATATGGTCTCTAAACTCTGAATTTACATCTGTCTCCACCGGTAAATATTTATAATAGCCAAAGGATATCCTGGACATTTTCTCCTAATCTGTTTGACCCTTTCCTTTTCTGCTTGATCTAGATGCTTGGATCCAACTTACTTTCTTACACCCTCTTGTTCGTTTACCTTCATGTATATATAAGTCCACACTTGGATCACTGCTATAGTTTGTTTACTACTAATACAGAGGCCTGAAGGCTACTATAGAAAATCACATAGCTGTGTAGTTTGCCAACGCCAGGAGTTTAACCCTCAGCTCACTGAATTATTCCTTTTCTTGACCTTAATCAGCTACTTGTTTCATTCCCCTCAAAGTTTCTCCGAATCTTTGTCACTCTCCTCAAAGCTCCTTTTTCTAACTCACCTCTCTTACTCTTAGCAGATAACCTTGCCTCGTACTTACTCAACAAAAGTGAAGCCAAAAGGTATGATCTCCTACTATGAATACTTTCTGCATTTTAATCTAAAAGGTTATCTGTGTTCACAACCATTCTTACCTCCTTTCCTCCCATTTCAGAAAACGGGGTTCCCCTACTCCGGTTTAAAGCCATTCTACCTACCTTTGATCTTAGAGTAGCGTATTTTGAAGTGGTTAAAAGCACAGATTTTCTAAACAGACAGACTCAATAAGAGCTGAAAAAATAATATTTAAAAAAAAGCACAGATTTTGGAGTCAAACAAGCTTGAGTTCAATCTTGATTCTGACACTTACTATAAATTGATTAACTTCTCTAAACCTCATCTTTCTCCGTGAAAATAGGATAATCAAACCACTGTACTGAGTTTTTAATTATTTTTATAAGATTATAATGCTAAGTACTACTTAGAGAGCCTGTAGTATAGTAAATGCTCAATAAAAGTTACCTAATCATATTAATAATAGTATTATCAGTTTATCCTCTAGTATTCCACCATCCTTCTCATCTTTTTCTCCTTACTTGACTGCTTTCTTTCCCCTTGGCCAATAAACTTTCCCTTTATTCCACATTCTTCTCTAGCCTATTATCTAATGTTTTCTTTTTTTCTCATTCCTGGCTCTCCCTAGAGTAATTTGCATTTACTGTCCCCACTGCTTTAGCTCCCATTCATTCTGACCTGCTACACTCTGGTTCCTGCCTCTACCTCACTATTCAAAATTGTTTTCCTTATCCTCTAGTGTTTTCTTCTTGGCACATTGCTCTCCTTACTCTAGATACTATTCCCAGGTGATCTCATGTACTTTGGTGGTTTCAACTCATAGGTATATCTTAGACCTGCCTTCACAATCTGTCTTTTATTCCAGATACTTGCTGGATATCTTGATCCATCTTGCTGGCTGTCCCTCAGGCCCTTAGTGTGTTCAAAAATGAGCTCATCATTTTCCCCATCCTCTGCCCCCTTTCCTAAACCTCTTCTTTCTCCAGTATTCTTTATATAAATTGGGTAGCTTCACTCTTCATCCTGTATTCCAAACTAGTCATCCTTGACTTCTCCCTGTTGATTTTACCTTCTAAATAGTTCTCAAATCTGTTTTCTCCTCTTCTGTCACCAAATGTCTTAATTCAGGGCTTTATCATCTTTCATCTGAATTCCCATAACACATTTCTATAATGTTTCTCTTTCTACACTGTTGTTTCCTTCAAGTGTGTCTTCCATACAGCCACCATACCGCTCTATATAATATAAAACAAATCAGACCATGCCATTTCCCTGCTTAAATAACCCTCATCACCTACAGACTATAATCTAAGCTCCTTAGGGTGGCCTTCAAAGCTCTCAGTGATTGGACATCCACTCCTCCTGTCTAGCCTCATTTTTAACCTCTTCCTTCTTTGAATTTCATCTTCTAGCAGCACCAAACCATGTGTAGTTCCCGGCATATACCATGCTATTCACTCTGCGCCTTTACTCATGCCCTTTGCTATCTGGAAAGCCCTGTCCTCCTACCCCTACCACCTGTTTTTACCCTACCTGATTCGTTTTTTGTTTGTTTGTTTTGTTTTGAGACAGGGTTTCGCTCTGTCACCCAGGCTGGAATGCAGTGACATGCTCACAGCTCACTATAACGTCTACCTGCCAGGCTCAAGTGGCCCTTCCACTTCAGCCTCCCCATAAGCTGGAACTACAGGCACGCACCACCATACCTAGCTAATTTTTGTATTTTTTGTAGAGATGGGGTTTCACCACGTTGCCCAAGCTGGTCTCGAACTCCTGGGCTCAAGCGATCTACCCAAAGTGCTGGGATTACAGACGTGAGCCACCATGTCCAGCCTCCCTACTTGATTCTTATTCATCCTTTGAGAGGATGGTTTTTATGTTAGGGGTGGTGGAAACCTTTGACTGTGTGATGAATACCTTGAAACCACTCTAGAAAAATGCACATAACCCCAAAATGTGCATACAATATCAGGTTTTAACCCCAAATTAAAACTTCCTTCGGCTCGGGCATTATCTTCTCCAGAAAATCTGTCCTAACCCCTTACAGATTGGTTTGGTCTCCCTCTTTCATATTGTTTTACAATATCATGTATGTATTTCTATCATTGCACATCCATATTATGTTATAATTATTTATGTACTGTCTTCACTATATTGTGAGCTCCTAGAGGGTAGTAACCATCCTATTCATCTTTGTATCCTCAGCACTTAGCATAGCACGTAGGAGTTATTACAGAAAATTTAAGATTGAATGCTGAAGAATAAACCATCTTTTATGTAGACCACTTAGCCATTCAGCAAGCACTTATGGAGAGCCTGCTACGTACCAGGCTTTGTGCTGGATGCCAAGGATACAAAGATTACAAGACAAACATGGTTTTTGTCCTCATAGAGCTTATAATCTAATGTCAAAAAATATTTAAATCACACATTACAAAACTGTATGGTAAGCACTTTGATGAGGGAAGTACAATGTAAAACAGGATTATATAAAAAGCAATTTATCTGCATTTGGGAGGGCAGAGAGGGCCTTCCAGGGGGAGTAAATAGCATAACTGGGAGAGGGCTAGAGAGAAGTTCCTTTCAGAGGACATCTACACAGGTCTCGATGTGAAAGAATATGGATCTAAAGAACCAAAGAAGTTCCAGGGGGCTGAACACATGAGTTTGCTAGGCAGCAGGGGCATGATAAGAAGCTAAAGTAGTCTGTGCTAAACTACTGAGTTTACACTTGCTCAGTAAAGTAGTCCCTAGAAAGACATAAAATCATTTTATTCATAAAGGTCCTAGCCAGTTTAAGAAGAAAAGAGTAGTTGTGTCAGTGTGTATGTATAGAAAGTTCTGTTTACTACAGACCAGCTTTATCAGCTGTCATGTGGCTACGGTCTCTGCCAGTTTGAAACAAAACTGACGAAAGAGGGATCCTGCAATCTCTCGGCTTTACATTGAGATGAAAACCACTTTTATGTAGATTAGGCAGGATGGTGGAGAAGCTAAGAAAACTCTCTGAAGGAAACAGATATAAAAAATATTAGGCTTTCTACTACTCCTCTAATTTTGGTCTCAACTCCTCTCCCCTGAAGTTTTTATTTTTTAAATTAATTTATTTTTATTTATTTTTTGAGACAGGGTCTCACTCTGTTGCCCAGGCTGGAGCGCAGTGGTGCAATCATGGCTCACTGCAGCCTCAACTTCCTAGGCTCAGGTGATCTTCCCACCTCAGCCTCCCAGGTGGCTGGGACTACAGGCACACCCCACCACCCCCAGCTAATTTTTATGTGTGTGTGTTTTTTGTAGAGACGGGTTTTCACCATGTTGGCCAGGCTGGTATTATTTTTAAATACTTGCAATCAGGGATCATCCATAAGAAGCAAGTCTCACTCTGACACCTTTTCTTTTTTTTCGAGACCTAGTCTCACTCTATCACCCAGGCTGGAATGCAGTGGCACGATATTGGCTCTCTGCAACCTCTGCCTCCCAGATTCAAGCGATTCTCATGCCTCAGCCTTTGGAGTAGCTGGGAATACAGGTGCCCACACCCAGCTAATTTTTGTATTTTCAGTAGAGACGGAGCTTTGCCATGTTGGCCAGACTGGTCTTGAACTCCTGGCTTCAGGTGATCTGCCCACCTTGTCCTCCCAAAGTGCTGGGATTACAAGTGTGAGGCACCGTGCCTGGCCACTGACTCCTTTTCTATTTGCAAACTTCTCTGGCTCATATAATGATTATCATAAGATTATGGCAAAATATGTACTTCCATTTTTGTCTTAAAGCATACTCTGTAACATGGATAACTTCAAAACTCCAAGGGCATTTAAAAATTTATTTCCAATGTCATGAGCTTTAATAATAGGTCTTATAAGAGTGGATCTTATCTTTAATCCCTGAAATAAGTTAACCGTCTAGTTAGCAGACCTTTTATCATAAAAGAGTTTCTATAAAACATTTCTCAAAAGAAAATATGTATTGACATTCTATTTTCTTTCTCCTCCAGATACTATTTTTTGGATTTGGGTGGCTTTTCTTCATGCGCCAATTGTTTAAAGACTATGAGGTGAGAAGAAATCATTTTGTCATACTTACACTATATGATTTAGATTGACAAGAAAAATGTCTCCATTAAAGAAACATTATGTTCATTTCCAAGATAGGAAGCTTTTACCAAATAAGTACTATATAACTATTAGATTGCAGAATATAAGTAGACTTAATTGATTTAAAAGGGGGGAAAAAAGGCAAATCAAATATAGCCCAGAAGTTAGGAGCAAGGATTATGTCTTAGTCATATCAGGATATGTACCAATAGCAAATAGTTATTCTGTAGGAGAGAATTTAATTCATAATGTCTCACAAATGTTCCCTTTCATTTGTCTATCTGGCCCTGAATTGCAAACCTTATATTATAAGTTAATACCAAAATCCCAAGGCTATCAGGGGAACCAGTCCCCAATATTTCAACATAGGTTCTTTCTGTTTTCCTTAAGTGTCGGCCGGTCTGAGAAATAAAGAGAAAGAGTACAAAGAGAGAAATTTTACAGCTGGGCCTCCAGGAGTGCCATCACATATTGGTAGGACCGTGATGGTGACTCCGAGCCACAAAACCAGCAAGTTTTTATTAGGGATTTCAAAAGGGGAGGGAGTGTACGAATAGGGAGTGGGTCACAGAGATCACATGCTGCAAAGGGCAGTAAAATCACAAAGCAGAGGCAAAAATTAGAATTACTGATGAGGGTCTGTGTCCCACTGTGCACACATTGTCTTTATAAACATTTTAACAGGAAATAGGGTTCAAGAGCAGACAACCAGTCTGACTAGAATTTACCAGGCTGGAATTTCCCAATCCTAGTAAGTCTGAGGGCACTGTAGGAGACCAGGGTGTATTTTAGTCCTATCTCAACCGCATAAGACAGACACTCCCAGAGCGGCCATTCATAGACCTCTCTCCCAGAATGCATTCCTTCCCCAGGGTTATTCCTTGCTGGAAAAAGAATTCAGCAGTATTTCTCCTACTCGCTTTCTGCAAGAAGAAGAGTATGACTCTATTCTGCCCAACCCCGCAAGCAGTCAGACCTTATGGTTATCTTTCCGTGTTCCCTGAAAATTGCTGTTATTCTGTTCTTTTTCAGGGTGCACTAATTTCATATTGTTCAAACACACATGTTTTTCAAACAATTTGTACAGTTAACGCAATCATCACAGGGTACTGAGGTGACATACATCCTCAGTTTACAAAGATGACGGGATTAAGAGATTAAAGTAAGACAGTCATAAGAAATTTAAAAAGTATTAATTTGGGGAACTAATAAATGTCCATGAAATCTTCACAATTTATGTTCAGAGATTGCAGTAAAGACAGGTGTAAGAAATTATAAAAGTATTAATTTTGGGAACTAATAAATGTCCATGAAACAATTTATGTTCTTCTGCTGCGGCTTCAGCCAGTCCCTCCATTCGGGGTCCCTGACTTCCCGCAACACAAGGCTGGTGTTGTTTTTATCTTAAGCTTTGGATTCAGAAGATCACCACCCTAGACTCGACATTTCCTAGTTAGTTCTCCTAATTAGTAATAAGATCAGTGGTTATAGTCTACATTTGGGTCATTTCTAGGATATTCTCCATTAAACTTTCCCAGGGAGTTTATTGTCTGAAAGAGCCTGGGATTCTGGAGATTTTCTTCTGCCCAATACTTTAAGACCTCCCGAGGAAGGTTCCAGAACTGATCCAGGATCTGCAGAGTGTTGAAGAACCCCTTTAAACATTAACCATTATGTACGAATCTGTCAGTTTTTTGTCAGTATGCATCAGGAATTCTAAGTGCTACCTATGACCCTGTCACTTCATCTTCTTGTCCTCAAAATTCTTCATCCACAGGAGGATGCTGGTAATAGTGACTCAAGATTCAGAAGTGCCACCTATATTGATCTTTTTCTTTAGCTCCAGGCAAGTTGCTGTTGTGGCCCTACTTCCAATGACTTGAGAATTTCCTCAAAATAAGTTTTCTGACTTGTAACCAGAAGGAGGTTATCAGTTCAGTTTTTAAACAAGGAAATAACTTCTAGTCTCTGTTTGGCTTTTAACAGATACGTCAGTATGTTGTACAGGTGATCTTCTCCGTGACGTTTGCATTTTCTTGCACCATGTTTGAGCTCATCATCTTTGAAATCTTAGGAGTATTGAATAGCAGGTGAGTAAGAGTACTGAAAACTCCTCTTGAAGAGTTCTGTGCTACATTCTTTACAGTGGAAAAGCTATTGGATCTCATAACTGAAAAAAAAAACACTGTGTTAATAGTTCAGTTTCAGTAACTGCAATGATCACAACAGATATGGGTCACAGCCACCTAATAGCTGGTTTGATAAAGATTATGAGATACCAGGAAACAAAAGATCTGACCGTTAACTCTGAAGAACTCATTGGAGTGAGGCTGTGAAGCTGCAGTCTAGGCTTCACTCCTAGAAGCTTTATTTTTCCAGGACTGCTCGCTGACTGAATCCCAGTAACAGCCCTTCACATTGTTCTGCTGATTGAAAATCTCTACCTGAAAAGATTAGAATTCCTCAGAGCTACTTTAATGATCTCTCTGAAGACTGAAACTCCAGTTCTTACTTAACTTAGTTATTTTTATTGATTTTACAGTCATGGTCAAGTTTGGTTGAATTTAAAGTGTTTCTTAAAACACTTTTTAAAAATAACTCTTTACTCCCCTCCAAATAATAGACTTGTTAGTTTATTAGACAGTCTATTCAAAATATTTCTTGCTTGTTAATCTGCAAGCTTGAGTATGTTTTTAGGCCAGCATTTATATGTAGGGTTCATCAACTATGCTATGCAGACTTTGTTGTGCTTTTTTATCACCACCTGGAAAAACCTTTTAGGAGTAAAGCAGTCTTTCACTCTAAAGTTAGGATTCAGTGCCAAGGTAAGTTCATTATAGACCCCTGGCACTTGAGACTTGTAGAGAGACTATACTCTCAAATCCTTTGATAATCAGAGTTGAAAACGAAATTTAAATTAAAAAGAAAAACTTACTATACAGATGGTTAATCACAAAACATTGAAAGGTTAAAAAAAAAAAAAGAAGAGAGAGGGGCCAGACATAGTGGCTCACGCCTATAATCCTAGCACTTTGGGAGGCTGAGGCAGGAGGATCACTTAAGTGCAGGGGTTCAAGACGAGCCTGGGCAACAAAGTGAGACCCTGTCTCTACAAAAAAATAAAAAAAATTAGCAGAGTGTGGTAGTACACGTCTGTAGTGCCAGCTACCCTGGAGGCTGAAGCAGGAGGATCCCTTGAGCCCAGGAGTTTGAGGATATGCAGTGAGCTGTGATCACTGGACAAGACAATGAGACCCCATCTCTTAAAAAAAAGAGTGAGAGAGAGAGAATCAGAGTTGATAATAATGGTCTCTTGATAGAACAATGAATAACATGTATTATGGTAAAATAGAAGTGTTTTCTGATTCTCCTGCTTTTAAACTTTAATAATCCAAACCTTGGCCGGGCACGGTGGCTCACGCCTGTAATCCCAGCACTTTGGGAGGCCAAGGCAGGCGGATCACGAGGTCAGGAGATCAAGACCATCCTGGCTAACATGGTGAAACCCCGTCTCTACTAAAAATACAAAAAATTAGCTGGGCGTGGTGGTGGGCGCCTGTAGTCCCAGCTACTTGGGGGGCTGAGGCAGGAGAATGGCCTGAACCCAGGAGGCAGAGCTTGCAGTGAGCCGAGATTGTGCCACTGCACTCCAGCCTGGGCGACAGAGCAAGACTCCATCTCAAAAAAATAAATAAATAAAAAATAATCCAAACCTTTTCTTGGATGAGCTAGATATAGATCCTGTGACTATAGAGAATAGACAGGTATTATTTTACATAATGGTTATTAAATTTTATTATCACAACCTGCATCTTTCACTGCTATTTAAGCAGGGGTTGGCAGGCTTTCTTCTGTAAAGGGCCAGATAATAAATATTTTAGGTTTCTGTGGACCAGAAGGTTTCTATCACAAGTACTCAGCTCTGCTGTTGTAGAGAGAAAACAGTCATAGGCAATATATAAACAAACGAGCATGGCCATGCTCCAATAAACTTAATTTGTAAAAGCAGGTGGCTGTGAGGCCATAGTTTGCCAGCTACTCATCTAAATATTGATACAGAGGATTCAGATATTCTAAAGCTATATTTACTGTTTTTGGTAGATGATGTCCCCCAACTTTTAACTTATAGTTAATAACCCGTATAGTAAGAAACATCTGTCATACTATGGTGTATGTTTCCTAAATTTCTTAATTAGTTAAAGAGGATAAGAAGTAGCATTGCTAAAATCTGGTTTTTCTTTGTGTGCTATATAGAGGATTGGGTCTGAGACATATCTTCAGTTATACCTGTTTTTTCATGCTAATGTTTCACCCAATTATGGAACACAAATATGAACCTTGATGATGTATAACTGTCCATTGACTGGACTCAGAATCGTTTTGAAAAGAGAATCTTGGCCAGAATATTCCTTTGACTCACCTTTGAGCAGAGATCATATGACTTCCTATTCAAATATGTAATCTTGTTGGGATGCTTAGTTTTTTCAAGAGAATATCACTTTACTCTCAGCTCAAAAGACTAGTTAAAACATGTGGTTCACTTTTAATAGGCAGTCCATACTGCCAATTAAAGTTGCACTTGTTATTTCAAACCCACTGCTTCCCAAAATCTTTCAGAAGCTTAGCTGAAATACTATGTAGTATTGCCTGGAGGATGTCCAGCTTGTTTCTTTCTCTAAATGTTCTAAAGTAGTTGTTAACCTAGAGGAGCAAAAAGCTGTCAATGTATCTAGTCTAAATGGTATTCACTCCCTGTAGGGTAGCTTTTACTGAATGGCTCTTTGTTTCGTGATGCCTGCCATCTGTACTAAGGAAGGAACAATAAGAAACAGCCCTCTGAAACATATTTCTCTTGAAAGGATGTTGTTGATGACACTGTTAATTGCCTTTGCATTTTCTTTATGAAATCTTTGAAGAAATTTCATTGTAATCTTGTTAATAATTCAGTAACAATAAATGATAATTATGCTTCCTTTGAGGAATTAATTTTTATTTTCTTACAGACATGATGATTTTATCTAACTGATCAAATTTTTTATTTCACATTGACCATTAGAAAACTTAAAGCTAAATTTATGACCTACCCATAGCAACTTTCTAGAATTCTGTTTTATAATAGCCATCAGGCTTGGCCCAATATTTTACCTGTTACCATTGTTGTTCATATTTCCTTATAGTTCATTTCATCATCCTGTATTTTATTTATCTTTGTAAGCCATTTAACCACTTAGGCCTTTTTTGAAACAAGGCTTAAGTAAGTTTAAAATCAGTAAATACAAAGGACACCATCAAGAAAGTGAACCAACATTCCAAAAACAAGAGAAAATTTTTATAAATTACCTATCTGATAATGGACTGGGACTCGTATCTAGAATATATAAAGAATTCTTATAGTTTAATCATATAATACAATTAAAAAATGAATAAAGGATCTGAATAGGCATTTCTCCAGAGATGATATACAAATGGCCAGTAAGCACATATGAATAGATGCCCAATACCATTAGCCATCAAGGAAATGCAAATCAAAACCACAATGAGATACCACTTCACACCAACTAAAATGGCTATAACCAAAAAAAAAACAGAAAATAACAAGTGTTGGCGAGGCTGAGGAGAAACTGGAACTCTCATACACTCCTGAGGAAAATGTAAAATGATGCAGCCACATTGGGAAACAGTGGGAGTGCCTAAAAGATTAAATATAGATTTATCATATGACCCAACAATTCCACTCCATTTCTACCTAAAGAGAAATGAAAACATACGTCCACACCAGAATGTATACACACACATTCCTAGCGTCTCTATTTATAATAGCTAAAAACAACCCAAATGTCCTCAATTAATGAATGCAGAAACAAAATATAATATATCCATATAATGGGATGAATATTGTTCAACCATAAAAGGAATTATTGATAGATACTACAACATGGATGAACCTTGCAAACATTATGGTAAGTAAAAGAAGCCAGTCACAAAAGATTACATATTGGTGGTTTCCTAGAAACAGAAAGTATATTGGTGGTTTCCTAGAGCTGAGGAGATTGGGGAGAAACAGGGAGTGACTGCTAATGGGTACAGGGTTTCTTTATGGCGTAATGAAAATGTTCTAAAATTGATTTAGGTGATGGTTGCACAACTCTTGAGTATACAAAAACCATTGAATTGTACACTTTAAATGGGTAAATTATATCTCATTAAAACTGTTATAAAAAGTGCTAACAAAAAGTTTTAATAAATGAAGTACATCTTATAAACTAATAAAAGTAATTCATGCAAATCAGGTGTTTATATCAAGAGTACAAAAGAAATATTTTTGAGTATAACATATATTACTGTTAACATTTATTTTCCTTTAATTCTTACATTGGAATGAGATTCCTAGGGGTGGGTAAAACAATAGTCATTCTACCAGCAATGGCATATGTTGATACATGTTAATGGTATATGTTGCCTATGAATATATCAAAAACATAAACATTCTTATTTTAATATATGAAATTCTTAAGATGTTAAGATGGTCATATATACCTTTCAAAAATTTGTATTTTTTAATCTCTACAAATGAGTAGATTTTAAGAGCCTAGTAGGCTGATTAGATAGGATATATTCAATATTGAGTCCAAAGAGCAAAAGGACCCTTTGGAAGACTAAAGAGAAAGAAAGTTGCTGCCCTCTCTTCCTCCCAGTGACAGTCTTTGACATTTATTTCAGCTCCCGTTATTTTCACTGGAAAATGAACCTGTGTGTAATTCTGCTGATCCTGGTTTTCATGGTGCCTTTTTACATTGGCTATTTTATTGTGAGCAATATCCGACTACGTAAGTATTTTACCCTCTCAGTCAGCATATAGATTGAGATGAGTATTTGAGGGGACTTAAATTGTGGATAGCTTCATTTCTACATTAACTTTCAGTATCTACCGCTATTTGAGGATACCTCACACACAACATCTTAAAAATAAATATAAAATAAATATTGAATGAATTGGCACAAAATAAATATTGAATGAATGATTAGGTTATTTGTTCTGCCACAGCTTTATTTTTCTACCTATTAATAATGTCTCCTTTAGTTCATCCCACACCTTAAATTCAGCTAAATTTCTCTTACGATGGTAAGGATGCTTTCACTAAAAATTATGCTGTTCATCAGTCATTTGCCAAGTGAATTAGCAGCCAAATATTAGTTAGCATTATCTTATATTTTTAAATAGAGCAAGCTCTTTAACCTATATCTGTTTTTCCTAACAGTTTTGTCTCCTCTGTCTCAGTGCATAAACAACGACTGCTTTTTTCCTGTCTCTTATGGCTGACCTTTATGTATTTCTTCTGGAAACTAGGAGATCCCTTTCCCATTCTCAGCCCAAAACATGGTGAGTATATATAGGAGGGCAGAGGAAGTGGGGGGAGACGATTTGTTTAATTTTCTGATTTCAAAAACAATTAATTAAATTTCTTGGGGAAAAAATGTATTTGGGGAAATAATTTATTAATTCACAGGTTCTTGGGATTTGGAAAAAAATTTTTCTGATTGAGGAGGATAGCAAGCTATTTCTCTGAAAAATGTCTGATTTTGAACCACATTTTCTCCTTCATTCTAAGAGATAACTAATGCTGGTTTTGGACCTCACTTCTGTCATTCTAGAGTAGGAATTTTTGACCTTCATTTACTGAATATACTTAAAGGGTATAAGGAAAGAGAACGGTGTCTAACTCATATTGTATATGGAACTACAGGAATATATTTGTATGTGTATTTGGAGGTAAGGTATCAATAAACTTTTATCAGATTTGGGTAGCAGATTTGGGTCTGTGACCCAAAAGGTAAACGGCCACTGCTTAAGTGATGATAAAGATACATTAGGGAAGCATATGTATTTGAGGAAAGGTGACATAAAACACCCACAATTAGTAGATAAAGAAAAGCTTTCCAAGAATCGGTGTCTCCCCTCTAACAAAAAAAGTTTATTTTAAAACAAGAAATTTGGCAGAGCCCTAATTTTTAAGCTAAAAACAATGAACAAAAGTACCTCAGCTAACAAGTCCTTCCAGAACTATTTCAGAAGTATGTATGAATCTATCTAAAAAGATTAGAGAATCTATCTAAAAAGATTAGAGAGCCCATCTGTAATAAATATACTACAGGTTTCATGCTGGAACCTTTTTAAAAAAATCTATATATATATACCTCTTTATTCACCATCCTGCCGTACCTATTACTAGGCTTCTTATTGCAGAAAACAGAATCTACTGTAACTAATTTAAAGCAGAAAGTGATTAATTATACAGTATCAGGCAATTTATAGACTTTCTAGGAAAGTAGGGATGCAAAGCTTAACTGCTATATAGTGAAGAGAAATACCCAACTATGCCACAATACTAAACTAGAAAACCTCACTGAAGTTATCACCTGCCACTCAGGGTCTATGACATCAGGGACCTCAGTCCCAGCTGTTTGAGCTCCTAAGTGCTATCACCACCCCTACATTGTTCATTTCTGCATCTGAGGCCTCACATGGGCCGGGTTTTTTGGTGAAACCTAGGTAATATTTAAAACCTTGGCCTCAAGGAAGTCTGAGAAGGGGCTTTTGGCTTTCTAAACTCTGTAGTACCAAAACAAATGCTGGAAAAGGATATTGGAATTAATGTTGAATGAGCCAGTGTCTATTATAGAATCTGCCATACCTCCCACACACCCTTCCATGTATACTGATTGCCTATAGCAGGAATTTCGGGAGAGAGGTTATGAGACTCTCCTGCAGTAAGATCAGAGGAGATATGCAGTTTTGAAAAGCATATGCAATACCATAAATAGTTGTGTATTTTTAAAATAAGAATAACTTTCAAAATTTCAAATAACGTTAAAGGCCGGAAAACTTAACATAACACCAGCCTGCCAAAAGCATTCAAACTCTTAGGTGGCGTATGAGACCTTTCATGACCTGGCTGCTGCTCTCTATACATGTTGCATTCTCCAGTCCTGTGAAATTATTTCAAGTTTCTTTTTTTTTTTCTTTTTGAGACAGGTCTCACTCTCACCCAGGCTGGAGTGCAGTGGCATGATCTTGGCTCACTGCAACCTCCGACTCCCAGGCTCAAGTGATCCTCCTACCTCAGCCTCCTGAGTAACGGGGACTATGGGCGCATGCCACCATACCCGGCTAATTTTGGTATTTTTTCATAGAGATGGGGTTTCTCCACGTTGCTCAGGATGGTCTCGAACTCCTGAGCTCAGGGGATCAACCCACCTCAGCTTCCCAAAGTGCTGGGATTACAAGTATGAGCCACCACACCCAGCCTCAAGTTTCTAGAGCTGTTCTATCAGCCTGGACAATCCTTCACCAACCCTGTCTACCTAGAAAATGCCTATTTATCCTTTCTAGATTCAACTCTTGTCAATTCCTTTAGGAAGATTTTCCTGGCCATCATTAGGAGATATTAATTGCTACCATCTCAAGGTATCTATATCATCTATAAAACTTAAAATTTCATGTTTCCTTTTCTAACTTCCTCATCAACCTATGGGCTCCCTGAGGTCAGAAAACTCCATGTTATTTGTCTTTGTATCCCCAGTGCCTAGTGTGGAAACTGACACATAACAAGTGTTTAATACGTGTTCTTTGAATCAGTGGATGGAAGAAAATTGAGTCTCTCCAAAGTGGTAGATGAGTTTACTACTTTAACACTCTGGATAGGAATTTAGGAAATGCTAATGTGATCAGCATGCCTATGTCAATGGTCAACAAAGGGAACGACTTGCACTAAAGAGTCCTGGTAGTATAGTTCTCATATAAACCTATTTCAAAGAAACCCACAGACAGACACATTTATCTGTGACGGTAGAAGTCAGAGAGAAGAGTTAGAAAAGGCCCCCAGGGCTGCTGACAGGGCAAATACAGTCTCACATGCACTACAAAGACCCGACTCTGACACCTTTCTCCAGCTTTCTCCTGTGTGCATTCAGCTCACATGACCAGTGCAGCCAGGCCGCACCAGAGGGAAGATGAAGGCCATTGTATCTATTGTCCTTTCATCCACCCCTTTTTCTAAATTCTATGGGATTACCCTGAAAAGGACACTGAGGGAGAAAGCTAGGGAGATAGTTTCAGTTTTATTCTTTCCATTGTACTCCAATAGGCATTACAGTTTTATGCCTGAATGTTCAGGTATCTTAATTTATTTAACCCTTTAAGATAAGTAAGGAGGAAGAAAAGTTTAGGTAGTAGCTGAGAAGCAACCAGCCTTACACTGCCTTCTTAGAGCTTTCCCAGGACTGTCCCAACAACCAGTATGGTTGTTTATTGCTGTGGTGACCACAAAAAAATGGGCTGGGCAGGTTGGCTCACCCCTATAATCCCAGCACTTTGGGAGGCCAAGGCAGGGATATCACTTGAGGCCAGGAGTTAGAGACCAGCCTGGCCAACATGGCAAAACCCCATCTGTACTAAAAATAGAAAAATTAGCCAGGCATGGTGGTGCATGCCTGTAATCCCAGCTACTCCCCGGAGGCCGGAGACACAAGAATTGCTTAAACCCAGGAGGCTGAGGTTGCAGTGAGCCGAGATCGTGCCACTCCCCTCCAGCCTGGGCGACAGAGCGAGACTCTACAAAAAAAAAAAAAAAGATAAGACCAATCCTTATGTAAAATGAAAAAAAGATAATCTGTAAAAGTACTTCTTGTGCGGTGTCTGAACCAACCTTGGAATGTCCTTAGTGGGAAAGAGTAAGAGAGATTACAAAAGACTGTAAGGAATCTGTGTGAGCAGGTGGCAAAGGTGAGATGATCTTCTGCTAGTCTCCTTATTCATCTGACTTTCCATGTATTAACTGCTAAATGGGGATAATGATGACTGACTCCTACTTCATAGAAATGCTGAGATTAAGTAAATAGTATCTACAAAGTACTTTAAACCAGAAAAAGATATGTAATAAAAGGACAAAGACACCATGTTAAAAGGAATAAAGGTAGAGGGGGAATTTTTTCAGTTTTTCAAATTTAATAGCCCATATTAATCTCTTGGATTTTTTATGTTACTGAGTGATATTATAGTCAACAAACATTTGTTGAACACCTCATATGTGCCAAGCAGTAAGGAAAACAAAGATCAATAAGAAATGATGTCTTCTTGTAAAGGGGTTGCAAATTCAAGAGGTATACGGCAAGTAGAATAACAGAATTTAGGTGAGGATTTATTCGTTCATTCAGCATTACACAAATATTTATTGAGCATCCACTTTATATAAATTAAGCACTGGAAATAAACCACAAACGAAACAAACTTGGTTTCTGCCCCCCTGAAATTGATAGTCTTGTGGGTGGAACTAGACAATAAAGAGGTAAATATATAAATAAATAATTGCCAATTGTGATCATTGTCATCAAGGAGTGAACAGGTTGCTGTGATAGAGAAAAATGCCGATAATGTAGTGCAAACAGTTAGATCCACCCTTTCTGAGACAGGGATATTTAAGCTGAGATTTAAAGGACAAGACCAAAGGAAGACCCAGCAAGAAGGCACAGGAGACATCATGTAAAGCCCTGAGGCAGAAAGACCTTGGTGTATTCAAGGAAAGGCAAGAGATAGAATGGAAAGTAATCGTATAGTGTATAGATTTTATTGTTAGGGTGATTATGTCATTTTCTAAGACAGGTAATGCAGAGGAAGGAACAAGTTGAGGGGAAAGATAATTTTAGTTTGGTATATGCTGAATTTGAGTTACTTATGCATATCCAGGTGATGTTAAATAAGCAATTGGATGTACAAATCAGGAGCTTAGGGAAAAGGTGTACATGTATCAGTCCTCATAGAGATGACTCCAGGAATCTAAACAACTAGAAATCATCAACTAAATGCCATTAGGTGAAGCTGGGGAAATTGGTGAGATCACCTAAGCAAAAAATGTGTATACTGAAATGAAAGTGAGAACTCTGGTCCAGACAGAGCAAGAAGTGACCAAGAAAAAGCAATTAGAGAAGTAAAAGGGAAAACCTAGGGAAATGGTGTTGTGGAAGCCAAGAAGATAAAATAATTTTAAACAAAAATGATTCAATGTCATAAAAGAGCCAATGAAACAAGGATTGGAAAATGTTGAATTTTGCAACCAGGGGAAAACTTATTACCATAGTGTCGTAGTGGTTAAAGCCCAGACTCTGGAGCTAGACTGCACTTGAATCCTGACTCTGCCCCTTTTATCTGTGTGGCCTTAACTAAGTTACTTAACCTCTCTGTGCCTCCATTTCTTCATCTGTAAAATTAGGTTTTCAATAATATCTACCTCATAGGATTGTTATGAGGGTTAAATGAATTAGAACATGTGAAATGCTTAGAACAGTGCCTAGTCATAGCAGGTGCTTGGTGAATATTACCTATTGCCATTACAATTACTAGTGAAAGTAATTTCATTCAATAAAGAAGAATGGGAAGAAAGCTGGATTGCAGTCAGTTAAGGAATGAACTGGAGGTGAAGAAAAGGTGACAATAACTATAAACTTCTTTTAAGAAGCCTGGCTATTAAGGAGGAAATAGATGGGGGTTGGTAACTAGACGTAAACTCGAAGCCAAGAACAGAATTTCTCTTAGAAAAGAGAATTGAAACTAAAGAGAAAGAACTAGCAAAGAAGGAAATATTGAATATACAAGAGAGAGGAGACAGATGATGGAACAAGACTCTGAAAGAGGTGGAAGGGATTGAATACAATCAAAAGTATGGTGACTGCTAGTTCCAAGATGGTGGCGTAGGGGCAAGCTGGCTTTGCTTACCCCCCTGGCAGAAAACCAAAAACAAATAGCACCAAGATTATCACTAGCAATATCCCAGAACTCACATATAAGGATGAGACAGTTCCCAGGGCCCAGAGAAGATCAGAAGCACAAGTGGAGAAGTCAGCTTTGGATGCTACTTTGTTCTAAGGGAGACAAGTTGGGAGGATGATTGCAGATGTATATTCAATGTTATAAAACAGCCCATAAAACAAAGATTGGAAAATGTTGAATTTTGCAACCAGGAGAAAATTCATGACCATAGTGTAGAGTGAAGGTAGTTTATGGCTAATAGCTATGTCTTTTATAATAAGGACATTGGCAAAGGAGAAGGACAAAGGTAGGAAAAATAAAGAGTAACTGCCGAAGACAATGGAGAGAGATGGCTGACCAAGGGCAAGATAAGGATTAGTCAATAGTGTGAGAGCTCTCTTAGGACTGGAGACCATACATTTGTAATGGCTCCAAAATCAGTACGCATTCTAGCAATTTGAGGCAGCAAAACATGGGCACAGGGAAGGCAGAGTGTTAGACTGATCCAGAGTTGGGAATTTGTAGGATTAGCGCTTCAGAAGGAAGATAGTAGGAGATTGAGGCTCCTGGTGAGAGAATTTGAAGCCAGCAAGCCTGGAGTCCAAGCTAGGTGAAGAATGGAGAAGCAGAAGACCAGAGGTTGCACTGACCTCTAAAACGAGTGTAGTGGAAATAGAAAGACTAGGAATGGAGGCCAGTAGTCAGAAAAGGAATATTGGAATTTTCAGTTTTGAAGCTGACAGAATTCCTGAATTATAGCTCTGGCATTTGACCATAGGAGTGGATGGCTGTAGTGAATTCTATCCTAGAAATAGAAAGTGAAAACCAGTTAAAACCATTCTTTTTCTGCAATGCCAAACTTACTGAGTTATTCTTCAGCATTGCTTTCTCTCATTTATCCCAAATACATCAACCAGCAGTATTTATTTTAACTGCTAAGTTGATTTTCAGCATTCTCACGTGATATGAAACAATTGATAATTAGGATACAATTTATAATCCGAAACTGATGTGTTTGCCTTTGAATTACTCATTCATCTATAAGTTTAGTCCTTTTATTAGATGAATTCTGTGTTTATTGGATGCAAAAAAGAATAAGACAAAAGCAAAAGAGTATCACCTTAGGGGAAATACATATATATCAAAGATAATTAGCACAAAGTAGTTCCTGCTATTTATACTTTTCCAGCAGATTTACTTTCTTAGTTTTTTTTTTTTTGGCCGATGCTTTTACTAAAAGTACTTTGCTTTGTTAGCATTCATGCTACCAAGAGTAAACAGTCAATGATTGTTATTTATAATTATTGTTGTTATTATTTTACTGCTATCACCCAATAAAAGAGATCACTCTGAAGCATATGGGACAGGAGGAAAATCAGTAAACTTTTAGTATATTTATTATAAATCATCTACACATTAATAATTAAAAGTTGGCTTGTATGAGTTAGTTATGTGTAATGGTTAATGTTTTAAATAATGTTTCCTTTTGCAGTACAGATGAGAGCCATTTTGTCTATATTACCTGGCATTAATGTGCCTTGATGTTTTTAGGGATCTTATCCATAGAACAGCTCATCAGCCGGGTTGGTGTGATTGGAGTGACTCTCATGGCTCTTCTTTCTGGATTTGGTGCTGTCAACTGCCCATACACTTACATGTCTTACTTCCTCAGGTAACAGAGCGCTTTGCATCCTTTCTTTTTTGCCCCATTACTTCTTGAATACATATGTCATATTATGCCACCATCTTTAAGATTATATATTAGATCTATGACACTGTCTTTTTATTCTTCTCTTCCTCTGTCCCTGTGGGCATTGACCTGGAAATCTTTCTAAATAAGTATTATCACTTGTACGGCTTGCCTTTATTATTTGTCCTACATTCATTTATTTTTTAAATGGCAAATTTCAATCTGACACTCCCCTCCCACTTTTTTAAAGGCACATTTCTAGTGACCAGCAGTATAAACCAACTCCAACTTCAGCAGTTCAGCTCCCCTCCTAGATATTAACAGAACAGTAGAAGACAATGCCAAGTTAAAAGTGTGCTTAAACATACATCCTAAATGTCACTGAGCTGAGATCATGCCACTGCACTCCAGCCTCGGCGACAGAGCTAGACTCTTTCATAAATAAATGACGGGTTGATGGGTGCAGCAAACCATCATGGCACGTGTATACCTATGTAACAAACCTGCATGTTCTACACATGTATCCGAGAACTTAAAGTATAATAAAAAATAAAATAAAAATATTTAAATATATATTTTATATATATATATAAATGTAACTGGATCAAAGCTAAGAAAAACTGTAAGAGAGCTGGGTGAATTCCATTTCCCTGAGATCCCAGAGGATTAGCTATAAGAAATGAGAGCAAAGGCATTTTAGTTTATTATGGTCATTTTACTATTTTCTAGAAAAAAGTAGTAGGTAACAGTTGAAGTCTATGTTTGTCTCCAGATACCCTGTATCATGCCCAAGAGTGGGACCCCAAAACATTTTGCTAGCAGTTTGTGCTTTTTGTAGGAATGTGACTGACACGGATATTCTAGCCCTGGAACGGCGACTGCTGCAAACCATGGATATGATCATAAGCAAAAAGAAAAGGTAAGATATCAACACTGTAATACATTTGGACTCTTACAATTTCTCAACAAGAAAATTTGACTGTGAATTGGTGCTGGCAGGGAATTTTATCTTATTCATTTTTACTATAAGGTAAAGTACCAGATTTAGTGTTGGCTGGACACAGTGGCTCACACCTGTGATCCCAGCACTTTGGGAGGCCACGACGGGGGGATCATTTGAGCCCAGAAGTTCGAGACTAGCCTGGGTAACATAGTGAGACCCCACCCCTTTAAAATAACAATAAAATTAAAAATATAAAAATTTTTTTAAAAAGATTTAGTGTTTTGTGTGAAAGAAAATTCAATCTCATTTCTTGAATTTAGATCATTCTCCTTAGATAAATTATTAGAATTTTTTTGTTTAATTTTTTAAATTGTAAATTGACAAATTATGGTTGTATGTATTTGTGGCATACAAAGTGGAATAATTAAATCAAGCTAATTAACATATCTATCACCTCACATGTTTATTTTTTTGTGGTGAAAACATTTGAAATTTACTCTCAGTGATTTTGAAATGTGCAATACATTATTATTTATTATATTCATCATGCTGTACAGTATGTTGCAAAGAAAAAAAACCTTATTCCTCCTTGTCTAACTGAAGCTTTGTACCCTTTGACCATCATCTCTCCATTCCTCCCACCCATCCAGCCTCTGGTAACCATCATTCTACCCTCTGCTTCTGTTGAGTTCACTGTTTTAGATTCCACATATAAGTGAGAACATGCAGTATTTGTCTTTCTGTGTCCAACTCATTTTGCTAGCATAGTGCTCTCCAGTTACATTCAAGTTGTCACAAATGAAAGAATTTCCTTCCTTAAGGCTGAATAGTATTCTGTTGTACATGTATGCCATATCTTTTTTATCCATTTTTCTGTTGCTGCACATATAGATTGATACCATAACTTGGCTATTGTAAATAATACTGCAGTGAACATAGGTGTACAGATATCTCTTTGACATTTTACTGATTTCAGATCTTTTGGGTAAATACTAAGAAGTGGGATTGCTGGATCATATGGCAATTCCATTTTCAGTTTTTTTAGGAACCTCCACACTATTTTCCATAGGGTTGTGCTAATTTATATTTCCACCAACAATGTAATAGGGTTTCCTTTTCTCAGCATCCACACCAATGTTCTTTATCTTTTGCCCCTTTGATAGTAGTCATTCTGACAGGTATGAGGTGATATCTCATTGTGTCTTAGTTTGCAATTCCTTAATGGCTAGTATGTTAAACATTGTTTGATATATCTGTTGGTCATGTGTATGCCTTCTTTTGAGAAATGTCTATTCAGGTTCCTTGCCCATTTAAAAATCAGGTTATTTGTTTTCTTTCTGTAGAATTGTTTGAGGTCCTTATGTATTTTGTATACTAACCCCTTATCAGACATATGGCTTGCAGATATTTTCTCCCAGTCCATAGGTTGTCTCTTCACTCTGTTAATTGTTTTCTTTGTTGTGCAGAAGCTTTTTATTTTGATGTAATCCCATTTGTCTATTTTTGCTTTAATTGCCTGCACTTTGGGGGTTAAATCTAAAAAGTTATTGCTCAGAGCATGATTTGTGTAGTTTTTCCCTGTTTTCTTCTAGTTTTATAGTTTCCAGGCTTAAGTCTTTAGTCCATTTTGAGTTAATCTTTATATATTAAGTGAGAGAAGGGTCCAAATTCATTCTTCTGCAGATGGATATTCAGTTTTCCCATCACCGTTTAGTGAAAAGACCGTCCTTTTCGCAGTGTGTACATGTGGCACCCTTGTCAAAAATCAATTGACCATACATGTGTGGGTTTATTTCTGGGTTCTTTATTCTGTTCCCTTGGTCAATGAGTTTGTGCTTATGCTTGTATCATGCTGTTTTAATTACTATTGCTTTGTAGTATAATATGAAATAAGATAGTATGATGCCTCCAGCTTTGTTCTTTTATTCATGATTGCCTTGGCAATTCAGTTTTTTGTGGTTCCATGTGTATTTTAGGATTATTTTTTCTATTTCTATGAAAAATGACGTTGGAATTTTGATAGGAATTACATTAAATCTATAGATTGCTTTAGGTAGTATGGATGTTTTAACAATACTAATGTTCAATGAACATTCCAAAAATGAAATCAAGAGAACCATCCCACTTAAAATAGCTACAAGAAAAAATACTTAGGGATAAATTTGACCAAGGGGGAAGAAAGACCTGGACACTGAAAACTATACAACATTAATAGAAGAAATTGAAGTCTACACAAATAAATGGAAAGATATCCCATGCTCATGGACTGGTGTATAATTTTTGTATTCAAAGAATGGAATATTGTCTATTGTGTTTTTTTTTTTTTTTTAAGACGGAGTCTCACTCTGTTGCCCAGGCTGGAGTGCAGTGACGTGATTTCAGCTCACTGCAGCCTCCACCTCCCAGGTTTAAGCAATTCTCCTGCCTCAGCCTCCCGAGTATCTGGGATTATAGGTGCGCACCACCACACCCAGCTTATTTTTGTATTTTTGGTAGAGACGGGGTTTCACCATGTTGGACCAGGCTGGTCTCAAACTCCTGACCTCAAGTGATCTGCCCACCTTGGCCTCCCAAAGTGCTGGGATTACAGGCGTGAGCCACCATGCCCAGCCTTATTGTCCTGAATTTTTTTAAGTCTATTTTCCTTAATTTTTTACAATCTTTTACATATCTGACTTAGATCTCAACTTCCTTCGTTCCAACTACTTAAAATCATTTAAGTCCTCTATATCATCTTTGTTATTTAAAAAGTACTTTTAAAATGTGTATTTTCAAGGTGGGATTTCATAGAAATCTATATCACAGTGTATAAAAGCATAGGCTCTGAAATCAGACTGTGTATGAATTTGAATCCTTGATCTAAAACTTAATGGTGTGACCTTGAACTAGTTACTTTATGTCTTTGTGCCTCATTTGTAAAATAGAGGTAATAATAATGAGTTAAGACTTAGAAAAACAAGTTAGAGCCCTTAGAACAATGACCCACATATAGCTAAGGACAACTACTGAAATTATTAATAGTCTCTACAGTACAATCATTTGCTTTTCATGCTTTGCCTTCATTTATTCATTCATAGATTCATTCACTTAATAATTTTAGAAAACCTAGTTTACGCCAGGCACTGTACTAGATGCTAGGGATAGAATGATGAACAAGATAATCATTTCTTACCTTCATGAAGCTTATTAGTCTACTCTCTTTATTAAAGTTATTATTACCCATAAGTAAATGGTAACAGGTTTTGAATTGCATGAGTATTTTCACATTTCATATTTCCTCCTTCAACACTTTTCTGTAGTAAGACCCATAGTCAAGTTAAAGAAGCCTTAATGTAAGAGATAACATTAGACATAAAGGCCAGGAGCAGTGGCTCACGCCTGTAATCCCAGCACTTTGGGAGGCCGAGTCGGGCAGATCACAAGGTCAGGAGATCAAGACCATCCTGGCTAATACGGTGAAACCCCATCTCTACTAAAGATACAAAAAAGTAGCCGGGCGTGGTGGTGGGCGCCTGTAGTCCCAGCTACTCGGGAGGCTGAGGCAGGAGAATGGTGTGAACCCAGGAGGCGGAGCTTGCGGTAAGCCCAGATCGCGCCACTGCACTCCAGCCTGGGTGATGGAGTGAGACTCCGTCTCAAAAAAGAAAAAAAAAGAATGATGAAGGCTCAGGTTCACTGACTAATTATTTGTCTCTATTTCTGCATGTCTTTACTAGGCTATTGAAGGTAGACACGTGTATAATTTATTTTATTTACATTTATTGTTTATTTTACATGAGTGTATATAAATGCAGATTTTAAAAAGTAGAGCAAGATTATTCAAAAGTGAAAGATTTATGTAAACAATACTATTTTGATTCCCAAGGCTATTCTCTTTCTCACTGTATTTCTTTTATTCATATAAAGAAATGAATATATAAAAGTGAAGTCATGACCGGGTACTCATGCCTGTAACCCTAACGCTTTGAGAGGCTGAGGTCATGAGTTCAAGACCAGCCTGGCCAACATGGCAAAACCCCATCTCTAGTAAAAATACAAAAATTATCTGGGCATAGTGGTGCATGCCTGTAATCCCAGCTACTTGGGAGGCTGAGGCAGGAAAATCGCTTGAACCCGGGAGGCAGAGGTTGCAGTGAGCCGAGATTACACCACTGCACTCCAGCCTGGGGGCAGAACGAGACTCTGTCTCAAAAAAAAAAAAAGTGAAGTCATGACCCTTGTCAAGTGTGTATACATACTTTTAAGCCATTTCATACTAATAGTGCTAAGGAATTGACTCTGATCTATACATACTATAGCCCATTTCCCCTATAATGCATTGTCTGGTCAGGATCAGGAATGGTTTGTGGTCCGACAGTAAGTTTTATTAATTTGAGTGGCTCACAGAAGAATCAGCCTCCCAACGTGACCCCGTTACCACAGTCCTTTACCCAGTGGAACTAACAGAGCAGATAGACAGCAAACATGACAACACTGGGGCCCTTGGGATTCATATAATGCCCTTGCCATTTACCACAATATAGAAAAACTGTTTTTGTTGTTTACAAGTGGTTTTACAAAATAAAATTTTTTTAATAAAAAAGAAAAACTGTTTTTGCAAACATTCATAGTTGGGGAGGAGTAGTGACCAGAAAACCATCTTTCACCTTAACAGTAGAGGGCCATAGTGAGATGACATACAAGAAAAGTAACATTTGTTATGTACAAAAAAGTTAATGGTTTAAAATGGGAGGAGGAAAGAGGCATACGTCTTCCTGTTTGGAACAGTGAAGGAAAAAATGTTAACCTCTACCTTGAATTAGTTTTCTAGGACCTCTTTGAAATTTTGTAGAGATAGGAGGAAGAAATATATTCACTAGTGAAATTTCAGCAATACCCACAGCCATTCTCAATAGAGGAAACTTCCAGAAATGACAGTGGAAAGAATTTAAGCAATTCTTTCTACAGAAAATCATAAAAACTGGAAAAAATATTAAAAGCAAGTATTTGAAGTTACTGGAAAATGAGCAGAGGCAGGTAGAAATTTGAGAAGAGCATCAGGTAACTATTGCAAGTTGATAGCTTTCTTGCCTGGAAGTGCCCCTTAGCCACCACCCCCCCTGCCAGCACCCACTCAAGTGTACAGATTGGTAAGAGTTTAAATCAGCTGAGTAACTGAACATTTAAAGGGGAAATTTTGGAAATGAGGGAAATGCAGAAGGACTAATATCCAAAATCTCAGTATAAACCCTTCCCAAATCTCTGTGTCATCATTAAATAATGTATTTCCACGGTAAACACCAAAGAGCCTGAGAAAAATAGGCAGAAACTGGAAGAGAGTCTATGCTTGATATACTGAACTGCTTCTTGGTGCGATTTGCAAGGTTGCTGTGCCTTTGATTGAGTGCATTTTCTGAGCTATGTGCAGGTTGAACACACAGTTTGGATGACAGAAAGTGAAAGCTTTTCTGGCTTGAGGTGTCAGAGGGTAGATCTCAGGACTGGCAAAGCAGTTGAAAATTTAGGAGAGATCCCTAGAAGCAAAAGATCCACAGAGAGGATAAGCCCTAAAATATGACTATAGAATTTGTCCAGACTACCACTACCCTACACAAGCTCAAGCTCAGCAGAGAATATCAGGGAGTTAGGCTAAAAAGGAGAAGCTAGAAACCAAGAAACTGAGCAGAAACATTAGCTGCTGCAGGTATGACAGATTTCACAGTTTAAGTAAATTAACTGCTTACTAGTACCAAAAAAATTAACAATTCTCAGAAAAACAAAACAGATTCCAAAGTCACTACAACATATTACCTTCAACCAAAACTTGCTAGACATGTAAAGAAACAAGACGATGTGACCAATGTTCAAGATAAAAAGCAGCCAATAGATACTAACTCCAAGTGGATCCAGATTACACATTTAACAAAGACTTGAAAGTAACCATTACAAATATATTCAAAAAAGTGAAGGAAAGCATGATACAAGTGAAAAGAGAGAATCCCAACAAAGAAATGGAAACTTTTAAAAAACAACAAAATAGAAATCCAAAGACTGAAAACTACAGTAACAGAAATAAAAATTTTACTAGGTGGGCTTAACAGGAGAATTGAGATGACAGAAGAATCAGATCCATAAAAATTCAGGCTGGGCATGGTGGCTCACGCCTGTAATCCCAGCACTTTGGGAGGCCGAGGTGGTTGGACACCTGAGATCAGGAGTTAGAGACCAGCCTGGCCAACATAGTGAAACCCTGTCTCTACCAAAAATACAAAACTTAGCTGGCCATGCTTTCACGTGCCTGTAGTGCCAGCTACTTGGGAAGCTGAGGTAGGAGAATCACTTGAACCCAGGAGGCAAGGTTGTAGTGAGCTGAGATCATGCCACTGCACTCCAGCTTGGGTGACAGAGCGAGACTGTCTCAAAACATAAAATAAAAATAAAAATTGAGATAGAGTAATAGAAATTATTTAATCTGAAGAATAGATAAAAGATTGAAGAAAAATGGCCAGGTAATCCCAGCACTTTGGGAGGCCAAGGCAGGCGGATCACTTGAGGCCTGGCCAACATGGCGAAACCCCGTCTCTACCAAAAATACAAAAAAAATTAGCTGGGCGTGGTGGTGGGAACCTGTAGTCCCAGCTACTCAGGAGATGGAGGCAGGAGAATGGCTTGAACCTGGGAGGCGGAAGTTGCAGTGAGCTGCAGTCACGCCTCTGCACCCCACCCCAGGTGACAGAGCGAGACTCTGTCTCAAAAAGAAGAAAAAAATAGTAAATATTTTTTTAAAAAAATATTGAAGAAAACTCAACAAAAGTCTCAGTAGGAGACAATATCAAGCAGTCCAACATTCTTGTGATTGGAGTTCTAAAGAAAAGGAAAGGGGCAGAAAAAGCATTGAAAGAAATACCAGCCCAAAACATAAGAAAACTACACCTATGTGTATATATAGTGAAACTGCTAAAAGGCAAAAGTAAAGAGAAAATCTTGAAAGCAACAAGGGGAAAATGATACATACAGGGCAACAATGGGAAAAAAAAAGTAATGGTTATTCAACAACATTGTAGAATACCAAATGAACATACAAAAATCAGTTGTAGCCAGGAGCAGTGGTGAATGCGCTTGACCAGCTACTCAAGAGGCTAAAGCGAGAGGATTGTTTGAGCCCAGGAGTTTGAGTGCAGCCTGAGAGCAAAGTAACAAGACCCCATCTTGAAAATCCAATTTTTTTAAATCAATTGTCTTTCTATAAGCTAGCAACGGACATATGAACATCAAATGTTTAAATACACTACTTACAATCACTCACAAAATGAAATACTTACATAGAAGTCTAACAAAACATGTATATAGGACTTGTTTGCTGAAAATTATAAAACTAATGAAAAAAATCAAATAAGATATAAATAAACCATGTTAATAGATTGGAAGACTTGAATAGTAATGATGTTAATTCTCCCCAAATTGGTATACAAATTTAATGTTATTCATTTCAAAATCCCAGCAAGATTTATTTGTAGATATACACAAAATTATTCTAAAATTTGTACAGAAAGGCAAAATAACTAGAATAGTTAATACAATTTTTAAAAAGAACAGTATGAGAGGAATTCCTCTACCTGATCTTTAAACATATTATATAGCTACAGTAATCAAGACTGTGGTACTGGTAGACATAGATCACTGGAACAGAAAAGAGAACCCAGAAATACCGACACATGGCCAGGCACAGTGGCTCACGTCTGTAATCCCAGCACTTTGGGAGGCTGAGGCAGGTAGATCACCTGAGGTCAGGAGTTTGAGACCATCCTGACCAATATGGCGAAACCCCGTCTCTACTAAAAATACAAAAATTAGCTGGACATGGTGGCATGCGCCTGTAGTCCCAGCTACTTGGGAGGTTGAGACAGAAGAATTGTTTGAATCCAGGAGGCAGAGGTTGCAGTGAGCTGAGATTGCTCCCCTGCCCTCCAGCCTGGGTGACAGAGCAAAACTCTGTCTCAAAAAAAAAAAAAAGAAAAGAAAAGAAATACTGACACAAATACACCCAGCTAATTTTTGACAAAGATGCAAAAGCAGTTCAGTGGAGGAAAGATAACCTTTCACCAAATGGTGCTAGAGCAATTAGGCGTCCATAGGTTTAAAAAATGAATCTAAATCTAAGTCTTACACCTTATATAAAATTAAAACACGCCGGGCGTGGTGGCTCATGCCTGTAATCCCAGCACTTTGGGAAGCCAAGGCGGACGGATCACTTAAGGTCAGGAGTTCAAGACTAGACCGGCGAACATGGTGAAACCCCGTCTCTACTAAAAATACAAAAAATTAGCCCGGTGTGGTGGCGGGCACCTGTAATCCCAGCTACTGGAGAGGCTGAGGCAGGAGAATTGCTGAACCCAGGAGGTGGAGGTTGCAGTGAGCCGAGATCCGCCATTGCCCTCCAGCCTGGGCAACAGAGCGAGACTCCGTCTCAAAAAAAAAAATTAAAACAGATAATAGACTAAAATGTAAAACTATAAAACTTTCAGAAAAAAAAAAAAGAATCTTTGGAATCAAGGGCTACACAAAAAGTTCTTTACTTGATACCAAAAATAAAATCCATGAAAGGAAAAAATGGATAAATTGGGCTCCATCAAAATTTAACACTTTCGCTCTGTAAAAGACTGTTAAGGCCCGGTGCGGTGGCTCACGCCTGTAATCCCAGCACTTTGGGAGGCCAGGGTGGGTGGATCACAAGGTCAGGAGTTCATGACCAGCCTGGCCAAGATGGTGAAACCCCGTCTCTACTAAAAATACAATAATTAGCCAGGCGTGGTGGCGGGCACCTGTAATCCCAACTACTCGGGAGGCTGAGGCAGGAAAATGGCTTGAACCTGGGAGGCAGAGGTTGCAGTGAGCCAAGATGGAGCCACTGTACTCTAGCCTGGGTGACAGAGCAAGACTCCTTACTTAAAAAAAAAAAAAAAAATACTGTTAAGAGGATGAAAAGATAAGCTACCCACTGGGAGAAAATATTTGCAAGCCACTTATTTGAGAAAGCACTAGTATCTAGAATAAAAAACATTCAAAGCTTACATTTAAAAAAAATGCAGTTAGAAAATAAGCAAAAATGATGAACATTTTATTGTAGAGGATATGCAAATGGCACATAACCACATGAAAAGGTGTTCAACATTGTTAGCCATTATGGACATGCCATTAAAACTACATCGAGATAATCACTACACACCTATCAGAATAGCTAAAATAAAAATTAGTGACAACACCAAATACTAATAAGAATGCAGAGCAACTGGATCACTCATACGTTGCTGGCATCCATGTAGAATGGTACAGTCCCTCTGGAACACAGTTTAGCTCTTTCTTTAAAAGCTAAACATGCCGTTACCACACCCCAACAATTGCACTCCTGGGCATTTATCCAGAGAAATGAAGATTTATATTCACACAAAAAAACTGTACTTGAATGTTTATGAAAATTACGCTGAGTGAAAAAGAATCCCCAAAGAATATATACCGTATGATTCTAGTTATATATACATTTTTGAAATGATAAAATTACAGAAATGGAGAACAGATTCGTGGTTGCCAGAATTAAGGAATTGGAGGTGGGAGGGAGGTAAGCTGTACAGGTGCACCCTGAAAGATCCTTGTAGTGATGGAAATGTCCCGTATTGTGACTCTATCAATGTCAGTATCCTGGTTGTACTAGAGTTTTGCAAGATATTTCAGTTGAGGAAATCTGGGTAAAGGGTACATGGAATCTCTGCATTTTTTCTCAAAACTACATTATGAATCTACAATTATTTCAAAAAGTTTAACTAAAAAAAAGTAATGGCTGACTTCCTACTAGAAACAACAGAGACCAGAAAATAGTTGACTGACATTTAAACCTCAGTAGACATTTTTTAGCTTCTTCTGTTGTGCACTACTACCAAACCTCAGCCAAGTGCATATGTTTTTCCATATTAGGAACTTTTAAATGACATTGGGCTAATAACAAATAGATAATTCCTTGTAAGCTACCCTTGTTATAAAGAGGCAATAGTGATGATGATAGTAAAGAAAAGTTGAAGATGAAGGTGATCTAATTCTATAGTACCTCATATGGTTGGGTGGTTTTTTCATTCCTATTCACGCTTCGGAAGGTTTAATATTGTTACCTTCTTAAATATATGATCATTTCTTTTTCATCTACAACTTATTTGATAAGAGCAAAATTGGTTTAGAATTAATAGATTCTTGATACAATTGAAAGTAAAAGTGAATTGTTTAAAACAAGGCCATGCTTGTCTATGTGCCTCTAACTTTCACTTCTAGTGATTACACTTCTTTGCCTATTATGAGACCACAGCACAGTGTCAATCACCTTTACATATTCAATCGATTCCACTCCACAGCCAGTCATTAGTGTTTGTTGTAGACACTGAAAATAAGGACAATAGAAATGAGCTCTGTGCTTCCTCTCTCACAACTGCCTCTTTTAATCCTGCATGTTAAGCTGAAATGAACTATTAAATGAGTGGAATAGAACCCTTGCCTTCTTTGTATATGTGTTCTAGCTTTTTCAACTATGAAAATATAAAAACCTAGAATTACTAAGCCTTAATCTTACAAGTCAGAATCTCCCTAGGTCTGAGCCTCTTCTTGGTTGTTTATTACATCTTCCCAAAATGGTGAGTGATAGTAGATGTGTAGTTAGAAGAAAGGCAGAAAGAGCTAAAAGAGCTGTGTTTCATTCACTCAGTATCCAGGCAAAGGTCATTTTCAAAAGGAAACAGTTAAGTCAACATGGCTGACATTCTTTCTTGTTAATATCATTTTAGCTAATGGCTCAAAAAATTTCACCCATAGAAATATCATTTGATCTTTGGTACCATTGGTACTATTTGTATTAGTCCCAGGCATAAATACCAATGCTGCTGCTTGCTCTTCACCATTTTTATCTTTTGCCTCCCAAAAATATCCACCTTGAGTTACATTTTTCTTTGGTCCTGCTACTCTATTTTTATTAGACTCATCCTAGTTCATTTTATGCCTGTAGGCCTTGGCCCATTAAACCCTTTAAATCAATTATGTACAAATGATATTTTATTTTGATCCTCACTAGGACCCTGTTGATACCTTTGTGGTGAGCTGGGACATGCCAGCAGCTACCACTGTACTAGTCGGTCCTCCACAGACTGAGAGGACCAGGAGTGGTAGGTTTCCTGTTGATTTATTCACCTGTAGGACAGATTGCAGAAGGTGAGGGTATTGGACTTAGAGACTGATATTTTAGAAGGGGACAGGTTTATGCAATTTTGCTATTTTTTTTCCTTTTGTCTGCCTTTGAAAAAGAAGGAAGAAAACATGTATTGCGTTCCAAACTCTGTATTTGGTCCTTTAGTTAGGTATGTTAGCTGGTTTTTTTTGTTTGTTTGTTTTTGTTTTGTTTTTGAGATGGAGTCTCACTCTGTCACCTGGGCTGGCGTGCAGTGGTGTGATCTCAGCTCACTGCAACCTCTGCCTCCTAGGTTCAAGCGATTCTCCTGCCTCAGCCTCCCAAGTAGCTGGGATTACAGACATGGGTCACCACGCCCAGCTAATTTTTGTATTTTTAGTAGAGATGGGGTTTCACCATGTTGCCCATGCTGGTCTTGAACTCCCAACCTCAGGTGATCCACCTGCCTCGGCCTCCCAAAGTGCTGGGATTACAGGAGTGAGCCACCACACCCAGCCAGGTATGTTAGCTGTTTTATTTTGTCTTTAAATGGTAACTGTAGTAATTAAACTATGTATAGCGCCTCATATGAACATGAATTCATATGTATTATTTCATTTATCTTCACAACCATCCAGAGATGAGGAGATGAAAACTCTAAGACCTCCCAGCTTCCAAATAGCAGAGCCAGTCCTCAAATTTATTGCCTAGCCCAAATTCTGTGCTTCTTCACCCAGGCCACATTGCTTCCACATAGTTTCCCTTCAGTTGTAAGTAGTAGAAAAGTAGGACTCCAGAATCAGTATCCTTACATAAACAGCTCAGTACATGAGAGGCAGTTGTGAGACTGGAAAATGGATGGGACTAGACTGTGAGGGTCCATGCTTGCTTGCTGAGGCTTTATATTTTCTTTCATTTCAGGATGGCAATGGCACGGAGAACAATGTTCCAGAAGGGGGAAGTGCATAACAAACCATCAGGTTTCTGGGGAATGATAAAAAGTGTTACCACTTCAGCATCAGGAAGTGAAAGTATCCTTTGTCCCTCTGCTTGATTCTTTTTCTCAACTCTGGACCAAGAGCAAAAGAAAAAAAGTAGTGTTGGGATAGTCCCTTCTAAGGTACCTGACTACATCAGAGTCCAAACTCCTAAGAGCTAGGCTTAGGAAATACCATGTGTACAGTCATCTTTCCAGCACCTGCACAATATCATAAAATCATTGTCTTTGAGCTGAAGTGGTCCTAAAAAGTCAGCCTTTCCATTTTACAGATGAGAAAATAGACCCAGAGAGGTTAAGTCACACGGTGGTTTGTGGCAAAGCTAGAAACATAACTGTGGTCTCCTCTTCATAGTTCTTTCCACTACACTATTACATTTCTCAACTCTGAAAAACCACCATAAAGCATAATGGCTACCTAAAATAAATGGCCCATTTCTAAAGTAATTAGTATTCCTAAACAAATTTTAAGTAGCTCTGCTTCTCCAGTGACATTTTGGTTTAAAGAATCAAGGGGAGGCTGGGTGCAGTGGCTCATCCCTGTAATCCCAGCACTTTGCAAGGCCGAGGTGGGCAGATCACTTGAACCCAGGAGTTCAAGACAAGCCTCGGCAACATGACAAAACCTCATCTCTACAAAAAATACAAAAATTAGCCAGGCCCAGTGGCATGTGCCTGTAATCCCAACTACTCAGGAGGCTGAGGTGGGAGGATTGTTTGAACTTGGGAGGCTGAGGTAGGAGTGAGCCCAGATCACGCCACTGCACTCCTGCCTAGGCAACAGAGCTAGACCCTGTCTCAAAATAAAAAAGAAAGGATAAAGGAGATTTGATTAATAGATTAATAAACTGTTCTTTCCTGATTGGTTATGATGTTGAACTACTTCCCAAATTATGTAACCAAATTTCTGTGTGGCTCTGGTGCTATTAGGTCAAAACTTTGGGGAACTAAGCATGAGATAGCATACTCCTGTTTCCTTCTCTGTCCCAGGGAAATACAAATTCCCTTTTGCCTCAATTAGAGAAGGATGTCTATTCTTGCTACAAATTATGATTTATGTCCTGGTGTCAAATGAAGATAAGAATAAGATCAAAGAAAGGCAAGATGATTGTGGAAGAGAAAGAAAAAGGATTAATTTAGATTTATTTAACCAAGAAACATTTATTTCGTATCTCCTATTTCCAGGCTGAGTGCTAAGAAATAAAATGATGAGTAGAGTATAGCCTTTCTCCTCAAGGAGCTTACCCTCTAATCATGGGAGAGACAGACATGTAACTAGTTAAACCATATTGTTTGGTGGCTTGAACCATGCCAGTAGTAGCCACTATTAAGGAAGGAACTGAAGGGCACTTACTGATTTGGGTAATAGTGGGAAAAATCAGAGAGGAGGGAGGATTTAGATTGAAGTATGTGCTTCTATTTTAGAAGGGGCTGTATTTACTATGTTTATTACTTAAAAGTTCATAAAAGCCAATAATACGGGTTTGAGCTGTGTTAGTAATGAGTTAACAAACATATCAGGATTATTTAACCTCCCTGAGCCCCTGTTCTCTAAATGGGAGAATAATAACTCTACCTGATTGAGTTCTTGGAAAATAACATAGTGTAATGGAAAGAGCAGGCTTTGGAGGAAAAGAGGATTTGACTTTGCATCTCTATCAATTAATTGTGTGACTTTGAGCAAGTTATTTAACTCTCTGAGCTTCACTTTCCTTATGTGCAAAATGGATAACACCATGGCATAAGACAATCCCATGAAGATAAGATATAAAAGAAGATAATGTTTGAAAAGAAAGAAGGTAATGTCTGTAAATCCTAGCCTATATTAGAACACAGTAAAGTATTAGTTCCCTTTTCTAACATTATATTCAGATAATGTAGGAGAAAGCTATGCTTTATTATAGTTATTATTCTGTAACTATTTACAATCTTGAACATTACATTTGACTTAATCTAACTAGTTAAATCAAAAAACAAATGAAACCATCTGTTTGAGCTGCTTAAGAGAAACTGAGTGGTAATTGTTTGGTGGCGATGCTCTTGATGGAGAAGCTTTTACACACCTGCGTCAGAGGTTGGGAAAGCTGCTCTGAAGTAGCGCTGCTGGCTATGAAACAGGAAATTGAGAATATAGGCAACTCCGGGAATCCACTGTAGGAAAAACCAAAAGTATATGCTTTCTCATTGCCATTTCTTGAATTCCTATGTGATTAAAACCTTGATGCCCATTCTGTGCCAGATCTTACTCTTATTCAACAGGAAGTGGATGCTTTGGAAGAATTAAGCAGGCAGCTTTTTCTGGAAACAGCTGATCTATATGCTACCAAGGTACAGAGCAAGGAAACTGAAGTGTGGTTTTTACCAATATTATTAAAGAGAGAACAAGACTAAATGGCTTTTTAGATTTCTCTGTGGCCAAGCAAGAGATACCTCACAGCTTCTATATCAGCCATGAAGCATTAGGGATAAGGGATCTTCACTCTTCATGAAATTGCTCCTGTCACTAGCAAAATCCTTAATGGAACACTCTCAAAAGTAGCAATTGGTGGGATAGTCAGAAGAGGCTTTTCAACATTTAGGAAGGTGGCACGTACCACCTCCTACTAACCTGGGATAAAGATGGTAGCTACTTTTATTCCTTTATAAGTTAGTAATATTATAAGAGCAGTAGACACCTATCTGCCATGGATGGCCTAGCCCTATTTTAAAGGATCCAGGTCAATAAGTGTCGAAACTGTAAGAAGTAACTTTCCTATGTACACCTAAAATAAAATATAATTTAAATGTGCAAAATCTGTTAGTGAAGATTACAAACTTTTAATTCTTTTTGAGGATAACTTTACAGGAGTAACCTTATAGGACAGAGGTTAACATAGGCTTTGGAAACAGATAAACCTGAGCCTACTCACCAGCTGTGTGACTTTGAGCAAGTTATCGAACCTCTCAAAGCCTCAATTTTCTCATCTGTAAAATTAAGATAATAGAACGTATCTCATAAGAATTGTTATGAAGATTAAGTGGATAATGCATGTAAGATGTTTATCCCAGTCTCTAGCTAAAAGCAAGCATTCAGTAAATGCTGGCCACAACTACTGTTATTAGTTTAATATTATTACAATGTATGGTTTTTTGACTTAGCCTGAACAGTGATTCATAGAGGGAAGAATACTTGTGTTGAATATAAATTTATATTTTGCTGAAAACTATGTTTTGTGTTTGTTTTCCCCCAGGAGAGAATAGAATACTCCAAAACCTTCAAGGGGAAATATTTTAATTTTCTTGGTTACTTTTTCTCTATTTACTGTGTTTGGAAAATTTTCATGGTAAGTATGTTATTTTTAATTATCAGAGTTTAGATGTTTTTTCCTGGTAGTGGCAGGGAGATAAGAGTGGATTTGACTGATATATTGAACTAAATTCCAAATGTGATTGCATCAACAGAGAGCATGATCTTCCACATCTCTGGGCTTCATTCGTTATCCTCTCTCCTTTTTAGATTACATAGATAAGAAAGGTTGCATTTTTCTTCTGTCAGAAATTGTTAATAAGGCCTTAGTTTATGAAATATCTAAATTGAGGCCGGGCATGGTGGCTCATGCCTATAATCCCAGCACTTTCGGAGGCCAAGGCAGGCATATCACCTGAGGTCAGGAGTTCGAGAACAGCCTGGCCAACATGGTGAAACCCCATCTCTACTAAAAATACAAAAATTAGCTGGGTGTGGTGGTGGGCCGCCTGTAATCCCAGCTACTCAGGAGGCTGAGGCAGGAGAATCGCTTGAACCCGAGAGGCGGACGTTGCAGTGAGCTAAGATCACGCCACTGCACTCCAGCCTGGGGAGAGGGCGAGACTCCATCTCTCTCTCTCTCTTCGTCGTCGTCGACTCTCTCTCTCTCTCTCCTCCTCCTCTCTCTCTCTCTCTCTCTCTCTCTCTCTATATATATATATATATATATATATATATATAGAATGTGAACATTTCTTATTTTGCATTCTGCTTTCTGTGTTACCCATGAGTACATAACTGTATATATAACTTCAACTTCTACCTTCAGCTCAGAAGTTACTTGTCCTTTTTAATTATGTGTATACCTAAAAAATTAAGTTCACAATAAATTCTAAAATGTATTTCCATAGATAAATTCATTTGCTGTACATATAGCTCTAATTCTTTTGTGGTTTTCTCATAATATTTTTTATGTACAGTATTTGTCTTTACCTCTGACTCAGGTATTAATGGATTTCAATGTGATTACAGAAAAGGCTGATTTGACTTCCTAGTTTGATGACTTTCCTACTGGGTTTGTGTTTGTGCAAAGAGGAGCTTTGTCAGCTTGTTAGTTAATTTTGATCAATGTAGATGAATGAGGATTTTCATTATATAAAGGATCTAGTGTTACAATAAATTGATGTCAATAATACTCAGATGACATTTTAAAATCTGGATTCATTCAGTGGGAGATAATGAATGAAGATAGTATGTTCAGTTAGCAAAGCTACTAAAAGGTATTTTCCTAAGATGCAGCCTTTAGGGAAGCATGTCTTTTTTTTTTTAGATGGAGTCTCATTCTGTCACCCAAGCTGTAGTACAGTGGTGCGATCTCGGCTCACTGCAACCTCTGCCTCCTGGGCCCAAGCAATTCTCCTGCCTCAGCCTCCCGAGTGGCTGGGATTGCAAGCACGCACCACCACGCCCAGCTAACTTTTTTGTATTTCAGTAGACATGGGCTTTCACCATGTTGCCCAAGGTGGTTTTGAACTCCTGAGCTCAGGCAATCTGCCCGTCTCAGCCTCCCAAAGTGCTGGGACTACAGGCGTGAGCCATCATCACACCCGGCCTAGGGAAGCATGTTCTTTTTTTTTTTTTTTTTTGTTGAAGACGGAGTCTCTCTCTGTCTCCCAGGCTGGAGTGCAGTGGCATGATCTCGGCTCACTGCAACCCCTCCGCCTTCCAGATTCAAGTGATTCCCCTGCCTTAGGCTCCCAAGTAGCTGGGACTACAGGTGTGTGCCACAATGCCCGGCTAATTTTTTGTATTTTTAGTAGAGACAGGGTTTCACCATCTTGGCCAGGATGGTCTCGATCTCCTGACCTCGTGATCCGCCTGCCTCAGCCTCCCAAAGTGCTGGGATTACAGGCGTGAGCCACTGCACCCAGCCAGCATGTCATTTTTTAACAGGTTTATTGGGGTATAACTGATATGTAAACCGAACATATATTTATGTACAACTGGGTACGTTTTGACATACATATATACCTATGCAACAACCATCACCACGGTCAAGACAGAGAACACATCCATCCATCACTGCCATGAGATTCCTGAGATTCCTGGTGTCCCTTTGTAATGCCTCTCTCCCACACCTCTAGTCCCCAGACGACTGCCAATCTGCCTTCTCTCATTATATATTAGTTTGTATTTTCTAGAATGTTATGTAAGTAGAATCCTACAGTATGTATCCTTTTTCTGTCTGGCTTATTTTACTCGGCATGATTATTTTACATTTTATCCATGTTATGATTTGTATCAGTAGTTTATTCTTTTGTATTGCTGAGTAGTGTTTCCGTGGTTTGGACGTGCCACAATTTTGTTTGTCCATTCATCTGATGATGAATATTTGGTTGTTTCCAGTTGGGGGATATTACAGATAAAGTTGCTGTGAACACTTGTGTACAATTTTGTGTATAGACGTGTGCTGTCTTTCTCTTGAGTAGGCACTTAGGAGTGGAATGTCTGGATCATATGGCAGATGTAATGTTTAACTTTTGAAGAAACAGCCAACTCTTTTCCAAAAAAATTGTATCATTTACATTTCCACCTGCACTGTGTATGAGTTTCAGTTGTTCACATCCTCACCAACACTCTATATGGCCAGTCTTGCTAATATTAGACATTCTAATAGATACGAGGTGATATTGCATTGTGGTTTTAATTTATATTTTCTTAATGTCTAATGATATTGAGCATCTTTTCATGTGCTTTTTTTCCCACCCATATTTTTTTTGGATGAATTATCTGTTCAAATCTTTTGCCAATTTTTTTTTAATTTTAAGTTCTGAGGTACATGTGCAGGATGTGCAAGTTTGTTACATATGTAAGTATGTGCCATGGTGATTTGCTGCATCTATCAACCCATCACCTAGGTATTAAGCCCAGCATCCATTAGCTATTTTCCCTGATGCTCTCCCTCCCCCTCCCCGCCTTCGACAGGTCCCAGTTTGTGTTGTTCCCTCCCTGTGTCTGTGTGTTCACATTGTTCAGTTCCCACTTATAAGTGAGAACATGTGATATTTGGTTTTCTGTTCCTGTGTTAGTTTGATGAGGATGATGGCTTCCAGCTCCATCCATGTCCCTGCAAAGGACATGATCTCATTCCTTTTTATGGCAGTATAGTATTCCATGGTGTATATGTACCACATTTTCTTTATCCGGTCTATCATTGATGGGCATTTGGGTTGATTCTATGTCTTTGCTATTGTGAATAGTGCTGCAGTGGACGTACATGTGTATGTATCTTTATAATGGAATGATTTATATTCCTTTGGGTATATACCCAGTAATGGGATTGCTGGGTCAAATGGTATTTCTGGTGCTAGGTCTTTGAGGAATCACCACACTGTCTTCCACAATGATTGAGTTAATGTACATTCCCACCAACAGTGTAAAAGCGTTCCTATTTCTCTGTAGCCTCGCCAGCATCTGTTGTTTCTTGACTTTTTAATAATTGCCATTCTGACTGGTGTGAGATGGTAGCTCATTGTGGTTTTGATTTGCATTTCTCTAATGATCAGTGATACTGAGCTTGAGCTTTTTTTCATACGTTTGTTGGCCACATAAATGTCTTCTTTTGAGAATTGTCTGTTCATGTCCTTTGCTTACTTTTTAATGGGGTTGTTTGATTTTTTTCTTGTAAATTTCTTTAAGTTCCTTGTAGATTCTGGATATTAGGCCTTTGTCAGATGGATAGATTGCAAAAATTTTCTCCCATTCTGTTGGTTGTCTGTTCACCCTGATGATAGTTTCTTTAGCTGTGCAGAAGCTCTTTAGTTTAATTAGATCCCATTTGTCAATTTTTGCTTTTGTGGCAATTGCTTTTGACATTTTTGTCATGAAACCTTTGCCTGTACCATGTCCTGAATGGTATTGCCTAGATTTTCTTCTAGGTTTTTTATAGTTTGGGGTTTTACATTTAAGTCTTTAATCCATCTTGAGTTAATTTTTGTATAAGGTGTAAAGAAGGGTTCCAGTTTCAGTTTTCTGCATATGGCTAGCCAGTTTTCCCAGCACCATTTATTAAATAGGGAATCCTTTCCCCATTGCTTGTTTTTGTCAGCTTTGTCAAAGATCAGATGGCTGTAGATGTGCGGTCTTATTTCTGAGTTCTCTATTCTGTTCCATTGGTCTATGTGTCTGTTTTTGTACCAGTACCATGCTGTTTTGGTCACTGTAACCTTGTAGTATAGTTTGAAGTCAGGTAGCGTGATGCCTCCAGCTTTGTTCTTTTTGCTTACAGTTGTCTTGACTTGTACGGGCTCTTTTTTGCTTCCATATTGAATTTTAAAATAGTTTTTTTCTAATTCTGGGAAGAATGTCAATGGTAGTTTAATGGGAGTAGCACTGAATTTATAAATTACTTTGGGCAGTATGGCCATTTTCATGATATTGATTCTTCCTATCTGGGAGCATGGAGTGTTTTTCCATTTGTATGTGTCCTCTCTGATTTCCTTGAGCAGTGGTTTGTAGTTCTCCTTGAAGAGGTCCTTCACTCCCCTTGTTAGCTGTATTCCTAGGTATTGTATTCTCTTTGTAGCAGTTGTAAATGGGAGTTCATTCATGATTTGGCTCTCTGCTTGTCTGTTGTTGGTGTACAGGAATGCTTGTGATTTTTGCACATTGACTTTTTATCCTGAGACTTTGCTGAAGTTGCTTATCAGTTTAGGTAGCTTTTGGGCTGAGACGATGGGGTTTTCTAGATAGAAGATTATGTCATATGCAAACAAAGACAATTTGACTTTCTCTCTTCCTATTTGAATACCCTTTATTTCTTTCTCTTGCCTGATTGCCCTGGCCAGAACTTCCAATACTATGTTGAATAGGAGTGGTGAGAGAGGGAGTCCTATCTTGTGCCAGTTTTCAAAGGAAATGCTTCCAGCTTTTGTCCATTCAGTGTGATATTGGCTGTGGGTTTGTTATAAATCACCCTTATTATTTTGAGGTATGTTCCATCAATACCTAGTTTATTGAGAGTTTTTAGCATGAAGGGATGTTGAATTTTATCAAAGGCCTTTTCTGTGTCTATTGAGATAATCATGTGGTTTTTGTCATTGGTTCTGTTTATGTGATGGATTACGTTTACTGATTCGTGTATGTTGAACCAGTGTTGCATACTGGGCATGAAGCTGACTTGATCGTGGTAGATGAGCTTTTTGATGTGCTGCTGGATTTGGTTTGCCAGTATTTTATTGAGGATTTTCACATCAATGTTCTTCAGGGATATTGGCCTGAAGTTTTCTTTTTTTGTTGTTGTATCTCTGCCAGATTTTGGTATCAGAATGAGCTGGCCTCATAAAATGAGTTAGGGAGGAGTCCCTCTTTTTCTGTTGTTTGGAATAGTTGCAGAAGAAATGGTATCAGCTCCTCTTTTTACCTCTGAATTCAGCTGTAAATCCATCTGGTCCTGGGCTTTCCTTGGATGGTAGGCTTATTACTGCCCCAAATCAGAACTCCTTATGGGTCTATTCAGGGATTCAACTTCTTCCTGGTTCAGTCTTGGGAGGGTGTATGTGTCCAAGAATTTATCCATTTCTTCTAGATTTTCTAGTTGATTTGCATAGAGATGTTTATAGTATTCTCTGATGGTTATTTGTATTTCTGTGGGATCAGTGGTGATGTCCCCTTTATCATTTTTTTTGTGTCTGTTTGATTCTTCTTCTTTATTAGTCTAGTAGTGGTCTATTTTATTAATCTTTTCAAAAAACTGGCTCCTGGATTCGTTGATTTTTTTGAAGGGTTTTTCGTGCTCTATCTCCTGCAGTTCTGCTGTGACCTTGGTTATTTCTTATATTCTGCTAGCTTTGGGGTTTGTTTGCTCTTGGTTCTCTAGTTCTTTTAGTTGTGATGTTAGGGTGTCGATTTGAGATCTTTCTAGCTTTTTGATATGAGCATTTAGTGCTATCCATTTCCCTCTTAACACTGCTTTAGCTGTGTCCCAGAGATTCTGGTATGTTGTCTCTTTGTTCTCATAGTATCAAATAACTTCTTGATTTCTGCCTTAATTTCATTATTTACTGAGGAGTCATTCAGGAGCAGGTTGTTCAATTTTCATGTAGTTGTGTAGTTTTGAGTTAGTTTCTTAGTCTTGAGTTCTAATTTGATTGTCCTGTGGTCTGAGAGACTGTTATAATTTCAGTTCTTTTGCATTTGCTGAGGAGTGTTCTACTTCCAGTTATGTGATCAATTTTAGAGTATGTGCCATGTGGCACCAAGAAGAATGTATATTCTGTTGTTTTTGGGTAGAGAGTTCTGTAGATGTCTATCAGGTCCACTTGATCCAGAGCTGAGTTCAAGTCCTAAATATACTTGTTAATTTTCTGTCTCAATGATCTGTGTAACATTGACTGTGGGGTGTTAATGTCTCCCACTATTATTATGTGAGAGTATAAGTCTCTTTGTAGGTCTCTAAGAACTTGTTTTATAGATCTGGGTGCTCCTGTATTGGGTGTATATATATTTAGGATAGTTAGCTCTTGTTGAATTGAACCCTTTAGCATTATGTAAAGCCCTTGTTTGTCTTTTTTGATCTTTGTTAAAGTCTGTTTTGTCAGAAACTAGGATTGCAACCCCTGCTTTTTTTTGCTTTCCATTTGCTTGGTAAATTTTCCTCCATCCCTTTATTTTGAGCCTATGTGTGTCTTTGCACATGAGAGGGGCCTCCTGAATACAGCACACTGATGGGTCTTGATTCTTTATCCAGCTTGCCATTCTGTGTCTTTTAATTGGGGCATTTAGCCCATTTACATTTAAGGTTAAAATTGTTATGTGTGATTTGATCCTGTCATCATGATGCTAGCTGGTTATTTTGCAGACTTGTTATTGTAGTTGCTTCATAGTGTCATTGCTTTGTGTACTTCAGTGTGTTTTTGTAGTGGCTGGTAATAGTTTTTCCTTTCCATACTTAGTGCTTCCTTCAGGAGTTCTTGCAAGGTGGTCACAAGTTCCCTCAGCATTTGCTTGTCTGAAAAGGATTTTATTTCTCCTTCACTTATGAAGCTTAGTTTGGCCAGATAGGAAATTCTGGGTTGGAAATTCTTTTCTTTAAGAATGTTGAGCTGGGCGTGGTGGCTCATGCCGGTAATCCCAGCACTTTGGGAGGCCGAGGCGGGCAGATCACGAGGTCAGAAGATCGAGACCATCCTGGCTAACACGGTGAAACCCCATCTCTACTAAAAATACAAAAAATTAGCCAGGCATGGTGGCAGGCGCCTGTAGTCCTAGCTACTCGGGAGGCTGAGGCAGGAGAATGGCATGAACCCAGGAGGTGGAGGTTGCAGTGAGCCGAGACTATGCCACTGCACTCCAGCCTGGGTGACAGAGCAAGAATCCATCTACAAAAAAAAAAAAAAAAAACAGAATGTTGAATATTGACTCCCAATTGCTTCTGGCTTATAGGGTTTCCACTGAGAGGTGCACTGTTAGTCTGATGGACTTCTCTTTGTAGGTGACCTGTCCTTTCTGGCTGCCCTTAACATTTTTTCCTTCATTTCGACCTTGGAGAATCTGATGATTATGTGTCTTGGGGTTGATCTTCTCATGGAGTATTTTACTGGAGTTCTCTGGATTTCCTGAATTTGAATGTTGGCCTGTCTTGCTAGGTTGGAGAAGTTCTGGCCTGTATTGCTAGGTTGGGGAAGTTCTCCTGGATGATATCCTGAAGTATGTTTTCCAACTTGAAACGGTTCCGTTCTCCCCGTCTCTTCCAGGTACCTGAATCAGCCGTAGGTTCGGTATTTTTATGTAATCCCATAGTTCTCAGAGGTTTTGTTCATTCCTTTTCATTCTTTTTTCTCTCACCTTGTCTGCCTGTCTTATTTCAGCAAGATAGTCTTCAAGCTCTGAGATTCTTTCCTCTGCTTAGTCTCTTCAGCTATTGATATTTGTGGTTGCATTGTGAATTTCACATTGTGTTTTTCAGCTCCATCACATTGTTTATGTTCCTTTTTAAACGGGTTATTCTGGTTAACAGCTCCTATAATGTTTTATCATGGTTCTTGGCTTCTTTGCATTGGGTTAGAACATTACTTCTTTTGCTCAGCAATGTTTGTTACTGCCCAGCTTCTAAAGCCTACTTCTGTCAGTGCATCCATCTCAGCCTCAGCCTCAGCCCAGTTCTGTGCCCTTGCTGGAGAGGTGTTGTGATCATTTGGAGAAGAGGCACTCTGGCTTTTTGAGTTGTCACCGTTTTTGTGTTGATTCTTTCTCATCATCCTCAGTTTATCTACCTTCGATTTTTGAGGCTGCTGACCTTTGGATGGGGTTTTTGTGGGGTCTTTTTTTGTTGATGTTGTTGTTGCTTTCTGTTTGTTTGTTTTTAACAGTCAGGCCCCTCTTCTGTAGGGCTGCTGCCATTTGTTGGCGGTCGAATCCATACCCTACTCGCCTGGGTCCCTCTCGCACCTGGAGGTATTACCAGTGGAGGCTGCAGAACAGCAAAGATGGCTGCTTGCTCCGTCCTCTGGGAGGAAGCACTGACCTGATGCCGGCAGGAACGTTCCTGTATAAGATGTCTGGCAACCCCTGGTGGGGGGTCTCAGTCAGGAGGCACGGGATCAGGGACCTGCTTAAGGAAGCACTCTGACTGCCCCTTGGCAGAGCAGCTGTGCTGCACTGAAGGGAATCCCCCTCCTCTGGACTGCCCAGACCCTTCAGAGCCAGCAGGCAGGAAAGACTAAGTCTGCTGAACCACGAAGACGATAGTCACCCCTGCCCCCAGGGGCTCCTTCCCAGGGAGATCAGTTCTGCTCATAAACCCCTACCTGGAGTTGCTGACATTTCTGCAGGGAGGCCTCGCCTAGTGAGGAGGAATGGATCCGAGTCCCACCTAAAGAAGCGGTCTGGCCACAGTCTGCCACTACCACTGTGCTGTGCTGTGGGGAATTCCTCCTGGTCCAAACCACCTATTCTCCCCGGCACTGGCAGGGGAAAAGGGCAGACTGGACCTGCAGTGATGGTGGCTGTCCCGGGAACTTGGTCGTCTTAGGCAATCTCCAGCCTGCTGCTGCTGGCTGCAACCTCAGTGGCCACTGAGCATCTGGGCAGCTCTGTGCTTGGGATCCAAGGCCCTGTTGGCCTGGGCTCACAAGGGGAATCTCCTGATCCACGGGTTGCACAGATCTGTGGAAGAAGCATGGTTTCCTGGGCAGGGTGCCACAATCACTCATCGCCTTCCTTGATTGGGGGTGGGAACTCCCCTTGCCCTGTGCGGCTCCCAGGTGGGGCTGTTGCACTACCCTGCTTTTCCTCGCTCTCCGTGGGTTGTGCCAACTGCCTAGTCAGTCCCAATGAGAGAACCTGGTTACCTCAGCCTGAAAGTGCAACATTCACTCGCTGTTTTCATTCTTGATAGGAGCAGCCAACAGCAGCTACTTCTAGTTGGTCACCTTGGCCCCTCCCCCGACCTTGCCAGTGTTTTAATTAAGTTGTTCCTTTCCCCATCCTTCCTTCCTTCTTGTTATCCTTTTTCTCCTGCTCCTTCTCCAGCCTTATTGCACTGACTAAAACCTTCAGTACAAAGTTGAATAGAAGTGGTAGGATTAGTCATCCTACTGTTATTCCTGCTCTTAGGGAGATAGCATCCAGTCTCACCTTTATGATGTTAGGTTTTCCCTAGATGCCCTTTATCAGGTTGAGGAAGTTCCATTGTAATCATAGTTTATTGAGTATTGTTAATCATGAAAAGGTGTTGGATTTTGTTAAATTCTTTTACTGCATCTATTGAGATGATCAATGTTTTTCTTTTTTAGTCTGCTATAGTTGATTACATTCATTAATTTTTGAATATTAAACCAATCTTGCATTCCTAGAATAAACCTCACTTGGTCATGGTGAATTATCATTTTTCTATTTTGTTAGATTCAATTTGCTAAAATTATGTTAAGAATGTTTGCATTGTCTGAGCATGTTGGCTCACACCTGTATTCCCAGTACTTTGGGAGGCTGAAGCAGGAGGACTGCTTGAGGCCAGGAATTTGAGACCAGCCTGGGCAGCATAGCAAGACCCCATCTCAGCAAAACAATAAAAATTAACTGAGTGTGGTGGCATGCCTGTGTTCCCAGCTACTCAGGAGGCTATGGTGGGAGGATCGCTTGAGCCCAGAAGTCCAAGGCCTCAGTGAGCTATTATCACACCGCTGCACTCCAGCTTGAATGACAGAGGGAGACTCTGTCTCAAAAAAAAAAAAAATTGATTCCATATGTATGAGGATATTGGACTATAGTTTTCTTTTCTCATAATGTCTTTATTTGGTTTTGGTGTCAGAGTAATGCTTGCTGACCTTAGAGAATGAGTTGAGAAGTACTGCCACCTCTTTAAATTAGTGGAAAAGTATGTGTGGAGATGTTGTTATTTCTCCCCTAAATGTGTTGTAGAGTTTATCAATAAAGCCGTCTGGGCCTGGAGTTTTCTTTGCAGGAAGATTTTTTTAAACTACCAATTCATTTTTTTAAAGATACAGGGTTTATGCAGGTTATCTATTTCTTCTTGAGTGAGCTCTTGCAATTTGGGTCTCAAGGAATTTGTCTATTTTTATTGAAGTTGTCAAATTTATTGGCATGATATTGCTCATAATATTCTTACTATCCTTTTAATATCTATAGAACCTGTAGAGACTGTTATTTTTTTCATGTAACAGGTTTATTGAGATATAATTCACATACAATACAATATACTCATTTAGTGTATGATGCAGTAGTTCTTAATATATTCATAGTTTTATAACCATTACCACAATCAATTTTTGAACATTTTTATCAAGCCAAAAAGAAATTCCATACTCATTAGTAGTCATTCCCCATTTCCCTCCAATTCCCACTCCCTCAGCCCTTAGCAACCACTAATCTATTTTCTGTCTCTGTAGATTTCCCTATTCTGGATGTTTCATATAAATGGAATCACATAATTTATATTGTTTTATGATTGGCTTCTCTCATTTAGCATAATGGGGTTGGGGGGGAGCTTTTTAAATGTAATTTTAAAAAGTATATATTTTTTTTCATAGAGACGAGTCTCACTATATTGCCCAGGCTGAGCCACTGTACCCAGCCCTAGCATAATGTTTTTAAGGTACATCCATGTCATAGTATCTATCAATATTTCATTCCTGGCCAGGCACAGTGGCAGATGCCTGTAATCCCAACACTTTGGGAGGCTGAGGCAGGAGGATCACTTGAGCCCAGGAGTTTGAGACTATCCTGAGAAACAAAGGGAAACCCCATTCTTTACCCCTCCCTCCCCGACACACACACACACACACAAAATTAATAGGGCATGGAAGTACATGCTTGTGGCCCCAGCTACTCGGGAGGCTGAGGCGGGGGAGGATCGCTTGAGCCTGGGAAGTTGAAGCTGCAGTGAGCCGTGATTGTGCCACCACACTCCAGCAGGCAGCAGAGCAAGACTGTCTTAAAAAAAAAATTCATATTTTCTATGGCTGAATAATATCTATTTCATTTTATAGGTACACCACATTTTTTATCCATTTATTAGTTGATGTACATTAGGATTGTTTCTACTTTTGGGCCATTATCAATAATGCTGATGTGAACATTTGTGTATAATTTTTTTGTTTTTGTTTTGAGACACAGTCTCACTCTGTTGCCCAGGCTGGAGCACAGTGGGGTGATCTCAGCTCACTTCGATCTCTGCCTCCTGGGTTCAAGCGATTCTCCTGCCTCAGCCGCCTGAGTAGCTGGGATTACAGGTGCGTACCACCACGCCTGGCTGATTTTTCTATTTTTAGTAGAGACGAGGTTTGACCATGTTGGCCAGGCTGGTCTCAACTCCTGACCTCAGGTGATCCACTAGCCTCGGCCTCCCAAAGTGCTGGGATTATATCCGTGAGCCACCATGCCCAGCCTCGTGTATAAGTTTTTATGTGAGTATATGTTTTAATTTCTCTTATGTGTATATCTAGGGGTAGAATTGCCGTGTCATATGCTAAGTATATGTTTAACCTTTTTATTTATTTATTTATTTATTTATTGAGGTGGAGTCTAGCTCTGTCGCCCAGGCTGGAGTGCAGTGGTGCAGTCTCAGCTCACTGCAACCTCCACCTCCCAGGTTCAAGCAATTCTCCTGCCTCAGCGTCCCAAGTAGCTGAGGTTACAGGCGCATGCAACCACTCCCGGCTAACTTTTTTGTATTTTTAGTAGAGACAGGGTTTCACCATATTGGCCAGGCTGGTCTCTAACTCCTAACCTTGTGATCCACCCGCCTCAGCCTCCCAAAGTGCTAGGATTACAGGCATGAGCCACTGCGACCGGCCTATGTTTAACCTTTTAAAGAACTACCAGACTTTTCCAAAACAGCAGCAACAGTTTACATTCCTGTCAGCAGGGGATGCGTGCTCCAATTTCTCCACATCCCCACCAACAATTGTTATTAACTTTTTTATACTGTTCCATTGATCTATATCTCTGTTTTGGTACCAGTACCATGCTGTTTTGGTTACTGTAGCCTTGTAGTATAGTTTGAAGTCAGGTAGCGTGATGCCTCCAGCTTTGCTCTTTTGGCTTAGGATTGACTTGGCAATGTGGGCTTTTTTTGGTTCCTTATGAACTTTAAAGTAGTTTTTTCCAATTCTGTGAAGAAAGTCATTGGTAGCTTTATAGGGATGGCATTGAATCTATAAATTACCTTGGGCAGTATGGCCATTTTCATGATATTGATTCTTCCTACCATGAGCATGGAATGTTCTTCCATTTGTTTGTATCCTCTTTTATTTCATTGAGCAGTGTTTTGTAGTTCTCCTTGAAGAGGTCCTTCACATCCCTTGTAAGTTGGATTCCTAGGTATTTTATTCTCTTTGAAGCAATTGTGAATGGGAGTTCACTCATGATTTGTCTCTCTGTTTGTCTGTTATTGGTGTATAAGAATGCTTGTGATTTTTGTACATTGGCACCGAACAGAGCCCTCAGAAATCACGCCGCATATCTACAACTATCTGATCTTTGACAAACCTGAGAAAAACAAGCAATGGGGAAAGGATTCCTTATTTAATAAATGGTGCTGGGAAAACTGGCTAGCCATATGTAGAAAGCTGAAACTGGATCCCTTCCTTACACCTTATACAAAAATTAATTCAAGATGGATTAAAGACTTAAACGTTAGACCTAAAACCATAAAAACCCTAGAAGAAAACCTAGGCGTTACCATTCAGAACATAGGCATGGGCAAGGACTTCATGTCTAAAAGCATACCAAAAGCAATGGCAACAAAAGCCAAAATTGACAAATGGGATCTAATTAAACTAAAGAGCTTCTGCACAGCAAAAGAAACTACCATCAGAGTGAACAGGCAACCTACAGAATGGGAGAAAATTTTTGCAACCTACTCATCTGACAAAGGGCTAATATCCAGAATCTACAATGAACTCAAACAAGTTTACAAGAAAAAAACAAACAACCCCATCAAAAAGTTGGCGAAGGACATGAACAGACACTTCTCAAAAGAAGACTTTTATGCCGCCAAAAAACACAAGAAAAAATGCTCACCATCACTGGCCATCAGAGAAATGCAAATCAAAACCACAATGACATACCATCTCACACCAGTTAGAATGGCAATCATTAAAAAGTCAGGAAACAACAGGTGCTGGAGAGGATGTGGAGAAACAGGAACACTTTTACACTGTTGGTGGGACTGTAAACTAGTTCAACCCTTGTGGAAGTCAGTGTGGCGATTCTTCAGGGATCTAGAACTAGAAATACCATTTGACCCAGCCATCCCATTACTGGGTATATACCCAAAGGACTATAAATCATGCTGCTATAAAGACACATGCACACGTATGTTTATTGTGGCACTATTGACAATAGCAAAGACTTGGAACCAACCCAAATGTCCAACAATGATAGACTGGATTAAGAAAATGTGGCACATATACACCATGGAATACTATGCAGCCATAAAAAATGATGAGTTCATGTCCTTTGTAGGGACATGGATGAAATTGGAAATCATCATTCTCAGTAAACTATCGCAAGGACAAAAAACCAAACACCACATGTTCTCACTCATAGGTGGGAATTGAACAATGAGAACACATGGACACAGGAAGGGGAACATCACACTCTGGGGACTGTTGTGGGGTGGGGGGAGGGGGGAGGGATAGTTTTAGGAGATATACCTAATGCTAAATGATGAGTTAATGGGTGCAGCACACCAGCATGGCACATGTATACATATGTAACTAACCTGCACAGTGTGCACATGTACCCTAAAACTTAAAGTATAATAATAATAAAATAAAATAAAAACTTTTTTATTATAGCCATCCTCATGGGTGTGACAGTGATGTCTCTCTTGTTCTTAATATTGGTAACTTGTGACTTCCCTCTTTTGTCTTTATCAGTCTAGTAGAAGTTTATTGGTTTTGTTGAACTTTTCAAAGAACCAACTTTTGGGTTAATTAGTTTTCTCTCATTTTTTGCTATTTCATTGATTTCTGCTCTGGTCTTTGTTATTTCCTTTCTTCTGCTTATTTTGAGTCTCTTTTTCTAATTTCTTAAGATGGAAACTAAGATCATTGATTGGAGATCTTTGCTGATATAGGGGTTTTAATGCTATACATTTCTTGCTATGTACTGCTATACTAGATCTCACAAATTTAATGAATTGTATTTCTCATTCAATTCAAAATGCTTTCGAGTTTCCCTTTGATTTCTTCTTTGATTCATGGGTGATTTAGAAGTGTGTTATAAAATATTTGAGGATCTTCCAAATATTATTCTCTAATTAATTTCTAATTTAATTTCATGTGGTCTAAGAACATATTTTGTATGATATGAATCTTTTAAATTATTGACTTGTTTTCTGTCCCAGACAGAATATGGTGATAAATGTCTTACCTGTATGTGAGTAGAATATGTATTGTGCTCTTGTTGGCAGGAGTGTTCCATAAATGTCAATTACGTCAAATTGATTGATAGTATTATTAGAGTTTCTGACTAATTTTATCAGTTATTGAGAGAGGGGATCCAGCTATTGTGGATTTGTCCATTTCTTTTTTATTTCTATCAGTTTTGCTTTACGTATTTTGAAGCTCTGTCATTAGGTGTATAAACATTTAGAATCATTGTGTACCCCTTGTTGAAATGATCCTTTTATCATTCTGAAATGACCCTTTTAATACCTAGCAGTATTTTTGCTATGAAATCTACTTTGTCCGACATTAATATAGACATTCTAGCTTTCTTTTGATTAGTGTTAGCATAATATATTTTTCTGTCCTTTTACTTTTAACCTATTTGTATCTTTATATTTATTAAAGTGGTTTTTTCATAAGGAATATATAGTTGGGTCTTGCATTTTTATCCAATCTAACAACCTCTGCCATTTCATTGACATGTTTAGACCAAGGATCAGCAATCTATAGCCCACAGGCCAAACCTAACCACTGCCTGCCTTTGGAAATAAAGTTTTATTGGAACGCAGCCAAGTCCATTCATTTGTGTATTGTCTGTGGCTGCTGTCACACTCCAGTGGCAGAGTTTGCTCACCTATTATGCAGACCATTTACATTTCATGTGATTATTGATGTGGTTGTTTCTTTTTTTTTAACGTGGTTGGATTTTAAACTACTGTGTTGCTATTTCTTTTCATTGGTCCCATCTGTTCTTTTCTCCCTTTTTCCTTTTTTAAACTTCCATCTTGGGGATTAATTGGGAATTTTTCATTATTCCATTTGATATCGTTTGTTGACTTATTAGCTATAACTCCTTTTTCTGTTATTTTAGTATTTGCTGTTAAAGCATTCAGAAAATAACCACAAGGAATTACCCTGGGATTTCTTGATTCTCTTAATCTGACTTCATCTACCAGAATGTTACCTTTCTGGCTCCTGATAAATTAAGGCATAATGCCGTAGCTTTATTCCCATTGACTCTTTACAGAAAAGAAAGATGGAGGAAATAGGGACTTTTGTTTGCCTATATATGAGTATCCAAAATAGATTTCCTATATATGATTTGGATTAAGAGTAGAATTGCATTTTTAGGAACATTGACCTGTAAGATATGTTACAGTGATTAATTCATTAGTTTCAGTCACTTTTTGAAATAGTAAGTGATTGTTAAGATGCTCCAAGGTAAAAATCTGCATCTTTGCAGGCTACCATCAATATTGTTTTTGATCGAGTTGGGAAAACGGATCCTGTCACAAGAGGCATTGAGATCACTGTGAATTATCTGGGAATCCAATTTGATGTAAGTGTTATATCAAGATCCTGGTTTGTCATGTTTCTGTTTTATCTACTATAACTTACCATTGTTAAGATTCTAATTTGTATACTTTAGGTACTTGCTTCTGCTTTTGTTCTTCCCACTCTGTATATTTTGACGTATTCACATGGAAAATTTTTATATTTTGATGTATTCACATGGAAAATTTGTAAAAGGCCAAGATTCTCTCTCTTAACATAAAGCCAGAAGTAATGATTGATACTTAATATTGTCATGGATGCTGATTATTTCTACAGCTGCTCCTCTGCTTCTCTATAGGCAGCTACCAGTTTACCATTTTCTCCCCACCAAAGTATTCAAATACTTCTCTCTGTGATTCTTATTAAGCTCTTCAAACACACAACTCAGCTTTGATGCTCCAGTGGAAAATTAGCTACTAATTAGTGTTCTGTGTTAGAGCTGAAATGATTTCTGCTGTAAGAAATGATCTTTATCTATTAATGTGGACCTTGGGCTAAAGATGGTAACTGTCACCTATGCACAAAATTTTTTTTTAAATTGTCTTTTTACTGTTTCATAATACCACTGTCATAAATACACCCTTGTCCTAATTGAAGTTCAGTGTCTTTATTCATAAACCAGAGCCAATGACTCTGGCTGAATAGCACTTTAATAGTAAGACCAATGTCATATTCTTAGTCCCAGTGTAGGCCATTTAGCTGTGCTGTCAACCTAGACGCAGACTGCGTGCTACCCCCAGCCATCCATCCCAGCCAGACGTGCCCCTAATCTCAAAAGGACTTGGATGAAATGAAAATGAACGAGAGCAAATTGAGCCCCAATCCTTGAGAAACAGCTCAATGTACATGTTTCTTGATGCTAGATCAATAGTGTATCCTCTTTGAGTGTGAAGGAACATGATATCTTTTCTTCAAGTGGTATATAAATTATATTAAATATGCTTTACAGGCCACGCACTACTGTGGCCCACATCTGTAGTCCCAGCACTTTGAGAGGTCGAGACAGATCACTTGAGTCCAGGAGTTCAAGACCAGCCTGGGCAACATGGTGAAAACCTGTCTCTAGAAAAAATATAAAAATTAGCTGGACATGGTGGCATGCACCTGTAGTCCCAGCTATGCAGGAGGCTAAAGCAGGAGGATCACTTGAGCCGGGGAGAAAGAAGTTGCAGTGAGCTGAGATAGTGCCACTGCACTCCACTCTGGGCGACAGAGTGAGACCCCTGTCTCAAAAAACAACAAAAAGTATGCTTTGCTGTTGTTGCATTTGTGTTTCCTTAAGTGTTTTACTGGGCTGAATTTTTAGCAATGCTTTTGCTTTTCTGTACTTTCTGAGGATACTTACATGGCCATGTATATATTTCATCTGTAATTCATCTGTTTATGCTATATTTTGTAATTCTGAATAACAAATCGTTTAGATGTTAGTAATAGCAGCTCCCTTTCAGATACTTTTCAGAACTGAATCAAACACAGGGTCCCAAAACTCCTTCTCACTATGAAGCAATACAGGAGGAGAAAAAGGTATCATGTGGTTCCAGTGAAGTTCAACTATTTCCTAGAATTTAGCTGAGAATGTCTATATATTCTTTTACTATAAAAAGAAAGATTCCTTGAAGTTTTGGTGATTAGGGAACTATTATTCATAGATAGAAAATAATCAAGGTATTATTTAGTTTCCTTTTAATTCCTGCTTTTCGTTTATCACAGTAAAACTGTATCATTAGTTCTGTTTTTTTCTGATTTATTAGCGTTATTTTTATCACTTCTTGGTACTTGCTGCCGGGCATGGTGACTCATGCCTGTAATACCAACACTTTGGGAGGCTGATGTGGGAGTATTGCTTGAGCCCAGGAGTTTGAGACGAGCCTGAACTACATAGCAAGACCCTGGCTCTACAAAAAAAATATTTTTTTAATTTTAAGGTTTAATTAAGTCTGCTAATTAAGGTATTTACTGCAGTCTTTCTGTAGTTGTTTTATTTGCCACCTACTTGCTTTCCTCTCTCCCTTAAGAAAAAAAATCAGGTAGGGTCTAATAAAGCTCCCTCTCACAGTCATGTAAATGATCGGGATATAGCTTAGCCCTTACGTCTCTCTGAACAGAGATTTAGCAGATATTTTTTCTTGTTATGGTGGCAGGTGAAGTTTTGGTCCCAACACATTTCCTTCATTCTTGTTGGAATAATCATCGTCACATCCATCAGAGGATTGCTGATCACTCTTACCAAGGTATGTTTTATCACAGTGTTAAAAAGTACTGCTTATCATTTGTTTAATTAAATGTGGTACCAGCCGGGTGTGGTGGCTCACGCCTGTAATCCCAACACTTTGGAAGGCTGAGGTGGGTGGATCACGAGGTCAGGAGATCGAGTCCATCCTAGCCAACATGGTGAAACCCCATCTCTACTAAAAATACAACAAATTAGCTGGGTGTGGTGGCACATGCCTGTAGTCCCAACTACTTGGGAGGCTGAGTTAGGAGAATCACTTGAACCCAGGCAGCAGAGATTGCAGTGAACCAAGGTCACACACTGCACTCCAGCCTGGTGAAAGAGCAACACTCCATCTCAAAAAAAAAAAAATAGGTGGTACCATGAGATAATTTTACCTCATTAAGAATTCTGCCTCCTGAGACTTTAAACAACAGTGTCAAGGATTTAAAAGACATACAACAGAATTTTTTAAAAGTTAAACTACTACATAAATTGATGATGATATATTTACATCATATACCAATTATAGATAAGTACATTCACTAAAGGTGATAGAGTAAGATATGGGTCTGTTTTGTTCACTGATATGTTATCAGTATCTAGAACAGAACCTAGCACATGGTAGGCAGATATTCAGCAGATATTTGAGACTGGAAGAATAGTTGTGAGAGTCACTTACAGAGAAGATATGGAAGTAAGGGAGCAGAATATAGCAAGTCCTTAATGTCATCAATAAGTTCTTGGAAACAGCAGCTTTAAGCAAAACTATATACCAAGTCCTCAAAAAAATGTTTCGTTCAACATTTCATTATAATGCTGTGAGAAAAATGTAGTTTTGTTATACATCATTTCACTTAAAATCTCAGTTTCCAAGATCCTATAAATGGCATTAAGTAAGGACCTACTGAATTCAACTATTTTTTTTTTTTAAATTATACTTTAAGTTCTAGGGTACATGTGCACAACATGCAGGTTTGTTACATTTGGATACATGTGCCATGTTGGTGTGCTGCACCTATTAACTTGTCATTTACATTAGGTATATCTCCTAATGCTGTCCCTCCCCCCTCCCCCCACCCCACGACAAGCCTCGGTGTGTGATGTTCCCCTTCCTGTGTCCAAGTGTTCTCATTGTTCAGTTCCCACCTATGAGTGAGAATATGCAGTGTTTGGCTTTTTGTCCTTGCGATAGTTTGCTGAGAATGATGGTTTCCAGCTTCATCCATGTCCCTACAAAGGACATGAACTCATCCTTTTTTGTGGCTGGATAGTATTCCATGGTGTATATGTGCCACATTTTCTTAATCCAGTCTATCATTGATGGACATTTGGGTTGGTTCCAAGTCTTTGCTATTGTGAATAGAGTATGTGAATAGTGAATAGTATGAATATTGCACATGCAATAAACATACGTGTGCATGTGTCTTTATAGCAGCATGATTTATAATCCTTTGGGTATATACCCAGTAATGGGATGACTGGGTCAAATGTTATTTCTAGTTGTAGATCCTTGAGGAATTGCCACACTGCCTTCCACAATGGTTGAACTAGTTTACAGTCCCACCAACAGTGTAAAAGTGTTCCTGTTTCTCCACATCCTCTCCAGCACCTGTTGTTTCCTGACTTTTTAATGATCACCATCCTAACTGGTGTGAGATGGTATCTCATTGTGGTTTTGATTTGCATTTCTCTGATGGCCAGTGATGATCAGCATTTTTTCATGTGTCTGTTGGCTGCACATGAGAAGTGTCTGTTCATATCCTTTGCCCACTTTTTGATGGGGTTGTTTTTTTTCTTGTAAATTTGTTTGAGTTCTTTGTAAATTCTGGATATTAGCCCTTTGTCAGATAAGTAGATTGCAAAAATTTTCTCCCATTCTGTAGGTTGCCTGTTCACTCTGATGGTAGTTTCTTTTGCTGTGCAGAAGCTCTTTAGTTTAATTAAATCCCATTTGTCAATTTTGGCTTTTGTTGCCATTGCTTTCGGTGTTTTAGACATGAAGTCCTTGCCCATGCCTATGTCCTGAATGTTATTGCCTAGGTTTTCTTCTAGGGTTTTTATGGTTTTAGGTCTAACATTTAAGTCTTTAATCCATCTTGAATTAATTTTTGTATAAGGTGTAAGGAAGGGATCCAGTTTCAGCTTTCTACATATGGCTAGCCAGTTTTCCCAGCACCATTTGTTAAATAGGGAATCCCTTCCCCATTTCTTGTTTTTGTCAGGTTTGTCAAAGAGCAGATGGTTGTAGATGTGTGGTATTATTTCTGAGGGCTCTGTTCTGTTCCATTGGTCTATATCTCTGTTTTGGTACCAGTACCATGCTGTTTTGGTTACTGTAGCCTTGTAGTATAGCTTGAAGTCAGGTAGTGTGATGCCTCCAGCTTTGTTCTTTTGGCTTAGGATTGACTTGGCAATGCGGGCTCTTTTTGGTTCCATATGAACTTTAGAGTAGTTTTTTCCAATTCTGTGAAGAAAGTCATTGGTAGCTTGATGTGGATGGCATTGAATCTATAAATTACCTTGGGCAGTATGGCCATTTTCATGATATTGATTCTTCCTATCCATGAGCATGGAATGTTCTTCCATGTGTTTGTTTCCTCTTTTATTTTGTTGAGCAGTGGTTTGTAGTTCTCCTTGAAGAGGTCCTTCACATCCCTTGTAAATTGGATTCCTAGGTATTTTATTCTCTTTGAAGAAATTGTGAATGGGCGTTCACTCATGATTTGGCTCTCTGTTTGTCTGTTATTGGTCTATAAGAATGCTTGTGATTTTTGCACATTGATTTTGTATCCTGAGACTTTGCTGAAGTTGCTTATCAGCTTAAGGAGATTTTGGGCTGAGACGATGGGGTTTTCTATATATACAGTCATGTCTTCTGCAAACAGGGACAATTTGACTTCCTCTTTTTCTGATTGAATACCCTTTATTTCTTTCTCCTGCCTGATTGCCCTGGCCAGAACTTCCAACACTATGCTGAATAAGAGTGGTGGGAGAGGGCATCCCTGTCTTGTGCCAGTTTTCAAAGGGAATGCTTCCAGTTTTTGCCCATTCAGTATGATATTGGCTGTGGGTTTGTCATAAATAGCTCTTACGATTTCGAGATACGTCCCATCAATACCTAATTTATTGAGTTTTTAGCATGGAGGGCTGTTGAATTTTGTCAAAGGCCTTTTCTGCATCTATTGAGATAACCATGTGGTTTTTGTCTTTGGTTCTGTTTATATGCTGGATTATGTTTATTGATTTGCATATGTTGAACCAGCCTTGCATCCCAGGGATGAAGCCCATTTGATCATGGCAGATAAGCTTTTTGATGTGCCGCTGGATTCAGTTTGCCAGTATTTTATTGAGGATTTTTGCATCGATGTTCATCAGGGTCTAAAATTCTCTTTTTTTGTTGTGTCTCTGCCAGGTTTTGGTATCAGGATGATACCCTAACTCATTTTATGAGGCCAGCATCATCCTGATACCAAAGCCTGAATTCATCTATTTTCTAATCAACGTAGGAAGACTTCACGGAGGTGGAAAGTGAGTCCTCTCTGGTAGGAAAGGTAGGGATTTAAAAATCCAGGAGCTTTTGAATGAAAGAGAAGTGGCTGGGACAGGAAGGGATCTGCAGGCATCTAGCACAGTTTTAGAAAGAGCGTGGGAGCCTACTAACAATTACAACCGCTTGGAGTGGGCTGGAGTGATCTGACTTAATGTTTTATAGTGATGTTAAGTCATATGTATCACATAGTTTCTGAAGTTTGATAGCAATAGGAATCCTTTCATATGTTATGTAATTAAATTACCCCCAGGGGGAAAGTATAACTTTTTCAGCAGTCTATTTTAAGTCTCTTCTTTATAGTCTTAATCATATGAATTGTTCTATACAGGATTGTGGCATGGAAGAGACACTTTTAATCAAATGTTAACCATATTTCTTACTGTTCGTGACACAGGAATCTAACACTACTGCATAAATTCATCTCCCTCTTTCTTGACAGTTCTTTTATGCCATCTCTAGCAGTAAGTCCTCCAATGTCATTGTCCTGCTATTAGCACAGATAATGGTAAGTTTAATTAGTTACCTTTATGTTTACAGCTGTAAAATATCAGAAATGTGCTTGATACTTTTAAGAATTTTAATAATTTCCTTTGTCCTGTTCCTCACTACATTCAGAGTCACTTCTGGATTAATTCATTTGACTTACAGGGCATGTACTTTGTCTCCTCTGTGCTGCTGATCCGAATGAGTATGCCTTTAGAATACCGCACCATAATCACTGAAGTCCTTGGAGAACTGCAGTTCAACTTCTATCACCGTTGGTTTGATGTGATCTTCCTGGTCAGCGCTCTCTCTAGCATACTCTTCCTCTATTTGGCTCACAAACAGGCACCAGAGAAGCAAATGGCACCTTGAACTTAAGCCTACTACAGACTGTTAGAGGCCAGTGGTTTCAAAATTTAGATATAAGAGGGGGGAAAAATGGAACCAGGGCCTGACATTTTATAAACAAACAAAATGCTATGGTAGCATTTTTCACCTTCATAGCATACTCCTTCCCCGTCAGGTGATACTATGACCATGAGTAGCATCAGCCAGAACATGAGAGGGAGAACTAACTCAAGACAATACTCAGCAGAGAGCATCCCGTGTGGATATGAGGCTGGTGTAGAGGCGGAGAGGAGCCAAGAAACTAAAGGTGAAAAATACACTGGAACTCTGGGGCAAGACATGTCTATGGTAGCTGAGCCAAACACGTAGGATTTCCGTTTTAAGGTTCACATGGAAAAGGTTATAGCTTTGCCTTGAGATTGACTCATTAAAATCAGAGACTGTAACACTTTTGCCTTACGTTCATTTTATCAAGCATAGCTTGGTATTTATTATGCTTGTGTGATCTAACATCAGTTAGCATCCCACACCTCCTCATCTGATCCTGCCCCATTAAAATAACCAAGAAAGAGGTTATCTGTTCTTTTCCGGGAAAGGGGTGGTATGCACCTGAAATAGATTTTACCAAAAGAGAGATTTCAGGTATGTCATTTTTTCTTGATTTCCTGTGAACTTAGTATTATACCCTACTTTCAATTCGGTAGTGATGTTTCCTTTTTTTTTTTTCTATCTGCCCCTCACGCTGTGGGGTGAAACCGTGAATAACTTAACTGGGGGAATAAGTCACTTGTGAAAGGGAAATGTTGAAAAATTTTTAGAACACTCAGACATGCAATTTAAGAAAATTCTGAATTTTATTACTAAGGTCTTATTCTGTACTTTATTGTGTTTTGGGTTTCTAGAGGCAAATGAAGGTTAAAGCATAAAAAGTGAATCCAAAACAAAAGCACTATCAAGCATACTCAAAAGGCATTTGTTAATGGTATTTATTCTAGCAACCACAACATTGTTACAAAAGCACAATTTTAATAGGCTTATCTGCTAAGATGCTTTTATAAGCAGCTGTCACCTATACAGAGTTATGAATCATCTTTGGTGCTCAAGGAACCTGTAGAAGTAAGAGACATCATCATACAGAGAAATGTAGTTAAGTTAAGTTGAAGCTTGGAAAAGATCACATGAAAAAAATCTAGCTCTTGCCTTATCTCTTCCTAAGTTAAGCATAAATTAGCCGTCTGCAATAGCCGCCTGTAAGACAAATGATAACAGAAGACAATCACACATGGTGAATGGTTTCCAGTGGAGTTTTTCTTCTAAAGAGACAGTAAACAGGTCACAACTCATTCCTTGAGAAAGGATTCCTATTAAATACCCAGAAACAGCTATCAAATAAACAGCCAAAGCTATTACTTGTTTTCATCACATCTCTGTATCTTCAGAATTGGAAGAAGAATGTGAGGCTGTACTGTGGGCCTGTGTATAAGAAAACAAAGAATTTACAAATGGTAGAGTAATGAAAGAGGGATGATCTATTCTAGAGTTGCATGACTTAAGTCGGGGAGTAGAGTCACTCACTAGAATTTCTTTCTTTCACAGCATGCAGTTGACAGCAATTGTGTAGAGCTGATAAATCAAGTAAAAAGTTTATCAGTATTGTAATGGGAACCCCCAGAAGAGCCTGAATCAGATGATCTGGGTATGACTAGAAGTCAGGTGACCTGAATTCTACACTTGATTGTTTTCAACTTGCTGTTTGACACATTAACAAATTCCTTAATGTCTGTGTATATTTCTTTTTTATAAGACTAGGATATTGACTTCCTAAAGAGAAATTACAGAATTTTTAAATGACAACTAATACAACTAATAGTATTTATTAAGCATTCCTGAATACAAATCAGTGGGCATTGTGTGTGTTCATTAAACTGAGTTTATTAAAATGAATATTCCACCCATTAGCAGAATTAATATAATGGAAAGAAGAACAACATTGAATTAAACTTTTTTAGAGTCTCGGCTTTGCTATAAATTTCCTTTATGAACTTGGATAAGTCAGTTTACTTTTCGACCTCAAGTTCATCTATGAAAAATTGGGCAAAAATATAAAACTGAGACTTACCAAGAAATTTAATCCAAATATATAGAGAATAATATAGAGAATGCTTAATCTTTCCTAGTAATAAAACTGGATTACCTGTCAGTTGTTTTAAACAATATTGTCTTTAACCGTCACCACTTACATGCTCACTATGAGCCAGCCACTATTCAAAGCACTTTAATATAGTTAATCTTAGTTAACATGATCCTGATAACAATCCTACAAATTATTCCTGTTTTATGGGTGGGAAAACTGAGGAACAGAACAAATAAATCCATTTCCCCACAGCTGACAAATGACAGAACCAGAATTCATATCTAGATCATCCGATTCAGGCTCTTTTGGGGGTTCCCATTACAATACTGATAAACTTTTTACTTCTTGATTTATTAGCTCTAGACAGTTGCTGTCAGCTGCATGCTATGAAAGTAAGAAATTTGTTGTTCTTATACTGCCTCCTGTCCTCTACAATAACTTGATTTGTTAGTTATCTTTACATTTTCATTTTCTAGTTTTAAAAAAATCTGTGGCAAACATAGACATTAAATATACTCATAGGGACTGTACCCATACTCTAGTAAATTAGATCACGAAAAGAAATAGGCCCCCACTCACCCGTTCTTTTGCCATGTGCGAGTCATGGTTTGACTCCACCACTATTCCTTCTTTAGAATCTGGAGGGGTGTCAAGTGGATCAGCCAGGGAGGAAACAATAGGGATTTTCTTAGCTTGGAAATAATCATAGGCCTTCTTTCCACAGACTAGAAGTGTGACATTCTTCCCACTGCTCTGGATTCTATCCACCACCTTCTCATAGGGTTCATCTAGCACATTCACCCCATTCACTTCAATGATGACATCCTCATCCTCTAGCCCAGCCAAGTCAGCAGGACCGCCCTTCTGTACCTGTGAACAGAAGTTCTGAGTTATCAATTTCAAACAGAGAAGGGGACATCAGACTAGCTCTCCTTAAGAGAATAGATGAGGAGCTCAAGAATTTATTTTTAATCATGTTATTATTTCTCCTTGAGGTATAGAAGTTGAGAAAGGTGTTCTAATGCTTTTATATTTATGAAGGCTATAACTTCCATATTCACATGATTAGTGGTATTATAAATAGTGGTTCAGCATCATATGTCTTCTGGGATGAAGGGGGATAAATAGGTCCCCCTTCTTCACTCCCAACTTGAAAGCTTTAGGGATTCTTATCAGTCCCTACAGGGTAAGGGGCATTATGCCAAATGCACAGAAGCAAACAAATATGACTGCCAATCAGGGTTGATAGTGACTGTCAACTAGAGTTCAGTCAACTCACACTGTTTGGAACAGATGTTTGGGAAACAAACAAACGTGAGCTTATGATGTACTGGTAGCTAACCTAAAGGGTGTGGGACCATGACAACATTTATCTGAACCCAAGTGAGACCCCTCAGTGTGTGCCTTCAATGGAACCTCTCTACTAAGCCATCAATGGGTGGGAAAAGCTGAGACTATCCTAATTGTGGCTGTGTTTGTTGGGCTGCTGGAACCAGATTACCATACCTCTTTGATGAATGAGCCTGGCAGACCCCGAATCGCATTTAAGTGAAAGCCATAGCCATTTTCACCTTTAGCCAGCCTGCAGAGTTTAGGCTTATGATCTACTTCCTCTGTAGTATCTGGTGGACTTGAGACTTCCAGAGAAGTGGGAGTAGGAGCTGGAGCCTCCTTGACAGAGCCATTGGGCAGTTCTTGACTTTGATAGTAGAGAAATGGAGAAAAATGAGCCTTTTGAAAAATAAAGGGAAAAAACATTAACTTAGTTGTAACCATGAGTAAGTTATACTTTGTTAAATGTGCTGATTTTTAAGGTATCATACATATTCCACTCTTCTTCTGGATGTGTCTGATTGTAGGCTGTAAAATTCCTCTACTACCCCAACCAGGAAAGGTATAAAAGAAGACTGTGCTTCGTTATGGAGTAATATGTGTATACATGTACACAAATGCACACATGAACATAAAAGCAGTATAGGATGCGGTACAAGGATCCCAAAAGAAGTCTAAAAAATTGCTAGTTTCTTTTGAGTGAGTTCATGATAGTGAGCAAGTCACTGAACAAGCTATACATAATCTCCCTGTTGGGAAATGACATATCTGACCGACTAGCCGGTACCTCATGCAGAGTACATTCTTCTGGCTTTTCCTTTCGGTAAGATGGTCTTCAGAGCTCCTTAAACACATTAGAAAAAGTAAAACACAAGACACTTGTGATAGTTAATTTTAGATGCCAACTTGACTGGATTAAGGAATACCTAGAAGCCCGGCAAAGCATTATTTTGGTGTGTGTCTGTGAAGGTGGTTCCAGAGGGGATTAGCATGCGAGTCTGAGTGAACTACAGAAAAGGCAAAGGTGTCAGTCTGTCTGCTAGAGCTGGGATACCCTCTTCCTCTCCTGTGCTTGGACATCAGAATTCCTGGTTCTCCGGCCTTTGGACTCTAAGATCTACAGCCGCAGCCCCCCAGATTCTCAGGCCAAATGCACAGAAGCAAACAAGTAGGACTGCCAATCAGGGGTGATGCCAGTAATGTGGCTCAGTCAGATTTGGACGGAGCCACACTACTGGCATCCCAGGGTCTCAAGCTTGAAGACAGCCTGTCGTGGGGCTTCTCAGCCTCCATAATCATACAAGCCAATTCCCCTAATTAATCTCCTCTCATACCTGTATCTATATCCTACTAGATCTGTCTCTCTGGAGAATGTTAATATAACACTATTTTTATCACTATCCAAAGATTCAAAGCTACTAGAAGAGACCAACCCATATACACAGGAATAATTGGTGAGAGGGTGACAGCTGTTATATGGTCACATATTGTAACAAAAGTTAATTCCAACCCTTTGCTGCTTGCCAATACCCTCCCCTTCCAGACCTGGGATCTGTGCTTATTTATTTTGCTATGTATTGTTGTAAGCATTAGCTGTCACTTCTATTATGCCAAACTCTCCAACATCTTTAAATACTCCTAATTCATATCAACTCCCAGACCATCCATGTAAAGAAATGATGATCTTGAATACCGAAGAGGCATAGAACAGGAAACAGGATTGATTTTTTTGTAATAGAATTACAAGCCTAACTGGCTGTTTTAGTTGAGACAATTAGAAGGGTGGACCTGGGTATGGTGTGATCCTGGATCAGCAGCTAAATGGCTGCCCACACGTGTCCGGAACATTTGTTAGGTGATGAGTAGGAAATCAAGCAATGGAAGGTGAGCACAGTGTGGGCTCTACTTCAAATCGCACTGTTTAGCAGCCTGACTAAAATTAGATTTTTAGTCCTCTGGTTATCATGTGTCTTACTAACCACAAGACCACATCTCCTTCCTTTCTAAGTGAGAATACCACCAGCACAGAACCTCCTAGTTACCCAGTTCAACTAACTTCAGACCTTTCAGTCATATACTTGCAACAGTTCCACAATGGAGCCTTTCTCTTTAAAATATGGAAAATTATCAGGTGACTCATTACATGCAAAAATACGTCTGATAACACTACCCAAACAAGCAAATCAACTGTATCTGACAGTCGCAGCTCATCTCGAGGCAAAGTGCAATAACATTAAAACACTTGAGATTTTGGCCGGGCTTGGTGGCTCATGCCTGAAATCCCAGCACTTTGGGAGTACAAGGTGGGCGGATCACTTGAGGTCAGGAGTTCGAGACCAGCCTGGCCAAAATGGTGAAACCTCATTCTCTACTAAAAATATAAAAATTAGCCAGGTGTGGTAGCACACACCTGTAGTCCCAGCTACTTGAGAGACTGAGGCAGGAGACTCACTTGAACCTGGGAGGCAGAGGTTCCAGTGAGCTGAGAACATACCATTGCACTCCAGCTTGGACAACAGCGGGAGACTCTGTCTCAAAAAAAAAAAATGAGATTTTATTCATGCTTCATTCAGATAATTGGGTGTCTAGTATGTGCCAGGGACTGCTAGAGGGTTGTGTTTTACTCACTGATGTATCTCAAAGATCTACCCTCCACCCCAACCTACAGGGCTTACTTTGGAGAGCGGGGAAGGAGATGATGAGGGCAGGCTTCTTTTTCGATCAAAGTTCTCTATTAACCAAAACAGAAAAATTACAATTAAATCATTCTATGATAAGATCAGGAGGGGTCAGAATCCCCTTTACAACAAACAGCTGCAGCAGCCGCCTCTGATTTCTGCTTGACTTTCCACCAACTGCAAAATGACTCATCATTTCTGGCAGCTTCAGTTGGTTCTTAAGCCAAAAGCTAGCTCCCTATGGCTTCTCTGGTCCTGTTGTGCCCCATAGGACACCTTAAAAAAAATGTGTGGCCCGGGCGTGTTGGCTTATACCTGTAATCCCAGCACTTTGGGAGGCCGAGGCGGGCGGATCACAAGGTCAGGAGATCGAGACCATCCTGGCCAACATGGTAAAACTACTAAAATACAAAAAATTAGCTGGGCATGGTGGTGCGCACCTGTAATTCCAGCTACTCAGGAGGCTGAGGCAGGGGAATCGCTTGAACCCGGGAGGTGGAGATTGCAGTGAGCTGAGATGGCACCACTGCACTCCAGCCTGGTGACAGAGCAAGACAACGTCTCAAAAAAAAAAAAAAAAAGTGTGCTCCTTCTTACATGTAATAGCCTTTCAAATTCTTGAAGATGCTCTCTTCTCCAAAGCCTTACTCAAGCTAAATACTCACATGGTGGCTTCCAAAACCTCTTCCCTGGTTACCCTTGTCATTGCCTTCTTAAAGTGAAGTTCTTGAAACCGGACACAATATTGATTGAACAAATAGAACATTTAGATGTGTGAGGCATTATTCTACATGCTCTGAATATTCCAATTCAACCCTCATAGCCACCCTTCGCTGTAGCTACTACCCCTCTCTTACAACTAAGGAAACTGAAGCACAGAGAGAGGTGGTAACTATATTACCAGGTATTCCAAGTATGGTCTGACCAAGTAAGTACAGTAAGATGGTCATCTCTAGAAGCCAAGTGTCTGTCAGTTAATTTTTAAATTACCATATTTGGATGGGGCAACCACTTGGACTATGAAGTTTCTGGTCTTTTTCTGTAGTCCTCAAATCAGGTCTCACCATGTGGTATTCATACAATTTACTTTTAGGTTAGTATAGTACATCTGAAATTTATTCTTATTTCTTTAGTTTTCATTCTTTCTATCCTAACTAAATATTTTGAGTATTAATTACACCATCCAGCAAATGAATTATCTAGTGCCACTTTAAGTATGTTAATATATTTTCCATATCTCCTTTCAACTTTAAGCACATAAACGGTTAGGAACAAGTAGCATGCCATTAGAGACTTCTATTCAAGTTGATATTCAGGTTGATATCAAGTATTTTCTAGGTATGATTGTTCAAGTAGCTAAAAAAAAAAAGCCATTAATCTAATTAATTGTTTAATCCTGCTTACAAGATTATCTTGAAAAAATGTGCTGGGGAGTATGGTATAATGAATTACGGGTCCAAGAATTTGGGTTCAGATACCACCTTCAGTCTTTACTAAGCTGCGTGACTTTAGCAAAGTGCTTAGTCTCTCTAAGCTTCGGTTTCCTAATCTATGAGGAGGGCCTAAGATATCACCACCCATCATATTCCCCCCTCTGTACCGCTTATTTTAGATTCTACTATCATTGTATATCACAGAGGACATTTATCTTGTTCATCTTTACAATCAACACTTAGCAAGACAGATGGTACTTAGAAGGCCCCCCAGGTTATCTGTTAAACTAGACAACCTCAGTTCTTGTGTTAAAAGTAAAAAAAAAAAAAAAAAAAAAAAAAAAAACCTTAAAACATGCAGTAGTGGGTGTTATGATAAAGAGCTGTTAAGAGAAAATAAAGTTAGTTTGATTCAGGTTGGTCTTGGTCTATCTGTGTTTCTTTTTTATTTGCTAAGGGCTTACAAGTTGTTTAATAATCCTTTCTAGGCTTTTATGTGCAGTTGATAGCACTTAACTGACCTAAAGCTTAAAATCTAATTGTTTCCTATTTTGGGAACAATTTTATTTCCAGGCTTATATTCTCCATAGATTTTCTCAGATCACCAAGAGTAAGCCTGCAGTTATATTCACAAATTCTTTCAAAATCTTAAGACCAAGGACTTAAAACTCATTTATCAATCATTTGGCATTCTCTTATCACTACCAATTTGAGTTGAGCTTCAGTTTAGCCTTAATGATGATTGTTATGCCTCTTCCAGTTTGAGGAACAAAGTCCTAACTCAGTGCAAAAGTTGAGGTCATGAGTGAATGGGCCCAGCCTTAATGCATGAATATATGGCCTTGTATTACTTACCAGTCTGTACATGTTGTCCGTCTCTTTGTCTACCACCAACAGTGAAGTCTGATCTCCACCCTTTCTAATCATTTCTACCACACTGTCATGATCCAGGGTTTCCACAGACTCGCCGTTGACAGCAACTACCAGATCATTGTTCTTCAAGCCAGCCTCCTCTGCTGGACTTCCAGAATCTATGTCCTTGATGATTTGACCTACCCTCCCCCAACCCCAAAAAATAAAATTATCAGTAAGTCCCCTAAAAAAATAAAACAGATTTTCTGCTGGAGCCCAAAGCCCTGATGAAACAGATAAAAAAGGCATGCTGAGTACAACTACCACCCCTTCCACCAGCATCCCAGGAAGCTTATAAGCACACTATCTAGGCTCGTTTCCTGCTCAGAACTCACCCCAGAAACTAACCCAGCAATTAACAATGAAGGGGTCTTAACGAAAATAATCCTGTTACTAAAAGCGTCTGACATTTGATTTTGGCAAAATAGCATATTAAAAGGCTGCAAGTTCCCAGAAAGTCAGTGGGCATACTTGTAGCCACGCGTCTTATGTAAAAGCTGTCATAAAAGATGGGGAAGAATAAAGAACAAAACCCAAAACTTTGGACCTTAAGAAACCCAGGCTGGCATTTTAGTAGCAATTGGGTGTGTTCGGTTTTGAATATATTTGTATATACATGCCTCCATGTGCTTTGGCCTTCTGGTATCTTCACCAGATGCTGCCTTTTTTTTTTTTTTTAACAAGTTCCTGTTTCACTTTTCCAGCTAGCTGCTGGGTATCTCCAACAAAATATCTCATAGATCTCTCAACTGTAATGTATTCAAGCCAAAAATCAGCTCTGCCCATTCTCCATCCCAAAGCCCCTCCTCTTGGTTACCTGTTAGTGGAGCAACATCATCCCAGTCACCAACACTTGGCAACTGATTCTTCCCCAGCATCCAGTCCCCATATCTAGACGATTGCTAAGTCCTCTGATGCTACCATAATACCTTACACATCCCACTTCCTCTACCCTGAATGCAGTTTGTATTAGTTCCTGCCTAGAATTCTACCTAAACTATTACAGCACCTTACCTACTGCTTTCCCTTCCCCAGTCCTTCTGTCTGATACAGATCTGCCTTCAGATCCATCTTGGTGCACATTCCTAACCAAGTCACTTCCTGGTGCAACAGAATGAGCATGGGCTTTGGAACTAAACAACTATTTGACCTTACATAATTACTGTATCTTCTCCAAGCCCTCAATTTCAGCAGTTCTTCTTGCATAATTGTTAGGAGTAATTGAGATGTGCAAAGCCCCCAAGACATTATAGGCTGGTTTTTGTTCTTCTCCCTTATACTGCTCAAAAAACAACTCCCCATTGTCTGATAAGCCAAGTTCAAACTCATCAGTCTTGCATAGAAGTCCCCTTGTCACCTCTCTCCAACCTACCTTTCCAACGAATTCTTGTACTACACATCATGTGCCAATTAAACTGTGCCAGTGTCTCCTGACTGTGTTCACATGATTCCCACCTTCCTGGAATGATCTTCCTTATCCCAGCTCTGTCTACTTTCCCAAATCTATTCATGTTACAAAGCCTGAACTCAAGTGCCACCCCTACTATGAGGGCTTCTGGTACCTTTTTAGTGAGAAAAGCTTACTCTAACGTTGAATTATCACAGTGCTTGATCTGCCCCTGTATGAAGGTACTTAACCTCTATCTCCCTTCATTATGGACATATCTCTTATCTACTAAATGGTAGACTCCTTCACTAAAGAATTCCTGTCTGCTTCATATGATATTCTTTCTCCAAGGCACTGAGGATGTTTTTACAAAACACAAACCAAATTAATATTTGATAAATTAATGTAAACAGAGAGTGAAAAGAAAATAACAACTTATGGGCGAATAGCAGTTTATACGGCCCGAACTCATGTTCTTTTATGTATTTACCTTCCCTGAAAGAACCTAGTGTTCTTCCTATTGAGTTGCAAGGAAGGAGGACTCCTGGTTCTGAGTCCCAAATCCTCACCCACACCTCGGCCTCAGGTCCAGCGGTGTGCTATACTGGCTCACACCGGCTCACAAAAGCCAATTCTGTGCAACACTTCATTGTGTTCAGTGACATCGTGTTAGTAAGTTGAAACTGGACATGGGAGGAGTATTTACATCACAAAATACTACCAATTTGGTACCAAAAACAAACGCTACCAATTTGGATTTCCCCCCACCCCCGCCCCAGAGAGCTAACTTACCAGGATACCGTTGCCCAGATCCCAAATTCTGCCTTATCATAATGCTATGGAAACTTTTGATGCCCAACATCAGACCCTCATGTGACATAGACGCTGACCCAGCTGTGCCTTCTATGCTATGCCGCTCATGCATCTGGCTGGGAGTTGGGAACCTAATGGAACTCTGGAGTCAGAATGGGATGAGGAATTTGCTGGTTACTGCCAAGTTTCCTGCTCTTGTACCTTACCTTTCTGTTCTGAGCCTGCCCTCAGATAGAAACCATAGCCATTGCTTCCTTTCTTCATCTCCACAATTCGGGGCTGGTGGGGTAACAGTTTCAAACTGGCTGTTTCTCTTTTGAATTGTATCTTCTGCTCAACATGACGCTTGTCAGTTTCTTTGTCCACCAGCAGGAACATGACACGGCTTCCTGACTTCTTCACCTGTAACAACACACACAGATGAGGAATGACATCAACCCCCAAGAACAATGCTGGGGAATAAGAAAGTTTCTGTATAAAGGCACACAGTCTCTAGGTTCAACAAAAGATAGGGGATGAAAGGCCTGAGTTTAAGCTGTTACACTATGCCCTACCAGCTAACTGATATGTATTTATCGCCTTTTTTTTTTTTTTTGAGATGGAGTGTCACTCTTTCGCCCAGGCTGGAGTGCAGTGGCACTATCTCAGCTCACTGCAAGCTCTGCCTCCCGGGTTCACGCCATTCTCCTGCCTCAGCCTCCCGAGTACCTGGGACTACAGGTGCCCGCCACCGCACCTGGCTAAATTTTTTTTTTTTTATTTTTAGTGGAGACGGTGTTTCACCTTGTTAGCCAGGATGGTCTCGATCTCCTGACCTCGTGATCCACCCGCCTCGGCCTCCCAAAGTGCTGGGATTACAGGCGTGAGCCACCGCGCCCGGCCCCTATCTCCACTTCTATAGTTGTTTTCCCTTATTTAAGTATGACCTACCCACATAGGTGCTAACTGAGCCCAAGTAGGAGCTGGAATTCAGAAAACCCATAAAGGTACCTAGATAAAAGCTAGAAAGGGAGTTTGGAAAAGAAAAGAAAGTAAGGGTCCACGTCAAAAAATCATTCTACAAAGAGAAGGTTGGTCAATTTTTAAGGTTCCATATGACCTCAAAGGAAAATCTCGGTTATCTCCCACTTCCTATTAAAGCATTTCAGTATTAACGGCTCAACAGTGAACTTATTGTAAATTCAGAGGGCGCAGTGGCACACGCCCATAATCCCAGCACTTTGGGAGGCCAAGGCGGGCAGATCACTTGAGCTCAGGAGTTCAAGACCAGCCTGGCCAACATAGTGAGACCCTATCTCTACAAAACACACACACACACACACACACACACACACACACACACACACATAAAAATTAGCCAGGTGCGGTGGTGCACACCTGTAGTCCCAGCTACTCAGGAAGCTGAGGTAGAAGAATCATCTGAGCCCAGGAGGCCGAGACTGCAATGAGCCGAGATTGTGCCACTACACTCCAGCCTGGGTAACAGAGTGAGACCCTGTCTCAATCAAACAGTTCAGAGGGGGCTCCCAATCAGATACAAACAAGATCCAAAAGGTAAAGTTAATAATTTTGTAGACCTCATGTGAAACTAGGGAAGGCTTTATTCCAAAACCCTATATTAACACTGCTTATACCACTAGTGTGAGTCTGTTCACCCTTAATATGAAGGGGCAACTCAACTGGATATTTTTTCCATCATAAACTCATGCTGTCCCCTACCACCCCTGTCTTCCTGTCACCTCCAATGAGAATAGAGTGGAAGATAGGGTAAGAAAAGTACCCTTTGGGGCATACCTTTTCAACCACTTCCTCATGGCTGGCATCCTCTACATTCTCTCCATTCACTTCAATCAAGTGATCATCAGCCAGAACTCCAGCTCTCATAGCCACACCTTGAGGTGTAATATCAGTCATGTACACCCCCTTTTTACCTGGAAGAGAGTAGGGGTAAACTCCATGTGGAGACACAAGTGACTCCCTCTTGGATGGTAATCTGTGATGTTGACTTCTGATTAGCCCCAGTCCTGTGATTGCCTCCCGATTTCTACTTCATTTACTGTCCCTAGTCTAAGAACATGTCAACCTTAATGTTATCACGCAAATTATAGGCTATGATGCACTATAGCATTCTTGGCTATTGCGGAGGGCTGCCTTCGATTGTCTTGCTGGAGCACATATACCCTTTCCCTATGGTATATCAGCCTTGGGTCTGGGGAGTAACACAGAGATCTACATGTTTTGTGGCTGTCCAAGACCATGCTTCTGTTCGTAAGTTCCCCTGATAAATTCCAATGTACCAACAAACTGGATTTGCCTGCCTTGTCCTTTGGTTTCTCAGCTCCTTTGGCCTTTGAGGGACTGCTTTGCATACACCACCCTTTCACAGAACACTCCATTGCAAAGAAAAACTCGAAATCCAATGGTAAAGACTTTTCTCCCAATAATGTGAAACAAACTTCCGATTTTAGAGCTAACTCGGCCTTTGGCTTCTGATCTAAAATCACAGTTATAGGTCCTGGCACTGAACTTGACACAGCCTTTACTCAGTGGGTATTTGTTGATTTGAATAGAATTTCTGAGGTCAGCTAAATGCAAAGATGGAATCTTGGGTGGCCTTGGCCCCTTGAACCAGAAAGCGCTAAAACATGCCCACACTGCATTATTGTGTCATACGCCCTTTCTTTGCATTTGTAGAATCAGAAAGCATCTTTACCATTCTCTCCTCTTCAGTTTGTACTATTATATTAGCCATCGTATGCTGTGGAGTCATCTCACCAATGTAGGCTAACAAGGACAGGCACAGGAGGGAGGGAAGAACCCGAATGCATTTAGGTGGTGAGATTTAGGTGCTACTTATAGAAATGCTGTCAATTCTTCAAAGATATTAATAGAGCAGTTCCCCCTTAACCATGGGGGATACATTCCAAGACCCCCAGTGGAGGCCTGAAACTTTAAGATAGTATACCGAACCCTATATGTTTTTTCCTGTGCTTACATACCTACAATAGAGTTTAACTTATAAATTAGGCACAGTAAGAGATTAACAATAACTGAGCTAATCTTAGCAACCTCAGCATACAGTATTTTTTCTTTCCTTATTAAATCGAGAACTTTTCACTTAATAGAAGCACTTTACAGCCTTTTTTTTTTTTTTTTTAACAGATGGAGTCTCGCTCTGTCACCTAGGCTGGAACGCAGGGCCGCAATCTTGGCTCACAGCAACCTCTGCCTCCCCGGTTCAAGCGATTCTCCTGCCTCAGCCTCTCGAGTAGCTGGGACTACAGGCGCCTGCCACCGCGCCTGGCTAATTTTTGTATTTTTAGTAGAGATGGGGTTTCGCCATGTTGGCCAGGCTTGTCTCGAACTCCTGACCTCAGGTAATCCACTCGCCTCGCACTCTCAAAGCGCTAGGATTACAGATATGAGCCACTGTGCCCGGCCACTTTACAGCTTCTCTTTGTCATATCTGAACTGCCAGCATCACTATCCTTGCATTTTTGGCTTTTTTTTTTTTTTTTTTTGAGACGGAGTCTTGCTTTATCGCCCAGCCTGGAGTGCAGTGGCGCAATCTGAGCTCACTGCAACCTCCGCCTCCCGGGTTCACACCATTCTCCTGCCTCAGCCTCCTGAGTAGCTGGGACTACAGGCGCCCACCACCACACCCGGCTAATTTTTTGTATTTTTAGTAGAGACAGGGTTTCACCGTGTTAGCCAGGATGGTCTCGATCTCCTGACCTCATGATCTGCCCGCCTCGGCCTCCCAAAGTGCTGGGATTACAGGCGTGAGCCACTGCGCCCGGCCTGAGCTATTATTTTTTATTGATACATAACATTTGTACATATTTATAGGGTGTGTGTCATATTTTGATACCAAGAGCATAT